>NC_000018.10:43334688-44546429 GCF_000001405.40 Homo sapiens
TGCCATTCTGTATCTTGTCTTTTCATATTCTTACTAGGATCATTGGCAGAGCAAAATTTTATTTTCCTGAAATCAAATTTATCAGTTTATTCTTTATGAATTGCACTTTTGGGGTCAAGTCTAAGAATTCTTTGCCCCTTTTATCCAAAAGATAGTTTCCAGTTTTTTGTAAGTTTCATGGCTTTACATTTAAAAATATCTGTGGTCTGGTTTGAGTTAATGTTTGTATAAGGTGTATGACTTAAATCAATGTTTTCATCTTCCTTTTCTTTTTCTCACTTATGGATGTTCAATTTCTCCATCACCGCCTGTTGAAAGAACTATATTTCTCCCATTGAACTGTTCTTGCATGTTTGTCAAAAATCAGTTGAGTATATTTGGGTGAGTTTGCTATTGAGTACTGATTCTGTTTCATTGTTCTACATGTCTATATATGTGTCTGTTAATACCACATAGATTTGAACATGTATATTCTAATACCACATAAATTTGACACATGTAAATTGTGTCAATTTTTAAAATGTTAATTGATATAATCATGTAATATTCTTTTTTAGCTTATTAATATGGTGGATTATATTGATTAAATTTTAAATATAGAGCCAGTCTTGCATTCCTAGAATCCCCATTTGTCATGTTGTAGACTTATTTTTAAATATTGGTGAATTCTACTTTCTAGTGTTTGTATAAAGATTTTGTATCTATATTTACAATAAATATTGTTATTTAATTTTCTTTTTTGTACCATCCTGTACTGGGTTTGGTATCAAAGTAATGTTAACTTTATAAAATAAATTGAGGAGTGTCCCATCCAGTTAGAGATTCTGGAAGAGATTGAATATATTTGTTGTTGTTGTTGTGTTTTTATTTTTCCATAAGTTATTGGGGTACAGGTGGTATTTGGTTAGATGAATAAGTTCTTTAGTGGTGATTTGTGAGATTTTGGTGCACCCATCACCCAAGCAGTATACACTGCACCATATTTGTAGTCTTCTATCCCTTACCCCTCTCCCACTCTTCCCCCCAAGTCCCCAAAGTTCATTGTATCATTCTTATGCCTTTGCGTCCTCATAGCTTAGCTCCCAAATATCAGTGAGAACATATGATGTTTGGTTTTCCATTTCTGAGTTACTTCACTTAGAGTAATAATCTCCAATCTCATCCAGGTCACTGCAAATGCTGTTAATTCATTCCTCTTTATGGCTGCATAGTATTCCATCATTATCTATCTATCTATCTATCTATCTATCTATCTATCTATCTATCTATCACAGTTTCTTTATCCACTGGTTGATTGATGGCCATTTGGGTGGATTCCACACTTTTGCTATTGTGAATTGTGCTGGTATAAACATGCGTGTGCAAGTATCTTTTTTCTAATAATGACTTCTTTTATTCTGGGTAGATACCCAGTAGTGGGATTGCTGGATCAAATTGTAGTTCTACTTTTAGTTAGTTAAGGAATCTCCACACTGTTTTCCATAGCAGCTGTACTAGTTCACATTCCCACCAGCAGAGTGGAAGTGTTCCCTCTTCACTGAATCCATGCCAACATCTACTGTTTTTTTGATTTTTTTTTTTTATTATGGCCATTCTTGCAGGAGTAAGGTGGTTTTCACATTGTGGTTTTGATTCACATTTCCCTGATAATTAGTGATGTTGAGCATTTTTTCATATGTTTGCTGGTCATTTCTATATCTTCTTTTGATAATTTTCTATTCATGTTTTTAGCCTACTTTTTGATGGGATTGTTTGTTTTTTTCTTACTGATTTGTTTGAGTTCATTGTAGATTCTGGATGTTAGTCCTTTGTCAGATATATAGATTGTGAATATTTTCTCCCACTCTGTGGGTTATCTGTTTACTCTGCTGACTGTTCCTTTTGTCATGCAAAAGCTCTTTAGTTTAATTTGGTCCCAGGTTTTTATCTTTGTTTTTATTGCATTTTCTTTTGTGTTCTTGGTCATGAAATCATTGCCTAAGCTAATGTCTAGAAGGGTTTTTCCAATGTTATCTTCTAGAATTTTTATAGTTTCAAGTCTTAGATTTAAATCCTTAATCCATCTTGAGTTGATTTTTATATAAGGTAAGAGATGAGGCTCCAGTTCCATTCTCCTACATGTGGCTAGCCAATTATCCTAGCACCATTTGTTGAAAAAGATATCCTTTCCCCACTTTAAACTTTTGTTTTCTTTGTCAAAGATCAGTTGGCTGTAAGTATTTGGATTTATTTCTAGATTCTCTATTCTGTTCCATTGTGCCTATTTTTATACCAGTACCACACTGTTTTGGTGACTATAGCCTTACAGTATAGTTTGATATCAGGTAGTGTGATGCCTCCAGATTTGTTATTTTTGCTTAGTCTTTATTTCGCTATGTTGGCTCTTTTTTGGTTCCATATAAATTTTAGAATTGTTTTTTCTAATTCTGTGAAGAATGATGGTGGTATTTTGATGAAGATTGCATTTAATTTGTAGACTGCTTTTGGCAGTATGGTCATTTTTCACAATATTGATTCTACCCATCCATGAGCATGTGATGTGTTTCCATTTGTTTGTATCCTCTCTGATTTCTTTCAGCAGTGTTTTGTAGAGGTCTTTTGACTCCTTGGTTAGGTGTATTCTTAACTTTATTGTTATTTTTTTGGCAGCTATTGTAAAAGGAGTTGAGTTCTTGATCTGATTCTCTACTTAGTCATTGTTGGTGTATAGAAGAGCTACTGATTTGTGTACATTGATCTTGTATCTGGAAACTTTGCTGAATTCTTTTATCAGTTCTAGGAGCTTTCTGGAGGAGTCCTTTGGGTTTTCAAGGTAAACGACCATATCGTCAGCAAACAATGATAGTTTCATTTTCTCTTTACTGATTTGGATGCCATTTATTTCTTTCTCTTCTCTGATTTCTCTGGCTAGGACTTCCAGTACTATATTGAAGAGGAGTGGTGAGAGTGGGCATCCTTGTCTACAAAAAAAAAAAAAAAAAATTCCGGGACCAAATGGATTCACAGCAGAATTCTACAAGACATTCAAAGAAGAATTGATACCAATCCTTTTGACACTATTCCACGAGATAGAGAAAGAAGGGACCCTCCCTAATTCAGTCTATGAAGTCAGCATCACCTTAATACCAAAACCAGGAAAAGACATAACCAAAAAAAAAAAAAAAACTACAGACCGTTATCCTTGATGAACATTGATGCTAAAAATCCTTAACAAAATACTAGCTAACCAAATCCAACAACATATCAAAAAGATAATCCACCATGATCAAGTGGGTTTCATACTAGGGATTCAGGGATGGTTTAACATATGCAAGTCAATAAGTGTGATACACCACATAAACAGAATTAAAAACAAACATTATATGATCATTGTAAGAATTAAAGAAAGAGGAAAGAAACACAACAGGTGTCTCAAAAGTCAAGGACAGGTTTATTTTAGAGGAAACAAACCTGAGAGGGGCTTCTGACCAAGTTAGATCAGAGCCCATTCTCTTACAGACTAAGAGTTTTTAAGGATTTCGGGTGGGAGAGTTTATCAGAGGCTTGGACTGCTTCTGTGTCTCTTTGTTGTGCTTATCTGGGAGAGAGAGTTATGTGGCTGTTCCCATACATCTTCCTGCAGCTGAAGGCATACCCCCTGAGTCTGCTTTTAGCTTCTCTCTCTTAATGCACCTGAAGGGAAAGAAATGTGCTTATTAAGGCCCACCATTTTACTGGGGCCCATTGTATGAGGGTGAAGTTTGGCAGTTACCCAAGAGACTTTCTGTCATGTCCCTCTGTGCCAGAGCTGTCTTATCTGTATTTTACTGTCTGCTCCTTACTGGCTGCTTGTAGTTAGAAGAGAAGTGATTTCCTTGAAATGCATAAGGCTAGAAATGGAGCTGGAACTTAAAGTGGCAGTGTTTGTCCGAGATGATGGTGCTCCTGCTCTGTCAATCATCTCAATAGATGCAGAAAAAGCATTCAACAAAATCTAGCATCCTTTTATGATTAAAACTCTCAGAAAAATCGGCATACAAGGGACATAAGCTTAATATAATAAAAGTCATCTATGACAAACCCACAGCCAACATAATACTGAATGGGGAAAAGTTGAAAGCATTCTCTCTGAGATTGTATATATTTGGTCTTAATGCTTCTTTAAATGTTTGGTTGAATTTTCCAGTGAAACTACCTGGGCTTAGATACTTCTCTTCTTTGAAGAATTTTTAAATTATAAATTTAATTTTCTTAATAGTCATAGGGCTATTTAAATTGTCTATTTTATATTGGGTGAGCTGTGGTAGAATTTATTTATTTTGCATAATTGGTCCATTTCAGCTAGGTTGCAAAATGTGTGTGTACATAGTTGTTTGTAGCACTCACTTGTTATTCTTTTGATATCTGCAAAGTCTGTAATAGTATGTCTTGTTTGATTGCTAATATTGGTAATCTGCGGCTCCTTTGTTTTTCTTTGTCGGTCTTATTGGAAGTTTATCAATTTTACTGATACAAACACATTCAAGATAGTATAGTCTTCTCAGTATATTGACTATTTTACTATTATATAATGTACATCTATATCTCTAGTAATTTTATTTGTTCTGAAGTCTACTTTGATTCCAACATAAAACATATAAAACTCCTGCTTTCTTTTTATTAAAGTTTGCATGAGATACCTGTTTTCAACTCTTTATTTTTGAATCTGTCTATAGCATTAAATTTGAAGTATGTTTCTTATAGATAGCATATTATTGGGTTGTGTTTTTAATACACTCTGTCATTCTCTTTTAATACATTTACATTATTTACATTTAATGTGGGTTTACATTTGTCATTTGTTTTTTTTAATTTTCTGTGTATTCTCTGTTTTTTCTTTCTCTGTTTTTCTCTGCCTTCCTGTGGCTTACTTAAGCCCTATTTTAGAATTTCATTTTTAAAAAAGTATTTTTAGTGTACTTCTCTGTACACTATAGACATGTTTTCTAGTGTTTATTGTATGTATTACATTATATACACATTACTTATCATAGTCAACCTGTGTTGTCATTTTGTCAGCTTTAGTGGTATTGAAACCATACCTCTTTATGTTCCTTTATTTTTCTTTTTTAAAATATAATTGTCTTAAAATTTTTCTCTATATTAATTTAGAACTATGTTAGATAATACTATGGTTTTTGCTTCAATCATAAAACTAATTGAGATAACTCAAAAGAAGGGAATCTGATGTATTTCCTCGTATTTGTATGTTTCTCCTTCTTTCTAATATCAGTTATTTTTTTATAATTTTCTTCATATTTACAAAGTGTCTTTTAGCCACTCTTTTGGAATAGGCTTATTGGTATCAAATTCTCTTAGTTGTTCTTCACCTGAGAGAATCCTAATTTTACCTTTATTTCGGAAATAATGTTATCACTAGACATATAATTCTAGATTAATCTTTTCTTTCAGCACTTGAATAATGTTATTCCATCTCTTCTGGCCTTCATAGTTTATGATAACAAATCCATATCATCATAATTTTTTTCTTATAGGTAAGGTATTTGCTCTTTCTAATTGTTTTCAAGACTTTTTTTCTCTGATTTTAGTTTTCAGAAGTTTGGCTATGTTGTGTCTTGATGTAGATCTCCTTAGACAAAACTTTAGGCATTTGCTCAGCCTCTATAGATTTATGTCTTCTGTCAAATATTGGAAGTTTTCAAACATCAAGTTTTTCAAACTTCTTTTCAGTCCTGCCTTTTTTCTCCTCTCTTTCTGAGATGCTAGTGACACCAATGGTACTTACTTATTTTTTCTAATCTCCTGAGTTTCTGCTCTCCCCTACTCCTAACTCATTTTTTTCTGTCATCCAGATTGCATAATTTCTATCATTCTATATTTCAGTTCACTGATTCCTTCTTCTGTTCTCTCCATGCTGGTGTTGGGACCATCCACTGAGCTTTTTATTTCTTATGATAGATTTCAGTTGTAAAAATTTCATTTTATTCTGCCTTATAATTCTATTTATTTGCAGACTCTATTTCTTAATTTTTTTCAACCATTTTTGTAATTGCTAACTGAAACATTTTTATGATGGCTGCTTTAAAAATTTTGTCAGGTAAATTTGACATCTCTATTATCTCGCTGTTGGCATATATTGATTGTCCTTTTTTATTCTGTTTGAGATCTTCCTGTTTCTTGGTATGATAGTGATTTTCATTTGAAACCTGGCTATTTAGTGTATTATGCAGAAGACACTGGATCTTATTAAACTGTCTGTTTTAGTTTGCTCTTTCTGACAATTCTCCAGCAGTGGAAGGGGTGGAAGCTGTCTCTGTATCAGGATTCTCTAGACAGAATAGGATAGATAGATAAATACATACATACATACATATTAGAGGAATGGGCTTACACAATTTTAGAGGCTGAGAAGTCTACAATAGGCCATCTGAAAACTGAAGGTACAGGGATACCAATAGCATGGCTTAGTCCAAGTCTGGAAGCCTCCAAACTAGAGAAGCCAATAGTGTAACTCTCAATCTGAGGCTAAAGGCCTAAGAACCCGGCGTCCACTGGCACAAGTCCCAGAGTCCAAAGGCTGGAGTTTCTAGCATTCGGACATCCAAGGACAGGGGAAGAATGGCATTTTATCTTTAGGATGGAGAGAGGGAGAAGGGGGAAGGAGAGAGACAGAGAGAAAGAGACAGAGACAGAGAGACATATAGTTCACCTTTCCTCTGTCTTTTTGTTTTATCTTGGCCTCCAGCCAATTAGAGGGTCCTGCCCACATCAAGGGAGGATCTTCCTCACACACTAATCTCTAGAAACACTCCGACAGACACACCTAGAAATAATACTTTACCAGCACTCTAGGTATTTTTTAATTTTTTGAATTAACACCTAAAATTAACCACCGGTCTCATTATTACCATGTGAGATAGAAGTCCAGGTTCTCCATCGAGCCTCTGTTGACACCTGAGTGGAGAAGGGGGTCCTGTTATTCATTGTTGAGGGTGAGAGTTGTGGATCCTCACTAGGCTTTCACTCATACATTCTTATGTGGAAGTGCCTCATTACAGCTATCTGCATGACCTCTCTTGACACTCTGGAAGAGGTGGCCTTTTACCACTGGGTAAAAGTTCTGACTCTCCACCCGGCGTCCTTTGACACATCCTCAGCAGAATGGGTGAGAGGTACCTCATTATTACTGGATAGGGACGATACCACTTGGGTGAGGTGGGCGAGTGTTACTTATGGGTAGAAGTGGAAGTCCAGAGACCACCTGACATTGTGGCACAGGGGACCTCATTATTTCCTGGTGAAGATGAAAGTTAAAGACTCCCTATTTGGCATTCTCTAGCAGCACCCCCCAGAAAAGTAGGGCACTTTGTTAAAGCCTGGCAAGAGTGGAGGCCTCAGCTCCCCAGTAAGCCTTTGTTGGTGTTGGGACCACAGTTTGTTTTTGTATTTAAAAAAAATAAAAAAAGAAAAAAAAGGCTGTGAGCAGAGATCATGCCATTGCACTCCAGCCTGGGTGAAAAAAAAAGCACTCTGTGTTGTTTGCCTAAAGTAGAGTGGCCATTGTGTAAATGTTTTCTGTCTTGCTAAGTTGCCCCATTCCTGATCCTTTCTCTGGAGAGAGCAGGCATTCAGGTGCTTTACTTTTCCATGCTTATGATTGTTTTCAGGTTGCGAGCTCCTTCAGCTCCAAGTCTGGTATATATATATGGCAGAAAAAAAATGAATAAAAATAAAGCCAAAAAATGAAAATCCAGAGAATTCACCAGCCATCATAATCCTTGAATTCCAAGGTCTCTAGATGGAAATTTTTGGGTGTTTGTTTTGTATGTAATGTCCAGGATTTTTAGTTGTACTTAGCAGTAAGAATATTAAAAGGCATGTGTATTTCATCTCTCAGAAGTGTTAACTATTTTTACCACAGGATGATGTGGCCAGAATAAACAGGAATTAAACAATCATCGTATAGCCAAATCACTTGTACCTTCATTTTTCTAACATTCATTGGAAAGCCTCTTTCAGCCAATTACTGTAGGTTATACTGGTGATATGGAGATACACACAATACCTGTCTTCAGGGAGTCATATTTTGTGGGAGAAGCACAACAGATGAGCAGAAATTAAACACAATGTAAAATGTGTTGAAGGTGAGATATGCATGGGGCACTCTGGAAAGCAAATTCACTACAAAGGATTGAAGCAAAAAGGAAGAGTTACTTCAGACTCTTAGAGAATCTAAATGAGAATTATAGGACAAATAAATATTAGTTAGGTGGCCCAGGGTCAAGGCCACCAAGATCATGAAGGCTATCTTTCCACATAAAGATAAAGACCTATAAAGCCACAATATCATGAAAGAACACAGTGCAGTTGGGAAATGGAAGTGTTTGCTGTGACATGGGGGAAGGGTATGGAACAATAAAGTAGTGGGGGAGAAGACAGGGCTCTCATAAAACAAGAGCAATTTTTATATATCACGCTATGTGCTTTGGGTGTAAATGACAGCAATAAGAAATGTCTAGACAATCTTAACCATTAGATCAAAAAAAGTATAAAAAATTATGTGTTAATCTAAAAGCACATCTGTATACGAGAGCAACCACTTATATATGCTACTCTCCACTTTTTAAAGTGGAGGTGTCATCTTGTCAGGGAGGCTTTTTCTGACCACCCTCTGTATTATTTCTCACTGTTATCAGTGATTATTGCTTTGTTTGTCTCCTTTTACTACTATTGCAATTCATAAAATTTACTTGTTTGTTGACTTGCAGATGGTTTACTTGTTTACTGTCATATCTCCATGGACTATTACTGTGAATGACATGAATCGGTGCTCAATAAATACTTGTGTTCTGGCATGCAGTTAATTGCTGGCAACCATCATTACACGAATAAAATGCATGGGATCTCTGTGTTATCTTGTTCAGATTTTGATTATCATCTTTCCACTAGGATGACAAATTTTCTGTGTTTCCACCTGAGCAAAGTGGCATATACCTCTCCTTATGGTTATATCATGGTAAGTAAATGTTAATTACAAAAATCATGCATTGGCTTCCTTGCCTCTTTATTGTATTCAGAGGTCCCTGAAGAAAATACCTCTAGCTTATTTGTTGATCTAACAACATGCAATGGTGCAGTACTAAATATTAGTTTTAGTAGTTGAATAATTAAATTGGTTTAGTTGGAAACTACCTGAAGTAACCAAACTGAATGGTACAAGCAAATGTTATGTTATTGTGCCTTTTACTTTATTCCTCTCAGTTCTTCCTCCTTCTACCTACTCATTTTTCACAGTTAGTTCTCACCAAGGAGCAAGCAAACTTTCTGACTTTCACAAATTTTCTACAACTAACAAAGTAACATTTATTCTTTAATTGAATATATCTCCAAAATCCTGATTTTGACTCATAAAAGGGGTCTCACATGGCTGAAGAACAGAACCAGTTTTCCCAGAGATAGAGTGGGCTCCCAGTATTAATAAGAAATGAATCAGTTCCTAAAAACCAACATATAACCCCTCTGGAAAGGTCATGCCTTCAGCTAATATTTTAACATTGGTGCATCTTTTATAAGTGAATAATTCAAAATAACTTCGAATATGTTATCATTCTTCTGGCAAAATATCCTGCTAAATAAGCAGTTCTCAACAAATGGATTAGATCTCAGTTCTTCTCTTTGAGGATGGTTTTCAGGAACGGTGTGTGTAAGCATGTGTGTGAATGTGTGTGTGATTATTCACCTGCCTTTGCCTAAAGTTTAAGTTCTTCCATTATTTATCCTAAGGCCATGATCTGTGAATACTTTTCCCCAAGGGCTAACTATGGACAAGTGCTTAGAAAAGGAAATGAAGAACTTCTTCAGTGAAACTTGAAAACCTAAATGTGAAAAAGAACAAAACAATGGAAAGAAGGAAGGAAGGAAGAAAGAGAGAAAGAAAACAAGAATAATCACTATTCCTTTTAAAAATTCAGAGGCTAAAACAAAATGTTATACCATTTTGAATTTAAAATAGTGGAAAGCATAGTTCTTATTTCATTCCCTGACCTGGCTTGAATCATACAAAGCTGTCAATAGCCTTTTACTTGATTTTCAACCACTGCCACTGGAGGTAAGGACACAGGAAGAGAGAGTGGCTACAGTGGAGAAAATCTATTCTACTCTTAGATGGCAAGGAAGTTTTGTGTTGCTTTAAAAAACTATTTGAGGCTCAGTAATTTATAAAGAAAAAATGTTTATTTGTTTCACAATTCTGATGGCTAGAAAGTTCAAAATACGGCATCTGCATTTGGTGAAGGCCTCAGGTTGCTTCTACTCATGGCAGAAGGGTCAGGGGAGTGGGCTCGTGCAGAGATCACACAGAAAGAGAGAAAGCAAGAGAGAGAGAAAGCAAGAGAGAGAGAAAGCAAGAGAGAGAGAAGGCAGAGCAGGCTTTTCTTAAAAACCAGCTCTTGTGGGAACTAACAGAGTGAGAACTCACTCACCCCCAAAGGGAGAGCATTGATCTGTTCTTGGGGGATCTATTCCCATGACTCAAATGCCTTCCATTAGGATACACTTTCAACACTGGGAATTAGGTTCCAACCTGAGTTTTGGAAGGGCACAAACATCCAAATCAAAGCAGAAAAAAATAAAAAATGGATGAACAAACAGACACCAAAGCCCAAGATATTCCACGTATAATACAAAAACCTTCACATATTTTTAAAAATGATAGCTTACCATCTTCCCTAAGTATGATTCATATCTCCATGTATCAGTGGTTTTCATTGTGTGGTCCCTGGACCAACGTCATTAGCTGCAGCTGGGAAATGGTTAAATATACAAGTTCTCAGTTCCTCGCTCAAATCCACGGAATCAGACACTCATGTGGTGACATCTAGTAATATGTGTTTTAACAAGCCCTCCAAGTGACACCAGTGCATGCTCAAATTTGAGAAACTCTGCTATACAAAAATCAAGATATTTTTTCTTTCTATAGCACTAAATATTTCCATAATAAGGCTTCACTTAAGGTAAATGGTATTTTTCATGACACATTTGGGTGGAAACAGCCAAACATAAAATACTTTAATACCCCGCACTTTGGGAGTCCAAGGAGGGCAGATCATGAGGTCAGGAGATCGAGATCATCCTGGCTAACACGGTGAAACCCAGTTTCTACTAAAAATACAAAAAATTAACCGGGTGTGGTCGTGGGCGCCTATAGTCCCAGCTGCTTGGGAGGCTGAGGCAGGAGAATGGTGTGAACCCAGGAGGCAGAGGTTGCAGTGAGCTGAGATCATGCCACTGCACTCCAGCCTGGGTGACAGAGCGAGAATCTGTCAAAAAAAAAAAAAAAAAAAAAACTTTAACAATAACCATGACAATTTGCATACACGACATTCCAAAACAATCACAACGAGACTAAAAAAAAATTGGCATGATGACAGTTACTAACAGGCCCTGGATCAGAGCAGAGTCCACATGTACAGGCCATATGCAGGCCCCTTGAACATCAGGGTTTTCTGGCCTGTCTTGGCTAATGTGATAAGCCCAATAGTGAGCCATCTTTCTACTGTTCCTATAATTGGACAGCTGCTGCCACTGAGATGAAGGATTTTCCTGGAGGTAACTGGATGAAGCTTTCTAACTCTACCTCTGTACTAAACATGCTAGTCCAATAGACACATCTCTGGCTGTCCTGAAACTATGCTATGCATCACATCAATCTAAGAATCCACAGTGGATTTTGTTGTCTTTAGAAAATGTCATTAGGAAGCTCCTCTTCCTAATGTGATCCTGTTTTCACTGTTCTCACAGCAGTGACGGTCAATGGAAAAATCCAACACTGGAAGTGCAGTTCATCTGAAGAACAAGAAATGTATAACAAACAGTTTTTAACTAGAAAATCTCACACTCCAATTCCTTCATCATGGGTGTCCATTGGTGGTGGAAAGTCAACTACAGTTCTCAAAATTCAACTCGAAAGGTCCTAGTAACCGTTGTTTCCATCTAGGAGATGTTAGCACCAATAGGGAGTTAGCCTGGACACCAAACATTGTCATAATTCACTTTCACCTATTTCAATGTTAGGTTCCTCCCAAAAGGATCATGATGAATTTAAGCTAACAAAATTCTTATTCATTTGTGTTATCAATAGAGAAGTGTTGAAATAATTAGGAAAAGGTCAAAAAAGTACTGAAGGTTGGAGTTTAAGCATTGTTTCAAAGCACGCTCTTATATTTATGTCTGAATTTTATCCCTACAATAACCATCTATGCTATACCATTATTCACCTGTAATAATACATCTCTAATAAATTGGTGCCAAACAGAATTGAATTTCAGCCATTAATACATCCAGAATATTGCCTATTGTTGGCCTAGTATTTTCATTGCAAAGGTGTATGGTCTGAAAAAAGAACTCACTGATCTTTATATGGCGGGGATAAGGGAAATAATTTTCAAATATTTCTGTACTCAGGCATAGTTGCCCTTTCTAGGGAGGAAGAGCTAAACTCACCACTCTGTTGAAGCTTGCCAACTTCAGCAATTTACCTCCATTGCATGTATCTGCTTCTACCAAATGTGCGCTTCTCACTTATTTAGTTAAACATGCAATCCATAAATTTATATTAAGTATCAACTACCTCAAGGAGCTGGGTTAGGTGCTACAGAGATGAATACAGAAAAATAAAATTCACAAAATTTATAGAAAAAAGTACACATCTTCCCAATCAGTGGAGTCCTTTATTTTCTTGGGAATTTATATCCTTTTGACAGTGAATTCCACTGTTATTTTTATATGTCTGCTACTTGATTCTGGAAATAAGTACCTAGGTTTATTAAACTTATTATTTCACTGAAGATTCTCTTATGATATTGCTCACTTGCCCTGGATACCTCATTCCTGTATGTGTTTAGTCCAACCAGCTAGAGAGAAGTTACATAGTGTTTAAATCACACAATGCAAATAAATGCCCACAATATTTTATGAAACTAACTCAATTTCCATTTGTTTACAAATCATTCTTACACATTTTAAGCCAAAGTCTGAGAGGAATACAAAGATAAGTAGGAGTCAGAACTTGTTGTCTAGGAGACTGTAGTCTGAATAAAGATGTAGGCAAGTAATTTGGGAGGTATACAAATAAATACTATTGGAAATCATTGTTTCTTGCTCATTTTGTGGTGGTGGATTTTTTGAGATCCTGAAAGACAGACATCTGGAAAATTGCATGCACACACAAATTTTTAAATATAATCGGACATTTCAAATGAAACATTAAGTCCCAATCATAATCCTGCATTAGAAGAACCAGAGAAGTCCTAAAGGAACATGACAGACAGACACTAATTCTATTGTGGAGACTATGCAAAGATTTTGTACTGTAATATATTTAACGTGATTTAAATGAAATGTTAGGATTTTCTCGGGAAGATATTGGAAATAGAGGAACATACTTGCAACATTTTCAGGGAAAGGTGACTGAACTTCCACAGAACATAATGAACAAGGGGTATTTTATAGGAGCAATTACTGAAATTTTATGTAAACACCGTATCTTATTAGAAGTTGGATACTAGGAGTTGCCATGATTCTAAAGGTATATGGAGACATTTAAGGTTTTCCAGTTGGTGTCTAAGCAAATCTGTAACAGAGGAAACTAGTTATGGAAACAATGTGGAAGAAAGTTTAGAAAATGGAGACTGCAGGTGATTAGGTAGGAAGTTACTTGCAAAAGTAAAAGTGAGCAACAACGATATCCAGAGATCAATAACGAGGAAGTGATAATGACAATGAAAAGGATGCTACTACTACTGAAGACAGTATTAAGAACAACTATATAGGCAGGAGAACATTTCTGAGGTACCAACAAACAAGGGTCATTGTATTGAAAGATATGAAGCAAATCAGAATAAATTGTCCTCATCTGGCTTCCTTGAAAATATAAATGCCCAATGCATGACAGCTATAGCTTCAGTCCATTATAATATTGTCTTTAAGATGAGAGAGATATTTCAATACAAATTATTAATTACTTTAAGTAGCAAATTACAATATATATTCATTAAGTTTAAAGTCTCTCAACTAAAAAATATAAGTCCCGTAACACCATAAAGACAAGTCTTAAAAGACAGACGTAATTAAATTATGTTTTTGCATAATGGATATCTTTGGGCCAAAAGTTCAAGTTGCTTTTCCAGACAAAAAACCACAAATCATTTCCTATAGAAGGTATTTAGAACACTCTTTTTCTTTCTCTAGCTTCTTCAGGTAAATCCAGTTTATTTCAATTAAATACATTATTATTGAGTGTTTAAATATGGAAGGCATTTTGTTTCCTAGAGATAGGGCAGGAAGAAAACAAAATGAGTAAAATGTAGTTTCATTATAAAAAATTAATGGGAAAATTTTTTGACAAAAATCAATTGGTAATAAGACAATGAATTATTTTAATGTGGTTGTTCTCAACTTTATCTACAAATTGGAGTCACCTGGAAGTTTATGAAATACTAATATCTGGTCTCTAGTCTCAGAGATACTGACTTAATTGGCACAGGTTATAGGCAGAATGACAGGACTTTTAAAAGTCTTCCCTGATGTTTTAAACGTACAAACAAGGCTGAGATCTGCTGCTTTTTTATATAGTTGATATTTGAGATTAAACCTTGACAGATGGATAGTACCTTGACAGGCAGAGATAGGAGTGGAGATGGGAAGGCATTTGGAAAGAAAGAAATGCAAGGAAGCCTTACATAGCAAGTGAGTGGGAGATAAACTGAAAAAAAAAAAGCGAAGTAAGGCTATACTCTGGAATGGCCTGTAGAACAGACAATACAGAACCAGAGCGAACACAAGAAAACCTAGGACACCCAGATTCAAGTCCTTAATGTGCCCCTTACTCGTTGGGTAAATTTAGACTCCAACTAACTTCTGAATACAGTTTTCTTCATTTGTAAAATGGAAATAATAGCTATTTCTCAAGTTATATAGAGCTATTAAACAGTTTTGTTAGTTAGAGTCCTCCAGAGAAGTACAACCAGTAAGATATACACATGATTTATTGTAAGAATTTGGCGTATGTAACTTACATATTGTATGTTACCTTATGTATGGAAGCTTCTCAGCCTCAGTAGCTGAGAAGTCCCATGATTTGCTCTCTGTGTGCAAGCTGGAGACTCAGGAAAGCTGGTGGTGTAGTTCTGAGAACCAGAGGGACAAAGGTGTAAGTCCCTGTTGAGAGCAGGAAAAGGTTAATGTTCTAGCTGAAGTAGTCAAGCAGAGAGAAGTGATTTTTCCTTCCTCTACCTTTTTGTCTTTTTATCTTTTTAGATCTTACTGGTCCCCCTACTTTCCCTGGAATAGGCATGAAAAATCAACGTTTTATCTTTCCTTGATATCAGAGAGTCTCCCAACTCTTATCTAACCTAAGTATCACTGGAAAGTGAAGAATTTGGAAATATTATCTGAAAGGGTGAGTGATGTAGGTAGAATGTCAGTGTTTAGGTGGATGGAAGATTTCCTCTTCTTTCATCCCTTCTAAAAGGAATGGCCCAGAGTCAAGGATTTTAACATAATCAATAAGAAAGAGAAATTTTGCCCTATGCCATGTGCATTTTATTGACCACCGTGTTTCAAATGTAAGGAACAAAGAAGTCAAGGACAGATGGATGTGGCTTCTCTTCTCCTGACACTTGTTGTTCTCTTGGGATTCCTGCCAAAGTAAGGATCAGCAGATGCTCTTATGCTCTAGGCTGATTCTCCTGAAAATATCTGTCATAACCAAGATGCTCTGAAGTGGGGGCACAGGAAAATCCACTGAAGAGTTGAAAGCAAAAACTAGAGCTTCTATTTACTTTGATTTTATGTCATTTTAAAATATTTCTAGTTTTTGGAGATCTTTCAAAAATGTTTATACTACACAATATTTCATGTGACTAATGTCAAATTAAATAAGATAGATATATTAAAATGTAGGATCCACCCCCCACTCCCATTTCAAGTGACATTGGTGCATGCTAAAAACAATACAACATTTTCTCATCTGAACCAATCCTTCTTTGGGCTTTGGGATCAACATGTTTTTATTCCTTCTCTTTACTTCTTCTTGCTGGCTGACATATTCTGGACTGGCTTTCCCTAACCCAAGAGGTTCAAATCTGATTCTTTTGTGAAAGCTCAGATAGAATGAGCACAAAGGAAGTCTTTCAGCTTGCTCTTGGTGTGCGTTTATCACGCTTACCAGAATGAGACCAAAAGGTTCCTCCACTAGAGATGTATTTTGGAATTGAAGTTAAGTCTTTAAAGCAGTTAAGATCTATTTCTGCTTGATCATTGTTTTCATCCAGGGCCTTGAAGGAAGACAGTGGTTTACTCAAACTGAAGCAGCCTCGTTCATCTGGGGTGATACCCAGAAGATTCATTGTCTCATGGCCATGGAAAACTAGGATGCAGATACACAAAGAGTGAGCTTAAGAGCAGAAGTTTAATAAGCAAAAGAAAGATAAGAGCTCTCTGTAGAAGAGAGGGGTCCCATAGAAATGGGTTGCCAGTTCCGTGGTGAAATGCAAAGGATTTTATAGATAAGCTTGAGGAAGCAGTGTCTGATTTACATAGGGTACAAAAGATTGGTTGGACCAGGTGTGCCATTTGCATAGGACACAAAAAAATGATTAGGACTAGGTGTGCCATTTGCATAGGGCTTGAAAAGCTGGCTGCCCCCACCCTAATCTTTTATTATGTAGATGGGTTCTCTGCCTGGCTGGTACCATGTTGCCCATTCCTTTAATGTACACATGGTAACAAAAAAAAGGAAGATGGAGCCTTCACGTTGGATATGCTTGGTCCCCAGGTAACACTTTTTTGTTGGCACAGCTCCTGGCATTCACCCGTGCAAGCTTTCAGCTTGCTTATCTATGTTTGTAGCTCAATTTTTCAGGCTCCTCTTTGTTAGGAAAGAAACTATTTTGGGGCTGCTTTTTGTTAGAAAGAAAGCCCTGCCGACAACTCTTTTACCCTCACTATCTGCCTAAATAATTTCTTTCTACCTCCTGTATTAAAAGTGAAATAGAGTTTAATGAGGACCTATTTCTAGATATGGGTTAAGGGAATCAAGAGAGCTTGTGAATCACCCAGGGATGAAGAAACATGAGAAGCTGGTATAAACTAATTGAGGGTACACATGCATGTTCAGGATTCTGCTCTCTTGACCAGAAACCTTCTTCAGCTCATGAAGAAGTTTGACACGAAGCACAAGGGAACTCACCATGTTTTGCCCCTCTAGGTCCTACTTTACTGTGAATAGAGAGACTAATCTCTAAACTCTTAGAAACTCATCTTTATTACATTATTAATTTTGCTATAAGCAGCACCTAAAACTTTGATTAATGTACACACTAGGAAAGAGTTGCATTTTCCCTAAATAAAATATGAAAGTTATGCATGTTTCTTGCATCCTAGTGATTTATTTTTCCTTGATCTAGATGAAAAGATTCCTAGGGCTATTTAAAAAGTTGTACATTAGTGATACGAACACCTTGAGCCTTTATATTAATGACAACATTTTAATTAATCACATATGGATTTTATATTCCATCTTGAGGAACCCTCCATCTTAAGACAACAATGTCTTAGATTAATCCAAATTGGTTAGTCCAAATTGCCTCACAGTTGTCTCAGCTCAGGCCAAATTGATTTTACACATAACTGTTCTGAGGCCAATAAAAGGTTATAATGGACCCCATTTTATTAACATCGTAGGTATGTCTTTCTATGGTTTAAGCTAAGGTATACCAGGAAACCCTTGTCCCCATCTTAGCAAATAATTCTTCCGTTAATCTGTGTCTTAGGCATACCAATACACACTTAACAATTAATTGTTTCAAGTCAGACTAACTCTTATTAAAACAGAAAGTTTTTCAAAGAGAATAGCATGATACTCTTTCCTTTAGCTACTGGCAGAAATCAGAGCCCCTTGAGAGATTGAGAAAATCAAAACAGTATATTTAGAGTGAAGGTACTGAGGAAAAAACTTTGGGGCACCAAGAGCTGGAGAGGAAAAAACAAAAAGAAGCAACAAAAAAGGAACAAAGGAGAAGGAGAAATTGGGAGAGGTTAGGGATAGCACCCAACCCCAATACCCCCATTTCCCATATGTGCTAACCTCAAGATCCTGTGTCACTGAGCTAAGAAGCTAAGATAAACAATATTTCACCATAAATCATCCCCAAGCCAGGTAATCCTATGACCCACATGTGCATGAGACTCTGGAATGACTGCTAGGCAGCTTTCTGGGGGTGGTGGTAGTGAGCAACTCCATCATCTTGAACCCACTGAGGATAACCAAGACTTTAACCTGGGCTAGGCATGTTTGGACATCATAACAAGGAAGAATGGAAAGATCACTTCCAGAGGCAGAGATCCCTGACATCAAACCCCTTACACAGTTCAATAAAAGGCCCAGGCCAGCCTCTTTTGGAGAGCCAGCTGGAGAACTCTTCCTTCTGTGCTGTCTCCCTTGTGCTCAAGCATAAGTCCCAATACATTTTGTGTGAAAAAATATGCATGGCCTCATGTCAATTTCCATTGCATGAAAAGCCTAAGAACCTGTGTACAGTAACATATTTCCAGGTGACCACAAAGGGACCAGGGTAATATCTCCCTTCCCCTCAGGGACTTAAGGGCCATCAGGGTGGCTGAACACAACCTCTCTTATTGCTGATGAGTGGCTTCTTGAACCTTTCATTCAACATCACCATGAGTGGTGTGTCTTCCTCTAGCCTCCCAGGGCTCCTGGCTTCACCTTGGCAAGAAACATTTTTCTTTCTTTTCTATTTTTTTTTCCTTCTGGTGCACCTTTTCTTTTTCTTTTTCTCACTTTACCTTAGTTTTACTGGTTTGAGTCACCTTAATAGACATCCATGGAAAATGGGTTGAAATGATTGACTCCCCCGGATTGATTAACCCAGCAGGCAGCAAATGGGTGGCACCCCTCCCCTGGCTTAAGTGGTCTGGTGGAGAAACTCTGGCACTCTGGCTCTGGATTTTTCAACTCTGTTTAAAACTCCTTACTACTTGGCTTCCCTTTGCAGCTCCTTGTAGGGAAGGGAGGCTTGTGAGCTTTTCATTATTTTTCTTTTTGAATGTGTAGTCCTCTCAGTTCTGTGTGTTGTCTTTATGAGAGAAAAAACAGTATGTGGGTCTAATCTTTGAGTAATTATGTCCTAAACCATGTTTTCTTTTTACTTGTATGATAACCAATCGCATCTACTGTCATTTGGTCACCACTGAGTACAGGCTCCAAATTAACAGGACTTGGACCTGGTGTAAGGTAAAGGAGGTAGAGGGAACTATCTAAGCCTGCATTCAATTTCAAAAGGGGATTGGCTCTCTCTCTCTTCTCTTGCCACATTGATTGGTCCTCTTGTGTGATTTATACTACCACACTGTGTGGGACCAACAGACTTCCTATCTCCTTATTGATGCCTAGTCTCAGGGTCTACATCCAGCCCATGTTCCTTTGA
The DNA here is from genome assembly GCF_000001405.40 of Homo sapiens. NCBI lineage: Eukaryota > Metazoa > Chordata > Mammalia > Primates > Hominidae > Homo > Homo sapiens. The sequence goes on from NC_000018.10 coordinate 43,354,173, forward strand.
CTGAAGGAGACAAATGTATAGTAATGGTCACTGCTCTCAGCATACTCTAAGGTTCTATGCTGAAATGCATCATCTCTAATTGGGGCAAATTTATGCTAGATGGCTTGAATAAAAAGAAGTTAATTTTCTTTTGCAGCATGACCTGGTCCCAGTACACCCTAGAGACCATGAGAAGTGGCCACTGAATGGATTCCTTAATTTTAATATCATTTTGCATGTGCACCTGTTTGGCAAAATGTTCCAAAAATTGGGGAAGTACCCTATGTACAGGCTTTTATAAAACTATATCAGGATCCAAAATAGTGGGATTCCTGTCAGGTATGTGTGGCCTCCATGCCTTGGCCATCTCCAGATAAATCTAAACAATACTTGCTGACAGATCTGCTCTTTCAGTCTCTGATCAGTCCACCCAGTGAATCCCAACTCCACCATCCCATTTGGTTCCTGAACTGACACCATACCGTAATCAGACCTCTGCACGTATGCAGGCTCCAGCACATAATCAGTGGGGTTCTAATCAGGTTCCAAGTTGGCACCTACTTTTACCCTGCCACAAGCCCAGGAATATTCTCCCCTTAAAGAAGCGACAGAGGAGAGAAGGTAAATTACAAGAATGCATTTTCCCTTTTTGATGGTAGATTGGGGCTATGCAAATAAAAGTTTGGCAGATTTTCAGAAGATTCTAACAAATTTAGAGATGAGTTTGTGACATCAAACCTAATTTTCTCATTGCCATGGCAGGATGTCACTTATTTTGACACATTGCTGACCTTTGATAAAAAAGACCACATACTAAGAAAGGCCAGAGAGTATTCAGATTGCCCAGTGGCCATGAACGACCACAAGGCTGTCATCTGAGTGGGCTGAGATGTAGTCCCAGAGCAAAACCCCCAGTGGGATTATGAAGATGCTACTGACAAAGCTAGATGGGTCATTTTATTACTTTGCTAAGGCAATGGACAAGTGCATAGTAAATCTCATGAACTATCATAAGGTTAGAGATATTACTCAGGAAAAAGAGGAGAAAATTCCAGCAGTCTTCCTCAACTGGGTCATGACAGCTTTCTGAAAATACACCAATGCTGTCCCAGAGTAAACAGAAGGGAGGGCACCGCTTGCCACACATTTCATTACTCAGTCTGTTCCAGACATCAGGAGAAAGCTGAATATAGACAGAACCCCAGATCCTACTGTTGACCCTGGTAACAGAGACTTATAAGGTTTTCAATAATAGGGACAGGAGAGAGAAAGCTAATAAAGAAAGGAGATTAACCAAGAAAGAGTAGCTTTTGGCTTCCCCAATTCATCTGCCATCTAAGGGTGACCCTAGGGGACCCAGAAGACCAGACAACTGAATGCACCCAGCCAGCATTGAACAGAACCAATGTGCATATTTCAGGAAGGAATATTGAAAGAGGGAATGACCTAACCATTCTAAATCAGGATGGCTAGCTGCAACCCTGGCCAACCCCACCCTCTTTGTTAACCTCTCAGATGAGAGGTCTATTTTCACTGAGTAATGTGACCCAAGATCCTGCCTGGATCTGACTTTAACATGCTCCATCATCATCTCTTTAGCAGAGCCTTAAGTCACCTTCTACATGGCAGTAGAAGAACTGAGTTCCTTGTGGATATGCGAGCCACCTACTCTTTCTTGACTCAGTCTGTCGACCCACTTTCCAATTGTAACTGCATAGTAACAGGGATAGACAGGTGGTCTAAAGTAAGGCAACTTACTTTCCTTCTTGCTTGTGAGGCAGGGTCTAGTATTACTACTCATTCATTCCTGAATGTCCCTAAATGTCCTAATTTATTGTTAGGTAGAGACTTATTAAGTAAAATTGGAGCAACCATTTCCTTGGAAGGGATCAAATTTCAATTAGAAATGGAACCAGAACAAAGAATCCACTTATTGGCACTCTTGAACTGTCACAGTTTGAAACAAATACATTCCTGAAGAGAACAAGAACCAAATGGACCCCTCAGTATGGGAAACTGTTGTCTTGGGATTGGCCAATAAAAATAGGCCTGAAACCTGGTGCATACTGTCCATGGAGAATACCATTGTGTATGGAACTTGTGGGTTGTTATTGAGACAGTCATTCCAATCCATCCAATGGTTCCAAACTCATACATTCTGCTCAACTGGATACACAGGGATGTTCAGTATCACACTGTGCTAGACTTAAAAGATGCCTTCTTTTGTGTGCTTCTATACCCAGAATTCCAATATTCTTTTGCCTTTGAATGGAAGAAACCCAATACCCAGAAAACCACCCAATATACATGAACAGTACTTCCTCAAGGTTTTTGAGACAGTTTTCATCTCTTTGGAAATGTGTTGGCAAAGGAGTTAAGCGAATTAAACTTGAGAAATGTGATTTTATGTCAATATGCTGATGATCTGTTAATTGCCAGTCAGACATGTCATGACTCAAATTTTAACATCGTTAAAACCCTACATGTTCTGGCTGAACAGGATACAAGGCATTCCCAACCAAGACCTGGATTTCCTTACAAAAGATTCAATATCTGGGATTTGCTCTGACCCCAGAAGCTTGCATACTGGCCACAGATCAAAAAAGGGCAATCATTTTATTGCTGATTCCACAAACCAAACAGCAACTCTGGGGCTTCTTGGGAATGGCAGTTTTCTGCCACATCTGGATTCCAAATTATGACCTAATGTCCGAGCTGCTGAGTCCATAAAAGGGAAAGAAAGATTCCCCAAGCACTGGGATAAAGAGTGCCAACAAGCTTTTGAAGCATTAAAATCTGAGTTAGGTCAAGCCCCAGCTCCAAGGCTACCAAATTTAGAAAAACCATTTACCTTCTATCTTTGTGAAAGACTGGTAATAGCTCTGAGAGTCTTAACCCAGAAGTTAGGATCTTCCCAGGGGTCAGTGGCCTATTTCTTAAAACAATTAGATCCAGTCACAAAGGGATGGCCTATTTGCCTGAGGGTGGTAGCAGCCTCTGTCCTATTGGTTAACAAGGCATCGAAGTTGACATTGGGGCAATATATGGAAGTCATCACTTGTCATCAGGTTCAGACTGTGTTGGAAGTCAAAGGACACCATTTTGGAAGGAGGCTGACCAAATACCAAGCTCTTTTATTAGACACCCCTGACATCTCTCTGAGGGTATAACAGACTTTGACCCAGGGGACACTATTCCCATCTGTAGATGATGAGGCTTTATAGCATCAATGCGTAAAAGCCATAGAACAAAAATATTCCAGTAGACCCAACTTACAGGATAAGCCCCTTAATAATCCAGAGGCAGAATACTATATTTATGGTACTAGTTTTATGGGAGAAGGGACTAGGAAAGCAGGGTATGCAACAGTGAGTCTAAATGAGGTTATAAAGGCCAAAGCCCTTTCTTCTCATACCTCAGCATAGAAAGCAGCACCAACTGCCTTAATTAGAGCCTTAAAATTGGGAGAAAGCAAAAGGTTAAACTTATATACTGATTCAAAGTATGAGTTTTTCATGCTGCACACCCACACAGCCATATGGAAGGAGAGGGGAGTATTAACAGCCAAAAACTCCCCAATCAAGCATCAATATCTAATCTTGCTTCTCTTGGAAGCAGTACAGATTCCTCACCAAATGGCAGTCATTCACTGTAAGGGCCACCAGAGAGATGGGTCCCTCATTAGCCAAGGGAACAATAGGACCAGTAGGGCTGCAAAGCAGGTAGATCAGTCTCAAGAACCTAAGAGGGTCCTGGCCGTAACAATAATCCCCTCTAAACTCCCCAGTTGCCCACTATCTTCACAACAAGAATGGAAGAATGCTGAGAGATGGAGATAGAGGGAGATAATATTGGATGGCTCACAGACAATGGTAAGATCCTCGGAGTTGAACAATGGAAGCTCATCAAGCATCTCCATGATGCCACTCATTATGAGAGGGGTAGTCTATGAGACATAGTCCATAGAATAATTACCAGAAAAGAACTTAGAAACACTGTAAAATAGGTGACCTTTGCCTGTGAGTTGGGTGCCCCGATTAACCCCTAAACTCATCCTATCCCTCCCTCTTTAAGTTGGTTCAGCATAGAGGAACATATTCAGGAGAGGACTGACAAGTAGATTTCACTCAACTGCCCTCGAAGTCAGGGTATAGGTACCTCCTAGTGTTAATGTTGAGCCAAGCTTTTTTCACCCCTATAGAGGAAGCAGTGGAAGGCTGTAAACTCCTGTTAAAGGAGATAGTATACCAGTTCAGACTTCCCAGGTCTCTCCAGAGTGATAGCTGGCCTTCCTTTGTTGCTAAGATTACTCAGGGCCTCACAACAGCCTTAGGGATAGACTACAAACTTCATGCATCTTGACATTCCCAATCATCAGAGATAGTTAAAAAGATGAATCATACCCTTAAAAGGATCCTAGCAAAGCTTTTTCAAGATACCCATAAACTGTGGATTAAATGCTTCAGTCACACTTCTCAGAATCTGCACAGTCCCTTATGGCAACCTGAATTTCAGTCCTTCTGAAATAATTTAGGGGATGCCCTTTCTCACTACTAATCTTCTGTTAGATGGAGAATTGGATCAAAACCTACAACATCTAATGTTTTCAGGGCAGGCCCAGAAGGCAATCTTAGAATAGGGGAACAATATTCTGCCATCCCCTGCCAGGAGTGGGGCATCCTCTATCCAGATTAACCCAGGAGATCAGGTCCTCCTTAAGACTTGGAAGGTGGGCTCCCTGAAGGACCAACTATTACTTAAATGGAAAGGTCTTTACTGAGTGATCCTGGCCACTCCAACTACAGTCAATTGACAAGGAATGCCTAGGTGGGCACAACTTTCCAGATTAAAGCTCTTTTCTGCTGAACATTTTCAGGCATGCTTGAAAAGCCCATCTTATTCCTGTGAGACAGTGGAGGGTCGTAAGTACCTGTTCAACAGGGCCATCTCACAAAGAGATAAGTAATATGGTAGCTGGGCCTCAGTCTGATAGCTTCTTTTATCATACTGGTTATTTTGCTGCTGCTGTTTTATCACTTTGCTTAGCCCCCTCCCCTGGTAAATATCTCTTTTGTCCTTGCTGAATATAAGGAACTGACCTTGCTACTTCTTGTCCTGGTGCTTATGTTTTCCCCGATGGTAATACAGAATAAACAAAGCTTGGGAAAATGGGAGGGAAATTCTTCGTTCCAACTTACTCAAACATTGTCTCAGCCCACACCAAACAGTTATTGGACTATTGCATATGTCATTAACAAGTCAATGGGGAGGCATATAAAAATGTCTGGTGGGAGCACCCAGCAGAATGGTCCCTGGTCCAAAAGCACCCTATTTACAGAGCCAATAAATCTCTTATGAACCTAGTCCATCTCATCCACTCAACGTCCATTAACCTGAGAATGATAACATGTTTTAATCCATCAGCCATGACCTGGTATGCCAATGTAGATCCCAAGCTACCCTAATGTAACACCTCTTGTGCTCTTTACAGGATCCCCATCTTTAACTATACTACCAGAGGGAGCTACATACTCAGTGCCCTTAAATGCACCTGCTCATCAAAAGATGTGATTAACCTCACCCCTGAGCTCTGTCCCTTTTTATGTGCATGATTTCCAACTGCAATTGGGACATGGCATGAGTTCCAGAGAGTACAGCCTTGGTGGCACAGCTACCTGGGTTGTGTTAGGCTATTCTTACATTGCTTTAAAGAAATAACTGAGATTGAGTAATTTATAAAGAAAACAGGTTTAATTGGCTCATGGTTCTGCAGACTGTACAGGAAGCGTGGCACCAGCATCTGCTTGGCTTCTGGTGAGGCCTCAGAGAGGTTTTGCTCATAGCAGAAGGTGAAGGGAAGCAGGCACATCACATGGTTAGAGCAGTAGCAAGGGAACTGGAGGTACCACAAACTTTTAAGCAACCAGAACTTGTGAGAACTCACCCAGTATTATGAGGGAAAGCCGTGAGAGATTTGCCCCCATGACCCAAACATCTTCCACCAGGCTCCATCTCCAACATTGGGGATTATGTTTCTTTTTTTATAATTTAAATTTATTTTTTTTAAAGAGATGGGGTCTCACTGTGTTGGCCAGGGTGGTCTTGAACTCCTGTCCTCAAGCTATCCTTCCTACCTCAGCTTCCCAAAATGCTGAGATTACAGGCATGAGTCACCATGTCTGGCCAGGGATGATATTTCAACCTGAGATTTGGCAGGAACAAATATCCAAACTATATAATGGGCTGTAACATGGAATCACAGATATCCTTGGCTTCTGACACTGAAAACCAGGGAGACAATGACAAGTACTTCTTATGGCTGCCTTCTAATCACCCATCATTGGGTCCCTTCCTACCCAGGACTCTTATGCTTAGCTAATGGACTGATGTTCTTGGGAATGGTAAATGGGAAAGGGATAGAAGTTCAATGTCTTGATACCAATCATATAAGTAGCAATTGGACTGTGGAAAAGGTCACACTTCTCTTCCTCCTAAGAATATCAAAGTATTCTCCAATAACCCCTATAGCACTCAGCTGTCACCAAGAAGGTCCAGATGAGCAATGGGGCTGCTGATTGTCAGAATAGTCACCTTGGTTGGTTCGCTGATGGGACCAGCCAGGAGAATAATTTACAACAATGTCATCATATAATATGTCACAGCCATGTCTCCATGGTGGCAGCCACAACGGGACAGGATTTTAAACTCATACAAAAGTCACTAGGCTATCTGGCTTTGATGGTCTTAGATGACTGATTATCCTTGGATTACCTACTGGCTGAAAAGTAGAAGTATGTGCTGTTGCAAATACCTCCTGTTGTTTCTTCATTAATGTTTCTGGAGAGATGGAACAAACAGCTGATGTCATCCTCCAACAGGTTACATGGCTGCATAACTTTAATAATCCCACTGCTCAAACCGTCTGGGACTCCACTGAAGGGTACCTACCACATGTTACTTCGTTCTTGCCTTTCTTTAGATCCTTAGTGAACATTTTGTTGTGGTTATGTGGTTATGTGGGTCCTTTTAACCTTTTGGTAAAGTTTGTGTTTGCCAGGATTCAACAGTTCCAAGTCAAGCTAATGGTGACACAAGAATTCTAACCCATACTATCCCAGGAAAACTTGAGTCCTTAATAATCTAAATTGGTAGGTCAGTCAGCAGGGGATTTTTACACCTCCAAAGGTAGGTGGAGATGATGACTCTTTTCAGCAGAAAGCAGCTTGGAAAATGAGACCTCTGACCTCCCTCCCACCCCTTCTCCTTAAGAATAAGGAGGGTAGGCCGGGCACAGTGGCTCACGCCTGTAATCACAGCACTTTGGGAGGCCAAGACGGGCAGATCACGAGGTCATGAGATCGAGACCATCCTGGCTAACACGGTGAAACCTCGTCTCTACTAAAAATACAAAAAAATTAGCCAGGCATGGTGGCAGGCACCTGTAGTCCCAGCTACTCGGGAGGCTGAGGCAGGAGAATGGCATGAACCTGGGAGGTGGAGCTTGCAGTGAGCCGAGATCGTGCCACTGCACCCCAGCCTGGGTGACAGAGTGAGACTCCATAAAATAAAATAAAATAAAATAAAATAAAATAAAATAAAATAAAATAAAATAAAAAGAAGAAGAATAAGGAGGGTAAAATCTCTCAGAGGGAAATGAGACATAGTGGGGGAAATGAGACTAGCTCCCACCCTCTGCCCCCCATATTAGTCAGGGTTCTCCAGATAGAGAACCCTGTCTTATGTCCTATTGGTCAGAACCAATAGAACATATGTATATATAAAAGGGAGTTTATTATGGAGAATTAGCTCATGTGATTACAAAGTGAAGTCCCACAATTGGCTGACCACAGCTGGGGAAAGGGAGAAGCTGGTAGTGGCTCAGTACATGTCCGAAAGCCTCAAAACCAGGGAAGCTGACAGTGCAGCCTTAAGTCTGCAGCCGAAGGCCCAAGGGCCCCAGGGAAGATGCTGGCACAAGTTTCAGAGCCAGCGTCTGAAGATCCTGGAGTCTGATGTCCAAGGGCAGGAAGAGTGGAAAGAAGCAAACATCCTGCACGTGAAGAAGAAAGAGCCAGAAGACTCAGCATGCAAACTTATCTCATCTTCTCCTGCTTTCTTTGTTCCAGCTGCATTGGTAGCCAATTGGATGATGCCCACCCACATTGAGGGTAGGTCTTTCTCTCACAATACATGAACTCAAATGTCAATCTCCTCTGGCAGCACCTTCACAAACACATCCAGAAACCATATCAGCCATCTAGACATCCCTCAATCCAATCAAGTTGAACCCAATATTAACCATCACACACCCCCTGACATATTTTCCATACTTGTTAACCACAAGATCCTGCACTCCCAGCTAAGAAGCTAAGATAAGCAACATTTCAACAAAAGTTTCCCCCAAGACAGTTGACTCTACCACTGACATGTGCGTGAGACCCAAAAATTACCCTTATACAACCTTCCTGGCAGTAATGAGCAACACTGTTATCTTGAATCCACTGAGCATGCACTGAGAATTCAATACCACATCCAGGAAGAAGGGAAAGGTCACCCCAGGAGGCAGATCCTTGACATCAAGCTCCTTACTCTATCCAATAAAAGGCCCTGGGTGGCCCCCTTTAGACAGCCAGCTAGAGAACCCTTTCTCCTGTGCTGTTTCCTTTGTGCTCTAGCATAAGCCCCAGTGAACCTTGTTCGGGAAAGCTTGCTTGGCCTCATGTCATATTTCCATTGCATGAAGAGTCTGAGAGCCAGTGGTCAGTAACAAAATATCAAAGAGGGTATAGAGGCTGATCTCCCTCATTGCAATGGTCTCCTTGAAGAGAGGGTATGTGACCCTTCCAGCTTTAGGACTCCAGCAGCAGTAGAGGGCTCAGCAAGTAGCCCTCCTGTCAGTGCTTATCAGATTAATGTAGAAACTAGGTATTGCTAACATTTCACGTAAATACTTATTTCTGTCTTCTTATTTAAAATAGCACTGCATCTTGGAATGTTCAGAAGTAAACTTGTTCTTTGTGTTCATTACCTTCTAATGAACATTAGAACAAACACTGAGAATTCTATATGCCATTCTCCTCCCACCATGCCTCCTACCACATCTATTTCCTATGATTGTAATTACCTTCTTTATATGTGATAAATTCTGATCTATTTCTATTTTCTATTCTATTCTATTCTTTGTGTTCTATTCTGTTCCATTCCATCCAATTGCATTACTCTTCAGTAAAAAAGCAATACTGTTTTAATTCACAAATTGATTTCATGTGGTCTTCCAATGGGTCATGGGTCACTCAAACTCTGCCTTGCGGATCATTCAAATCTGCAGTTTGAGACGGATTGCTCTAAAAATCTCAGTGTGCCCTTTGGTTGGAAGCATTTGTTCTCTGAGAAGCTTTGATTCTTTACCTCAGAAATGTTTACTAACTGAAAGTAAAATCATGATTTTTTTCCTCATAAAAGAAGCATAGTTATAAATGTTAATAAAATTGGAGCATTCTGGACTCTGAGCTTCACCAGAGGGCTTTTAAAACTAAATCTGATGTTCATATGAAAGATCTGTTACTATTTAACTATTTCACCTAGCATGATGAGAGGACTTTCAATAAACCTAAGTATGTCAAAGAAAATCAGCTGCTTCTCTTTAAAAATGTGGCTGATTCCTCTAAAATGAGATTTTTCTGCATCTTACTGGAGTAAAATGAAGAACTGATAGGAAAGTATTAATATTCTATATGCTGTACTTGTGAAAAGCCTCAAGTACTTTGCTCAAGTTTCAAGAGAAGAAATTTTCCTTGAAACATAGATCAATCATTTTATAGAAAGTATTTCATATTGCCACGTTAGAAAGTCACAGTTGGATATCCTATTCTTTTGAATGGTTATTGAAATTTTAGCCCAGAGCAGAGCTTGTTCATGTTCTCTCTTGCTTGGGCTATGTACAGTGATGTATTCCCAGCCAGTCCAGTCGCACGGAACCTTAGGATATTCTAATTTAGTAAAGTGTTGGCATAACATAACCAAAACGGCATAATTTACTTTAAATGAAAACTTCCTCTTTGAGTAAAAAGAATTTTTGCTTTGGTGGAGGTTTTGTGTTTTACTGTCTGAACTAAACAGGTTGAGGCAAAATATACTTTTATCTCTCATTTATCCACAAACTTTAGGGTTTGATTAACCAAAACTTACTATGTGTGCCATCCCATTTGCAGAGTGCCATTATTCAAGGAATTCAAAAAGGACACAATATAGCTATGAAGAATATTTTTTATATCATTAATTATGGTTCATTGTCTCAAAAAAGGAATAGAGCATTAATCTACCATCTTTTTTTCTAACAAAATAACACCCTCCTCATCTCCTGCTCACATGCCCTAATGTCTTTTGCTCTAGAGAGGTAACAGCCTTGTTGCAAAAAATGCAGTTGTGCTGCACATTCCTGCCTGACCATCTCATTCCCATGCAGTGATGACACTAACTGGCTGTACCTGAAGTGTGGATACTGGCTAGTACTTCTCACTGCTGTTCTGCTTCTGTCAGGTCCCACCTCAAGGTGTTTTTTTTATTTATTTATTTATTTATTTATTTATTTATTTATTTATTTATGTGTGTGTGTGTGTGTGTGCATGTAATGTGAAAGAATATCAGATTGTTTGTTTTCTAAGCAAATAGCATCCTTTAAAGGTAGTCCTATTTTCTAAGGTAGTCCTGTTTCCAAGGACCCAGACCCCAGGACCACAGTCAGAAAACAGGACTACCTTAGAGTTTACTTATTTATACAATGTATTCTGCATTTCTCTTCCAGACTATAAGCACAACATGGGTATGGATCTTTGTCTATTTTATTTATTTATATATTCCACAGATGTAAAATAATCCTAATATTTATTTCTAAATTATTGATATTATTTCTTTGTGTATATAAGTAATATTTATAATTATTTGTCTTATATGTAGTTAATTTTTCTGTACATAATTTGACTTAATTATTATTATTTTGGGGTAGACTACTTTTTAATTTTCATAAAATTAAATCTGTCAATCTTTCCTCTTATGGTCTCCTTAACTTTTAATTGTCTATAGGATCCCCAAAGAAGCATAAAATCATGGCTCAGCATTTCTTGTTTTATTTCCTCCTGAGTGAGTGTCACTAATGTGTGAACCCAGTAAGCTTCATAGAGTCATTCAATTATCTTAGGCCATAAGCACGTATTAGGTGTTGCAACGTTGGTGTTGCACTAAGCATTGTGGGACATGTAGTATATGTACCAAAAAGAAACACATTAAAGTTTTCTGTTACATAAATAAGGAATGAATATGGAAAATGATAATATAAAAAGACTTAAAATTGACAACCCTGATAGCTGATGATGGGTTGCCAAATATAGATTCTCAGATTCTGTGAGTTCAGCATACAAAAATGGATAACAGTGACCTAGAATGAGATGCAAAGTTTAAATTAAATCTTAAAATTGTCTGAAAGGCTAACTTAGCAAAGAAAAATAGTAATTTCAGTGCACAAAAGCAATAAACTTATAGTCCTTAAATTCCTAGAAGAAAAGTTCATAAAGCATGGTGCTCAATGTCAGTGTCTGAACATTTATGTGCTTATTACCCTTTCAGGAAAGGAGGGAGAGAAGAAGGGAGAGAGAAAGGTAGGAAGGAGGGAAGAAGAGAACAAAGAAAAAAGAAGGGAAGCAGAAAGGGAGAAAGAAAGAAAGGGAGAGAGTGAGGGAGGAGGGAGGGAAGGAAAGGAAAGACAGCAGGAAGGAATGAAAGGAAGAAAGAAGGATGGGAGAGGGAGGGAGGGAGGGGACCTGGGATGGAGGAAGAAAGGTAGGAGGAAAGAAAAGAGGGGAAAAGAAGGGAAGCAGGGAAGGATGGAAGAAAGGAAGGGAGGGAAGGAGAGAGGGAGGAAGACAGCATCCAGAAAAGCCCACTAGATTTGTGCTAATTTCAGGTATGATTTCCTGAATGGCCCTCGTTGTGCTGCATATTCTAGCATAAGCAATGCATACTATCTGGTAATAATTATATTTTCCTTGCTTGCAATCCTTGATTTGAAAGTATCATCCATGGTTGTAAAGAATCACACATCATGCTCACTTATCCTCAGAAATCTGAGTAGTTACGCTGGGGAATGAAGTTGTTCTATCTGGGTCAGAATCAGTAAGAATGTCTGAGGATCCAAATTATTATGGTCTACATCTTAAAGGACAAATGAGTATCGGTCAATTAGCTTTTTTAGTCTTCCTGCAATGGTTCTTAAATGCTTGCTTGAAACAGTTGCTAACTTACAGAAATTGTCTAGTCTTACTATGCACATTTAAGGTAATAGCTTCTAGCGCTTACAAACAACATAAATGATGCAATTGATAGAGTACAGGCAAGATTTTTGTGTAATTTTACATCTTAATGCTTTGCTAAGTGTGTAAGTCCTATTACGGTGATTAGCATAGAGTTTAGTGATTGACATTTTAAGCAAGGGACAACCAAAATGAAGTTAATATTTCTCACTGCAAGTTTATTTAGCAAATAGAGAGAAAGAGTGTAAAAGTGAGAAAAAAAGAGAAAATAGGAGTGAGCAGGGGTATGCTCTATTGCTGAAGTTGTGCCTATTGAAACCAGCAGGTGCAAGATGGCTCCCTGTGCTCTTTGAAGGGGTCTACAATATGAGCATGAGCTCTTTAACCCTATTTAGCTGGGAATCTCTCCAGCTCTGAGGATCTAGGTGGAGGTCCTGCTTGGTGGACTGTGTAACCTCTACACTTTCTATCCTAGCTCACACCATTGCCTTAACCTCCTGCCTGGCTCCCCACCCTACCAGAGCATGTCTGACTACCTGCCCCTTCTTTGTGGCTTATTCATGCAACAAATTTAAACCTTAAAGTTGACTTATCTCCTTCTCTCCAGTTGACACAACAAACATCTGTATGACATCCATAGAGGAAATGGAGCAAATCAGGAACCTGCATTGTTATCACTAGCTGTCTGGGTTCCACATATTAAGCAAGCTAAGAAGCAGTTGCAGTGACTATATTACTCATCTGAAGATCTTATGCTGATTAGCTATAACTGAAAATTCATAAAAAGATTCTTAATATAAATCCCAAAAGCTCTTCTGAGAAATAGTGGTGAATTGAATGTGAATTGTATCCTTTTAGGAGCAACTTGGGAGCAGAAAGCACAGACCGCAGTCACTTAAATTGAATATCCTTTTTATGTCCTCCTACAGCTACTGGAGAACTGTAAGATAAAATGGACCACTCATCTCTCTATCCTGCTGAAATTCTGGAGGAAATTTGTCTCACACATGCCATTTTGATATTGTTGATTCACCTGTTTGCATGAAGGGAATATGCTTTACTAGTTACTGCTCAAACTTTGCTGTTATGTTGTCCCCAAAAGTTAAAGATTTAATTAATTTATTTATTATTTTATATATTCACCATTTATTTACTTATTATAAATTACCAGATATTGTTCTAGGCAACAGAGAAATAAAGAAAAGAATGTCATATGCTGTCAAGCAACTTACATACTTGTAAAAAAAATTAAAAGAAATATTTTCCTTATTTTTCTATGAATATAAACAAATATCACATACATTTCTGTGTAGTAACTCATGTTAATTTGTATATGTAGCAGAAAGTTACAAATCAATTTTTGGAAAATTTTTGAGACTCACTCGGGTTTTTTTTATGCAGAATTTTTTCAATCCCTGACTGATGTTTCTTTGGTTGTTATAACAAAAATTCAATTCTTATTTTTTTTTAATATCACAACTGTTGAAGCTCATCTTTTAAAATTACTCATCTAATTAGTTTTGACTCTGCATGACTGGTCTTCTTTGGCATAGTTAAGAAGCTGCTCATTTCTAGAAACATTGATTTTGATGTAACAAAGCAAGAATGGAGGACTACCTTGCTGTTGGTTTCTTTCTGTTTCTACAGAAACAGGAAAAAGCAAGAGCTACTGGGCAAGGTGTAGTACAAAGGTATACATGAAAGCTAAGAGTCAACAAGAAACTACGTTTTTCACTAGAAGGCCTTCTAATGTGAAGTTACACCAACTGCTGACATGCCTTCTCTTCCAAATGCGTACCAATGGGTTTATTTCCTATTCAAGTTGCAGCAAGCATTAAAGGTAATATTTTCTAATTGAGGATTAATGTATATGCCCTACCTTCTTATAAGAACCCGTACTCAATTTTGTGTGTTTATTTACTCTTTCTTAATTATTTTCCAGCTATTCTTTAATTGTAGCTTTGATTTTGTATTTGGCTCTAAGAGTGAAATTTAGGAAAGTGACATAGATAAGTAGTTGCTTTTGTTTTCTATTTTGATTAATTTCTTATTTATTCCTTTGTGACCAAAGAATATGGTCCATATTATATTCTCTCTCTCTTTAGATGTGTTCTTTCTGCCTAACACATAGTGAGCTCTTTTGAGTGTTCTGTGGGCATGCTGAAGACGATATAGTTCATGTGTGGAGTATGAAATTTAATAGGTACTGTGTAATTACGAGATAACCTAATTAATATATTACTTAGATGTTCTTTATCCTTATTAAGTTGGCCCTTCTTGATCTGATCAAGAGCAGAAGAGATGTACTAAAGCCTCCACTGCTTATGTCCTCTCAGTTTTTCTTGATTTACAGGAGTTTTCACTTAACACATTTTAATACTTTGCCAGTTTGTGACATTCATATCATCATTGTAGATTTTACATTTTACCAATAAAACATGACCTTCTTTGTCCTATTTAGCTCATTTTACCTTGAATTCTACCTTGCCTCTTATTAATATTGCAGACCTGCTTAGTTTTTGTTTGCATATGCAAGAACTACCTTGGCTCATCCTTGTGTTTTAAAAATTTCCAAGGTTTTTTAGGTTTAAACTTTCTTTGGTGCCATATATTTAGACTGTTTTTGTTTAAATAAATCTGAGAGATTTTTCTAGGTGAGAATTTAAGGACTTTCCAACTATAAAATACTCAATAGCTCTCAAGTCAAATTTTATATATATATATATAAAATTTTATATATATATATATAAAATTTTATATATATATATATATCATTTTGCCAATACTGTTTACATTTGTGGATGCAATTACTTGTTCAATTTATGTAATTTATATATATAATATAAAATTTTATATATATATATATATATATATCATTTTGCCAATACTGTTTACATTTGTGGATGCAATTACTTGTTCAATTTATGTAATTTACTATAACTGTAATTTTATTAAACCATTTTTGGGCCAAGGATACAATGAAAATAGATTGTCTAATAAGATTATGTGTTTATAGGTAACTGGGGATTTTTTAATTATTTATTTATTTATTTATTTATTTATTTATTTATTTTCAGACAGGGTCTCACTCTTTTGCCCAGGCTGGAGTGCAATGGCACGATCTCACCTCACTTCAACCTTTGCCTCCCGGGTTCAAGCAATTCTCATGCCTCAGCCTACAGAATAGCTGGGATTACAGGCATGCGGCACCATGCCCGGCTAATTTTTGTATTTTTAGTAGAGACAGTGTTTCGCCATGTTGCCCAGGCTGGTCTCAAACTCCTGACCTCAAGTGATCCACCTGCCTGGGCCTCCCAAAGAGCTGAGATTACAGGAGTGAGCCACCACGCCCAGCCAGTAACTGGGGATTTTTAAAGTGTCTTCTCATTCTCTCACAACCTTGTCCAGACAATGTGGCAAATAGTGATTAGGCTTTATTTAGTTTAAGTTTCTTACTTATGTGTATGTTTGTATTAGTGTAAGAAGGAAAATAAAGAACCAGAGAATAACTGGTATTTAAAGAGCATTATAGGTAAATAAGTGATTGTTTTAGTTAGTGTATTTCATTTGACAGTATCAGGAACATTGGAAATTATCTATCCATTAGTCTGCCTGGAGTGAACAGACACTGGCTTATCCTGGGCTGTATGTTTAAGTGTGCTCATATGCATGCAAGGCATAGCATGTAGGCATTGTTCTTTAACATAATAAGGACATTTTTGGTAATTTAGAACGTGTTTACATCAAATAGGTAGTTTTTTTATAAGGTGTCCCACAAAATGAAATTAATAAACTAATGTTTTAGACTATCAAAGAAAAAAGGAAATAGGAAACAATTCGGATAAACAAGAACAAGCTACATCTTAAGAAGGCCAAATAAAGATTTGAAAAGGGAGGTTTTCCTCTCTATCATTTTCACTGGGACTACACTGAAAGGATGGGAACTGTGTCCACTATTTCCTGAGTATTATCCTGACACACCTAATGGGAGTATTTAGTGTCTGAGCGAAGCCATGAAAACTACACTGCATACGAATTAAGAAAACTTTTGTTCCGCAGAATGTCTGACCATTACATTTTCTCTGCATCAACTAAAGAGTACCAAATACAGGATCCTGTGTAGAAATTAAGCCTTTATTTTTACCTTTAATCGTAAATAGGAAGAAGTCACACGTGAGCCAGGCCATGGAATACCTCACCCAGTGTAGGGCCATTTTAACTACTTCTTCTTTAGCCCACTGAAAGGGAGAGATTTCTGCTCTAGGTTTCTGGGGATGGCTGAATATGTGACACCTGACGCTGAAAAAATGAGAACAGCATCAGTTTATTGGTCACATATACCAAATTTTGGGTAGAAGACACTGCATACCATTTGGGGCCACACAGTGGTTGTACTTGGAAACAGAGTGAACAAGCAGGGGCTGTGGGAGACAGGCTTTGTAGTATCAAGAGGGTAAGGTGACCTCTTGTTCCTGCTGGAGGATGTGATTGGCTTGTTTGAATAATTTCATGGGCTGGCAAGGAACTAAAATTTGCTACTTGGCGATAAGCAGGAACTGTGCCTGGTCCAGGGTTGATTTGTGCAGAGACTGTATCCTTGGGAATAGAGTGGGAAGGGCAGCTGTGGTGAGGCCTTTTGATGCCCTCCTTGTTTCAAATGTCAAAGGATCACATAATAGTGAGTAATTTTAGGACTTACACCACAGGGACTGAATGATAAACTCTCTGATGACCACATTTACTCGGAATTGGTTTTCACTACAATGCCTGGGATAAACAGAGATCATATTCATATGGAAAGCTGCCTATATTTCTAGGTTCTACATTTTGTGAGGAATCCTTTGTCTATGTTTGGACTTTCTTCACTTTCGGCCTGGCTACCTTGCTCCCTGGCTAGGCTCTGCTTTCATTTGTTGAAATAACACAACCTGCTCATGGCCTAAATTTGAGGCACATCTCCTTGAGTTCTTTGCCTTCCTGGCTTCTGGCCACTATGATAAACTTCAGGCTTAAATACTATTATGCATTAACTTCAGCCTTTAAAACTACCATCTTCCAGCCACAGCTGCTAAAAGAGAGCATGACTACAGTCATGCTCACAGTTCCCTGTGAAGGGACTTCTCTTAGTGACTTTTGTCCCCTTTACACACACTCTTATACTTACCCAATTAAGACCCTGTCCTTAGGGGAGAAGGAACAGCTGGCAAAAGTCAGTCTCAGATCTTCTAGATCCAAGTTCCTCAGAATGAAGACAAATCTCGGGTGAGTTTGAATTTTGGGAGTCAGGTAGAACATCTAGGGAAAAGGCACTTACATTTGAACAGGGATGTTAGGCAGACAGTGGCTCACCTCTCCACTATCTGAACTTTCAGAGTATATGGTATCTGTGATCCATTCATTTTCTCAAAAATACTTTATCTTATGCAAATGAGTAAATCAAATTTAGAAACATAATTATAACCAATACACACAGAGTCAACTCATTATTAATGAAAGGAGAAAGCTACACAGGGGACAGAAAAAATATTAAACAATTTAAAATTAGTATGTATGCCCTTTCAGAAATGATTTTCATAACTATAGATATGGCTGAAGACACAGAATAGACATCTCTCAGAATTCTGACACAAATAAAGTTTGGAGTCTTTTTTTGGTAACTGAAGCATGGTAATTTGACCACATATCATAGAAAATCTTTTGGAAAAGGCTGAAACGAAAAGAGCTTCCAGTGTCCTCTGTAAACTACAAAATGTAATCATTCAGTGATAACCTTCTTATTCACTAATCAACTTGCTTTATCGTGACTTCACTGTAGCCCACCCTTTGCTAAGATCTTACTGTTTTATTTCTCAGTCTTCAAACAGCTACTGTGTATGCCTTATTGGTGTTTGTATAAAGACATGGGGTTTTGCTCTAGTCCTTCAAGATGATGAGGAGTTAAGTACGTAACTTCAATTGTACCTCTTTTAAACAAGGCTTGAAGAACAGAAAAGAGGAGCATTTCCTAGGACCCTGAAAAATTTCTAAAGAAGGCTAGTGGATATAGGCATGTCGAAAAAGAAACCAAATTCTCCACCCAATCTCAGTGTCCTACAGTCCAACTTCAGGTTGCCACTTGTTAGTGGTTAGGCATGTTCATTCCAATAAATTATATACAAATCCCCCCGAATTTCAATTTTTGTGCAAAACTCTTATCTTGCTGAGATAGGAGATAGGACTTGACTCTGGAGGTGGGACTGAAACATGGATCAAATTGTGGACTATCTAAAACAGAAATGGAGTAGAAGCAGCTTTCCATAAAACATGCCCACCAGTGCATCATGTCAGTTTACTATTGTCATGGCAACACCTGGGAGTTACCATGCTTTCATGGTAATGACTTGACAACCCCAAAGTGACTACCCTTTCTCTAGAAATTTATGCATAAACCACCCCTTAATATACATGTAATTAAAATTAGGTATCAATATGACTGAAAAATTGCCCTGAGTTGCTACTGTCAGCACACTGCCTATGGGGTAACCCTGCTCAGGCAGGAGCAGTCACAGAGCTGTAACACTGCCAGAGCTGTAACACTGCTGCTTCGATAAAGCTGTTTTCTTCTACCCTACCACTGGCTTGCCCTTGAACTCTTTCCTGGAAAAGCCAAGAACCCTTCCTTGCAGGCTAAGCTCCACTCTGGGGCTCACATGCCCTGCATTATTACTACATGGTTTTGCAGTCTTCTGTCTATGCATCTGTCTCCTTGCTGAAGTTAAGAGTTCTAGACATCAGAATCTATGTAACTAATGCTTAGCATTCAGGAGGTATATGCTCAAATGTTTAATTAATGGGTTAATAAAATAGTGAAAAAATCTCTGATGATAAGGGCATTGAAATCTCATTAAGAACAGTCTGTGCTGAGGTATTTTCTGCTTTATTGATTTTAATATGTGCCTACCAAATTAAAAATAATAATTTTATTTCTCTACTCCCAATTAAACCTTGAAGTGCTATGAAACCACTGCTCAAAAATGAGTCTAACACTTGAAATGACTGTGGTTCTCCAGACACTTGCTTTTTATTCACATTTCTTAAAAATTTCCATAATCAGAACAAATAAGACAGCAAGCAACACAAATAATTACCTAAACAAAGCAAAAAATATGCATTGATGAATCTAAGACTTTGCTATTCAACCAGTTGTTCTCCAACAAGCAACATCAGCATCTTGCTTAAAAACTTGGAAATGCAGCCTCTCAAGTCTCATTTATACCTACTATATCAGAATTGCATTTAACAAGATCCCTAGGTGATTCAAATGCATATTAAAGTTTGAGAAACACTAGTCTAGGATTCTTCTCAATTTCATAAATACATCTTAAAAAATGGAGAAAAGTATATTTTTCAAATTTTGTTAAGTGGATTGTGAAGGAAGTAGCCAAGGACAAATTTTTTAAATAATAGAGTGTGACAAAAGGACGATTATCTACGTTGGAGCCTAAATGAAAGAGTCACCAGAAATGAATTATCAGAGTGCCTTGAGCATTTTACAGCAAAGTATGTAATGCTTAAATTAACATAACAATTATTATAATCAATACTAAATAATTATAGATATCACTATGTAAAAAAATACTCATAGCATGTAGGCTACCACATCAAGCTAGTCTATTTCAAGGAAGTAATTCTTTGATTAAAAAATCCCTTGGTTTACTTAAATCTTATAAAACAAATTCTTTTCCTTAAGTTTGTCGTTTGAATTGTTAATATGGAAATTTCCTGTTATTTCCCAGAGTTAATTCTATTAATCATGTGATTTCGATCAGTGTGACTAATTTCCTCAGAGCCCAGTGAACATAGATTGATCTGATGGTAACTCTTTTCCGAACCTACAAAACAAATTCTGGTCTGGAGTTTTCTTCTTAAGCTCTACCTCCATTGTCAAAGATCCTCGGCAACCCCCAACCTCATCAGCACCAGGCCACAGCTAAGCTCCATATAAGGTGGCTAATCAGTGGGTTATTCTTTTTTTTATTTTAAATAATAACCATAGTAAGCTTCCTTTTTTGTTTTCATTTTTGTTTTTATTTATTTATTTTTTAAACAAGGTATCACACTCTGTCTCCCAGGCTGGAGTTCAGTGGCTCACTGCAGCCTCAAACTGTCGAGCTGAAGCCATCCTTCCACCCCAGCCTCCTGAGTAGCTGGGACTATAGGCACGCACCATCACACCCAGCTGTTATTTTCCTTTTTAATTTTTAGTAAGATGGGGTTTCACGATGTTATTCAGGCTGGACTCCAACTCCTCAGCTCAAACAATCCTTTTGACACAGCCTCCCAAATTGCTAAGATTATAGGCTTCAGCCATGGTACCCAGCCAGTAAGTTTCCTTATGATATTTAATTTTATATTTGATTTCCAGGAGCCTGTTTTTCTTTGCTTCACCTAGATCAGGGTTTTCAAATGGTAAGTCATGATTTATTGGGGATGAACCAAAAAAAATAATAGGTTGTGACTAACATATTAGAATAGAATAGGATAGATCATTGTGTATTGTTATATAGTAAGGATATATTCATTACTATTTTAGAATACTTTTGTTTCATTGTGCATCTATTTAATGGGTCATCATAAAATATGTCTTCTATGTTAGGTCTTGTAGTCTGAAAGCCACTGACTTATAAAATCCTGCATGGTTGGCATGCCTCTGTATTGTATAAAAATTACCTCAAAGTTTTTCCCTTCTGGCTTACCTTGTGCAGTGGATACCATTGTTTCATCTGCTCCACCTTCCTCCCTTCTTATGGAATTGGTGGCTGTATTCTCCCCACTCTATCCACACTGTTACTAAGTTGTCCAGTTAGAAAATCATAACCTTCACCCTTACCACAAATCCGTAGCTCCAGAAATTGGCATATAATCCAAGTGAAACCAATCAGGGTTCTTTGCAGAAATTTTTAATTGGGAAATGAGATCCAGCACACTATAGCTGCTTCTCCAGAAAATATCATAAACTACAGAGCTGTTTAAAGTAACATTCTGTCATAAGACTATGGAAGAGAAAGGTAATTGGTAGAGAGAAAGAAGAAAATGATATCAAGAGAGAAGAAGAAAAATGTAACAATAAAGATTCAGGGTAGCATTTGAGCCCCTGCTTGGTTTATATTGTTCTCCAAGTGACAGGTCGTTGGGTGTCATAAAACATCCCAGTATACCCCCTTATGGTCAAGTGTTCATTTTACTTAAGTTAGTGTAAGGACATTAGAATAAGCAAAGTAATATATACATAGTAGACATAGTGTATATATATGTATATATATAAAAAATATACATATATAGTAGAGATGTGTGTGATATACTGATATATTTTTGATATATGTGTATGATATATATGTGTATATATGTCACACACACATATATACGTGTGTGTATATATATACACACATACTACTGGTGCCTTCAGTTAAAAAGTATATATTGTTTGGCACTCATTCTCCTGGGCTCTTTTGGGGCTTTCATTTTCTTTGAACTATCTAATAACTCTGAAAGTTGTAGGTAACTAATAGTAATGCAGATAAATTTTTGAAAATTAAATGTTGTTTGGCGGAGGATCAACCACTGGCCCCCCAAAAAGCTACTTTTGTGTCCATTTGCAAGCTAATTTAAATATTTCTGATATATAATAGTGTTTGTTTTTTGAACTTTCCTTTTACCAGTTTCCTCATTAATAATGAGTTAAATAAAATCTTAACAGCTGTTTATTTACTTGTTTTTAAGCATTATATATTTACTGTTAATAACAAAGTATATTTTTAGTTTTTCTAACTTTTTAATTGTATATGATATGGTTTGCCTGTGTCCCCATCCAAATTTCATCTTGAATTGTAGTTCCCATAATCCCCATGTGCCACGGGAGGGATCTGGTGGGAGGTAATTAAATCATGGGGGTGGTTACCCCCATACTGCTGTTTGCATGATAGTGAGTGAGTTCTCATGAGAGCTTACGGTTTTTTAAGGGGCTTTTCCCCCTTTTGTTCATTCTTCTCCTTGTTGCTGCCATGTGAAGTAGGATGTGTTTGCTTCCCCTCCCGCCATGATTGTAAGTTTCCTGAAGCCTCTCCAGTCATGATGAACTGTGAGTCAATTAAATCTCTTTGCTTAACAGATTACCCAGTCTAGGGTACATATTTATTAGCAGCATGAGAACGGACTAATACAGTACATATTTAAGGGGCAGAACATAATATTTTGATATGCATATACATTGTGAAATAATTTCTACAGTCAAGCAAATTTACATATTCATCACTTCATATAGTTACTTTGTGTATGTGTGTACATCCTGTGTGTGTCTGTGTTTGTGTATGGTAAAAGCACCTAAAGTCAACTCTCCTAGAAAATTTCCGGTATTTACTGTAGACTTCATGCTATTCACTAGTTTTTTAGACTTACTCATTCTACATAAGTACAGGGTTGTACTCTTTGACCTACATCTTCCCATTCCTCCCCACTCCCAACCCAGGTAATCATTATTCTATTTTCTGTTTCTATGTATTTGACATTTTTAGATTCCATATATAAGTGAGATCATGCAGTATTTTTGTTCTACATCGGGGTTAGTTCAGTTACCGTAATGTCCTCCAGTTTCATCCATGTTGTCACTAATCGCAGTATCCTCTCTAATAATATTCTATTATGTGTATATGTGTATTATATGTCAGTGGACACTTAGGTTGCTTCCAAATCTTGGATATGTCATGAATAATGCTGAAATGAACAAAGGATTGAAAATATCTCTTTAAGGTACAAATTTAATTTTCTTGGGATATATACCCAAAGCAGGATAGCTGGGTCATATGATAGTTCTATTTTTAATACTTTGAGGATCCTTCACAATATACACTGTTTTTCAGTGTATACCAAAAATAAAATTCTAAGACCACCCCTGCCCCCAGCTGACTGAATGAGCCTCCTCCTGGCCAAGGGGATCCAACTAAATCTGAAAATCTAGTACAGACAATGACAGGAAATGGAGGGAGATGTCAGATGGGCCTCATTACACTCTCCTCCCTTTGGAGTTCAAGCACACAACTGACTAACATTGACGTTAAAACAGAGGTCCTAAGACTGACATAACATACTCTTTGTAGCAATAAGATACAAAATTCCAACCAGACTCTAGTATTGAGTCACTTGACAGTTTGCAGGGGCCTGAAAGAAACCAAAGTAGCTCACCCAAGATATATGTGTATAGATAGATAGATAGATAGATAGATAGATAGATAGATAGTTAGATATATATAGATAGATATAGATAGATACATATATAGATATCTATCTATATACATATATAGATATAGATATATAGATATATATAGATATATAGATACAGATATAGATAGATATATAGATATATATAGATAGATATATAGATATATCTATAGATATCTATAGATATATATATGGATATCTATAGATATCTATATATATCTTTAACATATTTTGAAATGGCCCTGCAAAGCTGTATCTTGTTGGTGAAATTTGCATTCTATAGAGAATCCCCTTCCCTTTCCATGTTGTGTTTTGTTTTGGATCTTGAAGAGAGGCTGAGAGTGTAGCACCTTTTAAGGGTCTCAATATGAAACACCTGCCATCTATGGCCTCTGGGGGTGGCTCCCTATGAGATTTCATCTACATAATAAGATCCGTGGTCTCCACAATCCCTTATCTTAACCAGACACTCTTTTCTATTGACTCCAGGTCTTTAGATAATAACTTAACTCTTTCAACCCATTGCCAATCAGAATATCTTTGAATTAATCCATGACCTGCAAGAATCCCCTGCCATGTCACACTTCAAGTTGTCCTGGTTTTCTGGATCAAACCAATGTATACCTCACATGTATTGATTGATGGCCTATGTCTCCCTAAAACATATAAAACCAAGCCATAACCCAATAACCTTGGACGCATGCTCTCAGGACCTCCTGAGGCTGAATCATGGGTCATGATTCATAATATTGGCAAAATAAACCTCGAAATTGATTGAGACTTGTCTCAGGTGCTTTTTGGTTTGTACCACAATGGCTGCACCAATTTACATTTCTACCAACAGTGTGCAAAGTTTCTCTTTTCTTTATAATCTCACATTATCTCTTGTTTTCTGATCATTGCCATCCTAATAGGTATAAAATGAAATCTCACTGTGGTTTTGATTTGCATTTCCCTGGCGATATTGAGCATTATTTACATACCTGTTGGCCATTTTGGTGATATTGAGCATCATTTTAGATACTTGTTGGCCATTTTTATGTCTTCTTTTAAGAAATGTGTATTTAAGTCCTTTGCCCATTGTTTAATTAGGTTATTTGTTCTTTTTAAAATTCCTCCTGAGTTGTGTGAGTTACTTATCAGGAAAAAGCTCCTTGACATTGGCGTTAACAATTTTTTTTTGGATATCACACTAAAAGCTCAGACAAAAAAAGCAAAAATAAACAAGTGAAACTGGCCCAATTTCCCTAAATAACTAATATTTATAGATTTTTCAAAATAAACACAGAAATTGACTTCCAGGTCTTAAAACTTGAAACTTGCTTTTGTCTTATCTGAGTTCTTCCTCAAGAAGCCAAACCTCATTTAGATCACCACACCCAGTCAATGAGATGCCAGACCCTTCCTAATTCCTGTTTACCATTTTCTCTTTTTAGCCCCTCCCCATTTCCTGTTTTTCTGCATGTAGTTACATTTCTTCCCTGCTACATACACCCCCAATTTTAGTTGGTTGGAAGAAATGAATTTGGGTTTTGGCTCCCATCTCTCCAGTTGATGTCACCCAAATAAAAAGCCTTCTTCTCTGGCAATATTTGTATTGGTGATTGGCCTATTGTGAACAAAAAAAAGAGCCTAGACTAAATCCCTGGTGTTCTGGTAACACAAGTGGGACTACATCAAACTAAAAGGCTTCTATACAGCAAAAGAAACAATCAACAAAATGAAAAGGCAGCCCATGGATTGGGAGACAATATTTGGAAACCATGAGTCTGATAAGAAATTAACATCCCAAAAATTTATTTTAAATCTCAATGAGAGTCATGATTTTACCTCTTGTTAAGAAAAGAAGTGTCCTTTAACATTAGAGCTGGCTTTTCACTTTGGTCATTTGGAAAAAGATTCAAATTAGTGAGAAAACTCTTGGGCCAGGTGTGTTGGTTCACACCTGTAATCCCAGCACTTTGGGAGCCTGAGGCTGGCAGAACATGAGGTCAAGAGATGGAGATCATCCTGGCCAACATGCTGAAACCCTGTCTCTATTAAAGATACAAAAATTAGCTGGGCGTGGTGACACTCACCTGTAGTCCCAGCTACTTGGGAGGCTGAGGCAGGAGAATTGCTTGAACTGGGGCCACTGCACTCCAGCCTGGTGACAGAGCGAGACTCTGTCTCAAAAAAATAAATAAATAAAAAATAAAAAATAATAATAATAATTCAAATTAGTGAGAAAACCCTTCACCTTAAAATATCTGTGGAATTAAAACTACAGGTCAACTAAGGACTGTATCTGCATGAAGCCCACCATAAGAAAGAGAATAGCAAAAAATGCAGGGGATAGATTTTTGGATCTGGTACATTTGCTTTTTTTTTGAGATGGGTTCTTGCTCTGTCACCCAGGCTCAAGTGATTCTCCTGCCTCAGCCTCCCAAGTTGCTGGGATTACAGGCACACACAATCACTCCCAGCTAATTTTTGTATTTTCAGTAGAGACGGGGTTTCCCCATTTTGGCCAGGCTAGTATTGAACTCCTGACCTCAAATGATCCACCCTCCTTGGCCTCTCAAAGTGCTGGGATTACAGGAGTCAGCCACGGCTGGGTACGTTTGCATTTTATTCTTGGCTTCACACCAGCTTCTTCATGATAGGCAACTTTGAGAGTCTCAAAAATCTTGAGCAATCTTGAGGATATGAAAGCTTCTCAATTTTCTCCATACAAACAGAAATAATTCAAAACAAACCTCATGTGTTACTATGGCAATTGCTAATACTGTACATATTGTAGCTTCTTGTATTACCCGGAATAAAAGGGGAACTCAGTTACTGTTAGTGGTTGTTTTCTTAACCTGTGGGATGGTAAGAGTCTCTGCTTCCACCTCCTTCTTGCCTCTGTCAGATCTATCATTATCTAAAATGCATGCCATTGTCCAATCAGTCTGTCCTTCTTCCTGTCCTCAACACAGACTACAACCATTCCTGGCTCAGCAGAGCCTTACACAAATCTCCTCATTAAAAGGATTTTCGTCTTTCTTCTGTAATTATTCAATCCTACCTGCAACCACAAAATTATAAGATTTTCAACAATCATGACTAAGACTTATTTATCTCAGCATACAACAAGAATCTTTCAGTTATTCCAACTTTCAGCAAAGATGATTAGCACAGATTCATTTTAGCCACACACACTGGCCTCATCCACTCCTTCTCGATCCACATTATCAATGTATCTTATCAAGCACCATCAAGGGTGTTTCTCCTATTAGCTTTGCCTTATTTCACTAGGCTGTTTCTCTAAAGACTGACCTTACAAAGACAATAATCTTAGGCTTGTGTTGTCAAAGGTCAGGTGTGTTGATGTAAGTTGATTTTAGATCTCAACTTCAATACCTCCTAAAAAATGCTAGTGCAGTGTCTCACGCTTATGTGGATTCTTCTATTCTGATCTTTGGCTCCCTTTTCTCACTCCTGCCTTAGTTTCTTTTATTTATTTCCCACATTTTATTGAGTAGAAAAATGTATACTATTTACTATGTGCTGGGTCACAGAAATGTAATTCTAAAAAGAATCAGTTTTCACCAAAGGGCCAAAGTATGGTGAGGGGGATAGGAATACAGACAAAAATCACAATTTAATGTTTCAATATATCTAAGACATCCTCAGCAGGCTGAATTAAATTAACTCTAAATAAAGAGTGATGAAGTACAATCAAAATATTCCACAGGAAAATGAAATTTTGAGCTGAGTTTGAAAAATAAGTAAGCTTTTACCAAGTGAGAAAGGAGGTACCAAACATTTCAGGATAGGAAATCAAGCCATAAATATGTGCTTTGAGAATGGCCATATATCTCTTTTGGCTGAACAGTTAATGTGAAGAGAATTTAAAGTTTACGTGCCTCGTTAGCACAGTAGTTAGTGCTTCAGTCTCATAAACTCAGTGGGACAGACAATTAGAAAGATAGATTAAAGAGGGACATAAAGCTTGGAGGTTTGGTTCACTCAATTACTTTGAGCAGTAATTTTCATTTTAAGAGAACTCTGTACATTGTCCTGACTGATCTTCCGCTTTATGCATATCACTATTGTCGCTGGCCATCACCCCCTTTCTTTGGAACACATGTCTCCATGTTGCACCTCAAGAGCCCAGTGGTGCTCACACAACACACTTTCCCCAAATCATCTTACCCGTCTCTATTCAAGGCATAAATTGCATGCATTTCACCTTTATTTAGATATGACTAGCTTATTTCTGGTCACACTTGAAAGCATAAGTAACTATTGTAATCTTTGTGCAGGAAGCAATAGAGATTCCTGGCCAGATTCCTGGCTCATGCCTGTAATCCCAACATTTTGGGAGGACAAGGCAAGTAGATCCCTTGAGCCCTGGAGTTGGAGACCAGCCTGGGCAGCATGGTGAAACCCCATATATATTAAAAATCCAAAAAATAGCCAAACATGGTGGTACATGTCTGTACTGCAGCTACTTGGGAGGCTGAGGTGGGATAATCAGGAAGTTGAGGCTATAGTGAGCTGTGATTGCACCACTTCACTCCATCCTGGGCAACAGTGCAAGACTCTGTCTCAAAACAACAACTACAACAACAACCAAAACAACAAAAAGAAGCAATAGGCACTCCTGAAGACAGAATGGAAATTCAAATCCATGGTATGGTTGAAGGATGTAAGGAATATCAATAGACAAAAACGTCTTGCTATTCATGCATACCTTTCTATGACAATGGGGTCTTTTGTTAAAAAATCCACTCTTTTTAATGCAAAGTAACTCTTGGCGGGTATCTGTGGTAAAATAACTTACCTGACAATTTCCCCACTGATCAGTAAATTTCTGCACAAATGGAAACCAACCTTCATACATTGTTCATGCTTTTCCATCTACCTGGTATGCTCCCTCTGCCATATTTCTTCATGTTAAAAGCTTACCACTCCTCAGGCTTAGGCACCACATCTTCACTGGGGACTCTACATGGAAATGGGGCTTTCTCTTCTTTAGAGAACTTCTCTTATATTTAGGTACTTAATTATATCCTGCTCTGGGTTGTAAGTTCCTTCAAGTCACAGACTGTTTTCCTAAACACCTCACTATATCTGTGGCATCTGGCACTGGGCCTTGAAGAGTCAAATAACTCAAATGAAATTGAATTTGGTCTTAGTAGGGAAAAAACGGCAAACAATTCCATATTGAAGGAGAAAAAAATATTCCTAATTCGCCAATTATAAAGTCCCACGCTGAGATTTAACATTCCTGTTGCACTCAAAAATATACATTTCCTCTTATGGTCTAAATCTTTTTGTGCTTAATGACTTGAGAATGATTCAGAAACAAGCTTCATGTTTTTTAACCACTAAACATGGTGGCCACGTGGTTATTATGCCCCTCAAGCCCATCAGTAGCAATAAAAGTAAACACAGATGCTCAATAAAAAGAATTCCCAAGCCAAGCCATCTGGGCTTAGAGATCTTAGATCACAAATTAATGTTTTGCATGAAGATTTTTTTTCTATAGTGAAAGGCACAGTTTGTATTTTTAAAGGTTAATAACTCTTCACCAAGATTCCCATGTCAACCTCAGAGCAGGCTAGACAAAGAACAAAGCTGAGCACAAATTCAGATCACAATACAGGGTCATGAATTCAGTTCTTTTATGCCTTCTGCATTTCAAAGACATGCTAAGCATTAGTATATTTCTGCACTAGGCAGTGAGACTGGTATGCTACAATGTTTTTCTACCAATAGGTAAGAAAAGTGAACTTTAACCAGCAATAAACTTTTAAATGAGAATACAGCATTCCTTTAACTTAAATAGCCAGCTAGCAGATTGAACTATCTTAAAATTGGTCATTATATTCCCATCTGATAGAGTTTAGAGTCTGTTTCCAATATATGTAAAATAATTACACGATATGCAGTGACGCTTATAAAAAAGGAATGCCTAGTTTTCCTTATACTTTCACATTTCAGGATTCTTCATTTTTTTCAGTCTTGTTTTTAATTCCTTGTTTGCATGCATTATTATATTTTATCTGTATCATAAATATGATGGGGCTCTTATAGTTAAAAATATTGAGCTTTTGTGGTTTAAAATGTTCAGTTTGCTTGCATACTTGTATTTATTAGAGAAAGATGATGATTACACAGTGATTTACTCAATTATAGTGGATACATAATAAAAGAAGAAGTGATGAGAGTTTGTCTATCTTCAAAGCTGCATCATCAGCTGAGGTCATGGAAAACAAAATTATTGAGAAGGACAAGGACAGGATAGAATAATTTAGATTAGTGAAAGTTTTCTTGGCAACAACTCCAGGATAACTTTGAGCATAAAAAGTAGCATTACAAATAACATTAGCTTCTGTTAATATTTTTTTGGGGGGATGGATGTTATAGACTAGATGTTTGTGCCCCATCTCCCAACCAAATTCATATGTTGAAGTCCAAGTCCCAATGTGTTTGTATTTGGATATGGGGCCTCTAAGGAAATAATTAAGGTTAAATGAGGTCCTAAGGGTGAGACCTTGATCCAATAGAATTAATATCCTCATAAAAAAGGACACCAGGAGCCTATGAAGTCTCTGTCTGTTTCTCCAAGCATACACAACGAAGTTATGTGAGCATATACTGAGATGGTGGCTACCTACAAGTCAAAAGAAGAGGCCTCAGAGTGAGAGCTATTTTGCTGGCCGCTTGATGTTGGCCTTCCCAGCATCCAGAACTACGAGAATAAAAATCTCTGTTGTTTAAGCTACACAGTATGTAGTATTTTGCGATGGCAGCCTGAGCAGACTAAGATGGTGGTGAGGGTGGGTTCAGGGAGAGGTTAAAGAATAATTTCCATATGTACACAATATCAAAAATTTGTGCAGGGTAAAATTAGCCAGGCATGGTGGAGGGCGCCTGTAGTCCCTGCTGCTTGGGAGGCTGAGGCAGGAGAATTGCTTAAATTCGGGAGGCAGAGGTTGCAGTGAGCCAAGATTGCGCCACTGCACTGTAGCCTGGGTGACAGAGTGAGACTCAGTCTCAAAAAAAACAAAGTAATTTATTTTATTTCAGCACATAAAGTTCAAAAAGAAGCAGCATTTATCTCACAGGGAGGCATACCCAAAATAAACCCCATAAATAAAGGAAGTAAATAACCATATGTAATCGAAAATAGTGGTTACATATAAGGCAAAAAAAAATTCCTAATCAGATAGATGGCATGACTTTATTTCTCTGGACTCAGTTTCCTCATCAGTTGACTAGATTAGATTAACTCCAAAATCTGCTTATAATAATGTGAATTCTGATAATGTCAGCTGTATCTTCTCATCCTTGTGACAGATTATACTTTCTAAAAATGGTTGCAGCCATGTCTCTCATCCCACATGCTTTATTTAAAATGTAACTTTGACACTTTTCCATCAAGAAATAGCATCTATGTTCCCTTCCCATGGTTCTAAGAAAGCTTTTATTTTAGCCAAAATGATCCTATATGATTTTCAAGGTGAGATCATAATAGTTAATACAGTTTCCATCAGATTCTCTTAATATATTATTTTAGAATCCAACTGCCATGCTGTGACGAAGCTCAAATAGTCACACAGTGAGGCTACACATAGGTGTTAGGACCAACAGGCTCAGCTCAAGTCCTAGTCAACAAGTATCATTTAGCGACATTTGAGGGAATGTACCATCAGATGGCTCAAGCCTATTGCCATTAATTGTCTTCTGCTGCAAGTCTTCCTAGTTGAGTTCTCAGATATTGTGAAAAGAAAAGTCATCTCTTCTGTGACCTTTCCTAATTCCTAAACCAAAGAATCCAGGAGAGTTGCTTCTCTACAGCACTGCATTTGGGGTGGTTTGTTATGCAGTGATAAAAACTGAAATATTCATAAACTTCAGACATGATAGAATGTTGTTTGTTTGTCTCATTGTTATTGCTGTTGTAACTACTGAGGTGAACAGAATTTGAAAATTTAAAGTAAAATCTGTCCAGTAATGAATTATGATGCTGATTTATGAAGTTGTAAGTGTTTATCACTAGAAAATTTCAGGTTGGATCCAAATGTCTGTCTTGGATGCTGCAGAAGGCTCTCCTGCATAGAGAAGGTGACTTGGCTTGCCATTGGTTTCATCATTTGTGTATTTATGGTGTCTAGACATGTGTCTGGCACTGTGGTCCTTATTTGCCTACTGAATGAATGCTTGACTCTAAAGATATCTCCACACTGAATGAGTTCATGATGGAAGAGATGGCAAAAAGTGGATTTATTTATAACAGCAATAATGACAGTAATAATTGTTATTATAAGTAATGTTTCCTGAGTGACTCCTGTGTGCCAGGCACTAGCTAAGTGTTTTAGACAAATTTCCTATTCAATCCTGACAATGATCCCTCTGGGATAGCTACTATTTATTCTTCCGGATTTATAGATGATAAAAATTTCCCCTAGATTAATGATTTTTCCACCACCACTGATAGAACAAGTAGTAGCTGGATTTGGAACCCAGGCTATCTGACTCCAGAGACCCTGCTGAATCTCAAGGTAATATGCTGTCCACTAACTAGTGAAATTGAGTCATAAGGTGAGAATGCCAAACTGTACCCTGCCAATTTTAAATTGCAATAGTGTGTCACCTATTCCATTTGTTATGTATATACCCTAAGAAGCAGCTCTTACTTATGACCCCTTGGACACAAAAGCATGGATTTCCAAGATGGTGACATCAGTCTAGAGTTTCAGTGCTTCGTGACCATGAAAAATGGTGAGATTAACCAGAGGTCCACAAGAAGATTAAATCCATTGCCTCAGTCAGCTGGGAAACTTGTAAAAGAAACTCAGTTAATAATCACCCAGCATAAAAGTAGTAATATTTTATACTCATATGTTAATTTTCCCCTCAGCCTTCAGCCGTTCTGAAATACAGTCTACCCATAATCTGCATAGCATCCTATGAAGAACTGTAGGTAAAACAGAAAAATAATCACTTGTGAATTACCAAATAAATGCCATGTCATTGCAGTGGCTAATTTAATCACATCTCTTATTTAGTTTCTCTAATAAAAATGAATAATTTCTGTCAATTATGATTTACATTGATTGAAATGGAAAAGTTGAATTTTGAAGACGAAAAGCATTACTGGATTAAAACAAACAAGTAACAATCAAGATATAATGACAATCTTCTAAACAATATCATTATGAATCTGAGGAATAACTGGTCAAAATAACAACAGAAAAAAAATAAACTTATTGGAAACAAAGAGAAAAATAAGTTCCAAGAATTTTACTGCATTAGCAATGGGGGAATAAGAGACAGGAAAGTGAACAATGACATAAAAACCATTTGATGCAGGTCATATGCCTAGCTATGAACCCAGCTTCCTAATTATTGATGAAAAAGTCACTTATCATTTTCGGGTTTCAGTTTTTTCATTTGCAGAGTGTAATGGGGAGATTTCTCAATGTTTTTCTCAATTTTTGTAAATGAATAAGTTTATTATATTTAAAATACTAAATCTTTATGATCTAGGTCATATTCACAACTAATTGTGTTTTAGGATAACAACTTTTGCAGCGTAATTCCTTTTCTACTTGACTTGATGAGTTAAGATAATGCTAATGCTTATCCATTGGTCAGTAAGAATCTTAAAGCAGGGCTTAGGAAACAAAAGTTTTTGCTATTTGGAGACAGTATACTAGAAAAGAGTTTTTCTGAAAGAAAACTATTAAAGTTTCACTTTTTGCCTTCTGAAAATATTTTGAGAAATTAGAGATAATAAGTTATGGAGCACTCACTCTATTGAACAATGACCTAAGCACTTCACAGGTAATAGTTAATTAATAATCGTAACACACACATGAAGCTAATTATATTATTGTTCCCAATAATAGCTAAGAATATTAAGGCTTCAAGATGGCAAGTCATACAGCTAGCAGGTAGAAAACGTAATATATCAGAAAAACATTCCTGAAGAAACAGTTTCTTCTGTCTTTGAGTTTATGTGTTTTGGGTTCAACTATTTTTATCGTACCTAGAAATTCTGTGCTATGTATCTTGTATCTGACTGTTCGTCTGTACCCTTTCTAATAGTTTTTATTAATATACTTACAAACAGAAGTAAAATGTTTTCCTGAGTTGTGTGAACTGCTCTTGCAAATTAATGAAACCTGAGGAGAGGGTCTTGGGCACTGCAATTTAGAGCCAGTCATTCAGAAATATAGGTGACAACCTACTGCTTCCTGTTGGCATGTGAAGTGAGGGGCAGTTTTGTGGGACTGAGCTCTCAGCCTGTGAGATCTGACACTATACCAAGGTAGATAGCATTAGGGTTGAATTGAATCAGAGGACACCAGCTGGTATCCACTGGAGAACCTGATAGAGAATTTCTTGGTTTGTGGGGAGATATCTCCACACATCTAGGTTCAGAAGTATTGAATGAGTGAGAGTAGGAAAAAAGCACTTCAGTTGATTTTTTATATATCTTAGAGTTTCATATAATTTTACTTACAAAAACAGTCGCTTACTCCTTTGGGCCTGCAGGTTGTAGTTAGTCGGACTCCTGACTTAAACTGTGTCTTTCCCTCCAGACTTAATAATGTTGTTCTTCCTTTGATAATTTTGTCTAAAAGTAAAATAATAGAATTGTTGCCTGCAATTTAAGCAAGATGAGACTAATTTACTTTAAGAATGTGAAATATACAAAAATAAAATATATATTCCAGTTTTTGGTGGCCTGAGTAGATTTTTAATGACTCCCCATTGTGTTGCCTCTTTCATGCTTTTGTTGACAGATTACCCGTGGAGCATCCCAAGCGGGAAGCCAAGAAAAGGATCTCTGAAGTTTTTGCTTTCATGGAAGGTGACACAGTGATCCATAAATCTTGATCTCATATTTTTTGGGTCTATTTTATATTTTTTCATTGAATTTAATGATTTTAACAAAAATGGCTTCTGATTGCTCATTCATCAGTGAGTCCAAAGGTATTTTTTATTCTGCTCCTTTCATTATTAGCAAGAAAGAAGACAGAGTTAGAGTCAATTATTGGCTAAAATGTAGGTTGTAGAAAAAATTACATTTGTGTCTTTCATCACATTGATTGCAATGAAAAGTGATAATTTATGATAAAATTACCATACAAATAATTCATGGGATTTAGAGGAACACTGTATCCTTATTCTTGGCAGTTTTGCTGAGACATTTTTTAATATGTTCAGAAATTTAACAGGGCCATATTCTTGTCAACTAATGTTACTCTTATAAAACAAGAGAGATTTCTGTTTCTGTCTATAACACAGTAGCTGATATTGGACTAAGTATCCCACTGAGAACAATTATAAAAGCTGGATATTATACATAAAACAGCTGCTCAGAAGCACTGGAGAACAACCAAGGCAGTCAGGACTGGGGAAATTAAGATTCCGGGGAGAAGGAAAATGCACTGAAGTGAAACCAATATTCTCTGCTGCTTCTCCTCGGGACATTTGCCCATTTCCTGCAGGTTAGAGGATGAACAGAGCAGTTGCACACAAAAATGAAGTTCAGGGCTACTAAACCTACCAAACTGAAGGGGCCAAGATGGGGAAAAGAGAGCTGCAGAACCCAACATCTGTGCATACTGTTCTCTCAAGGCATTTGCTGACTCCTAAGCAAAACATGCAGAAGGAAACACAGTGAAACCAAACAGCAAGCAGCTACTAAGCAACTAAAGACCTAAGTAAAGAATGCTGGCATCTCATGGTTCTAGGAAGATATGAAATGGATTCAGGTTTTCATCGAGTAAAAGCAGGTCAGGTAAGGACTTAGACTTTTAATTGTCAGCCTAGAGTAGCTAAACCCAAGGAACAGGAAAGACTGAAAGTGGATCACCCTCTTCTTGATAAAGCACATACTCTGTCATTACAGGATGATGAAAGAGAGAAAACAGAAAATGAGCAGGGTCAACATTTAAAGTGATATTGG
Source organism: Homo sapiens (assembly GCF_000001405.40). Classification (NCBI taxonomy): domain Eukaryota; kingdom Metazoa; phylum Chordata; class Mammalia; order Primates; family Hominidae; genus Homo; species Homo sapiens. Next base: position 43,389,666 of record NC_000018.10, read on the forward strand.
ATGTACATTTTCCAAAACTGAGAAAAAAGTTCAGATCATAGCGTTGAGAATTTTATCAAATTGCATGAAGTATACAAACTCACAACAACAACAATCACAACCACAAAACCATACCCCTAGGCATGTCAGAGAAAAATCTACTGAACTAAAAACAAAAAAGAAATCTGGAAAGCTGCCAGAAAATAGTGCACTACATTCAAAGCAGAAATAAGATAACGAAAGCTGACTTTTCAACACAAAGGGAGTAAGTCAGAAATAAGGATGAAATATATAGTGTGGAAACGTAAAAAAAAAAAAAAAGAATTTTCTAACCTTCTAATATTTCACTAAAATATAAAAATAAAATAATGACAATTTTTTCTCTAGGAGATGAGCACTGAAATTGCTACTGTAGGAGTGTTATAGGCAGATTGATAATGATCATAAATGAAGCATGGTTATAAGAGTTAATGAAGAACAGTGATATGGTAAATATAGGGGAAAGCTTCAATGAATATTTACTGCTTTTAAAATTGTGTAGGATTTAAAATGTATATGGAATCAAAATATATGACAACAGTTTGTAGAAAGAGTAAATGAATTTAAAGTGTTGTGGGGTCTTTGTATTATTTATGAAATGCTTAAGGGCTAACTTAAGGCTCCAATAAGTTAAAATGCATGTTAGGAGCTCTAAAAGAAACTTGAAATAATAACCAAAGATGAAAATTAAACACCTATTAAGTTAAATAATATAATACTAGCCAAATAAGCTAAATTTATACATATAAATGGCCAAACGAAGGTAGGAACAAGAAACAAAGAAACAAAGACTAGATGGCATAATAAAAGGAAATGAATAGCAAGATGTCAGATTTAATCCCAGATATAACAGCAATTAAATTTAGTATAAATAAACTAAATACTCCAATTAAAGCGGAAAGATCAGATTGTATAAAAATAAAGATATTCATAAACAGGGAAAAATAAACAATCATTTGACACTTCACGGAAGTATAATGACACAAAAGGTTGAAATTAAAAGGATCAAAAAGATACACTATGCAAACAAGAGAGTTCCATATAGCTAGATTCATTGACTGAGTAGAATTTAAATCAAGAAGTATTACTGAGTTAAAAATAAACATTTCATAATAGCAATTCCATAATTGCTACTTTAGTGAAAAAAAACTATCATAAATCTGTATGTTCCCAATAGACTCAAAATATAAAATTATCAGTGAAAAAAAAGAATAAAAGAAAAGTCTACATTACAGTGAAAGGCTTAAAAATAGCTGTCTTACAAACTCACAGACAAGTTGACAAAAAATTAGTAGATGTACAGAGAAATTGAGAAACATTACAATCAAAACTGTTCAATTTGAAATATATATATGTGTGTATATATGTATATGTGCATGTGTATATATGTACATATATATATATATAAAGTACCCACAAATCAATAAGAAAAATACTGTAAAGACAATTTCTCCAAAATGGATGTTCTGAATAAGTATTTCCCAAAAAACAACAGTGAAATATAATGAACTTTCAAACAGGTGGTGAACTTCAGTAGTAATTTTAGAAATGCAAATGAAGACCAAAATGTGATACAATACACAATCAACAGAATAACAAAAATTAAAAGACATCAATACCCTGGAAACATTAAGCATATATATATATATGCTCATAAACCTTTACTACTAGGTATATACCCCCCAAAATGTGAATATGTGCTCAATATACATGTCCAAGAAGATTGGTAGCAGAAGAATTCATAACAGCCTCAATCTAGGACTAACCCTAAAGTTCATCAACACAAGAACAGATAAATGTAGTATCTTCATAGAACTGAATATGACAGAGCAATGAAAAAGGACAAATGACAGCTATGTGAAACAGCATGCACAGATATCAAAGACACAATGTTGAAGAAAGTAGATACAAAAGAGGTACATTTCACAAAACCTCATTTATAGAAGTTTAAATGCCATCAAAACCAATCTATGAAGAATATAGATGCAGAATATATGAGGGTGGAGTGACTAGTGGAGGCAATTCATTAGAGAGTCTTTCATTAGGTTTCTGGAAATGTTCTGAATCTTTATGTCAGTGGTGATTGCACAGGTGGTGCAACTTTTCAAAAATGTATTGAACTGTACACTTTGGATTTGAGTCTTTTACTGTAGATATGTTATACCTCATTAAAAATAGTTTGGAGTCAAACACACACACACAAACAACAACAACAAAAGGAAAGGTAAGTACAGAAGCCTTTAGTTTTCAACTTCAGTGCAGGTCGATTACTGCATATCTGGTATCTTATTCTGCACATTGTCTTTTATTTCTTCTTTCCTGTTTTCTTTGTACCATTCCTGGCTTCTCCCTCTCTACTTATACCGCTATTGAATTCCTGTTTGTTGCTTTCATATTTTTTCCATTATCTCATTTTACTTCTCAAGTTATTTATTTTCCTTATTCTTCAAAAGGATCTTGTAATTTGTGACCTGTCTTGCCCAGTTCACAGCAGCCCCAACAAAAGATTCTTCTCAATATATATGCTATAAAATCTTTAACATCCCTGTTCACTTAACCCAAGTTTTTATGGGACTGTTAGCATAGGAAGTATAATAGAAGCCCACAGTATGATTAACCTCCATTTATTTCTCTGGTTATGTGGATTTCACGTTGTAGTCATTTTAAAAGCTTGGAGGAGCCTCATTAACTTTACAAGGCAAGACTGGATTTACAGATCCAATATCTATGTGGAGAAAGCAACGCTGCAAGTTCTGTTTTTATTGGAGGTTCTCTGTTGTCTTTTCTCCCTAATATAGATGTCTTTTATAAGATTACTTTTTATAGAACAAAAGCAACAGGCAATTTCCAATTAAACGCAGATGGTAAGGTTTTTCTTTCTACAGGCACTCAGGTGCAAGGATCTGCCTCAAAGCCTTTGAATTTTATGAGGGGTTAATGCAGTTAATGTTTTTTACATTATTTTGAATATTAATTACAGTATAAACATTGCCCCAAGCCCATGTTTTAGTTAGCATATTTTCAAAACAAATTCACATCTTATATTAAGTAACCTTTCAAAACAAGTATAGGAAGATTATTACCAGCTCTCATTTATTTTTCTTTTCTGCTTTAACTAGCTCGCTTTTCTGGGACTAGACAGTGAAATAATTAAATTCAGTGCTTCTTATTGGTATTCAGCTTTGACTAGTGCTTATCTATAAGGCTTAACTATTTGCAGCATATGATGAAGAAACAACCTGGATCTATGATGCAGTCATCCTTCAGTATTAGCAAGCCTAATAAATATTTGATTAGTAGAAGGAGCAAAACATACTTAACGTAGAATTAAATGCCAGTTGATTGAAAATATACAAGATGTTTCAATACTACCCACTGTAATGTGCAACATTTATAACTGATATGGTAAAGAGATAATTGGGTTATGTGGCGAGGTTTCCTTTTTCTCAAGTTGAGGTAGTGTGTGAAACATATACCTCTGTTGCATCCTATCTGCTCGCTTTACCAAATATTTCCATTTATCTTTTGGCGTTGATGGTAGAATTGCACAACTCTACAATTTTCTTGTAAGTTTTGACCATTTGATTTGTTTTGCCAGTAAAATGTGAACAGAAGTACTGCATATCACTTCCAGGTGGAATGCATTAAGAGTCAATGTGAAACTTGCCAACTTTTCTCTCTGCCAAGAATGAAGCCCTGTTCCAGACAGCAGCTGCTCTAGAAGCCTGGGTCTGGGAGTGAGCAGTTTACCCAGACACCCTGTGATAATCAACTTGCTTCTGTGAGATAGAAACTTTTGTGGCTTTAAGCTGCTGAGATTTGCAGGTATGTGTGACCAAATTATAACCCAGTACATCCTGATGATGACACACTTTGAAGCTCTAATGATGCCTGCTTTCAGGGATCAACAAACCTTAACTGAACAGTTACTGATAAAATTGGAAATATACAAAGAGGTAGCATGAATTTGAGAAAAGCCTACAGAAAGTTAAATGACAATACAAAAGCACAAGTCAAGAGATGCTACCGGGGGTGCTTGCATGGTCACCAAATAAATGGCACATGTAATAAATGGCACATATAATAAAAGCTAGAATCTCAAAGACGTGAGAAATGACTAGACACAAGCCCCACAAGGCTCACTGGGAACAGAAGGGCTTCAATTTGGTCCTTAAACGTTGGTAGATTTTGAAGAAACAAATATGCTATTCTCAGTGAAAGATGAACTTGAAGAAACAAGAAGGTCATTAAGTTTAAGTAGATTCAAAGAGTAAGAAATAGATATATTTGAAATAAACCAACAATACATAAATTCAGGAGATTACAGGGAGGTAGAACTGGAAAAAAATATTTTAGGACCAGTGGTGGCAACTCTTTAATGAGGTTCAAGGAATTTGAATTTAATGCTCTAAGTAGCAGTCACTGATGTTTACTATCATGAGAACAAGAGATAGAATTGGTGGCTAGTTTGTCAGACTGATGAAAGCTTGAAGAGGGGGTATATAGGGAAAGTAGAATAAAAGTAAGGTGTTTGGGAGACATTTCCCAAAGCACTATGAAGATGATGCTCTTTTGTACAGCGGCCTTTTAGCTAAAGTTTGGTGATGAGGAAAGGGAAATACAGAACAGTGAAAAAAAAAAAAAGCAGGACTTCATACTAAATATTAGCTAACAGGCTGCCAAATAAAACAAATGCCAATAAATATATATATATATATATATATATATATATAACAAAAATACAGCTAAAAATTCCACAGCCGAGTCAACTTTAATTGTGCCAAGGGAGGAAATACACATCAACGATTAAATTCACTAAGTACTTCCATGAGGGGAAAGCTCAAACATCTTAAAGAACTGAAAAGGAGTTCACAGGCATTATGATAATTGGGAACTGAAACTAGTATAATGGAGAGGACAGAATGAGTTCATTGGTCTGTATACAGTTGGTTAAAAGAATTTCTTTGATCCTTGCTCAGGAAAATCTTGTTAGTTCCAGTAAGAGTCTGGTGTCTTAGGGTCAAAATTTATGACCCAATGTAAACTTCAGCAGATTATAATTGGTTGGGATGAAATCCATAAGAAACTTTTGATATCTCAGGTAAAAGCTTCTGTAAGAGAAACATTTTCCTTTTGAAGTGTTCATACTGTCTTGACACAGAGTTTGTGGTTTTTTAACTGACATTTTTTTCCTAAGTTTCTACTATCGCCATGTAATGAAAAACTAGAAATACCATTTGACCCAGCCGTCCCATTACTGGCTATATACCCAAAGGATTATAAATCATGCTGCTATAAAGACACATGCACATGTATGTTTACTGCAGTACTATTCACAATAGCAAAGACTTGGAACCAACCCAAATGTCCATCAGTGATAGACTGGATTAAGAAAAGGTGGCACATATGCACTATTGAATACTATGCAGCCATAAAAAAGGATGAGTTCATGTCCTTTGTAGGGACATGGATGAAGCTGGAAATCATCATTCTGAGCAAACTATCGCAAGGACAGAAAACCAAACACCGCATGTTCTCACTCATAGGTGGGAATTGAACAATGAGAACACTTGGACACAGGAAGGGGAACATCACACACTGGGGCCTGTTGTGGGGTGGGGGGAGGGGGGAAGGATAGCATTAGGAGATATACCTAATGTAAATGAGGAGTTAATGTGTGCAGCACACCAACATGGCACATGTATACATATGTAACAAACCTGTATGTTGTGCACATGTACCCTAGAACTTAAAGTATAACAAAAAATAAATTAATTAAATTAAATTAAAAAAAGAAAATAAAAACTAGTCCCCTTCTTTGCAAGAGGTTTCTCCCAACTTCCTTCTTATTTGAGGTCTGGGCTCCTGAAACTCTGTCTCCTAGATTGCCCATGGAAAACTAAAATTATATTAATTTATTATATATTTCTTGATCATTGTTTTTCCCCTGCCAAGAAAGTATAATTTATTATATATTTCTAATCTTTATATTTTCTTCCTGATAAACTAGTTCCAGACTTCACCTTTTATTAGCAAGAAAATTATTTTTCCTTAAGAAAAAGGTTTATAGGTTTGAAATAAATTTTATTTTTTCTCCCAACCCCTTTCTTTAGGAAAATTACCAGCAAAGAAATTTGTCTTATTAGCTTTTAAAACTACAAATATTTTCATCCTGCCTTATATATTCACAATTGTGGAAATTATTTTTGGTACAGAATACCAAACAAGAAAGGAAAGGAGGTGTTGAGAAAATGGTGGAAGAAGTGAGAAGTAAGGAGAAAAATTCAGCAGAGGGAAGAATAGAAGTAAGTAGAAGAGGGCAAGATAACAAATTTAATGCATCCTCCAGCTCTAAGCTTATAGATACGATACCTATCCTGTCCATTAAATATTAAATTACTAAAGAAAATGTTTATTCAACTACAATCAACTTCTTTAAAAAATACGAGTAGGATTTTTATGGTACAATTTCAGGTATACATGGTCCACAAGGAGAGAATATATTTGCATTCTCTAGTACCTTCCTTTTTTGCCTAAAATAAAATATTAGACGAGGAAGAAGACATAGACAGTTGAGTTGCTACAATTTTGTTGTGGCTATTAGCTCTCTATTACATTATCCAATTGGTTTAAAACAATCCAAAGATTGTTTGTGCAGTTAAGAAATTCTAATGTCTCTTAGACATGAAAAAGAGAAAGTTGTTTTTCAAAAATGATTTTGTCTTAGAATTTCCTTGGGCATTTGCAGACATTCTCTCCTAAACAAGTTTTCAGACTGCTGCTGCCACCTAGAGAACTAATTTGATATTTCTCTACAGCCAATAAAGAAAACAACAACCAGACATTGTTTTTGTTATTGCAATGTGCTGTGTGTTGGAGAGAAAAGTAATAATCTATTGTGTCACCCCTTGCAAGGTTCATGGTTGAGACCTCTATAACAAAAGACGGATTAATAATAAAAAATCATGTAAACTTATTTTACATAACACAGGAGGGTTTGGAAATGAAGACCTAAAGAAACAGGGGAATATGTGCATTTTTATGGAAAGTCTTGTAACAGAAGGATTGAAGGACAAAAGAGTGTAATCTAATGGTATTAAACTGATGGGAACTTATCAAAGCCTGTTTGTTCAGATACTTCTCTGTGTTTCTGTGTCTTCAGAGATAAAAATGTTCCCTTTTTCCTGGTATAGGGAGGGCACATGTGGCTTGAGAATCTTATGACATACTTCAAGGGAAGGTCAGCTAGGTTTTATCCCACCCTTTGGGAAAGAAGTGAGAGGAGGTCAGAGAGACCTTCCTGCTTTTGCTGTTTTCTCAAATGCCGAGGTGCCATATTTTGAGGCAGGTGTCCTAAACCTGGTCACATGCATTCTTATCATTTCACATTAAGTATTAACCTCCTCATATTTTTATTGTAACATTGTGTCCTAAAGTTAAATCATTTATATCTTAATGTGTCTTAGTGTTAAATCACTTATTTGTTACCTGGGTCCTTTATATGATGTAGAGAATTGAAACCTGGCTTTCTGGGTAAATTGCTGCATAGAATTTCTACAAATGAAAAGTAGTCTTACTCATTCCATCTAACAGTAAAAGTAGCCCATTCAAATAAATAATAAATATTAATAGTTATTTGCATGATAATATTTTCAGAATAATGTAATTCAAATGCGTTAGTATTTTCCAGTGTTTATATCTTCTTGGACTCACTTTACTGGTACTCATGTGTCTTGCAAAGGAGGTATTTAATAGACTTCATATGTAACCCAAAGCAAAATATTATTTGCATTAAAGATATTCAAAATCAAATCTTATAGGCAATGATATCTATCTAAATTTGTCAGTCACAGTAAATAATAGTGAATTTATTTTTGAATTGTTAGTGAAGTTAGCTACTAATATGGAATATCTTCTTGAGCTCCATTTCTGTAGTTTAAAAAAAGGTGATATCTTTTTGTTAATAAGCATCCTCTTATTGAGAGACTTCTGTTATTCACAGAATTCTATGCCAATCAACAGCTGGATTAGTCAGGGTTCTCTAGAGGGACAGAGCTAATAGGATATATATATATATATGTGTGTGTGTGTATATATGTGTGTGTGTGTGTGTGTGTGTGTGTGTATATAAAGTTAATAAGCTCCCATATATATATATATATATATCTCCATATCTCCTGAGATCATACACAATCTTCAAATAAAGACAATAATAAGTTCATTATATATATATACACATATATATATACATATATATATACACATATATATATACATATATATATACACATATATATATACATATATATATACACATATATATACATATATATATACATATATATGTATGTATATATATATATATATATATATATAGGAGTATATTAAGTATTAACTCATGCTATCACAATGTCCCACAATAGGCTATCTGCAAGCTGAGGAGCAAGGAGAGCCAGTCGGAGTCCCAAAACTGAAGAACTTGGAGTCCAGTGTTCAGTGGCGGGAAGCATCCAGCACAATGGAAAGGTGTAGGCTGGGAGGTTAGGCCAGTCTAGTCTTTTCACATTTTTCTGCCTGCTTTATTTTTAGCTGCACAGGCAGCTGATTAGATGGTGCCCACCCAGATTAACGGTGGGTTTGCCTTTCCCAGCCCACTGACTCAAATGTTAATCTCCTTTGGCAACACCCTCACAGACACACCCCAGGGTCAATACAGTGCATCCTTCAATCCAATCAAATTGACACTCAGTGTTAACCATCACAAGCCCACCCCTTGTCAACTTGAACCTATAGAACATCTCCTGAGATCATACATAATCTTCAAATAAAGACAATAATAAGTTCATAATTACACCTAACATAATACAACTATCCTTCATACAACCAGCAATGCACCAATACTGAACTGAAATATTATAACAAAATGTTAACAATACTTAAGTGTTATTACAAAGTCAATAAATTTTATGTCACATGATAAAAGAAAAAGGAAATGAGATGAAGATATGTTCTTAGTACAAGTGTATACATGCACAAACATGTTTTTAACAAAAGAAGGAGGAAATATGCATGACAATTATAGTCCTGGTTTCTGTAGCTGGTCACATGGTCATAGTTGGTATTGATGACTACCTTCTTCTACTACGCATTCTGTATTCTCTTTGCCTTCAGCAAGCACTTCAGCAAGTCTTGGTTTTTTCCTGGTAAAGTGACATAAACCTTCATTCCTGAAGAGTTTAGGCCATTTGTAGTCCTGCCTGGATTTGGTTGTTGTAGTTTCCCATTGACCTTAATCACAGGGTATGGTAATACTAAGAGACACCCTAATGGATCTCCTGTATTCCATGCATTCTCTTCCTTACCTCCGTTGTGGACTAGTAGACTGACTTAATCTTGACAGTCCAGGTCAATCACCCCAGCCAACACTGTAACTCCTTCACCTGTTGACCTAAAGGTAGGAGGAGCCCAAAGTGTCCAGGTGGCAATCTTAACTTCCAGTTTAATGGAATTGTTGTTATGTCTCCTGGTGGCAGCATTCCTCCCTCTGGAACTAAGACATCTAGGCCAGCAGAATGTAATGTCACAGAAACAAGAAGTAAAAATTTTGTTCGTGGATCACTAGGGGTGATGGTGAGTGGTGCAACTTCCACTTCCACCCCTTGATTCCTGGACCCATGAATCCTGGCTATGGGAGAAACCGTATCATACATTGGATGCTGATTCAGAGCATACATGGCCTTCTGGAGAACTTTGCCCCACTCCTGCAAAGTATTGTCACCTAGTTGACATTGTAATTGGGACTTCAAAAGGCCATTTCACTGTTCTATCAATGCAGCTGCTTCAGGATAATGGGGAACATGGTAAGATCAGTGAATTCTATGAGCATGAGCCCACTGCCACACTTCTTTAGCTGTAAAGTGAGTGCCTTGGTCAGAGGCAATGCTGTGTGGAATACCATGATAAGGCATTCCGTGAGTCCACAGATGGTAGTCTTGGTGGAAGCATTCCGTGCAGGATAGGCAAACCCATATCAAGAGTAAGTGTCTATTCCTGTGAGGACAAACCTTTGCCTTTTCCATGATGGAAGAGGTCCAATATAATCAACCTGCCACGAGGTAGCTGTCTGATCACCTCTAGGAATTGTGCTGTATCAAGGGCTCAGTGTTGATCTCTGTATCTGGCAAATTGGACACTCAGCAGTGGCCATAGCCAGGTCAGTTTGGTGAGTGAAAGTCCATGTTGCTGAGCCCATGTGTAACCTCCATCCCTGCCACCATGGCCACTTGGTTCATGGGCCCACTGGGCGATGACAGGGGTGGCTGTGGAAAGAGACTGAGTGTTGTCCACAGAATGGTCCATCCTATCCACTTGATTATTACAATCCTCCTCTGCTGAGGTCACCCTGTTGGCTAGCACTCACATCGGATACAAATGTCTTCAGTTTTTGACCATGCAGAGAGGTTCATCCACATAACTTTTCCCCAAATTTCTTTGTCACCAATTTTCCAATCATGCTTCTTCCATGTCCCTGACCATCCAGCCAAACAATTGGCTACAGCCCACGAATCACTATATAATCACACATCTGGCCATTTCTCTTCCCATGCAAAGTGTACAACCAGGTGTACTGCTCAAAGTTCTGCCCACTGGGAAGATTTCCCTTCACTGCTGTCCTTCAGGGATGTCTTAGAAAGGGGCTGTAGCGCTGCAGCTGTCCAGTTTCAGGTGGTGCCTTCATATCATGCAGAATCATCTATGAACCAGCCCCTAGTCTTCTCTTCCTCTGTCAACTGTTCATAGGGAACTCCTCATGTGCCCATCGGTGTAGGCTGGGGGAGAGAAGGCAGGGTGACCAAAGTGGAGACCATAGATATTTGAGCCACTTCCTCATGTGACTTACTTGTGCCTTCAGGACCTGCTTGAGCCCAATCACATATATACCATTTCCATTTGATGATGGAATGCTGCTGTGTGTGACCCATTTTATGGCTAGATGGGTCAGAAAGCACCAAGTTCATCATAGGCTGCTCAGGTCACATGGTGAATAGATGACCCATAGTCAAACATTCAATTTCCACCAACGCCCAGTAATAGCCCAAGAGCCATCTCTCAAAAAGAGAGTAGTTATCTGCAGAAGACGGCAGGGCCTTGCTCCAAAATCCTAGAGGCCTCCACTGTGATTCACCTATGGGAGCCTGCCAAAGGCTCCACACAGCATCCCTATCTGCCACTGACACCTGAAGCACCATTGGATCTGCTGGGTGGGTCATATGGCCCAAGTGGCAAAGCAGCTTGCACAGCAGCATGGACCTGTTGCAGAGTCTTATGCTGTTCTGGGCCCCACAGAAAACTGACAGCCTTTGAGGTCACTTGATAAATGGGCCAGAGTAACACACCCAGATGAGGAATGTATTGACTCCAAAATCCAAGGAGGTCCACTAGGTCTTGTGCCTCTTTCTCGGTTGTAGGAGGAGCCAAATGGAGTAACTTAGCCTTCACCTCAGAAGGAATATTTCAACAGGCCCCACACCACTGGACCCCTAGAAATTTTACTGAGGTAGAAGGTTCCTGAATTTTAGTCAAATTCATTTCCCATCCTCTGGCACACAAATGTCTCACCAATAAGTCCAGTGTGTTTGCTACTTCTTGCTCACTGGATCTAATCAGAATAATGTCATCCATGTAATTGAGCAGTGTGATATCTTGCAGAAGAAGCAAAAAGTGACCAAGATCTCTCTGAATAAGATTATGACACAAAGCGGGAGAGTTGATATACCCCTGAGGTAGGAGAGTAAAGGTATATTGCTGGCTTTGCCAGCTGAAGGCAAGTTGCTTCTGGTGGGCCTTATGGACAGGAATTACAAAAAAGGCATTTGCCAAGTCAATGGCTGCATACCAGGTACTGGGAAATGTGATAATTTGCTCAAGCAATAAACCACATCTGGTACAGTAACTGCAATTGGAGTCACCACTTTGTTAAGCTTATGATAATCTACTGTCATTCTCCAAGATCCATCTGTCTTCTGCACAGGCCAAATGGGAGAGTTGAATGGGGATGTGGTGGGAATCACCACTACTGCATCTTTCAAGTCCTTGATGGCGGCACTAATCTCCACAATCCCTCCAGGGTTGTGATCGTGTCTTTTATTTGGTATTTTTCTAGGTAGAGGCAGTTCTAATGGCTTCTGTTTGGCCTTTCCCACCATAGTAGCCCTCACCCTACCAGTCTTATACTGGACCCACTGTAAGTTGTACCTGAGCAAAACTCCATTAATTACCTGACCCTTCATAAGTCCCTATTTTAAGTGGAAGACCACAATGACATTTTGGGTCCCCTGAACTCAATGTCAGCTCAGAGCCAGTATCCAGTAGTCCTGAAATGTCTGATCATTTCCCTCTCCCCAGTGCACAGTTATCCTACTAAAAAGCTGGAGTTCCCTTTGGGGAAGTGTGAGAGAAAGATTAAGAGCATAAATTGTCAGTAGTGCAGTGGGGTCCTTCCTCAAGGGGACCCAGCCTCCCCTTCATTCAAGGGGTTCTGGGTATGCAAACTGGTTCAAGTCTCGAAAATGATTGAGGGGCCATGATTTTTCTGTCTTTATAATTCAAATTAGTCTTTTGTCCAGTTTACTGCTTATATAAATTAAGTAGGGTTAAGTAGGAATCTGGTAGGCTTCCTATCAATTTCACTTCTAGAAACACTGTGAGTAATTAGCCAGTGCCAGAGCTCTACATGAGTCAGACTATTCTGATTGATGTTTTGCCTCTGCTGTCCATTACTGTAGCTAAGCACACCTTGCCTTTGATGGTTGGGTGCCACCACTTTGCCCCTGACACCTCGGGATCCAATTGTTCACATTGTATTTAAATTTTGTAGTTGAGTGACTGTGATTCCCTCTGTTAGATCTGACATACAGAGAAGAACAATTACAGGGCTCTTCAAAGATGCAGGTGCTGCCCTCACAAATCTATTTCACAAGGCTTTGGTCAAATGTATGTCTTCTGGACCCTCCCAGCTGGGATAAGTAGGTCTAAAGTGACTAATCCACTCCACCATCCCAATCTCCCTAAGCCTTTGGGTCCCTTCCTCTACATTAAACCAAGGGAGATCAGGCATTTCCAGCTGGCTGTCAGGGAGCCATCTTTTAATCCATATTTCAGCTAACCAAGCAAATAAACTATTAGAACTTTTTAAACTCCCTGAGCTGCAACATTAAATGCAGAGTCCTACTTAGAGGGCCCAAATTAATAAATTCAGTCTGATCCAACTCTGTGTTCCTTCCACCATTATCCCATGCCCTTAATATCCATTCCCATGCCTGTTCTCCCAATTTTTGCTTATATAAATTAGAAAACTCAAGCAGTTATTTTCAAGTGTAGCACACCTCCTCATGAGTCACACTCTCAACCTCACCTCTAGGGGCCTGCTGGGACTTTAATGTAGTAATAGGTCTAGAAACAAACAGGGGTGTTAGCAGAGGCTCCTGGGGAGAATCAACATTATCTTGCCTGGCAACTACCTCAGGGGAGGAGGCCATCACTGTTGCTTAAGGCAGTGCCATGTTTATCTCCTCAGACAAAGGTGGAAAGGCTGATGGCAGCATGGATTGGGGAGGGGATGTTGCCACTACTGGGGATGGGAAGCTGTTTCTTCTGGTAAACACATTTCATCAGAGTTTACAAACTTGGTGTCCCCGGCTTCAACAGGGTCCTCTCACACATCCCCATTCTAAGTTGCAAGGTCCCATTCCATTCCAATCAACAACCTCACTTTAACAGTAGACACCTGGCAAGACTGTGCATGCACCTTTCGTTGCAGGTCACCCGCTCACATGATAAGAGCTTGTGGCTGTTTTTCCACAATTTCAACTCTTTCTTTACAGGAGATAAGACTCACTCAGGGCAATCTTAGCAGATTTGAGGCTCAATATCTGCTTCTGAAGCTGGGAAATATAATCCCTGAGTTCATCATTTTCTTTCATCACTTTGTCCACTGGACTTAGGAACAACCAACCAGCTTCATTATGTTCCTTGGTTCCCCACATATGGTCAAAGGTGTTATGTATAGAGTCACTAAACTTCTTGCCTCTCATAAGAAAGGAATCAGGAGTGTTAAATTCATTTATTCTGCATAACGCTGTAAACAGTTCACACCAAGGATTATCAGTGTTCTCCATACTATTGGAAGTACAGTCCTTAGCATTTTGGAGTTTAATCATATTAATCAACCAACTCCAGAAATTCAAAAGGCAATGAAAGAACTCCATCCTTAATATTCTGTTTCTATAGAACCACTCCTGGTACCAAAATCTGTATTAGTCAGGGTTCTCTAGAGGAACAGATCTAATAGTGTGTGTGTGTGTGTATACACACATATATATATACACACATATATATACATACACATATATATCATTTAAATATATATCCATATATGTGAATGTGTGTGTGTGTGTGTGTGTGTGTATATATATATATATATATATATATATATATATATATATATATATAAAGGGGAGTTTATTAAGTATTAACTCATGTGATCACAAGGTCCCACAATAGGCCATCTGCAAGTTGAGGAGAAAGGAAAGCCAGTCAGAGTCCCAAAACTGAAGAGACTGGAGTCTGATGTTCAAAGGCAGGAAGCACCCAGCACAAGAGAAAGATGTAGGCTGGGAGGGTAGGACAATCTAGTCTTTTCACATTTTTCTGCCTGCTTCATATTCTAGCCACATTGGCAGCTGATTAGATGGTGCCCACCCAGATTAAGGGTGGGTCTGCCTTTCTCAGCCCATTGACTCAAATGTTAATCTTCTTTGGCAACACCCTCAAGACACACCCAGGATCAATCCTTTGCATCCTTCAATCCAATCAAGTTGACACTCAGTATTAACCATCACAACAGCCTAGGAGTGTAAATGGAGAATCCATGACATTACATGGAGGGCTTGTAATTCATGAAGTGTGGGAGAGCTAGCCAGGATGTAAGCTCTACAATCCTGAAATGCAGAGTCTGCTTCTTACCAAAAAGCTGCTTGATACTGGTGAGAAGCTAATGCTTCTTAAATCACCATACTCATGGTGAAGAACAAGTTTATTTATTTTCTCCATCTGTTTTGATGGCTACTTATGAAAAGTGCAATAAAAAACAATATAGAAAAATGAAATGCAAAGACAACGGACCTGCAAAAGGAAATCAAGCATCCATTTTTAATTACTATATTTGCTAGTAACAAATTTAATCTTAAAAAGTGATCCAAATATTACTGCTCACTCTCAATTCCATTGGTCATTGCCAACTGATATCAAACAGTTCCTGAACTGATGTAGGCCCATGGACCTCTGAGGAGCTTTGCTCTTGACCTTCCTGTTTCTGAACCCAATTTCATGGTGTGATGGCTTTGGAAAAAATAAATCAATTCCATGAGAGCAGGGGCTGTTATCACTCTTGCTCAGACTTAAAAGCTATGGAATCAAGTCATCCTCTCTTTTAATCTAGATTCCTAATTTTGTATTTAGCCCCAGATCTTTTACAGTCTGAAGAGGATGCCAGTCCAAAGGCTGTCAGGCATAGTACAACAGGAGGCAAGTGTGTACCACAGCAGTGACAGGAAATGATTCATACAGCAGTTGTAATGTAGGGTAAGAAAAAAAGCAATCCTGTTCAGCTCCTAGAAAATAACAGCACACCCTGCTGCTAACTCATTTTTCTCCCAAGTCTTAGCCTTTAGACTTCTAATATTTGCACTTAGGCTTTATTGTCCCTACACTCACGCTCTCACTCCCACACCACTGCCTCTGCTGTCTACTCAATATTTCAGATCCCTTGCCACACCTCTGTTATTCTTGTAAAATCCCCTTTAGACTTTCGTTTATTCATTCTTTTTTGTTGTTCTTGTTCACCTAGACTAAAATATAGGCATTTTTCCATTGACTACCCTATCTCTTTGGAAGCTTCCATTTCTCTCTTCCTATTGATACCCTCTGAATAAAACATGTTTAAACATCTACCACATTTATAAGTCCCCATCAATCTTATGATTAATTTCATTCTTCCAACCAGATTTGTTCTTCCTTTAGTATATTAGTCTCCTCCTGATAGAGTAGTCTTCACTGTCTTCTCTCTCTCATGTCTCATTTATTCCCTAGCCAATATGCAATTTAACTTTGGTCTGTAATTTTAAACTGAAATTGTAAATATCACCAGTGAGCTTATGAGTTCCCCACATGATGGAACTATGTCATATATTATCTTTCTTGATGTTGATGCTTTGTCTGCCTGTTTGTCTTAATGCCTACATTGTGCTATATCAATGTGTAGTGATTGGTGTCACACTTCCACCAAGTAGAATCTGACTCCATCTTGGATGATGTAGCATGCACATCACAAAAATTAGCTTCTTTATACCATGAACTCTTCAGTTTAGATAATTTCATATTTTTCTTACATTTTTTCTATATCTAACATTTCCAAAAAAGGGACATATCCTTCTAGAAATAATCAAGGCATAAATTTGAAAGTTGTCTCTTGCCTGCCTGGTCTGGTCCCTGCTTGCCTCCCCAGAGCCTGTTTTTCCTATTGTTCACTCTGATCCAATCCCACTGGTCTTCTTGCAGTTCAGGCATGCATCAGGTGCTTTTTCTTCTTTCCTCTGTTTGAAATTGTGTTCCCCTGTAGTTGACCTTTTATCATTATTAGTTTTCTTTTATTTCTTTTCTCTTTTTTTTTTTTTTTTTGAGACAGTGTCTCACTCCGTCACTCAGACTGGAGTGCAGTGGCATGAACTCAGTTCACTGCAACCTCTGCCCCCCCTGGGGTTTAAGCGATTCTCATGCCTCAGACTCCTGAGTAGCTGGGATTACAGTCTTGTGCTACCCTGCCCAGTATTTTTAGTAAAGATGGGCTTTCACCAGGTTGCCCAGACTGGTCTCAAACTCCTAACCTCAAGTGATCTGCCAGTCTTGGCCTCCCAAAGTGCTGGGATTATAGGTGTTAGCCACCTCTCTTGGCCTTATTATGAATTTTCTTTGTAGCATTTATAACTATCTGAAATTATATTACTTTTTACCTATGTGTTGCCTTTAATAACCAGAACATAAGCTCTGCGAGGGAAAGGGTTTGCCTTCTTCATAAGTGAGGGGCCTGAGCCCTGTCTATATTTTCAGAGGTCAATTAATCCAGCCTCCTTATTTGACAGGTGAAGAAGCTATAGTCAACAATAATGAAAGTATTTATGCTAGGTTTTACTCTTGGTAGCAGTGCTAAAAATGATTCCTAGACATTTTTCTACTACAAGTACTTCTACGTATTTCCAGTGAAATATCATTAAAGGCAGGGGGGAGTGAATGTATATACAGGAGGATTTAGAATCAAAGTCCAAAGTAACTCCTGTAGGAAAAAAAAAAAAATTTGAATTTGTCCTAAGAATTAGAGCATATTTGGCGTTTTAGTTCATAATATATCTGCGCTAGATATAATTGAAACATTAATCATTGAGTAATGATTGTTTTCTATTATGATGCATCATATGTATTCTGAAGACACTGGCATTAAATAATCTGCTCTTCAAATCCTGGTTCTCAGATCTACTAACTGTGAATTGAGCAAATTAAATAACCTTAGTATGCCTCAGTTTTCTTGTATTTAAAATGAAGACATTTATGGTTTCTAGTTCAAAAAGTTTTATGAGAATTAAAAGAAATAGCATTTGTGAAACCCTTAGAACAGGTTCCTGACATACAGAAAATGGCCAATAAATGTTAGAGATGATTGTGATCTTTACTGTTGGGGAAACATAACTGTGAAGTAAGGTCTAAAATTAAATCTACAATATTATGTGCAGCCTTGTCATCTAAATCTGGGAAAGGCTTGGATGACCTAACCCCAAGTTCCCTCTGTCTCTGTCCCCCTGGATAAAGTCCCCTAGCCAAATAACCCTCTTTGTCAAGTGATCAGCACAGTCTGGCTGATCTCTGAGGACTGGGTTTCAGTTCTCTGTCACCCCACAGAATTATTCAAACAAGATAAGCACATCCTCCTGTGAGAATCAGCAGTCATCCCACCCTCTTGACCATACAATATCTGTTCCCTACAGTCCATGGTTGTTCACTCTGTTCCCAGGTGCTACTCCTGTGTGGCCTATGTAGTGTCTTCCTCCCCTGGGCTGTGAGTATTCTTCCTCCCCTGGGCTGTGAGTATATGTGACCAATAAACTGTTATCTATCTTATCTGTCCAGTGTCAGATGTCACACATTTGGCCATCCCCATAGCCAGGACTGCCACTCTCACCAAGTGAGTGACTAGCAGGTGATTAAAACGGTAAAAATATACCCCGATTCTGAGAACCTGTCCTCAAGCCCTTTGATCAACTAGTCTGCAATCTCATCTGGCAATGGCATTTCAACCTATATCCAACACAAAAACATGTGCTTCATTGGGCTATCCTGCTTTGCTTCACAGGAGACTTGACAATGCACAGTATTATATATAAATCTAAAACCATCCATATTTCTTCCCTGGAAGTCCTGAAGGGTCTTATCAGAGAAAACAAAACTGCTTATATTAAGACATATTGTCATCTATTTTCTCTACCATATACCACCATGCACTTTATATATAAATAACATCCAACTACTCCTATAATCTTATTTCATGCTTTCAATTTTTGTGATATTATTCTATCTTCTTAGAACAATGTTCTTGCTTTTCTTTGGTTGAATAACTTTGGTCATATTTCAAGAGTCAACACACACATAATTTTTTCTAAAAAAATCTTTCTTGAATTGAAAACTTGGGCCAACATACCTCATTGCTAGCCTTTAATAAACATCATGGATTGACATCTTCTTTCTCCTCGTCTTCTTTCAATGAGAAGCTGTGTCTTATTTAACTCCGGATTCCCAGGGCCCAGCAAAGTTCTCCGAATGACAAACACTACCTGTGGTGAAACTGACCTGATTCACCATTTTCCTCTTTTTGTGGAAGCGCTTCTCATCCACACTACTCTCCACTCTCTATTAGTCCATCACTTCAAGTATATCTAGACTAAGCTCAAACTCAGTCCCACATTTAACTTCAATTCACTCTGTGTCCATATTCTATGTTCAAAAAGAATCAAATCTTTTCTATGAGAAAACACAAGTATAAATACAATGAAAATATTTTAATACACTCTATCATAGAAAAAGAAGCTACTTTTAAGACAATTTATATCAAGACAATGTGGCAAAGTTACTTTATACTTTTTCCAATAGCTTTAAAATAAGATTTGGTATATGAATAGACTCCGCATAGATGTGACATCAGGAATACTGGGAGTCTGTGAATAAATATTTTGATTGACTAATTTCATTTATTCTCATCACCTCTCTACTTGCTTGCCCTGGCCTTGGTAAAACTATTTGGAAAGAGAATCAAACCTCCTAGAATAAAATTAAAAATTGATTTTTAGTAAAGTTTCATGTATTAAATTATACTCAGTATCAGAGAAGTGAATTTTTTTATGTTTTCTCTGGGAATATGACTACTTATAACTGTGTATATTAGTGTGTATATACATGGTGGGTATATATACATATCTATTAGATTTAATGTAAAAAGTCATTGCAACTATTTAAAATAAGTGATGGGTTGAATTATCTGCAGAGGCAAAATAAAATAGCTAATTTCAGAATGAACATTTTCAACTTTTTAGGCCTGACTAACAGTTTAAAAAACAAGAGTTTGGAGACAAATTGGTTTACTAAACAATCAAGAGTTTGGGGTGGTAAGAAGTAGCCAGTCATTTTATTTTGGCAATATTTTTTATTTGCTTCATCTTTCCCCATGAACATGTGGAGTTAGGTATGGCTGATGGGAGTCTTTTTCGACTTCTCAGAAACTCCGTTTCATATCCTCAATCTATCATTTCTAAATGTCCTTTTTTTTAACCTGTCTTCAGATCATTCATGTGTTTCATGAGAATTAGACATTCATTTTCCCCGTTTGAAGAAACACTGTGTTGACTGACACATCCACAGTTTTAAAATAACACGGTTTACATTATTTAGGACATCCTGGTGTATTTGTAGAAAAAGAGAAGCAAAAACTAAGGATGGACTGTATATCCAGTTTTTCCTGAAACTACTCAGTGTTGACGTGTTCCCATGAGAATGTGCATTGTTGTTCAAACTCTAGAAAACCAGTTATTTCCCAGAAGAATTTAATTTTCTATAATCCTACCAAACAGAAACATTTCCTTGCTCTGGAGAATTAAATCATGTAAGACTATTTGTTGTTTTCTTTAAGAGTCACATCTGGAGAATAACTGTCTTTTACCCTCTGACCCTTTTGATAGAGATAATAATCCAAATTCTTTTTTTTTTTTTTTTTTTTTTTTGAGACATGACCTCTGTCTGTGACCTAGACTGGAGTGCAGTGATGCAATCACAGCTTACCACAGCCTCAATCTCCCAAGCTCAAGCAATCTTCTCACCTCAGCCTCCTGAATAGCTGGGACTACAGGTGCATATCACCACACTTGGCTATTTTTTTTATTTTTTATTTTTATTTTTATTTTGTACAGACAGCATCTCTCTATGTTGTACAGGCTAGTCTCAAACTCCTGGGCTCAAGACATCCTACTGCTTCAGCCTCCCAAAGTGTTGGCATTACTTGTGTGAGCCACCATGCCCAGTCTCCAAATTCTTTTCACACAAATTCATTCTGTACAATGACTTCTGATTATTCTTCCAGTAGCATCATGTTTATCATATTTATGTAACAAGCTAAATTAATAAATGATGCAAGGCTGAATAAATTAAGGTCATGAACAACAGTACAGGCTGTCCAGCAGGGCTATGGAGGTACAAAGAAGTAAGAATGACTTTTCACTGCTTTCATGAAGCAAGATTGTAC
This sequence comes from Homo sapiens, assembly GCF_000001405.40. Classification (NCBI taxonomy): domain Eukaryota; kingdom Metazoa; phylum Chordata; class Mammalia; order Primates; family Hominidae; genus Homo; species Homo sapiens. The sequence continues at coordinate 43,410,580 of NC_000018.10, forward strand.
AGAAGACTTTACATGGACATGTAGGGAATATATACATACATACATATGTGTGTGTGTGTGTATATGTATTTATATGTTTTATATATGGACACAGAAATCCCAGGAGAAAATATACAGTTAATCGCCTGTAATCCCAGTGCTTTGGGAGGCCGAGGCGGGCGGATCATGAGGTCAGGAGATCAAGACCACGGTGAAACCCCATCTCTACTAAAAATACAAAAAATTAGCCAGGCGCAGTGGTGGGAGCCTGTAGTCCCAGCTACTTGGGAGGCTGAGGCAGGAGAATGGTGTGAACCCAGGAAGTGGAGCTTGCAGTGAGCCGAGATCACGCCACTGCATTCCAGCCTAGGTGACAGAGCGAGACTCGGTCTCAAAAAAAAAAAAAAAAAAAAAAAAAAAAGAAAAGAAAATATATAGTTAACCAAAAATATTGAGGAGGACAACAACATCTAATTAGGTAAAAGGAAGTTGATAATTTGGTGCTCCGATAGATTTTTTAATCTTTATTGTTGTATAATTAACATTCAATGAATTGTACAACCATAAAGTATACAATTTGATAAGTTTTGATACATGTATACACCTATGAGACATCATCCCCATTAAAATAATAAACATATGCATTGACTCCAAAAGTTTCCTCACACCTCTTTATAATCCATTTCTTCCCCAGTCCCCAGCCAATCAGTTGTACGCTTTCTGGAACTATAGATTAGTTTGCATTTTCTAAAATTTTATACAGATAGAATCATACTTTCTGTGGTCTGGCTTTTTTCATCTATCATAATGACTTTTAGATTCATTTTTTGTTCATGCATCCAGTGGCATGATTATAAATATTTAACCACCAGCTCTCTGGTGGCAGTGTTGGTAGGGGTGGGTGTGAGCGATCTGTAGCATTTGTTGATTTTCATGGTGCAAAGATTCCCATCATGATGGATTTTAAGCTACCAACATGATGTCTCTGAACTCACAGTAGGAAAGAAATGCACACAATCACATCTTGTGAGCTAGTTCTAGCCAAATCCAGCTCATCACTATATGTGTCATTGTTTCATTCCTTGTTATTATTGAATAGTATTTTATTGTGTGGTTTTACCATAATTTGTTTATCTATTTACCTGTTAATGAACAATTAGATTGCTTCTGGTTTCAGGATATTCCAAATATGTAGAGATGTTGTGAATATTCTTGCTCAAATCTTAGTTTGGACATATGCTTTCATTTCTCTTAGACAAATACCTAGGAATGAAATAGATGAGCCATATTGCGGTAAAATATTTCCAAGGTGGCTGGATTATTTTATCCTCTCACCAGCAGTGTGGAAATGTTGTAGTTGCTCCACACTCTTGCCAACACTTAGTATCATCAGTATTTTTTATTTTTTCATTCTAATGGGAAGTAATATATCCCATTGTAGTTTTAATTAACATCTCCCTAACAATGAATGATGTTGAATATCTTTTCACATGTATTTTTGCCACCTATATGTCTTCTTTGGAAAGTGTCTACTCAAATATTTTGTCTGCTTTTTTATTGGGTTGTTTGCTTTCATATTATTGAGTTGTAAAAGTTCTTCATACATTCTGTACAAAATTCCTGTGTCAGTTATACATTTCATAAATATTTTCTCCAAGTCTATGGCTTGGTTTTTCATTTTCATAAGTTAATAAATCTCTACCAAACTTAACATCACTAAGGTTTTCTCCTTTTTTTTCTAGGAATTTTAGAGTTTTCGTTCTCAAATTTTGGTCTATATTTCATTTTGAATTAATTTTTGTATATGGTGTGAGTTGAGGACCAAGATTCATTTATTTGGATAAATGGCTAACGAACTGACTCAGAACCATTTGTTCAAAATATGATCCTTTCCCTGTGGTTCAATAGATTTTATTTTTAAATTCAAGATACTCATATATGACTCTAATAAGTTGAGAAATGCTAAAGCTATATCAATATTTTTAATTGTATTCATTCTCCATCTAGAGATTCGTGTACACGAGGTTATGAAGTACAGAAGTGTATCTATTAATTTAACACAAGAAAGTTCAAATTTAAGAAGGAGATGGACTGATACATGTCCTAAGAAGTCAGGCTGCTTAATTTTCACTCCTCTATTGTATAAGGGACAGGGAAGAAAGTGTGCATGCTTGGGATAAGCAAAGATGTGGGAAAAAATTGACCCATAGGGTTGCAATGATTGCTGCACTCCAGTAGCACTCAAAGAGGTCTCACAATATGATAAGGATTGTTCTAACAAGTCTTGCTTGACTTCTGCATCATGAACCTCAACATACAATCCCTCATCTCCCTATACTTCTCCCAATTCTGCAACCTAGTCATTAAGAATATGCAAAGTAATTGCATATCAAAAGCCACCTATGAAGTATTAAAGACAAAATAAACCAGTGTAAAAACCCAAATGAAACAAAGCTATTATGATTAGCTTTTCAAAATGTTTTGAGGTAATTGTTTAATTGAGCAGACATCTGTTTGGTACCAGCAGTAACACAAAACAGTTTTATTTGGTAACTTAAAGAAAGTTAACCTCAAAATCAAAACAAAGCAAAACAGTTAAGATGGTTGCAATTTACTGCTGAAATTATTGTAACTCTACTTACCTCCTTCCCTTAGAGAAAGTCAAAGTAAGCTAGCTTTTTATTTATGCTGGTTTCAGATATCCTTACCTATTTTCCTCATATACTATAGACATTCCCTGAAAATTCAAATATCATAATTAGAATAAAAATAATTTATCTTAAAATATTTATTTTGCAGACTGAGTTTTCAACATCTGTATCAAAAAGTACAGCAAACCATGCAATTGGTTTAAATACTCATTTTAGTGATCATTTTATAATGTAAATATATAAGTAAATGTGAATTTAATTTTATAAAAATTTAAGAATTTTCATATAAATACATCATTTATTGGAAGAATTTTCTTTGCTAGTCCCCATGTTTTGATTTGTAAATTGAAGTTACTGTATCTGAATAGGTTGTCAATTTGTTCTACCTCTTTCGTAGATCCTAACTGAATAACTTCCAATCAAAGGATTACCTACAGAAAGAACTAGTACTTCTGAAATAACAGAAAACCGATAAGACATGAAGCTATACAGCAAGAAGCGGCTGAATCAGTAGATGAGAAATAAAACAGTAAATAGCAGGTAACAACAGATATGATATATTCTTGAGTGTATGGGGGCAATTTTCTGCACATTCCTAAATCAGTGAAGAGGAATGTGACAAGGACCTGGGTTTTGTATCCACATGTGAGGGTTACACAGTAATTAGTGCTTGCCCCAAAGTAGAAATAGCCACAGGATATGTGCTTCCAGGACCAGCTTTACTCATTGGCATGAATTGTTGAAGGGTCCTAGACAAGGGCCTGATGCCTGCTTCCTCCCATCATCACATCCATGCACAGGCATGCTCTATCCATCGCATTATGCCTGAAACTATACTCCTACAGTTTGTTTTTTAGCCTTTCTCCACCCCCGTCCTTCTCAACAGTTATCTCTCAGTGTAAACAGATCAGAAAGCAGACTGAGACTCTGAAAGTGGTGATGTTGGGGCTGTGGGTGTCGAGGCTCTAATGAGGAAAGGGAGGAGGTCTCCCTGAAGGGCTCCCTCTCACCTTCTGTCTATAGCTTCCGGAATAAAGCCCTGTTAAAGCATTTGCAACTCTGCTGTTTTCTTCAGTGCAAGTTGTTTACCCGTCTGTCTCCTCTTACAGCCTGTAAACTCTTCTAGAGTAAGAAATACGGCATATGGTGAGAGCCTGGTTTAACCAATACATTAATTTTAAAAACTTTGATTTCCAAGTTTTAGTGAGGATCATTTTAGAATGTCCTTAGAAGACTCATAACTATCAGTGTTTAATATTAGACATTTGTGGGGAGGAAGGGAAGAATCTCAGGAATTTACTGTTCAATATCCATAGTTGTGTTATCTTCTTTTGGTTGTATGTGGTTGCAGGTGTGTGTGTGTTGCAGCTGGGGCAATGGTTCTGAAGAAGAGAGAAAGAATCTGAAAGACAATTTTTGTGTCCAAGGTATTTCAGTATCCAAATTCCTTATTTCGGAATGTTACTTGAAAAAATCTCTCATCTTGCCATGATAAAAATTGGTTCAGATTTAAAACACCCCCATCTGGAACCAATGTCTTTCTCTGTGTTTAACTATTTAATTGTCTGCTCAAAAACAGACACCCCTATTTTCTGTGAAGAAACCTGCTCTTCCTCATGATAGATTCTGGGCCACAAGTACCTCAAAGCTTCCAAAGGACTCATAAGCACACATTTGTTTTTTATCTGTAAAACATATCCAAGTGGTTTCTTCCCAGCTTAATGGAAGGTATGATTTAGAGCTAAAAGACTGTAATCCATATGGCTTTTAAATAGGTTATTTCTTTGTTTTGGTTATTTTGAGAGTACATAAGTTTCAGCTCCTGAGTAAATTACAGGCTTTTAAGGCTTCACATAGCTATTTTGCTTTTAAGCAGACAGGATTTCACCTTTATTCCTCCTCAGTTTGCTTTCTTATTTACAAATGAAAAACAGCAGAGGGTAGCATTTATTTACTTTCTCCTGAATATCAGCCACGCAATATGCATGGGAAGCCTATGGAGGTGGGACACACGGGCCTCCCTTCTTAGATGCTGGCTTCTGAGGCTCCTGTCTATAATATCAGAGCAAGTGCATAGGAAAAGAGGCCTGTAGAAAAGATGGCTATGAGATGTGAATAATAGTTCTGCTATGTCAATAAGTAAAAAAGTAAGTGGATAAAAACCAAAGGAAAACAAATAAAAGGGCTGAAGGAAGAGATGATGAACTTTCTGTGATATCTTGTCCAGCTTTTCCTTCTTCAAGATAATAAAAATTAAGAAAGTAATAACAAGAAGTCTACTCACCTATTGTTTGCGTGGTATGTATTAGGAACACTGTCATGTGAATCTAAAGAGCCATTTGATTGAGGAATAACAATAAATAAAAAGCAATTACATCCATTTCTATAATTCCATCTAATTGATGCTGGCAAATAAATGAGGATATGCAGAGAGAAGATTTTTCTGATGGTGAAGGTTGAAAATGGATAAAACAGGAAGCACTGAGATTTTTCTATTTTATTTTTACTAGTAGACATTTATCTCAGTCTTATCCTTCTGTAGTGCTACATGACCTCACCAGGCTTACCTTCTCAGTGTGATAGTGACATCTTGGGAAGTCGTGTCTCCAGGCCTCACGCTGGTAGTCCCCTTGATCTGAAGCATTCTCCCACCCCTTGCTGCTCTTTGAACTCACTCGCTTATGAGTATATTAAAACCCCAGTTTCTCATCAAAGCTTCCCTTCAGTTCTACCACAAAGAAATTATAGAAATTTGAGAATGTCACTTCTCTAAGCCTTCATTTCTCCAACTTTAAGATTAGCAAATGGAAGTGATCTTTAATATCACTTCTGCTTCTGGTCCTTGAGTTAATTCTGCAAGTGTAACAATGTCCATGCTTCTTGAAAACTCCTACCTCTCCTGATTTTCTAGGCACATTTTCTAAACTACTTGTGCATAACTTATACCATGGTTAAGTAAGAATATTGCAAGTATTTAGGAAACTAACTTTTCCCTTCACTAGAATGTGAATTCATTTTGGTTGTACCATTTTATATATTTAATTTTTTGTTCTCTGACATCGTAAATTTTTAAGGTCCCAAATGTTGTAGAACGAATGATATACCTAATCAATTTTGAGATTAAAGACTATTAGTAGATACAATGATGTGTCAGCACAAGGCTTTATGTTTCAGGTTTACCTGGAAGGGAGAGCAGGTAGGGAGAAAAATGGCTGCTTCAAATATCTTCAAATTTCAGCCACAATATTATGGTTTTGAACAGATGAATAACTAACATTTAAAACTGTCTTACCATAGGAAATAAAGCAGTAAATGTCTGTCTTTTGAGAAGATTCATCAGGGATTATATGACCACTTTGTGGAGTCACACATGAAATAAAGGAGTATAAGTGATTTCTGTGGCCTCTTTTTACTACAATTCTTGCAGCCTATGACTCTATCATGTTTCTTAGAGTGACACATACCCATATGAACATTGTGCCCTGTTGAATACCCACAGAAGATGCTGTCTAGTGGAAATAAGAATAAATGTAAGTGAATCCAGAACCATTTGGATATGATTGCTCATATCAGGGCATGGAAGGCAAAGGTGGTTATGTCTTTGCACTGGTCTTGGTATCAGAAACTTGAACCCAGCTCAGGCTTTGCTAATAAAGAGCTGTAAGCTTTGGGCAAGTCATCTTACTTTCCATTGTTTCAGATTTATTCTCAAGAAAGTGAAAGAGGTTGAACCAGATAAGTTCAAACATTCTCATTAACTTTAAGTGATTGTATATCAATAGAAACAGAGATATACTGCATTTCTAAAAATCCTAAAAGATGACTATCCAAAATAATAAACCATAAACATTCATTTACTTCACAAAATTAATCTTTGTTTTATAAAGGATTGAAAAAGCAATCTCATCTGCATTTATTTATGCCAATTATATATTTAATAAAGCTCTGCTATCATGAAACAAAGTTGGACAGCGTAGGGTGAGGATGAGAATATTATAAACATTATCATTTACCATTATTGTATGATTTCCTATTTATAAACTACAGTAATTAAAATCATTTTACAACTCTTCCATTAGTCACAGAGCTATTGATTCATTACTGAGTTTATACCTGCTTCATGAAAAATCCTGATGACTGAGAAGAAGATGAAAATATCGTGGATGCTTGGAATGAACTCTAATTGAAAGTGTTGGCTTCAATGAGCTTTATGGTTTGAAGAAGGCGTTCATTTTATGGCTTGCTTTATTTTTTTCAGGGATAAATGTTACTTCATTTCTCTTATGGATTGCATTTTATCTTAAGAAATTAAAAAATCTCTATCAGAATAAAGTAAGAAATGACACACTTGGGATAGAGAGAATATGTTAAATCATGGACAGATCTCAGAAAGATTGGAGATCAGATGGTAACCCTTTCCACCCTAGGTCTACTTTCCATACCTTTACAAGCTTCCAGTATCCCTACCTCTTTCTCAATAGTTCAAGGCCTCAAATTATCCCAGGTTTCCATGTCATTGTTAAACGTGGTCTTACACATTCACACTTAGCTATTAATGGTTTAAATTATTTAAAATAGCAAATCCATTATCCACCTAGAACTGAAGGAATTATAAACAAATTACTAATATTTGCATTAATCTTTAGAATTTACAAAGTGTTCATACATACACACACACACACACACACACACACACAGTGTAATCTCATGATAATCTTACAATATTCCCTTGAGATATGGTACGTATGTTAGATATTATTCATACCACTTATAAAAGGTGAGGGAAATGATTCAGAGGGTTTAAGTGACCTATCCACAGCCACTGAGCTACGGATATCAGTGGAAGAAGATAAATTGAAACTCAAGTTTTTCCATTCTAAGACCTAAGCCTTCAAAAAATGTGTTTCCTGTAGTTATCTATGCCAATCATAAGTGATTTATTTCAACTTATCTTCTCAATGTTGTTTGACTTTTTTCTTATTTATTCATTTATCACATGAGCCTCCTTCTTTAGGATCAGAAAAGTTCTAAACTAGAAGAAACATACACAAATAATGTTTGGGCCAGACATCTAATTTTCAGCAATAGATTAGTGAAACACCCAACATGTCACCATCTATGCTCTTATAGATTTCACGAAATATTACAATAAAGTGACATCTCATTGCTACCAATGTTTAACAAATTAAAAAACAAAAACAAGCCCAAAGATTCTAAACGCCTTTGGGGTATGAGGTCAGACTCATTTCTGGAGGTGAGGCTTGGACTCTGGGGCAGAATGAAGACTAGCTGAAACGTGGAAGAGAAAAAAAGAACCCCTCTATAAGACATGTCCACCAGTGCCATGTTGGTTTACCACTGCAATGACAGCACCTGGAAATTACCACCCCTCTCCATGGCAATGGCTAAGGAGTACCACCCTTTTTCTAGAAATTTCTGCATAATCTGCCACGTAATTAAAAGTAGGTATAAATATGACTGCACAACTGCCCCCAAGTTGCTACTCTGGGCACAGCGCCTATGGGGTAGTTCTGCTCCACAAGGAACAGTGCCTCTGCTGCTGCTGTGCACTGCCACTTCAACAGAAGTTGCTGTCTAACACCACTGGTGCATCCTGAATCCTTTCCTGGGTGAAGCCAAGAACCCTCCTGGGCTAAGCCCCAGTTTAGGGACTCACTTGCCCTGTATCACTTTGAACAATGTCATACATCTAACCCATAGAACTAAGGCAAAAACTGAAGTTGCCAATACAAAATCTTATAGATGTTTTTAGTTTTTAATAAAAAAATTATTATTTTTTCCCCTTGAAATTCTCTAGAAAAATAATTTCCACTAAATTTGTTAGTATCCTGTTCGATTATGTTTTCTCACTGGAATCCTTTTTGTCTGTCCAGTGAAACTAAAAAAAAAAAAAAAAAAAAAAAAAACAGTATTCTAGTGGTAACTAAGTTTGTCCTACTCAGAAACCAATCAAGAATTTCTTGAGGGCTTCCTGAGTGTAACAACACTTTGTGTAATGACAGTGCTCTGGGTGTGTAGTTTCTAAGTGCTCTATTGTGGGGAATACACAGTGTAAAGGACCATTTCTCTCTACCAATATTTACAGTTGAGTAACTAGACAGCCTGTGAATAAAATCAGCAGCTGCGGAGTGAGCATACATTCACGAGGACAAGAAAATCAGAGTGTGGCCAACATGGAGATGCTACACCCAGATCTTTTTTTGAGGAAAGACTTACTGCCAGCTGCGGAGAGTGTGGTCAGCTGAGAGGCTCCTGTTAACCCTTCTGGATCAGTCTTAGCTCTAAGCAAGAGCCACCTTTTCTTGAAGTTATGTTCTTTCCACTTCTGGGGAAAGTTCGAATCCTGTGCCTCAGTGAGGAAGGAGTATGAAGGTGCCTGCTGGGGGACAACCCTTATGGATAATCTTGCTCCACATCTCCCAGCTAAGGTGGATAAGGCCCTGTTGAGCATGGGTCACAATTCAACATTTTTCCTCTTCCCAATCCTGTTTTCTCCCCATTTCCTTTGTAGGTGATTCCTGATAAATATCTTGTATCCCAACTCTATTTTAGCATCCATGTCCCAGAAACCTAACCTGCCACAGAGAGCTGCAGGGCAGACAGAGCTGAATATTGCAGAGACAGGCACAGACAGACAAACATCAGAAAAAGAGCCATGATAGCTTTGCATTTTTTTGCTGTTATTCTCCTGAACCTGGCTATAATTTTTGCCTTTTTGTTCTGTTTTCCAATCTTGCAAATTACAATAAATCGCTCTAATTATTCTTAGTGTATTGTTTAATTTAATTCAAATAAATTTCTACTTTTAACAGCAGTAGTCATAACTGTATGACCAAATAAAACACAGTGTCGTGTTTTGCAGCAGTGATACAAAGTACAATAAAATCTAAGAGAAAGAACATATGAGTTTGTAACAGCAAGGAAATAAACATGAATGCCAGGATTTTAACCAGTTTTTCTTCAGTCCCCTTCTTTTCTTTTCTCTTTTCTTTCCTTTTCTCATTTCTTCCCTCCTTCCTTCTTTCCTTCCTTCCTCCATCCCTTCCCCTCCTTTTTCTTTTCTTTTGTTTTCTTGCCTTTCTTTGTCTTTCTTTCCCTCTCTTTTTCTTTCTTTCCTTCCTTCCTTCTCTTTATTTTTTCTTCCCTCCTCCTTTCCTCACTTCCTCCCTCCCTCCCTCCCTTCCCCCTCCTTCCTTCCTTCCTTCCTTTCTTCCTTCCTTTTTCTTTATTCCCCTCTGCTTTCTTCCTGATCTTTGCAACTCACTGTTCCTAAACAATAGCCCAGTGAGATTTCTATGGTGCCAGATCAACAAATGGAGTTTCTAAGAGTAGTATGTCGATAGTCTGGGGAATTATAATGGACAAATACAGCTAGAATTTTAGCAGATTCTGTAAGGCATAGCAAGGGCTTGTATTAGAGAAAAGGAAATAAATCATAGACAACAAAATTCAGATTGTGCTACTTTTCCTTTCACAAAGAGAAAAATATAGTCTATATCTTTTTAAGGCAGCCTGATCCTTCACGTTTTAGCCTGCATTCTTCTGTTCCTCTATCTTCCCAGCTCAATGAAATTTTTCTCAACCTCCAGATCCCCAATTTACTAAGTTGGAAGCTCCAAAGAGGGATAAGTATATCTATCACTGTTATCTCAGTATCCCGAGTGCAAAGCATGGATAATAGGGGACATTTTGGTGTATATTTGCTGAACAGCTAGGTTTATTAATAAGCAAATGTTTAGCCTTTTGTTATTATATTTAATAGAAGCTAAGTGATTCACCCTTAATAACATGGTTCATTGTCGGGTAAATTAAGACGCTGAAATACTTCAGCCCTTAGGCATATTAAGAGCATAAAGCCAGTGGGGTCTTCTGTGTTAATAGATTGTTAGCTTTTGATAACACACTGCCTCCTTGTGAGCAAAAGCAGTAGTGGCTGTGGAGAGATTTCCTCCCTCAATCAGCTGTCTCTAAGAGTGAGTGGTATGTATGACATAGCAAAGCTTCCTAAAATACAAGCAGATTAAAATGACAGGCTTCTGCTCCAAAGATTTAGCTTTGTTTTACTAACATGCAAATGAATGAAAAACAAAGGTAGTTCTTTTCTTTGGAGTAGAGAGTACTGAAGACACCATCAGAGGCACCATCAAAGCTCTCAACTTCAAATGCTCCAGGAGATCTGTAGTCCCTTGGAAACCAGTTAGGTTGGTGGAGCACCAGGGTCTAGGGCAGCTGAATGCAGCAAATGATGAGTGAATGATTAAGGATGAGTAAAGAAGACATCTAGCATCCTAGAAAGTACAAAATATCAATTGATTCTTAAAACAAATTTGTAACCAGACTGCACAATTCACCAACTCATGGAAAACCAGTGCAGAGCCTTTGACCTCCTGTGGTGTCTCCTGATTGGCTGACACATAGATTTTATGCTTTTTTTATTTCAACTTTCAAGCCCATGTGGTAGGTTTGCTCCCACCACATTACTACTCCTCTCTGCCTCCTCAGTGAATGAGCTGGCCACTGCCACAGTGCTCACCCCTGCTGCCATGCCCTGCTTTGAGCCCTCCTCCCTTTTTTGTTTAAAAATGATAACTGCCTTCTATTTAATCTATAGTTTCCCTTATTACTACAGCTCATACTTATAAGAATCGCACATATCACCTGAATGACACGTAGCTCAGCATTTTCATCTGTACTGCTCTTCTCTCTGCCCATTTTTCAAGAAAATGTGTCTACAGTGTATTGAAGGACAGAAGTTGCATCTTTTAATTCCTCCAAGTGAATTAGTATGTTACATGGGTCACTAAGACATATCTAGTATAAAGTGACAGGTTCATGTGTTATCAAGCATTGTATATGTAAAAATGATTTGCTCTTCAGCACTTAAAAAATGTTCCTTATCTCTTTACAAATAAATATCTTTTGGCATTTTCAAGATGCTGTTCAACATGAAAAAGGTCATGCTCTGAACATGAGTAAAACATAATTGTCATCAATAAAAAGACACTGTAAAAAAAAAATGAAGCCCCCTAGTGAATGCAACCATATTTAAATTTTTCTGTAGATGTGGTACATTGTCAAGCCTTTTAATGCCATCCTTTTCATATTAAAGTTTGCACATTAGTATAAATGCACTTTTCAAAGTAAATTTACTGAATAATTTCACCTTACTCTTTTCTTTCCTAAATTTGCACTCAGATTGGTATGGTTTAAAAACAGGTTTTATATGAAACACTTTGAGCTGCCTTAATGTAATGGAATTGCACAAATCGCAGGGTGAGTGTGAGCTGGAGTGTAGCAGGATCTTCAACTCCTGTTACTATGCCAATGATGTCTGACTGCACCATGACGCAATGAGAGTTATCTCGTTTAATAAAAGACAATTTCTCATTCAGTACCTCAGAAGAGAGATTTCAATCAGCTCACAGTCTGGGGCTTACAGTCTACTTGCAGGTTGAAATCATGCTGTTGACAGTATCGCAGCTGGCCACTAAGAGTGCTGTTGAAAGCATGTTTGCTTGGACAAGCTCCAGACTGAGAAAGCCCTCAGCAAAAGATAAACTAACAAGCAAGGACAAGGACGTTTTCCAAGTAGTGATGACTCCTGATTGCATTCTTAAATTCTTCATCCTCTCTTTGAATGTGGGACATATGGACTTTCATGTAAAATCAGTCCAACTCCCAGAAGACTGATTTGTAGGGAAAAGACTGTCTGACGTGATAAACAGCAACTCTCCATCAGTTCAATGCAAATCAAAATTATCTATAAAAAATAAAAATATGAGGAAAAAAGAAACTCTGTACAAAAAGGATACCCTGTGCTTGGCTGAGAGTCTTGCTGACTGCAAGAATGTGGACCACTAAGACCCAGCAACCTGGGCTGCCCTATACTTGCCACACCTTTTCCAAGTTACAAACCTGTATCGGTTTCTTGCTATAGGTGGGAGCCCCAACACTCAAAGGAAAGAATCACTCTTCTTTGAGCCCGTTAAAGCTCACCTCAGAACTTTGTTGTCACAAAGCAAAGGGATTATTAGTCTCTACAATTGCCCATCAAATCCTCTTGACAGATCAGAAGACCAAGGCAGCCATTCCCAGGATGCTGGATCTCTACTGAAGCAAAGACGGGATCATTGAAGCTGATGGGCCACAATCCCCTTGCTTCTCCTACACGTTGCCCCATGGTGTCTGATGCTTGTCATTTCAGAGATAAGAAGATATTTCAGAGACAGATGATGAAGCACCTACCCAGCACTAAGCACAAGTAAGCCTGAGTCAGACATGGGGAGAATAAAGTTTAGATAATACAAGGTTTACCTGAAGAATTCTTATTTTGTGTATCATAAGGGATTCCACAGGGCCAGCTGGGCCATTTTCCCCCTGCATCTGGGCCATTCATAATATTAGCTTAGTAAAGAGAGATCTGCAAGCTTGCTATAACTGGAAGGGTAAATCATTGATAATATATGTAATTCTTAATGTATTTAACTCAGTTTAGTTCCTTTTTGATACTGTCATCAAGACCAGTAATTTTTCTTTGAAAAGTATGGTTAGCAGAGAATTCTGCTAGAAATATGGAAAGCTCTGACTCGGTGTTAAATGCAAACTTATAAACAAAACCAGTTAGAGAATAAAAGCAATGGTCGATCTCAGTGCCCATGATAACAATGATTTAGCATATTTGTAAATATGTGAAAGACAATACAAGAAATTAGAGCAAATGAGCATTTTTCTATGTTTACCTGCCATCTTCATTAAATGTTTTTTCTGGATCCACACAACATATAATTTCTACTGTGATATGAAGTACATAAGGCTCTATGTATATGTGAATACACACATTAATAATTAATTACATTAATTAGTTTATCAAATATGTTATTTGTTCATTAGGTAATCAAATTAGGCTTATCCTTATGGAGGTATCATGTGCCTATGTATAGGAAACAGAGCATTGGTAATTGGTTTTATTATTTTATAAGTCTTTAGAAGTTTACATGCCTCTTTTGCTTGGCCAAGATACTTTGAATAGTGGGCTCAGCTGGGTTGCTGTACCACCCATATCATGTGCAATTGCTAAAATGAATAAAAAAGTATTTTCTCTTTTCAAGTTTTTTGACTGTTGTTTGATTTTCTATATGTATGGTGATAGAAAACTACTGATATGCTCAAATAAACAAGAAATTTCCAAAATCTCTCTGAGTCCAGCTCTCTGTGGGATGCTGTTGCTGGGGAAGCTTAAAGAGAGACAGTGTATAATCAGAGTCCTTGATGAATTCATCATTTACTTCTGGTGATAAAACTCATACATAAGAAACCAGTAGAAATCAATATAGAAGTGCATATATTCAGCTATGGGAAAAATAATACTATCTTGACATGGGAAATTAATTACCTATAGTTGTTCTTGAAATACAATATGCCAAAGTGCCCAACACAAGAATTAGAAAGTTGAATGGAAGATATTCATCACCCATCCCCAGAATAACCTAGAAATGTGAGGGAATTGAAGTGTTTTAGGTCATCACTGTAATAGAAATTTAAGTGGCATGCTAACTTTTTCAGTCAAAATTAGATACAAATTATCTAACTAGTGCAGATTAGGTGGTATATTGATTTTAACTTTTTCATTTTTTTCTTTTTTCTTATTCTTCTTTTGTCGTGGACATAATATCATGCAGAATTTCATTCATTCTTCAATAAGTCAGATGTAATTAATAGTTCTCTTTGAATCTTTGTTTTAAACACCATTCCACAGGAATTTATAACCTGATTTACTCTAACATCAAGTAGTAAGAAAGGAAGATAAATATTTATTCAAATTAAGCATATTAAGCAAATCTAAAAGTATCTAAAATTTTTAAAAATGTTTAGTTTTAGGGAACACACTAAAAATGATATCTTTAAAAATTAGGAAAAAAGCATGATTGGCTCTAAACTGTTATTGAGAACAAAAAGGATTTTATCTTCATAGAATGCTCTTTTTCCACCAAATGAGAAAACTGAGTCTGCTTCAATGAGATTACACCAATCAGTAAAAGTCATACGTTTGTATGTCCTAAAATGAGGACATTTGGCTCTCAAATCAATGCTGTTCCAATTATAATATGTAATTTTAATAGAAAAAGAACCTATCAACCAATTAATTAATCAAATTCATAAAGTAATAAATCATATGGTAATTAAGTAACTTTTAATGGGGTGTAGAAATGCTACCCCCAAACATGGCCCTTTGGTGTTCTGAGTATTTTAAGCTGAAATTAATTGAGGACCTTCTTCCACCTCCCTCTCTCCTGAAACAGGCCATAGAAATGCGGCAGGAAATGCTAGCATTCCTGTACGAAATGATACCCCAAAACATGGCCCTTTGGCGTTCTGAGTATCTTAAGCTGAAATTAATTGAGGACCGTCTTCCACCTCCCTCTCTCCTAGAACAGGCCATTGAAATTGAAATTCCCCTCTTCTTTTTCTTTCCTGAAGTAGGCCATAGCACCTAGGAAGATCCCTCTGACATTCTCCCTTCTTTCTCCCCTGAAGATCCTCATGTTACAGGTATCCTGACTTACATTTGGACAAAAGAAATATTACAGAGAGGCCAAGAAGAATTAGCAAATACAAGATTAGCAAATGCATCTTGCTAATCCTCCCCTGCATCCTCACACCCAGTTTATTATAATTAGATCAAATCCTTCTTCCTCCAATCATACTTCTGCATGACTCTCCATAAAAAATACAGTTTTCCTTGGTCTTCGGGTCTTTATTTCTGAAAACTCAGGTAACATGTAAAATTTATATTGAATAAATGTATATACTTTTCTATTGTTATTCTATGTTTTGTTATAGGAGATTCAGTCATGAACCTAGCTATGGTTGAAGGAAAATAAATGCTACCTTTTCCTCTTACACTTCCATGAATATGAGGGTGGAAGAAAGTTTAGATCTAAAGGGTTGTATGTTTGGGGTCAGGCTATTGTAGGGGACTCTGCACATCCAGGGATTACTAGGAGAGCAGCATCAAAACTAGGAGGCAAGAGGGAAGTGAAGGCACTGAAGGCAGATGTAGAAAGGCAGAAAATAAAAACTGAGGCCGGGCGCTGTGGCTCACGCCTGTAATCCCAGCACTTTGGAAGGCCGAGGCGGGTGGATCACGAGGTCAGGAGATCCAGACAATCCTGGCTAACGCAGTGAAACCCCGTCTCTACTAAAAATACACAAAAAAAATTAGCGGGACGTGGTGGCGGGCGCCTGTAGTCCCAGCTACTGGGGACGCTGAGGCGGGAGAATGGTGTGAACCCGGAAGGTGGAGCTTGCAGTGAGCCAAGATTGCGCCACTGAGCTCCAGCCTGGGCGACAGAGCAAGACTCCGTCTCAAAAAAAACAGAGGGCCAGGCGCAGTGGCTCATGCCTGTAATCCCAGCACTTTGGGAAACAGGAGGGTCGCTTGAGTCCAGGAGTTTAAGGCTACAGTGAACTATGATCACACCTCTGCACTCCTGCCTGGGCTGCAAAGTGAGAACCTGTCTTTAAAATAAAATATAAAAATACAAACATAGGCTAGGTTTATAATTTTTCTAAAGACTGGAAACAAAAGCTGTGGTTCTCTAGGGTTGTAGTGCACTACAAACAAAAGCCAGTGCCCCGTGCTGCTGGTGCTAACACACATACACTGTCACATTTAGTAGGTGTGACCTTGGCTGTTGCTCTCACTTATGTTATCTAATACTAGTCTCCCTGTTGCTATGAAGGCATTTTGTTGATGTGATGAGAATCTACAATCAGTTGACTTTAAGTAAAGGAGATTATTCTCAACAGTTTGTGTGAGCCTCCTTCAATAAGTTGAAGGCCTTAAGAGCAAAAACAAAGGTGTCTCATAGAAGAAGGAATTCTGCCTCAGAACTGCAACATCGACTCCTGTTTGAGCTGTCAGCCTATTGGTCTGCCCCACAGAGTTTGCACTTGCAGCTTGTCAGCACGTACAATCATATAATCCAATGTCTTAAAAATAAGTCTGGGAGGGCAGGGTCTCCCCCACTGAAAGTCAGCTGCATGTACTTCTCTCTCACTTATGCATATTCTGGCCTTCCTATTAACTACAGGGAAGGAGAAATGTCACCTAAAACTAATGTTCAAAGAAACAAGGATCCTTTTTAACGATATCTATGTTTACAGCATACCCAATGACTTAATTGTCATCTTTATTCCATTGCCTTTAGACATGAAATAGTGTCAATAGTCTGAATTCTAAACCTTTGAAAATAATGTCAAATTAAATATTAACAATAATCAAGTCAGTATATTTCATTACCACTAAATGGATTTCAGATATAGTATCTCACTGAGCCGTATAACTTATGAGGTGTATGTTATTATTGTTTCTATTTTATGGATGTTGACATTGTTAATTTGGTTTCTCAAGATTTGAACTTGAGCTTCCATTCATCAAAGTCTAAGCTCTTTCTAAATTTAAGGGACTTCTTACCAACTATCATCTATTAGTAGTTTCTAGTTTCTTGTATCTTACACGTAAGTACTTCTTTATAGCATTGATAGAAAATTCATAATTTGTGTGTTTTGATTCATGATGGTATGAATAACATACTCATTTAATCTAATCTAATCTAATAATTATTTCCAAAAAAGAAGCATGCTACCTCAACAAAGTGCAAAAAAAGAATATTAGAATAAATGTTTACATTATTCTAATATTAACTTTTTTCCCCTTATATACCAGTGAAAAGTGTGAAAATGTTGTTGCATATAAATATTTGGCAATATTATTTGTAGATAAGGTTTTCACAGTTTTATACTGTTTTCAAATAAGTCAGTTATTTTCTGATCAGAAATTGACTGTTACCTCCCTATGACCTCAGCACCATTCTAATTGTTATAAGATATGAAAAAGAATGTCCAAATGGAAATTCCTGGCTTTAAAATTAATAATTAACTCTAACAACCAATGGTTAATGAACATTCACTTTTTGTCGGACACTCTCTTCAGTGTTTTACAACCACTGTCTCCTTTAAACCTATAATGTAAGTGTTCTTATTGCTAGTCCAGGGAAGCTTGCAACAATAAAAAGACTCACTCACTATTACATAAATAATAAGTAGCAGTGCAAGGACTCAGACTCTGGCAATCTGACCTCAAACCTTGAACTTGTAACCACTAAGCTGTATGAACACCCTGGAGAAAAACTAAAACATTTAGTGATGCATAAAGTAGCATGAGATGCAAAACTTTAAATATTCAAATGCCAATATTTAAATGAGGCCAAGAAAAAAGAGACATACTTAGACACAACTTATCCTTCACTGGAATGAAGACCACAAGAACAGGAGCATTTATCTGTCTTGTTTACTGTTATTGTCTTAGCCCCTAATCAATAGCCTGACATATAATAGACACTCAATAGCTATTTCTAAATGAGTTATTTTAGAATAATTAGAAAATCAACAGAGCAATGGGCTGTGAATGTATAGAGAAGAGGAAGGGATCATTACTGGTGGTGGAAATTATGACTTTTTCTTTGGTTATTTTATTCAACTAATAAATATTTATTGAGTTTCACTATGCTAGTGGCCCTTGAGAATAATGAGAAAGTTAGTGTGGGCACTCAACTGTGCTTGGGCTGATAGAAGGACTAGAGTTATCCAAGGTTTTGGAGGAAGCAACTGATGCATACAAGTTTTTATATGGACATCTGTAGACACAGCCTGATCTTGCTTATATCCTGAGCAGCTACCATCACTTGTGAGTAGGTTATAACTTGAGGATTTTGTGTTTCACAATCCGATTTCATATTTGCTGAAATAAAATTCTAGCTAGAAATCATTTAAAAAATGGGCCTATGGTTGCCACAATTGATGAAAATTGAATATAGACTATGGATCAAATGCTCTTATTTTATCAATGTCAAATTTCCTAATGTAGATAATACTAATATGTTTATGTAAAACAATATTTTTGTGTTTAGGAAATACAAATTTAAACGTTTAGTGGTAAAAAAGTACAATACCTTCAGTTTATTTTTAAATTTTTCAGAAACAATATGAATATAGAATAAATTCTAAAGTAAATAGGGCAAAATGTAAACAATTGATGAACCTGGGTAAACCATATACAGGATTTCCTTGCACTACTTACGAAGCTTGTTTTAAATTTAAAATTATATAAAAACAAAACGCTTAAAATGTAAAAAGATGTGTAGATAATATTTTTCTACCCAATAATTCGCTTTGAAAACTTGTTTGATGCTTAAACAGGCAATGCATTAAGAAATCATCATTCACGTTATCATTTTGAAATCGCTTGTAGCCTGCATGGCAATTTTTTTTTGGTCATAACTTCTGCTCTGGCAAAACAGGTTGATGAAGGGAAAGTAAGATATTGTGTTAGACACATTGCATAGATTCTGTTTAAAACATTAGAACTAAGTAGGCCGGGCAAGGTGGCTCACACTTGTAATCCCAGCACTGTGGGAGGCCGAAGCAGGCGGATCACGAGGTCAGGAGATCGAGACCATCCTGGCTAACACAGTGAAACCCTGTCTCTACTAAAAATACCAAAAAATTAGCCGGGCATGGTGGGCGGGCACCTGTATTTCCAGCTACTCGGGAGACTGAGGCAGGAGAATGGCATGAACCTGGAAGGCGGAGCTTGCAGTGAGCCGAGATCTCGCCAGTGCACTCCAGCCTGGGCGAGAGAGCGAGACTCCCTTTCAAAAAAAAAAAAAAAAAAAGACATTAGAAGTATTGAAGGATTAATATGTAATAATCATTTAAGTTAGAACAATTACTCCTATTTTTAGGCGGGTAAAAAGCTGAAAGCTAAAAGTGGCTAGCTAAACTGGTAATTATCCATTGGCAATTATCAATAAATCATAAAGCAAAGAGTCTCAAGTTTGGCGACACAGAAAATGCTAAAGATAACTTTGAAAAATTACCATTTCCTGGGTCTCAACCTGAAAATTCTGACATAGTTTTTCTAGTGTAGGTCTTGAGTACAGTTCTTTTTAAAGGTTCTGTAACCACCCGATAGATTCTTCCTGCCTAGTGCACAAAGACTATATGGCATTGCGTGGTTTAGCTTAACTGATTTGAGGCTATCACACCACATGTAGGATGGAGTTATTACTCGAATCAATCTCATCTAAGCTCATATGTTAAGAGATTTTCAAAGGCAGTTTGGAGGAGGGGTGAGGATGACATAAAAATGGGAGCTTGCTGCTGATAGGATGGGGAAGAGATGAAATCACAGAGGGTCAAAGCTGTCCCCTTGAGCTGAGGTACTTCTAGGTGGGGCCACAGGAGGTATGGTCAGTGGGTCCAGGCAGAGTCGTGGGTGTCAGACATACAAAAAAACTGAAAAGATACCTCAAAAGGCCAATCTATAATAATGATGCAGGACATATCTCATGACAACTTTACAACTTTACATCTTAGCAGAATTCAGGTTCCTCTTCTCCCCCTAGCCTAGTAGCATTTCATTAGCTTTATAAAAGTAGTTAAGTTTTAGGGAAGGGCAGTTATCATCTAAACTATAAACTAAATGTTACCACATACAAAATCCCAAGTAATGAGATCTTTCAACTACAATATGTGCAAGACACTAAATTAATAATTACACCTTACCTAGATAGAGTTTTTAGTTCCACATTCTTAATAGTTTGGATATTGACAAAAACATAGGAAACAACACAAAAACAGCTAAAAATTGCCATAAGACCTATACACAATAATTATTGCAAATATTACTCTCAGGTTGTTACTTCTTTTTATTTTATTTTATTAGGCCTAAGCCCAGGAATAATTAAGGCCACTTGAAAGCTAAAGACAAGTGTGGGGGTGGGCTACATCACATCTATTTCACTGTCACAATTTTCTCACTGATATAATTTTTGCACAGGCAGTTTCAGTTTCCAGGTGACTCTAATATACACCTTGTGTTGAGAAACACAAATGATCTTCAAATAAGAGATTGGATTTTCAAATAAGCTGGTAATCTAACCCCAAATCCTGAGATCCTTCAATCATAATATGTGCAAGAAACTAAATTAATAATTACAACTAACATAAATAGAGTTTATGGTTCCACATTCTTAATAGTTTGGACACTGGCAAAAACATAGGAACCAACTCAAAGGCAGCTAAAAGTTGTCATAAGACCTAAGCACAATAATTATTGCAAATATTACTCTCAGGTAATTAGTTATTCTACTTTCATTCAGTTATACATAGCTTTAATGTACAGTTTCTCAGTTATTGGAATTATTAGAAAATAAAATGAAAATACAAAAGATTATCTGTGGTAGAATCACATGCCTTACCATTGGAACAGCCTAAAGAAACATTTCTAAGAAGAGGCTAAAAGTAGACTGCCTTTGCCAGAGAATAAGTACAACCAATTCTGTTAGAGAATGGAGTCCTGATCCAGACCCCACAACCTGTGCCTTGTGCCGACCTCCAATCTTATTCTGTCACTTAGAATGCCTAACTGTCTGGAATGCAACCCAGTAGGTCTCACCCTTATTTTACTCAGCCCCTATTTAAGATAGAGTTGCTCTGGTTCAAATGCCTTTGACAATTATATGCCTGAAATCCCTGTTTGTCTCAGGTTTTGAAAGAAATGTAAGATCTTTTTATGATCACTAATTACCTATACTCTTGTTACATTGTAGTTCCGAATATATTTCTAAAATGGCCAACAACCATGGCCTTCACAAGCTGCATACTCATTCACAACATCTTCTAAAATTCACTATCCAGCAAAATGTCTTCTTCACCATCCTCTTTTCTAAAATATCTCTGACCTTCTTGCTCTAACTGAAGTCTGGCTGTTCTATGACCTCTGATTCACCATTTGCCTTTTTACCTGGTATCTGCTTCCTCCCTCACAAATCTTGAATTGCTGAGCTTATTATATGTAAAACCTAAATGTCAATGCCCTGTGATTATTAAGGATAAAAATTGTTCTGGTACTTGTTAAAATGGTAAGAAAGACTTTATGAAGAACATTTGAAAAAGGTGTCAAGACGATTGCATTAGAGGTAAGAGATTGAGTTCAACTGTGAATAAACAAAGACAGCTGGAGAATTACATCCAACAGTGAAGGGGTCAGTGGATAAAAAATTAGTAAGAGGAAACTTCTAGAATAAGTGGGTTCTTGCTAAATTGACCTAACAGGATTCTTGCTGAAGGCAGGGTGGGGTGATGAGATATCAAATGTGAGAGATTCTTAATACTAAACTGACTTAGCAAGGTTCTTGCTAAAATGAAACATGTCAAGAATAGAGATCAGGCATATTAACTCATTTAATCACCATTTTAAAAAAACAATTATATACAAGAAAAGTGAGACACAGAGATGCTGAATAACTTGGCAGAGCTAGGGAAAAGCAGTGCACAAATCCAAACCCAGGCCATCTAGCTTCAAGCTTCGAGCTCTTGACCACTGGACTGTGCCGACTTTTTCTGGTAGCATGACTTCTTGAAAGGATAACTGACCACCTTGCTTGAGGAATACTAATGAATACTAATGGGGAGTAATAAAGGTAATTTTATCAGTAGTTTTTAAGAGCTTGTATGCTTGTAGATTAATATTGGGATTACTGTTTAACAATCTCCCAGGGGATCAGAGTTTCCATTGGGTATATTGAAATTTGAAAGTAAATAAAAACTCAAGAATTATTTTGATGTATTGCCATATTTGCAAATTACTTAAGGGTTTGTTCTTGTAAAGCAAAAAGAGGCTATTCGTTAACCTCTATTATTATACCAATGATAGCACAGTAGAAAATAGTTTAACATAATAAATATTGTCATTTTAGAGTGGAGTCTTAGTTCTTGCCAAAGAAATCTGTTTCAGTCATGTGATGAAGGTGAAACATCCCAGGGATATTGACTCTCCTTCTTGTTAGCTTATGGAAATGTTAAGACTATACTTAAGGACATGTAAAACTCCAAGGAGAATTATGTGTCATATTTATTACGTTGTTATATTGATTTTTGGGATAAAATAAAAAATTATTATATAAATATATATTTATCTTTACCAATAAATATTCTTTATTCCAGCTAGCATACAAAATATTTCAAAAGAATCCTAATGTATTATTAAGTGAATGAAGATTGAGCAGGCACTCATAACAATGGGATAATTTAGTTCAACAGACTTAATTAGTATCCATATTCTTCACAAAGGCTTCATATTAACCTGCCCTCCAGGAGCCTTAGGTATCACTTATATATGGTACTCAGTTTAACATGGCCACATACTAATACAACAATAAAGCATATTGTCACTTTAAAATGGACATATTATAGAGAAGTTTACACAAAAATTGAATAATAACATAGGTGATATCAAAAGTCCCTTTTACATTTCAGTGCTAAAACACTTCATTAGCAAAACATGCAATTCTGAAAAAAGAAAAAAACATACACACCTGGTGCTGGCATTTCCACACATACATTTACAAAATGCTTCCAATTAGCATGAAGATGATAATATGACCAGTCTACAGGGCTGTATAATGAATGGTGTTGTTTCAATTAGGAATAATTGATGTATTTATATGCATCCTAGGTGTAGTAGAGCCCCACTAAGGAGTCATCAACTCCATATGACATACTCAAATCATACCCCAATGAAAGCTAATGGCATTCATTAAAATAAAACAGCCCTCATAGAAAGACATTGAGAATTCAAATTCTCTCCTGTAATACAGGATGTGATTACTGGATCACTTTAGCTACAGAGTGACAGGAGAGTAAATATGAATATTTGGAGGAAGGAAATATAACAGTTGCTTCTTTGTTATATTTCTTATCTGTCCACATCAAAATTGACCTTATTATAGTGCTTCCTCTATGTCCAAATTCTCCAAAGCTCTAGAAAACCACCATCGCCCTTGGGATAGCCTCAAATTCATGCTAACTTCAGTATTCAGAAGCATGAACCCTATACTTGTCCATAACTCACCATCATTTTAGATTAATTTCTCCTTTCCTGCATCCAGACAGTTGTGGTGTCCTGTGTATTCTGGGTTACTGAAGTAGCTTCTGATCAGGTTCTCATCATCCCTTACCCTGGAAATTGTGGCAGTGGACTCCTGATTGCTCTGTTATCTCTCCTGTGTAATCTTTCCTGCTCACTGTGGTCCAATTTATCTTCTTAAGTCTCAAGTCAGATAATGTCTGCCCCCTTTAAAAGCACTTGGAGATTCCTTGTTTTCTAGAGAATAAAGCCAAAAATACTATAGTACTCAGTGGTCATGGGATTTCCTTTTTACTTTCAATTATATCCAAATATTTTCACCTTCACTTCCTTACACATCACTCTATCCACTTCCTACTCAAGAAAGAAAGAAAGAAAAGCAGATTTCGGGTATTTCTTTCTACCCAACATTAGAGGCAACTTTAGTTATAAGGACAAACACTGTAATCAATTTGTCAATCTATAGTTATACACTGACCATACACTACTCAATTATTTCTAATCATGATTTCATAAAAGAAATAATTAACTGCCATTACTAGGGGAAACCTTTTCTAATTCGTTGGGAAAGGAAAAGCTAAGATACAGTTACACACACTAAACTTCAGGCAGTTTCTGTTGACCAGAACCTGAGCAAGTCACAAAGTGATTGTGATAGGGAATACACTTAGGACTGCAGGTAGCTGAGATGAGAAGCAAGAGATGGAGGGATATGAGGAAAAACAGTGCATGCATATGTTCTTCTACCCTTCATCTTTTGCCGTCTATGGAGAATCATATACCTGACACAAATGTATGGCTGACACAAGAAGAGCAGGGGTTTGAACTGCTCGGGTCCACTTACAAGTGGGTATTTCTCACCCAGAAATACAGGATTCATAGGATATAAAACTTACATATGCAGAAGGCTGACTTTTCCTACATGCCATTCCATGGGCCAACTTTGGGACTTAAATATGCATGATATATGTGGAAATTCTGAAACCAATTTCCCTTGTAATGAGGGATGACTGTATTTACATAAAACTATATTAATGTTTTAGTGGCTAAAGAGGTTCTATGGTGCAAAGAGGATGAGAATGTCCCTGTGACAAGAGGAATGGATTATGTAATGTTTCTGTGAAAACAACATGGAGCACGTGGAACTGTCTGGACTTGAGTATTCCAGGGTGGCTTCCAGAATCAGAGGCAATGAGTGGAGGAAATATAGTCCCAAGACTATGAAGTAAAGCTCAGATCTAGAGGCCACTGAATAAAGAGGGTATTGGGTACATTCATTACTTATTTTCATAGTCCAACACCATTAATTATCTAATACCAAATTCATAATACCAACCAGGTTACCTACAGTTCAATTCTGCTCTAACGCTACCTGGAGTTAGTGTTAGACTCCACAAGACAAAGGGCTCTGTTGCACAATATCACCCTCAATTCAGATGTCAGCCACAATCCTCAGGGACCATCCAAACTTTTGACAAGCCTGGCTATAAATGTGGGGGTTTCTATGACTCTCTCACTTTTGACAATTCTCTAGAATAACTCAAGGAACTCACTGAAAGTGCTATGCTTGCTTTTGCAGTGTTATTGTAAAGGCTACAAATAGGACATGATTTGGAAGGGTTTTGAACACACAGGTTCTATGCCCCCTCTCTGTAGAGGCAGGGCATATCACCCTCCCTGCACATAAGTGTATTTACCGACCAATCAGGATGCTCCACCAAGCTTCAGAGGCTTTTTGTTTGTTTTATTGGAAGGACATGCCGGCATGATAAATTAGATTAAATCTTGGCCATGTGATTGAGTTCAATCTTCAGCACCCATCCCAACTTCTAATCACATAATTAGCCTTTCTGGGGACCAGCCCTCATCATGAAGCTATCCAGGGGACTCACTTGTCACTTCATTAGTATATCAAAGCCACTCACTCCTATCACTCAGGAAATTCCAAGAGCTTTAGAAGTTCTGTGCCAGGAATCCAGTGGAGAGAAAAATAAGATGTATTTTTTATTATATCGCACCATTGTTTCATCATAGAACTTATTTTGTTACGTACCAAATTTTGCACTACTTTAAACTTTTAAAAATGTGTTCAATGCACATAATGTGGCAGAAATAATAGTAGAAAAAAATCCATATACCCTTTATTGAGTTTCATCTATGATTAACATTTAACCCCATTTGTTCACTGCATCATCTCTCTCATTCCCTCCCACTTCTTCTACACACATGTGCATGCATGCACGCACACAAACCCACGCACATATTTTTGTCTCTCATCTGTTTGAGGATTCATGACATGTGTCATCTGCACTATTCTTAAGGTTAATATAAAAGGCTTTTCTACTTTACTTTCTTCTTTGTCCTTGCAACTGTGGTTATATTTATTAAAGAAAATATTTTTCTTCATTTTGTATTTTTTTTAATATTTTAAATTTCAGGCCAGGTTGCTTTATATTAGTTGTACTAATCAGTTGTTCTCTACTTCTTAAAACAATTCTTTATTAATTTTATACATTGTGAATGCATAAAATTTTATACAAAGTTTATAACTTGTCTTCACTTTAAGGTGTCTTTTAATTTTAATATTTAATATTCATATAGTGAAATATATTCATCTTTTTTAAACTGAAAAGTCTTACAAATTCAAAACCTTTCTCCAGATCAAAATCCAAAATATTTTATAACATCTTTTATGAAGCGTCTTTTCAAATGTTTTTCCCATTATCTATTAATTTTTTTATTTTTTATTTTTCAGTTTTGTGGGTACATAGTAGGTATATATATTTATGGGGTACATAAGATATATAATACTTTGATACAGGAAGGCAATGTGTAAATCAAATTATGTTAAATGGGAGTCCATCCCCTCAAGCATTTATCCTTTTTGTTACAAAAAATACAATTACACTCTTTTAGTTATTTTAAAATGTACAATTTAATTATTATTGACTATAGTTGCCCTGCTGTGCTTTCAAATACTAGGTCTTATTCATTCTTTCTAACATGTTTTTGTGCCCATTAACCATCCCCACTTCCCCACCACTGCTCTAATACTCATTGCACCCTCTGGTAACCATCCTTCTACTCTCTATCTCCATGAGTTCAATTGTTTTAAATAAGTGAGAATATGTGAAGTTTGTCTTTCTGTGCCTAACTTATTGCACTTAACATAATGACCTCCAGTTCCATCCATGTTGTCACAAATTACAGAATCTAATTCTGTTTTATGGCTAAATAGTACTCCATTGTATATATGTACATTTTCTTTATCCATTCATCTATTAATGGACACTTAGGCTGCTTCCAAATCTTGGCTATTGTGAACAGTGCTGCAACAAACATGGGAGTGCAGCTATCTCTATGATATATCTCTTTGGGTAGATTTGCAGCAGTGGGATTGCTGGATTATGGTAGTTCTATTTTTAGATTTTTGAGGAACCTCCAAACTATTCTCCATAGTAGCTGTACTAATTTGCATTCCCACCAGCAGTGTATGAGGGGTTCCTTTTCCCCAGATCCTCAACAGCATTTGTTATTGCCTGTCTTTCGGATAAAAGCCATTTTTACTGGGGTGAGATGATATCTCACTATAATTTTTATTTGCATTTCTCTGAGGATCAATGATGTTGAGCAGCTTTTCATATGTGTGTTCGCCATTCATATGTCTTCTTTTAGGAAATGTCTATTCAGATCTTTTGCCCATTTTTTAATCAGATTAGATTTTTTTCCATAGAGTTATTTCAGCTCCTTATATATTCTGGTTATTAATCCCTTGTCAGACAAGTAGTTTGCAAATATTTTCTCCCATTCTGTGGGTTGTCTCTTCACTTTGTTAATTGTATCCTTTGCTGAGCTGAAGCTTTTAACTTGATGTGATCTCATTTGTCCATTTTTGCTTTGGTTTCCTGTGCTTATGGAATTTTACTCAAGAAATTTTTGTCCACATGAAAGCGGGGGGTTTCTTCAATGTTTTCTTGTAGAAGTCTCACAGTTGAGCACTTAAATTTAAGTCTTAATTCATTTTGATTTGATTTTTGTATACAGTGAGAAATAGAGGTGTAGTTTCATTCCTCTGCATACTGATATCCAGTTTTCCCAGCACCATTTATTGAAGAGATTGTCTTTACCCCAATGTATGTTTTTGGCAACATTGTAAAAAATGCACTGTAGGTGTATCAATTTGTTTCTGAGGTCTCTATTCTGTTCCATGGGTCTATGTATCAAAGCCACTCACTCCTAACACTCAGGAAATTCCATTTTGTATTTTTGGTAGTTATTTTAATTTTCTTTTTACTCATGGTGGTGGGTAAAGATGTTAATGTTTACATGTAGATCTCCAACACCCATTTCCTATTATTCTGAATTGGGGGTCCCCTGGGAGCCAAGGTATCTCTGCTTTTAAAGAAATGCCTCCACATTATCTTGACCCAGGTAATCTTTAAAAACCTGCTTTGAGGAAGTTAATGCTTTTAAATCATCCCTACATCTGTTGTCAAGTTTATAAAGTTTTCCATAAAAACTTTTGTAAAGGAAAATATTTTATAGAGCAAACTATTTACTATGCCCATAAAAAAGAATGAGATTGCATCTTTTGCAGGGACATGGATGGAGCTAGAAGCCATTATCCTCAGCAAGCTAACAGAGGAACAGAAAACGAAACACCACATGTTATCACTTCAATGAGAATACATGGACACAAGGAGGGGTGTTGTGGGAAGTCAGGGACCCCGAATGGAGGGACCAGCTGAAGCCATGGTGGAAGAACATAAATTGTGAAGATTTCATGGACATTTCTTAGTTCCCCAAATTAATACTTTTATAATTTCTTACACCTGTCTTTACTGCAATCTCTGAACATAAATTGTGAAGATTTCATGGACATTCATCACTTCCCAAGAGTATTGATCCAAAAATCAATACTCTTATAATTTCCTATGCCTGTCTTTACTTTAGTCTCTTAATCCCATCATCTTCGTAAGCTGAGGATGTATGTCACCTCAGGACCCTGTGATGATTGCGTTATCTGTACAAATTGTTTGTAAAACATGTGTGTTTGAACAATATGAAATCTGGGCACCTTGAAAAAGAACAGAATAACAGCAATTTTCAGGGAACAAGGGAGATAACCTTAAGGTCTGACTGCCTGCGGGGCCGGGCAGAACAGAGTTATATTTCTCTTCTTGCAGAAAGCAAACAGGAGAAATGTCGCTGAATTATTTTCCCAGCAAGGAATAGCCCTGGGAAAGGAATGCATTCCCAGGGGGAGGTCTCTAAAATGGCCACTCTGGGAGTGTCTGTCTTATGCAGTTGAAGATAAGGGATGAAATACACCCTGGTCTCCTGCAGCACCCTCAGGCTTGCTAGGATTAGGAAATTCCAGCATGGCAACTTCTAGTCAGACCAGTTGTCTGCTCTCAAACCTGGTTTCCTGTTAAGATGTTTATCAATGACAATGCATGCCCAGCGGGACATGGAACCTCATCAGTAATTCTAATTTCGCCCTGGCCTTGTGATCTTGTTCTGCCATTTGCCTTGTGATATTTCATTGCCTTTTGAAGAATGTGATCTCTGTGACCCACTCCCTGTTCATAACCCCCTGCCATTTTGAAATCCCTAATAAAAATAAAAACTTGCTGGTTTTGTGGCTAAGGTGGGCATCACGGAACCTACCAATAGGTGATGTCACCCCTGGAGGCCCAGCTGTAAAATTTCTCTCTTTTGTACTCTTTCTCTTTATTTCTCAGACTGGCCAACACTTAGGGAAAATAGAAAAGAACCTTTGTTGAAATATCGGGGGCCGGTTCCCCTGATAGAGGGGAACAATGCACACTAGGACCTGTTGAGGGATGGGGGAAGGGAGAGCATTAGGATAAATAGCCAATACATGGAGGGCTTAATACTTAGGTGATGGATTGAGAAGTGCAGCAAACCACCATAATGATAGCAACAGGAGGCAGCCAAATGCCTAGGCAGATAGGGGAGGGTTCCCAGTGAAACACCACCTCCAAGTTGAAAACAGTTTAAAGCCTGAAAGCCAAGCTACAAGTTAAATCCTCAGACTGGATTGAGAACTTGTCTTCCTATTTGGTGTGCTTTCCTCTGATTGATCCCCACTCTTCACCTATTTTACATATACGTACTCTTTCCTAACTGGTTTTATACACTGTTGTGTCCACCTTTGAATGGTGTTTCTGCTTTAACCTTTTTTGCATACTCACAAACAAATCAATACACATTCCCCATTCTGAGGTCATAAAAGCCCCGGGATCCAGCCACACAGGGGATTTTCCCACCTTCAGGTAGGGGAACCACCCACCAAGTCCCCTCTTTGCTGAGAGCCTTCCTTTCACTTAATAAATTCTTCTCCTCTCACTCTCTGGTGTCTGCATACCTAATTTTTCCTGGTTGTGAGACAAGAACTTGGACCTAGCTGAGCTAAGGAGCAGAAAGATCACAACAATGACACACGTTTACCTATGTAACAAAACAAAACTGCATGTTCTGCACATGCATCCCAGAACTTAAAATAAAATAAAATTTTAAAAACCAGCATGCAAATGAAACAAAAAATAGAAGAAAACAATTTAGTGAAGTTCTTTTTGCTCTTTATTGTGCAAATATCAATAAATTAGATTGTATCTACTGTATGCTTCTCTCATTTGATGAAATATGGCAGTTTCAGATACTACAAAGTTTAACATGTATTCTCTATAGTAAAAAATACTGTACACAAGTATTTTTAGTTTAATCTCTGTCTGAGGCTGGATTTTCTGTAAGCAAAACCTAAGATAAGGATTTGATTCCATGTGATATTTTTTTAAGATAGTGCTCTCAGTAGGCACAGCTTGATGGAATCAGGACAGAGAAAGAAACTAAACCCATGAGTGTCTCAGCTAGAGTATAGCTCCAGCCTGATCCCCAGGATAACTCTGGACAATAAATTTTACAGCACAGAGGAAAAATCCAAAGCATAGAATCTGGGCTTTTGTAATCTCATGCCAGTTAGTCATTTGATACCACCAGTAGCAAGGGTAAGGGACATAACTTCTCAAGCAAGGCAGCTTCCATTTGGCAGAGGGAAATTACCTAGAGATGAGTGCAGCTGTGTGAGCATTAGCAAACAATAACCATTGCAGCAGGGGGCAGGTGCATCAACTCTATAAAGGGGATCTGGGAAAAGCACCAACCGGGTCCACCACAATCTCAGTATCCCAGTGATTATTTGTCAACTATTTAGCAGAGAACAATCCTGTTCTGAACACCATGTTATCACATCAGATGCCCAGAAAATGTTTAAATTAGGCATCATAATTTTGGGTAGCCCTTGAAATATACCCGTTTGCATGACTTTAGTAATTAAACTTTAAAAATGAGCAGACAGCTACTGTAAGAACATTTTTAAGGTGATGCATGCTGTAATGCGATGTTCCAGAGTGGAAACAGAAGGCTGTTAATCTGTATCCTCAATGTCACCAGACACTGCTTCTTCTCTTTCTACTCACTATCTTTAATTGAAGCTATTTATTCATCGCTCCTCCACTTAAATACACCTGCTTTGTATTTTATTCAAATATATGTTCCTGTTTCTTTTCTATTCAGTAAATGCTCAATTCATGGTTAATGAGCAACTAAATATACATATGAATATACCTAGGTATATTATAAATATACATATATATATTACTGTAACTGTGATACGGCACTTGTCTCCAACATTTCTTTTATGTGACAAAGAAGGAAGACAATCATATAGAACAGTGATTAGTTTAAATAAGATATAATTTACTGCTATAATTGGTTAGATGGGCTGTGACTAGGAAGCTAATGAAATGAAAAGCAGTCAAACTTGGTGAAATATTTTTTCTCACTAAGTATCAACAAGTACTAGAAATCCTGTTGTTATCTAAATAAAGCAATAATATTCCTACTTGGAGGAAAAAAACAGAAACGAATGGAAATTGTTCATTCATAAATTCAGTGT
Organism: Homo sapiens; assembly: GCF_000001405.40. Classification (NCBI taxonomy): domain Eukaryota; kingdom Metazoa; phylum Chordata; class Mammalia; order Primates; family Hominidae; genus Homo; species Homo sapiens. The sequence goes on from NC_000018.10 coordinate 43,442,204, forward strand.
AAATACATATTTTCAGGTGGTGGGCTAAATATGGAACGGGGAGAAGAATCTGTTTTGCTTCTAAGCTAACACGTTCACACATCTTTTTTTTCTTTTCCAATTTTTCAGATTCTTAGTACAGATGGTATACCAGGTGGTTTAAAAATCTGCCTGACAACAACAACAAAACTCAAGTAATCACTCCTCTTCTGCAGATGTTGATTTTTGTTCTCACGGCAGCTACCAAAATCAGAAACTTCTTTTCCCCTTAACATAAAAACATGCATTTTTAGTTTATTTATACTCAAACCTTAATCCAGAAATGATTTCAAGTGGCTTATAATGATATCTAAAAACAAACATTTTGTTCACTTAATTATGTTCTGAATCTGTGTTAGTTTCTATTTTCTGAATATTTTAGCAGTTGCCTAAATATTGATTGTAGAAACTAGGATTTGATTTTTATCTCTGAACCTACAGGGATTCCCATTTTCTATCTTGCACCGTCAGTGGCCAGAGCTTAATATTTATGACTCATCATTTAGAAATAACATCTCTGATGCAAACAGATGGCATTTATAGAAATGGTGTTGGGGCTCTCTGCCAACACTGGGACATTACATAGCAAAGGAGGCATGTCAGGAACAAGCATGAAAGTTGGAGATGAGACAGCCCAGGTAAGCATTAAATTGGACATCTAGACATGTTGATGAGACAACTAGATACTTGACATGATTGGAAGATTATGGAAACATGTTACCAATGACAGTCAATAAAGTACTGCATTCAGCCTAATTAATCTTTTTTCTTTAAATGCTATACCTGTTTGCGTTGTTAGTACCAAACATTAACTTTTATAGGATCATAATTTGATAAATGTTTATTAGCAGTAAACATAGACTAAATATTTTAACCAGTCAAAATGACCTATTTTTATTAAGTTGGATGCTGCATATGCTCATTTGAAATGCACTAGTACATAAACTTGGTATTCCAAAGAACTTGAAATTCAGAGGTTATAGAGAAGAATAGTTAGTTTCTTCAGCTCTTATTTCATGGATACTTATAAGGGATGGGTTTTGAGAGTCAAGGAGAAATGCACTAATGGCTACGACCTCCATCAGTACTTGCTAAATAAAAATTAAAATTCACTTGAACATGCTCTACTTAATTTGAAAAATATTTAATATCCAGTGGTATATAACATAAAAAATTGAGCTGATACTAGGATAAATCCTGCTGTAATAAACAGAAAGCTCTTTCCGTATGGCTGATACTACACTAGGTGAAGAGGATTCAGTAATGAAAGAGTAAGACATGGTCTCCTGTCTGGCTTCATGGGGCTCATAGTCATGTGGGTCACAGCCAAGGGTGATTAGCTTCCTTAGGTAGGATGTGGACGAGAGTCAAATAGTGTAGGTGTGTGTGTGCCTGGGTTGGGGAAAGGCGGTGTGTGCTACTGATTGACATAATGACTGAGCAGTGCTATAGGTCTTCAATAGGTAAGGCCTAGTCATGGTAAACATCTTGTGCTGCCTGGGAGAGACCCATGCAATGAAGAATTGCCTTCCCAAAATGCTTATAGTGTCCCTTTTGAAAAATACTACAGGAAAAAAAGACAATGTGCACTTAAAATATGGTGTACTCATATAAAAAATAAAATACAGAATTACAGCACAAATGAACATTACAGCATATATTAGAAATGTCTAATCCAACCTTACAGCTTTAAAGGATCAGGGATGGTCTTTCAAAAGAAAATGCAACTGAAGAAACAATAAAATTGAATCACATGAAATGTAGTTGGAAGGAGGTAGCTACAGTCTTGAGCAAAAGCCTGCAGGCAGGAGAGATGTTCCATATAAGGAACAAAAGTTAACATGTATAGCTGAGATTAGACTGCCAGGTAGGAAGTGCCAAGAAATGAAACTGGAACAAGGACCAGGGCCAGGTTTTGCAAGGTCTTATAAGGTGTGCTATGGAATCTGCAAGTTCACTGGAGGAAAACAGAAAGTTACTGAAGGAATTTCATTCAGGAAGGAATATGACCCTAGCTGAAGTCTAAAATTGTTTCACTTTAATTTGAAGAAATAATGGGATGTTCTCTCAATAGCTTTTTATCTTTGCACTAAATTATTTCTGCTACTGCTGTCAATAAGCATTAAAAGTTAGGGATGCACAAGAAAGTAGAGAAGAGGAGATAAACGTTGTATCAGAACATCAATTGGATGCCTAATGTGGATGGGGCATTTGTACAGCCAGGACTTACACTGTTTCATAGTAATAAAATGCAAGCCACCTAGGTAATCCTAGATTTACTAGTAGGCACGTTAAAAATTTACAAAGGAATAGGTAAAATTAATGTTAAAATATATTTTATTTAAATCATATATTCAAATATGATCTCAACGTGCAACCAATATAAAAATTTACGAGATATTTTACTATTTTATTATTTACATACAGAATCTTAGAAATGCAGCAAACATATTACACTTGTAGCATGCCTCTGTTTCTACTACCCACTTTTACATGGTCAACTACCACATGTAGATACTGATTCTCACACTGGACAGCACAGGCATAATGCTTGTTCGTGATGAGAGAAGAAAAAGTTTGATTATTTGCTATATAACTGAATAAAACAGACTTTTCAAATGCTGAAGTGGGAACTAAGCAAAAGTAGAATCCCTATTTGTATCAATTGATTAGAAGGGAGAAAAAGGGAAAACATCATGACTCATTGTTTTCTCCCTGCCTATGGATAACTATTAGGCTGACTTTATGTAAACACGGATGATTGTTCTCTTCACAAATCAGGGCACTGTGATTTCTTTTTTTCTTTTAAACCAAACAGCTACTATAAAACTAAACAGTAAGTGAAAATTTGTATTTATTATAGTGCTTTGTTTGATGTGAATGTTCAAATACTGAGATAAGCATAAATAGATTGGAAATAGTATTCATTCAAAACCTAATAGCCTGATACAAATTCAAATATTACCATCATTTTAATTCAAAATATTATATACTATTTGAATTCTGGCTGTGAAGAACAGAAGAAAATTGCCAGTTCTGTGCTCTATCACAGTAACTGAGATATATAACGGTGACTAGAATATAATAAAAATATCTAAAGTTTCAAGAGATTATATAAGGTAATATAATCTTAATATAATAAACATTAAGATTAAATATGTTAATTCATTTAATCTTCATAACTGTTCTATGAGATGGACATTGCCATTAAAGTCATTTTATGGATGAGTAAATAACAGTTCCTAGAGACTAAATTATGTATAAACATAGATACAACTTAATAAAGATCATTAATTTTATTGTAGGTGGGAAATTCAGGGATTTGAACCCACAGAGTTTAGTTCTACAGCGATTTTCTTCATTATTACTGAATATTGCATTCAATAGTTATTTGTTGAATGAATGAAGCATCAATTTTCTCACGAAATGTGTTGCATTTGAATATGACACACAATGATTTTAAGGGTAAGAGAAGGAAGCAATACAGTTGGGTCGTGAATGGCTTCAAGGGAAAAGTAGGACTTAAGTGGAACATTGGGGGATAAGGAAGATTTAAACATGCTGAGTACCATATCCAGTGTATTTTGTGCATAAAGAAGCATAGAAGTAGAGTGTGAAGCAGGTGATTAACTTGGATTTCAGGCAACAGTGCAGTCACAGTTCAGAATGGTCCACATGAAAGACCAGACTTAACAGTGGTTCAGATGTGGGCTTTGGAAAATGCAGTGGTTCCCTTCTGTCTTCTCTGTTTAGTCCAACATAAAAGACTATTTCAAGGGGAGAGTGTCCTCAATCTATGGACCTCCTTGTTGTATAGAATATATTAGCCTGGCTGTTGTCCCTTTTGGGTTCATATGTTTTTGGCATGAATCTTTCCAATATGAAATGCACAGGCACATGATACATAAGGCAAGATTGAGTAAATACTAGGGCTCACAACCTGTAAAGTATCCAAGTGTTCCAGGAATTCTTCTTGCATGTTCCAACCTCTTTCCACTGTACCACCTCCAGATTTGATTTGATGTTCTGGCTTTTGTGTTCTGCTCCACATTTCACCATCAAATCTTATCTACCCGGACAGATATTTTGCTGCGATTGAAAACCCTGTCATAAGCATCCTTGCATTCCCGATGCCTAGCACTGAAGGTGGCATATTGGAATAATTAATTGTACCACAGTTATGAGCAAAGACTCCATGTGCACCCTGTACAGCTTTGGCTCTTGTCACTGCCACTTATCAGCTGTGTGACCTTGAACAAGTTACCTACACATAGAGTTATTGTGAGGACTAGGTGAGTTAAATATATGCAATGCCCTAGATCAGTACCTGGGTCATGTAAGTGTTATATAAGATTCACTGTTATATTCGTTATTGTTTTTGAACTGAATTTTAAGGGGTAAAAGAACTCTCTTTTATGCAGAGATCTGTCTGCCTTACCCTTCCCTTATATGGAAATTTTTAAAATTTTTATGCTAAATGTAGTAGACTTTTACTCTATAGTCATTTGTTTCCATTATTAGGACTGTAATTAGAGGAGAAGCACCAAAATGGCTGTCTAGAAACAGTTAATACACATTGATACAGATTGCTTTCATTGAGAAGAGACAGAGTGGTGAGTAAACATTAGTTCTTCAAGTGGATCATCCAGGGGCCCACATTGGGGTTCATCAAGGAAGCAATGGTGACCCATGGAGAGCAGAGACCAGTGAGACATGATGGCCACCCACCTGGGATTGGCACAGATCCAAGGGAGGCTCCCTACTGGAAGGGAAAGTGTGAGTAAACAAGAGCCCTTAGGTACCCACACTTCTGCCATAAGCCTTTACAACCTTTGGCATGGGAGATTCCCCCTGACCCTCTGGGACTCCAGACTAACATGGAGAGCTGCCTGGAGTCTGGGGAGAGCTGCTGGTGAAGCCCACATGAAGCTCCATGGGTCTTGGATCCCTGAGCACCCCAGCACCAGCTGCCGTAGCTCCACAAAAAAGGAAAGCCAGGCTCTTTCACACATCCCTAGGAAAGGGACTGAATCATGAAGCTGGGGAGCAGATAGACTGCAGGCCCTGGCCCCACTGCCCCTTGCCAGGTAAGGCCTACTGGCCGGGGCCCCAATGCAGCTACTCCATCCTTACCTGAGCACTCCAGCTCATTGCTGTCCTGCATTTCTCTGGACTTGAACCCCCAGAGTTAACACAGGCCTGCTGCAATTACTGCTGCCATGGGCCCCATCCCTGTTGCTGAGAACTGTCACTGACTCCCAGCACACTACAGCTGCCATCCATATGGCCAGACTGTTTTCCATGTGGGTGCCTGTCTCTGCTACTCCTCACTGGGCAAGGCCTCCTGGTCTGGACCACCAGCACAGCTGCCGCATCCCTGTTGACGGCAGCTGTGCCTTTCTCTGGGGTGGAGCTCCCAGAGACAAATGACAGTCTCTCTGCCATTACCACCCTTGCTCATGTCAGGCTAGCGAGAGAATAAACAGCCTGATTGCTTTTGCATGCCTAGAACATTCAGAGGCCATCCTATGGAGAAGAGGCCAGACTATCTTCTGCATGAACTCCTGATATTCCTCCTCTTCACCAGGCAGAGCCCCCAAGCTTGGACCCTCAGCATGGTTACCTTATGCCCAGCTGATCATCTCATTGGCAGAGAGTCTGCATTTCCCTCAAGTGGAGTTCCCTGTGGCAACTGACAGCCCCTCTGCCACTACCCCTACTGTGATACCTGCCCTTGCTACCTCTAAGCAGTGGGAGGGCACAAAAATCCTGATTGCTTTACTCACATCTTTAGCATGCCACCATCAACCTACAGAGAAAAGGACAGGCTGTCTTACCAGTAAGTCCCTGTCCACCACTCTTCACCAGGCAGGGACCCTCAGCTTGCGCCAGCAGCAGCCATTCCATTCCCAGTTGATATCTCCAGTTGATAGTGGCTCTGTGTTTCTCTGGGGTGGAGCTGTCAAAGGCAACTGACATCTCCTCTGCCTTTGCTGCCACTACAGTCCCTGCACCTGCTACTACCAAAGGGAACAAAAAGCCTGGGTGTGATGTGCAGCTTGGGAGTGCTGAGCAGAGATCTGTGGCCAGTACTTGAGCACAGACTCTCAGAGCACTGAGAAGAGTGAGTCAAGTGGGTTCGTGGGCTGCTGCAGCAGTGGGGCATGCCTTCCTCCAAACGGCCAGCCCAGAAAAGGTGTAGTCTGTCTCCCTGACATGATGTCTGCCTGAGGGAACCCTGTGGCCTGGAACACCTAACAAAAGAAATAAGCGAGCACTGCCAGTGAGTGGAGGGGGCTCCCCCAAGGCCTAGGAGTGAACCTGGTGAGTAGGTCTCCTCTCCTCTGTATAATAGAGTCACACGGCTGAGTGAGAGCCTATCTACTGCCATTTACTCTTAAGCACTTTCTACTAGATTACATCCCAAACTACACCACCAAAAAAAAAGTGTTGCTAATATACTCCCCTGTGAAATCAAGGGCAAGAATTCAGCCACACACACATCCTTGGCCATCTGAAAACTTACAGAAATGAAGTACACTGACAATACCCAATTTATATTACAGTTAAAGGAATACAAACCCTCCCAGATGAGAAAGAATCTACAAAGGGCTAATATTCAAAATCTACAAAGAACTTAAACATATTTACAAGAAAAAATCAACCCCATCAAAAAGTGGGCAAAGGATATGAACAGACACTTCTCAAAAGAAGACATTTTTGCAGCCAACAGACACATGAAAAAATGCTCATCATTACTGGTCATCAGAGAAATGCAAATCAAAACCACAATGAGATACCATCTCACACCAGTTAGAATGACGATGATTAAAAAGTCAGGAAACAACAGGTGCTGGAGAGGATGTGGAGAAATAGGAACGCTTTTACACTGTTGGTGGGAGTGTAAACTAGTTCAACCATTGTGGAAGACAGTGTGGTGATTCCTCAAGGATCTAGAACTAGAAATATCATTTGAGCCAGCGATCCCATTACTGGGTATATACCCAAAGGATTATAAATCATGCTACTATAAGGACACACACACACATATGTTTATTGTGGCACTATTCACAATAGCAAAGACTTGGAACCAACCCAAATGTCCATCAATGATAGACCGGATTAAGGAAATGTGGCACATATACAGCATGGAATATTATGCAGCCATAAAAAAGTATGAGTTCATGTCCTTTGTAGGGACACAGATGAAGCTGGAAACCATCATTCTGAGTAAACTATCGCAAGGACAGAAAACCAAACACCGCATGTTCTCACTCATAGGTGGGAATTGAACAATGAGATCACTTGGACACAGGGTGAGGAACATCACACTCCCGGGCCTGTCAGGGGGTGGGGATATGGGGGAGGGATAGCATTAGGAGAAATACTTAATGTAAATGACGAGTTAATGGGTGCAGCAAACCAACATGTCACATGTATACATACGTAACAAACCTGCACATTGTGCATATGTACCCTAGAACTTAAAGTATAATAATTAAAAAAAGGACAGAAAAAATCAATAATTTATAACAATTAACAAATAGTAAGAAAGGTACCAAATTGTATGAGGGTGCTTATTTCTTCAAATTTTACTTTAATTCAGGTTTTTTTTTTTTTTTTTTTTTTTTTTGGATAGAGTCTTGCTCTGTCACTCAGGCTGGAGTGCCGTGGAGCGGTCTCGGCTCACTTCAAGCTCCGCCGCTCCGGTTCACGCCATTTTCCTGCCTCAGCCTTCCCAGCAGCTGGGACTACAGGCACACGCCGCCAGGCCCAGCTAATTTTTTTGTATCTTTAGTAGAGATGGGGTTTCACTGTGTTAGCCAGGATGGTCTCGATCTCCTGACCTCGGGATCCGCCCGCCTCGGCCTCCCTTTAATTCAGGTTTGTCATAAAAATACGGTATTGGCCGGGCGCAATGGCTCACACCTGTCATCCCAGTACTTTGGGAGGCCGAGGCAGGGAGATCACAAGGTCAAGAGATCGAGAACATCCTGGCCATGGCCAACATAGTGAAACCCCATCTCTACTAAAAATATAAAAATTAGCTGGGTGTGGTGGTCCGCATCTGTAGTCCTAGCTACTCTGGAGGCTGAAGCAGGAGAATCGCTTGAACCTGGGAGGCAGAGGTTGCAGTGAGCTGAGATTGCACCACTGCACTCCAGCCTGGAGACAGAGCGAGACTCCATCTCCAAAAAAAAAAAAAAGACATAAAAATGGCCAATAAACATGAAAAAATTCTCATCATCACTAATTATCAGAGAAATGCAAATCAAAACCACAATGAGATACTAATACCAATCATAATGCCTATTATTAAAATGTCAAAAAAGAAACAGATGCTGGTGAGGCTGTGAATAAAAGAAAATGGTTATACACTGTTGGTGGAAATGCAAATTAGTCCAGACACTGTGGAAAACAGTGTGGAGATTTCTTAAAGAGCTTAAAACAGAGGTAACATTCAACACCACAATCCCATCACTGAATACATAGCCAAAGGAAAACAAATCATTATACCAAAAAGACGCATGCACTCATATGTTCATTGCCACATACTTTGCTATTCACTATGGCAAAAACATGGAATCAAACCAGGTATCCCTCAATGGTCAATTGGATAAAGAAAATGTGGTACATGTACACCATGGAATACTATGCAGCCATAAAAATAATAAAATAATGTCCTTTGTAGCAGTATGAATAGAGCTGGAGACTATAATCCTAAGTGAACTAACACAGAAACAGAAAAACAAATGCTCCATGTTTTCACTTATAGGTGGGAGCTAATCACTGAGTACACATGGACATAAACATGGGAACAATAGACACTAGACTACTAGAGGGTGTCAAGAGGGGGCATAGGTTTAAAAACTACCTATTGAGTACTATGCTTACTATCTGGGTGCAATATACCCATGTAACAAACCTGCACTTACATATCCTATATGCATAGTTGACATTTTTAAAAAATCTCATAACTTGAGTAATTTGTATTTTTGATATGTTACTTTTTTGTCATTCCAAATTATAGCAAGTTAATCTCTTATACATTTATTAACTTTTTTACTATTTGTAAATAGGATATACGCTACTAAAAATTGAGACAGTAATTAATGAAGTAAAATTTTAAAGCATTAAAAAATAAGTCAATAAAAATATATACTTTTAATGTAGGTACAATATCTTCTATAAACAATTCACAATCCTGTACATAATTTGTCGATGTTGCTTGAGCATTTTAGTTTCATTAATATGGGCTAATATGAAATTTCTGCCTTTCATCATTTTAGGGAAGCTTTGACATATTTCTTCCTTGTTTGCCAAGAGAACTTTGGTGTCCTTTAATGCCAATGCTTTTTAAAAACATGGGAGAAAATTTTCGCAACCTACTCATCTGACAAAGGGCTAATATCCAGAATCTACAATGAACTCAAACAAATTTACAAGAAAAAAACAAACAACCCCATCAAAAAGTGGGCGAAGGACATGAACAGACACTTCTCAAAAGAAGACATTTATGCAGCCAAAAAACACATGAAGAAATGCTCATCATCACTGGCCATCAGAGAAATGCAAATCAAAACCACTATGAGATATCATCTCACACCAGTTAGAATGGCAATCATTAAAAAGTCAGGAAACAACAGGTGCTGGAGAGGATGTGGAGAAATAGGAACACTTTTACACTGTTGGTGGGACTGTAAACTAGTTCAACCATTGTGGAAGTCAGTGTGGCGATTCCTCAGGGATCTAGAACTAGAAATACCATTTGACCCAGCCATCCCATTACTGGGTATATACCCAAATGAGTATAAATCATGCTGCTATAAAGACACATGCACACGTATGTTTATTGCGGCACTATTCACAATAGCAAAGACTTGGAACCAACCCAAATGTCCAACAATGATAGTCTGGATTAAGAAAATGTGGCACATATACACCATGGAATACTATGCAGCCATAAAAAATGATGAGTTCATATCCTTTGTAGGGACATGGATGACATTGGAAACCATCATTCTCAGTAAACTATCGCAAGAACAAAAAACCAAACACCGCATATTCTCACTCATAGGTGGGAATTGAACAATGAGATCACATGGACACAGGAAGGGGAATATCACACTCTGGGGACTGTGGTGGGGTCGGGGGAGGGGGGAGGGATAGCATTGGGAGATATACCTAATGCTAGATGACACGTTAGTGGGTGCAGCGCACCAGCATGGCACATGTATACATATGTAACTAACCGGCACAATGTGCACATGTACCCTAAAACTTAGAGTATAATAAAAAAAAAAATAAAAAAAAAAAAAAAATAAAAAATAAAAAAAAAAAATAAAAACAGTTTACCCTCAGTTTTGTAGAAACACAGTAGCCAGGGCAGATGTGGGAAGGGTGGAGTTTGGGAGTTAAAGGTAGCCAATGGGGAGGAGGGAAGGGATCCTTTCCTGTGATCACTGACAGATTTCTCTACTCTCAAATAAGATGCCCTGCAGGCTCAATGGGATGCCACGAATTCTCACTGAATTTATGATAATTGATGACTGCCTCTATGAGTCTCTTCATGTAAAGTTTCTTCTCATATATTCCATCCCAACTATTTGGGGAGGAGAAGCCTATAGAACACTATATACACTTTTTTTTTTTTTTTTTTTTTTTTTTTGAGAGGGAGTCTCGCTATTTTTGCCCAGGCTGGAGTGCAGTGGCGCGACCTCCATTCACTGCAATCTCTGCCTCCCGGGTTCAAGAGATTCTCCTGCCTCAGCCTCCTGAATGGGACTATATATACCTTTTAAATATAATACCTTGTGGCTATCTGTGCTTTTACGTTTCAGAATTCCTCCTATTATCTGTTTTAATAATTCTGGCAAATCTCATCTTTCCTTATCCAGACATGGTTTTTATTTTTCAATTTTATTTTAGGTTCTGGGGGTACATATGTAGATTTGTTACATGAGTAAACTGCATGCCACTGAGGTGTGGTGTAGAAATGATCCCATCACCCAGGTAGTGAGCAGAGTACCCGATAGGTAGTTTTTCAACCCTTGCTCCCCTTCTCCTCTTCCCCCTCTAGTAGTTACCCCCTCCAGTGCCCAGTTTTTATCATTTCCACCTTTAGGTCCATTTGTACTCAACAAACGTACATTTTCATGCTCTAATTTGAGACGCAGCTCAGACTTTTTGGCCTCTAAACTAATAAGCCTGATCTGGACTCTATAGCTGCATGAGGTGCTCTATTTGTGTACAGTGTGCATACTGATTAACAGGTCAAAAAAATTTTACCTACTTTGAGGTAGTATTACATTTCATGGATCTCCACTTTAACACCATATTTTGTATGTAGTTATGTTTTATAAATTTTTCTTATAAAATTTCTGAGTAATTGAACACTTTTGTAATCTTTTTATTTTAAACTAAAAGAATTGACATTAACCTACAAAGAATTCTGTACTTGAAATAATTATGTATAACTGCCTCCAAATAGAAGTGATGCGGTGACAGAGGTTTGGAAACTCTGAAAGGCAATTTTTTAAGTGACTCTGAGCAGAGAAGTGTGTTAAACAAAAGCTCCTTCTTCATAGATATATTATCTGTTGGCACTGTGTTTTATATTGCAAGTACTGGAATATATGTATTTCCAGAATACAACAGATAAAAATTCCAAAATGGACTTATACTTTACATGAAAATATCGAATGTGTTGAAATTTTCACAAAGTATGGATATACCTGATGCAAACATATTGGAACTGGGCTATCATGTAAATAAATAACCCTATGCCATAGATGTTCTGCTTCTATGACAATACAACTGTAAATGAGCAAGAGTAGTAGAAACACAGGTAAGAAAGTTGAAAATCCAAAATTGTGCATTTGATCTGAGCAGCAACTCATTTAATTTTCATTTATTAATCTTATGTTTTGTTTTCTTAAAAACATGGAAAGAGAATAAAATACGGAGTATGGAACTGTTTTCATCTTTGGGACTCACTGACTGGTGAACTTAATCAGGTCAATTGACCTATTAGATTTCAGTCTCCTTATCTGTAATATGAGGACAAGAGTGTAAATTCTTCAGGTTCTCCTCCTCACTTTTTAGCCACTTTAAAGGCCAAGGTCATCCATTATAATCTTCTCTTTGCATGCTGTCTTAAAAGTGATGGGAACTTCTCAGTTCCTGACCCTGGTGTATGATGTTAGCTAATCCCAATTTTGGTGATGCTAACTTCAATCACTTGATTAAGGAGGCTTGCACCATAAATCTGGACTATAAAGTTGACATTTTACACTTCAAGATAATCACTTTGGGGGATATTTTGAAAAAAAAATCATGCTTCTTGTCAAATAATCATCTACCAGTTTTAAAATATCTTGATGATTTTCTAACTCAATCATTCCTTTTATTTCTAAGACAGCTTTTCTTTCTTTCCATTTATTTATTCACTGACTTATAACAATATGCTTTCATGAAATCTTGCTTCTTTTTTATTGTCATTATTTATTTTGATGCTCAAGTTGTCCCAGGTTTTTCCAATGGGACCACCTTCAACCTAGTCCCTGTGTATTTTTGATGTGTCCGTGAACATTTCCTGACTTTCTGAAGTTACAGCTCCATCAGTACCTCAATGGACTCAGTGCTTGCATGAGCCTTTCTTGTTAATGAGTTATTTTTCCTTTTAACTAATGATAGTATTTAGAAATGAAGATCTTGGTACTATGAGTACTCTTTGCTTCCAGCGTGTCATTGTTTATTGGCCCTCTTTGGCTAGGGGTTTTCATGATGAATGGATATTTCTGCCTCCAGGAAGAAAGGAGTCTTACTTATGGGGCTTACCTAGTGTTTTTACCTTTTCTCAAAGATCACAGTCCTGTGCTTCATAGTATAACAACAAACAGACATCTTCTACATTTTCTGCATTTTTTACTTTTGTATTTTTAAAAGGATTAGCAGGTACTAATTGCTGTGTCATGAGATTGGAGTAAGCTTTTGTTTATTTTAAAGCAGATGAGAAACTTTGAGAGAATAAAATTTTAACAAATGTTTTGTCTAAATCAGTTCTGCTTATCAGAAACAAAGAAAATAAGTGGGTCATTAATTAGAAAAACTATTCTATAAACATGGAGAATTTCTCATGAGCTAAAGCTCTAAATATTCCACATAAATCCCCCAATGGCCAAGATCTGGCCTCTGTAGGACACCAATTAAAAATGACTCTGCTTCAATTAAGTTAAACTTGTTATTCTGATACAAGTATGCAAAGCCCCACACCTCTTCAACTGTAGGCAGAGAAGTGAAGGAAGTGAAGAATGGAAGTTTATAAATTTCACATCTTTCAGTTTGTCCTCTCTTTATGAGTACATCAGAGTTAGAGGAATTCACCTTTTTTAAGGTACCTTAAGACTAAATAGAGGAAGGCTGGAAGGCTGGATAGATGTAAAATATTTTTCCAGGCACAGCAAGTTCTTTCCTTCAAATAGTCAATTCCATCCAAATGGTAGTTACATCCAATTATTAAATATAATTTTTAATGTAACTTCCTGAAAGATATTGGTGAGTTGTATTATTTTATATTACTAGGTACCTAGTTAATGTACACTAGTCAAGTTGGTATATGCCATTCAATGAAGATGAGAGACATTAATTTAGTTATCTACCCATTATTTAATAAATAGGTGAAGAGTTGGGAATATAAAATTCTGTGATAAATCTTGGTTATACTATTATGGTATTTATTTAATTGGGTAAAATAATTTACTTATTAGCATAATATACTCAGAGTGATTAATTGCTAATATTTCATTAATTTTTATAGGCCAATAAGAAAATTTACAGCCAAGGCAAAATTTAAGGGAAAAAAATGTGGAAAGGTAAAAACCTGGTATCAGTAATTCTTATTATTTTGTATATCTACTCTAATTGTAGTTATTCTGTTTTCATTTATTTCTTGATATTTAGTTTGTAGATGAAATTTGCAAGGGAAATGGGGGAATATATAAGCCTACTATATCATTTGCAAAGACAACTGGGAGCTAAAGTTATATTTATTTAATACATATTTATTGATTCTGTGATAAATAAATAACATTGTTTTAGATACATTGGAAAGCTCATAAATACAAAAGAGAAGTCCTTGTGGGCATTATAATTATATCAAAAAGCTAAATGATACCTTGGCAAAGTATTGCAAAGTATTTTAAAATATTCTAAGTTCTGATTGCTAAGTATTAGTAATATTATCTAATTTTATATTGAAATATTGATGACAGATAATAACAATAATAACAATAGATACCCTAATGTAAGAACATAAGAATCCTTTCCAGGACTACATTATTCATTTGTAGAGAAGCAGAAGGGACATCTTCTGATTTAAAAACCACATACTTTTAAATCAATAGCACTAGATGGCAAAATATTATATGATCCCAAACAAATGATTGTTGAGATCAGTGAGACTTGTGAGTGGTTTCTGGATGTTGCCTGTACAGAGATGATGAGATCTGGACTAGGACCTGAATGGAATTTCAGAGAAAATGGAGAATGAGGATAGCCTTGGGAAGAGGAAAAAATTATGAGCAAAATTACTCAGGAGACAGCAGCTCCTGTATTAATGAGTATGCCATTGAGAAGAAAGAAGCAGTAAGACTAAAGGGCCAGAGATCAGAGAATTGTCTGGACCATGCATCAGTCTTATAAGAAAAGGTAGCCATTCTAAGTTCTGATTCTAGGGAAAGGAAGCCTGTATTAGTGACCATTATAAGGAAGGGGTCTGATTATACAGCCTCAGGATCTTGACTTAACTCTACCATAAGAACCATTTCCTATCTAGCAAAACCACTCTCCTCTGACTCTCTTTTAACTCTTTTAAAATAGTCCTGGGCCTTTTCTTAGGACCACCTGTTTTTAGGGTATGAGAACCTTGATGACAGGAAAGGGTATTTTCAATTTCATCTGAAACTCCCACAGAGTCTCAGCTTTCATCCTAGGGAGAGAATGACTGCCCATTCATTGTGACCCCCAAAGTAGCAAATGGAAAGAGGAGAACCAGAACATGAAAGGCAAGAGCATTTAAAATTGTGGCACCATGAATAAATCACTAAGTTATTTCAGTCTCCATTTCCACATTTATTTTAAAACTAGAATTAATACCTGATATGATTTGTATGTTTGTCTCCTCCAAATCACCTGGTGAGACATGATTCCTAGTTTTGGAGGTAGGGCCTGATGGGAAGTGTTTGTGTCATGAGAGTGGATATTTCATGAATAGCTTGCTTCTGTCCTCATGATAATTAGTGAGTTCCTGCTCTGAGTTCACACAAGATCTGTTGTTTAGAAGTGTGTGACACCTTCTCCCATTCTCTCTTGTCATGTGATGTGCCTGTTCACCCTTTGCCTTCTGCCATGATTGTAAGCTTCCAGAGGTGTCTGAGAAGCAGATGCCAGCACTATACTGACTATAGAGTCTGCAGAATGCTGAGACAAAATAAACCACTTTTCTTTATAAATTACTCAGCCTCGGGTATTTTTTTATAGCATGCAAAAATATTCCAACACAATACCTTCCTGACTCACTTCCCAAATTTTATGTAACACTTAAAGAGCGTCATATAACTGAAGGATTTTCCTTGTTCATGAGTACACGTCTGTATTAGTCTGTTCTCATGCCGCTATAAAGAAATACCCAAGACTGGGTAATTTAAAAAGAAAAGAGGTTTAATTGACTCACAGTTCCACATGTCTGGAGGGTCCTCAGGAAACTTACAATCATGGTGGAAGGCACCTCTTCACAGGGCAGCAGGAGAGAGAATGAGTGTGGCAGGGAGAATGCCAGGTGCTTATAAAACCATCAGATGTTGTGAGACTTACTCAGTATCACAAGAACAACACTGGGAAAACCACCCTATATGACATAATTACCCCCACTTGGTCCCATCCTTGACAGGTGGGGATAATGGGAATTATGGGGATTAAAATTCAAGATGACACTTTGGGTAAGGACACAGCTAAATCATATCACCATCTCATGGTATTTTTAGTTTTGTGGGTCTTGACATAAATCAATCTTTAGGCTCACCTCTCTATAGTAACAAAAGGCACTGTGTTTACACCAACAGGACATATTAAAAATAAATATATCATTACTAAATTTTAGAATAGAGAAGGGGCTTAGTCTTTGTCAATTTATGTTGATCCAAGTATTAATTAAGATTACTGTTTCCTTTTCCCAAGATTTTTCAGTTTCATAAATTATTTACTAAACTTTTTGTATGAGCAGAACTATGTTACTTTGTTTGTGAATCATAAGAGCAACTTGGACAGGTAGGAGGAAAAACTCACATATTATAATTAGAGGTTAAAGTATAATAGCACATAAAAAAGCATCAACTTGAATTCTAAACAATAAAAACATATCTGATGCAATTATGAAGAACCTTGGTCACTTAGTGGGAAAAAGTAAATGAGGATTTCTTTCCCTCAAAGGTATGGGGAAGCAAAATTTTATTAGACCTTAAGCACTATAATGTCTAATGTATGTAATTCTGTGTATCATAGTAATTTAGATGACAAAATTAAGTCTGAAACATTAAGCAAACCAATTCTACATAACACAATGTGTCCACAGTCACTATTTGTGCTCTGCTCAAAAGGATAACTTATTTTAATTGAGTCTTTGATTTAAATAGATATAAGGACATTTAATAAAATTTTCATTAAATATTTCTCTTAAACAGAAAAGACAATTGAACTTATGAGATGATATAAGGGTTATCATAATAAATTTAAAATTGGTAGTTGAGTTCACTGTTTTCCTACTGTAAAAGTAGGATTATTGAGGATGGCATAAACAGGAATCAATGTCCCATCCTATCAAGGGCTTCTGATTCTCTTTTCTCCTCATTGATCTCTTTTTCAACAGGATCAGTGAGGGGAGGTATGCATCATGGGGGAGAAGGGAAGGGTGATTGGAGAAGGGAAGGATGTATTGTTTCTTCTGATTTTTTTAAGTTATCTATCTGTGTTTTCTTGTAGCTCTCTAAGCTTCCTTAAAAGAGCAATTTTAAATTTCTTGCCAGGCAATTTGTAGATCACCAATTCTTAGTGGTCAGTTACTAAAATGTTACTATGTTTCATCTGTAGTGTCATATTTTCTTGATTGTTCATGTTCCTTAAAGTCTTGTGTTCCTGTCTTTCCATTTGAAGAACCAGTTACCTCCTGCAGTCTTTACTGACTGGTTTTAGGAAATAAAATCTTTAACCAATCAGCCCAGCTAGGAATTTTTTAAGAGTACCTTGAAACTTTTCTATGAATGTACCCATTCCATACTTCTTGTTTCCTCTTGGTAGGAATTCTTAAATTATACGCTTTCTATAAATTCCAAAAATCTAGGCCAGGTGTTGAGAGCCTATTTGTTTTTCTTAAGGTGGTGCCCTGTAATGCTCATATTTGTGTAACTTCTCCCAATTCTACAGAGTTGAGCTGGCTGCAAAAAACACTGATATATATATGCCAGAATATATATATATATATATATATATATATATATATATATATGCCAGAATATATATATATATATGCCAGAATATATATATATATATGCCAGAATATATATATATGCCAGAATATATATATATATTCATATTTAACTAAGAAAATGTTAATTAAATCGCAGCATTCATGAATCCAAGTGAGTAGTTCTTGACACATAAATTTTCCTAACTTAAATTCAATTGATATGTTCTAAGAAGAGAGCTTAAATTAATCTTTGACATGAAGATGAAATTTTCCCATTTTCAGAGGAACTGGTGCTCTATAGCCATGCTCCTTCCTGATACTTAATTATCTTCTCTCTCACCTGAATGAAATTAACTGTCTTGGACACCTACATTCAAAAGATGTGTGCGCTGTGTAGAAGAAAGGAAGATAATAAATTTCTTTTCACTACTTTCCAATTTATGTCTCTTGTCATTGATCAGTTCTGCTGGTATATGGGTGAGTATAAATTTCTTATTTGTATAGTACTTGAAAAATTTTTTTCAGTAAAAAAGTAGCTGCTGGCACAGCCTTTGGGAGCTCTTTGAATGTGAATTTACTTAAACCAAACTACTTGTGGACACTCTCCCCTCTGGATTATTGAGGCCAAGAAGGAGTCCTCGTATGAACTTGCTGAAAACATTTCTGAGAATGTTCTTTACAATGCTAATATTTAAAGACAACATGGAAAATCTCATATTGACCCTTGCTTTGCAGAACAAACACTTTGCTTAAAGTGTATAAGTGGGGTCCAGCAGAGGAAACCCTCTGGTGACATCTTTTGGAATTCTGGTTCATTCTGTAAAGTAAAGCATATTCTACAATTGGGTGAAAGATGAACGTTATAACCTAGAACTCAAAGTAATATTAGAATTCAAAGTAAATCAATTTGTGAAAGTGCACGATTATTTTGGAGATAGTGATTAGAAATAGTCAGGGGCTATTATGTGTTTTATTTTTGTTTTGTTTTTCTTCACCTACCACTTCTTGCTATTTACCATTTTCATTTTTTGTAATTAAAAGTTTATTACAGAAATGTCCAAATGCTAAGATAACAAAGGTTCATATACACACTCCTCAGAACAAATATCAATATTTATAAAATATTTTATATTTTATATATTAATAGAATAATATATAACTTGAGATGATACCTGAAATTTGTTACAAATAATGTAGGAGAGAAAATGCGTGGGAGTAGGGATGTAACAAATTGACTAAAGCTTGACAATTGTTTAATACCAGTTATGGATATGTGACTTTCCAGTGGAATTTTGTGAATGTTTGAATTTTTATAATAAAAAGTTTTTAAAAATTATCTAAGTAGCTTCATGTTTTTGCTCTTTTAATATATATACCCTACTTTGTTTTTAATAATGACCCCATTTAATTGAACCTTGTACAATTTGCAGAAAAATAACACCATAAATATATTTAAATACCCCTGATTTTACTCATCAGTCCCATATTCTCTTTTCTCAGTGCACAAATATAATGTTTTTATATCAGTCCATACTTTTTTAGTTTTATTACATATGGTGGGGATCAGAAAATGACACCTCAAAATGAAGGCCTCACAAGCAGCCTCAGAAGCAAAGCGTCCCTCTGACCTTCTTCTGCCCTCCTGTCTCACACCCCATCTCTGCTAAGGCAAGCCGTAGAAACTAGAATTTCTCTTCCCCAAGGCAGGTATAAAGACAATAACCTCTTTTCCCTAGTGCCAGATATAAAATGTAAAACATTAATTTGACTTTCCCCACTTCCTGCATAAGAACTGTCCGTTACAAAATTCTCTGACCTATCTTCTTTGATTGTAGGTCATAAGACCATTCTAGAAAGGGTCCTGCCTCTTACTGGGAGAAAGAAATGCCACACAGAAAGACCATTTGCCAAGTTTCTCCCCTCAGTCTAGTATTAGATCAGACCTTTCTTGCCAAATAACAGTCCTACAAGGCTATCTGTACTCCACTGAACATGAAAATGGGTGATTTTCCCAGTATCTTTAGGTCTTCATTCTTAATATTTCCATATCATTTAAAACCATGATCAAATATATTTATATATATTTTCTTCTATCAACCTGCTTTTCTTTGTCAGTTGATTTTTCAACAAACCTGCAGAGGGCAAAGAGGAAGTTTTCCTTGTGCTCCTATACATACATGTATATCCAGAAATAGTATATTATTTTCAGTATTTTAAAATTTTACATAATGTTATATTCTGCCATATGCAACTTATTTTTCCAATTAATAGTTTACTTTTAGATTTATCTGTACTGACACAAATAAATCTAATTCTTTCATTTTATATGATGTAGGATAGGCTATTACTAGACATAGCCTCATTTTATTTTTGTAATATTGCAAATACTGCTGCAACAAACATTTCAGTATACAACTACCTGTGTATCTTTGCAAGAATTCCCCTTGAGTACACACCTAGAGGTAAAATGGTTGAGTCACAGGCCATTTCATGTTCATCTACACTAGATATAGCCAAATTGCTCCTCGGAGTAATTGGGAGAGTTCGCAAAGTGGGAGAGCTCCTGCTTTTGGTACATTTTGCTCAATATCTAGAATTGATTAGTTCTAACTTTTTTTTTTTGGCTAATCTGATGGTATCAAACATCATATCATCATCTTAGTTTAATTTCTCTGGTTATTAGTGAAAATAAACATGTTTTCAGATGTATCTTAGCCATTCAGATTTTCTCTTTTGTGAATTGCCATTTCATATCTCTTTTTTTTCTATTACAACGTTTGATTTTTCTTACTAATTTATAAGAATTATTTATAGGTTCAGGATACTAAACTGGGATAACTATAATGTAGAGATGATGAAGATGAATGCAGATATGTTTCATTGCCAGTCCAAGGTCACTCAAGTGGTAACTATACCCATTAACTATACTTAACTATAAACCCTTTTACTCCCACATTATGCTGCCTTCCAATTATCAAATAATAACTCTAAAAATGACTTCTAATACTATTTCTATTTCTGAAACTTCATGGTTTTTTCAACTGGCAAGTTCCTGAAAAAGTAATTTTTCTTCTATGTAAAATAGTACCTTGTTGATATCGACAAAGGTATGAGGATGCCATCAAGAAAAGCAGAAAATTCAACACCTCTTTTTTTGGACAGAGACATCCTCCCAGATTTGTAAGGTGTTTAACAATTTAAAATATGAGCCACAGTGTTCATCATGAAATTATTTTCCTGCAGTGGATGCAGCTCCAGCAGTGTAACAGAAAGGATGCATTTAGGGAGAATGTTAATAAAATGGATCAAATTGCTATGGGTTTCCTGAACCATGTTTGAGTAAGCATAAAAGAGATAAATTTTAACATTGTATTTATTTAAAATATAATAATATTAAAAAGTTTATGCTTATTGACATCACCTGGTAAGCAAACCATGTAACATATTAATAAAAAGTTTAGATTAGAAGTTTGGTACAGGTGCAAGTTGCCAAGCAATAGAACTCTTCCTGTTTCTCCTTTTCTTGTCACAGAATTTTTCTGTTTGTAAAATAACATGATCCTCGTGTCACTTTAAAGACTTTGAAGCATCACCACAGGAAAAAATAGTATTCTTTGTTCTCTGAGCAACTCATAGAGACACAGAGAACTCCAAAGAATGGCTGGTCCCATTTGGTTTTGCGCTGAGGCAGAAAATAAACCTAAGTGTTCACTCCAGGATTTATCTTTTCTTTTCTTTGAGTATTACATGGACCTTTATCATTCTTACAGATCCATAAAGATCTCTGATGTAATGAGCAGCACAGGCATTTCTAGGAGGAGTACAGAAAGTAAATGACAGAATATCATAGATATTCAAGCTTAGGAAATGGAAGAACAGAAAAAAAGTTTTGAAAGGCAATAAAGATCTTTGCCCTTAACAGTCCATCTTGTGTCACTTTACACGTAATCTGTAGCTTAATAATTCCAAGTATGCTGAGTGCTTCTTACAGCTCAGGCACATCCATATGAAATAACATACAAAAATTAATGTATCTATAGACCTATAAAATGAACAAAGGGTTTCTGATGTCACACTTTTTTTAAGAATTTATCAATCTGGTATTTTATTTATGTTGTTGCGACAATGAACAGCTAACATCACTTACTGCTAATGATGAGTTCATCTAAATATCCAAAACCAAACCAATGAACCTCTACCTCAAGCCTGCAACTCTTTTTCCATTTGCTTATTATGTCAATGACTTCTACCATTTTTTAGTTATCTAGGCTTAACAAAAAAACCATAAAGTTATTAGTAAATCCTTTCAGTCTTAAATTTTCTATATCAGATTAAATGTAAGCTTTCTTCTGAATAACTATAATAGGATTCAAAATTTACTCACACTGATAATCTGATGTGTTAAGAAAATGTAGCCAATTGGTCCAGTATTGTTTACTAAGATATTATCTGTTTTTTCAGAATTGCTCTGAGGTGCCTACATTGTCAAAAATAAGGTAGTCCATACATACACTGGACTGCATTTGAGCTATCCAATTTTATCTGTCAGTTGGTCCATCTTTGCAACATGATCTTATTTTAATATATCTTTACAATGGGTCTTATATCTAGTGTTGTGTGTCCTCCAGATTTTCTCTTCAAAGTTGCCAAGAATTCACAATTCCAAAATAATTTTAGAACTCACTAGTTATATTTTGGGGAAAAAACTTAGATTTTAATTGGGTATATAGATTAATTTGGGGAAAACTGATATTTTAATATTAAGTATTTCAATATTAATTATAATACATCCCTAGTTTTAAATTTTACCCCCAAAATATTACAAAGAAATCACTGTAGAGGTCTTTTTACCTTCATTAGGTATTTAGACATAAAAAATTTTTGATAAAAGAGAGTTTATACTGTGACAAAATAAAGAAAAATTTGGGGAAGGTATTAGTCCATTTGTGCATTGCTATAAAGAAGTACCTGAGATTTGGTAATTTACAAAGAAAAGAAGTTTGATTGGCTTCATGGTTCCACAGACTGTGCAGGAAGCATAGCTGAGGATGCCTTGGGAAACTCACAATTATGGTGGAAGGTGAAGGGAAAACACATCTCATGTGCTGAAGCAGGAGGAAGAGAGTGAAGAAGATGTCACAGACTTTTAAAGAATCAGATCTTAGGAGAACTCATTATCATGAGAACAGCAAGGAAGAAATCTGCCCCCATGATACAATTACCTTCCACCAGGCCTCTCCTCCAACATTGGAAATTACAATTTGACATGTAATTTGGGCAGAAACACAAATAAAAACTGTATCATTCTGCTCCTGTCCCCTCTCAAATCTTATGTCCTTTTCATATTACAAAATGCAACCATCCCTTGTCAACAGTGTCTCAAGTCTTAACACATTTTCTCATTAACTCAGAACTCCACAGTCCAAAGTCTCATCTGAGACAAGGCAAGTCCCTTCTGCTTATGAGCCTGTAAAATCAAAAACAAGTTAGCTACTTCCAAGACACAATGGGGGTACAGGCATTGTGTAAATACACCTATTCCAACATGAAGAAATCAGCCAAAACTAAAGGGCTACAGGCCCCATGCAAGTCTGAAACCAGCAGGGCAGTAATTAAATCTTAAAGTTTCAAAATAATCTCTTTTGACTCCATGTCTCATATCCAGGCCACACTGATGCAATGAGTGGGCTCTCAATGCCTTGGGCATCTCTGCCCCTATGGCTCTGCATGGTACAGCCCCCTAAGCTGCTTTCATCAGCTGGCATTGAGTGCCTGTGGCTTTTCCATGTATACAGTGAAAGCTGTAAGTGGCTCTAACATTCTGGGGTCTGAAGATTGATGGCCTTCTCACAGCTCCACTAGGCAGTGCCCCAGTGGGGACCCTGTGTGGGGACTTCAACCCCATATTTCCTCTCTTCACTGCCCTAACAGAGATTCTCCATGAGGGCTCCACCCTTGCAGCAGACTTCTGCCTGGACATCCAGGTATTTTCATACATCCTGTGAAATACAGGCACAGGTTTCCAAGCCTCAACTTTTGCCCTCTGTGCACCCACATGCTTAACACCATGTGGGAGCTGCCAAGGCTTATGGCTTGCACCCTCTGGGGCAGTGGCCTGAAATGTATCAGGGGCCCTTTTAGTTACACCTGGAGTTGGAGCAGCTATGATGTGGGGAGCAGTGTCCTGAGGTTGCTCAGTGCAGCAGGGCCCTGGGCCTGCCCAGGAAACCACTTTTCCCTACTAGGCCTCTGGGCCTGTGATGGGAGGGGAGGCTACAAAGTTCTCTGAAATGCCTTTGAGGCATTTTCCCTATTGTTTTGGCTATTAACATTCAGCTCCTCTTTACTTAAGCACATTTCTGCAGCTGGCTTGAATTCCTTTCCAGAAAATGAGTTTTTCTTTTATATCACATGATCAGGATGCAAATTTCCTAAATTTTTATGCTGTGCTTCCCTTTTAAATAAAAGTTGGAACTTCAGATCATCTCTTTGCTCATGCATATGACATTACACAGTTAGAAGCAGCCAGGTCACAGCTTGGACACTTTGCTTCTTAGAAATATCTTCCACATGACACCTTAAATCATCTCTTTCAAGTTCAAAGTTCCACAGATCTCTAGGAAAGGGGCACAATGCCTCTAACCTCTTTGCTAATGCATAACATAGGTGAGTTTTGCTCCAGTTCTCAGTAAGTTTTTTATCTCTTTTGAGATCACATCACACTGGATTGTCCACATCACTATCAGCATTTTGTTGATAACAATTTAACAAGTCTCTAGTAAGTTCCAAACTTTCCCTCATCTTCCTGTCTTCTTCTGAGCCTTCCAAAGTGTTCCAACCTCTGCCTGTTACCCAGTTACAAAGTCACTTCACCATTTACAGGTGTCTTTATAGCAATGCCTCACTTTCTGGTACCAATTTTCTCTATTATTCAGTTTTTGAATTGCTATAAATAACTACCTGATAGTGGGTAATTTATTTAAAAAAGAGGTTTAATTGGGTCATGGTTCTGCAGGCTTTATAGGAAGCATGGCTGAGGAGGCCATGCTTATAATCATGGCAGAAGACAGGGGAAGTCAGCATGTCTTACATGCTGGAGGAGGAGGAAGACAGTGAAGGGGAAGGTGCCACACACTTAAACAAACAGGTTTCATGAGAACTCACTCACTATCATGAGGAGAGCAAGGGGGAAATACAACCTCATGATCCAATGACCTCCCACCAGGCCCCTCCTCCAACACTGGGAATTACAATTCAACATGGGATTTGGGCAGGGAAACAAATTCAAACCATGTCAGAGAATGACCAAATTGAGATAGAAAGAAAAGCAACCAAAAGCAAATATATAAGTTCAAAAAATTCAGAGGTAAAATAAACTTTTTTTGTGTGACTAGCTATGAAGAATGAAATAGTCAAAGGAATTCATAAGGGCTCAGAAATTTGGGGGTGAGTTAAACTTGGTAGATTAAAAAATGTGTTTGATTCAGCTGTAGAATGTCATCCAGATGATAATTTCCAATTAGGGGTTGTGAACACAAGTCTGACTATATAAAGTGGTCACTTAACATGTAAATTCTATGAGATTAGTGAGTTTGTCTTGTTCACCATGATACCCCCAGTTTTCAGTGCTTGGCATATAACAGTTCTCAATAAGAATTTGAGGAATGAAAGAAAGACAAATGTATTTTTAAAAGAAGGCAGGAAGGAAAGGGAGATAGGACTGGATATGGAGAGAAGAAATAAAGAGAGAGAGAGAGAGAGACAAAGAGAGAAAGAGAGAGGTAGATGTGGGAATAGAAAGGGAAATGAAAAGAGAAAAGAATTCTTAGTATATCTCAGAAAAGAGGCAGGCCCTTTTCCAGTAACATAAGTTATTTTCTCTTAAATAGTTTCATCCTCACTACTCTGATCACGTTTTTCATCTCATTTTCATCTGGAATGTTTAATATGAACATAGTGTAAAAGGGAAATTTAGATGTCTTTATTATTGTGAAAATCCTAATAAAAAGGAAATGTGATCATTCAATGAATATTTATTATTTCAGGTTAGTAAGTATAATGATAATAATTTTTACATTGCAATAAAGCAAGGAATTAGAATGGGTTATTGCTTTTATAGCCCAACATTTATTTCACTTGATTCAGAGGCTTTCACATTATTGCATTTAAGAAACAATTACTGTAGTATCAGGTTGTCATTTTGTTAAGGTAAAGTGATCTTAAAACTATGACAGTTAAATGCAAATTTTAAAGTAGAAAAATCTCAAATTTAAATGAGACTAAGTTCTAAAAGTTGTAAGAGTATCATTAGTTTCTCTAAAATAAAAAATAATTTTGAGGCATCTTTTCTATACTAGGAACTAGAAATAGAATATAAGGGGATTTTTAGATCAGCCTCTCACCTACAAGCAAAACAAACCCTATTTTATTGCAGAAAGGTAAAACCCTATTCTATTCTTCTATATTTTCCTTTATTCTTGCCTACACCAGGCTCTAAGTATCCGATGGACCTTTTGCATGAATAATGAACTGAGTCCAAATATCTTTTACACACAACAATTTCCCAGGCCAGTGACAGAATAAAGAAGCCAGTAGGGAACAAGAGAGAGAATGGAGGCCTGGATAAATCAGGAGTCATTTTAATGGCAGTCAACTATAGTTGTGGCTAGAAGTGATTATTAGGGAAAGTTTTACTATTACTACATCATATTCTAAGCAACATGGATGGTTTGGTAATGTGACCATAATAAGAAAGATGAAGAAAGGTTATCTATAACATTTTAACATGGTAGTCAACTTTTCAGAAGGGTAGAACCAAAATAATGGATAAAATTGCAAAAATAGAAAGTATTTAGCTTTAATTCAATCCCAGTATATTGCAAAAGAAAATCCAAGAGGGAAGAAGCAAATTAATGTTAAACAAAAAAACATGCTGTGTTACCAGTACATTCTCTATTAAAGTTGTTACATGGGTTATCTGATTTTTCTTTTACTCCTAAAAATGTGACATTATCTCTGTATTGGTTTCTTGGGCCTGATATGATGAATTACCACAAGTTTCCTAGGGCTGCTGGAATAAATTACTGCTAACTTGATGGCTTAAAACAATAGAAATTTCTTGTCTTATAGTTCTGGAGGCCAGAGTCCTGAAATCAAGGTATAAGCAGGACCGTGCTCTCTCCAAAGTCTCTAAGAAAGAATTCTTCCTCATGTCTTTCAGCTTCTGATGGCTCCAGGTGTACTTTGGGTGAGGGCTTCATGACTTTAATCTACTCTGTCTTCACATGGTTTTATCCTCTGCATCTCTCTTCCTTTTTCTTTTTCTCTTCTCTTGTAAGAACTTGTCATCAAATTTAGGGCCCATCCTATTCCAAGGTGATCTTATCTAGAAATGCTTTAATTAATTCCTTCTGCAAAGTCCTCTTTTTTCAAACAAGATTATAATTTTAGATTTTAGAATTTAGGACATATACATAAGATTTTTGAGGGTCATTATTCAATCTCTTGCAATCTCTATTTTTACCAGTGAGAAAAACGTAACCATAGAAGGTAAATGTCTTCTCAAGAACACGTTGGAATTTCCCAGGGGGAATTTAAACTTTGGTCTGTCTGAGACCAAATACTTTATCATTCTACATGACCCAGATTGCAAATTTCAATTGTGATTATACTGGCATATCTATTCTATGAAGAAAATCAAAACTGTACTTTTCAGAATACTTTAGTGAGCAGAAATATTAAAATACTACTTAAAATATGAATAATAAACAAAACGAACAGTATATCACAGGTAATCTAAGATCACGTCAAGCAAATAATGCCAAGAAAAACACAGAAGACCTTGGAGCCATTAGCAGAATAAAAAGGGTAAGAATTTTGGAAGAAAATGAAGACTTGTTAATAGATTACTTAAAACCTTGAATCTGATTTAACCTTTGGATTTTCTGTCAGGGAAAAGAATCTTTGAACTGAAAGTGGGAGAAAAAAAATAGACAGAGGACATTGAGGCCTAGGATAGATGAAGGGTTTGAAGGAGAAAAATCAGCTTTTTCACGTCTCCTCACACAGGTGAATTCAACTAAATATTTAATGTAACTTCTGGTTGGTAAAATTACTAATCTATGTTGGTCAAGTTAAAAAATAATGAGCAGTTAGAGTTCAGCTGGAAGAAGAAAGTTGTGTACATCATGACAACTTTTAAAAAGGAAGAGATCCACAAATTATGTATATACTCTTTAACTTTCTATCAACCTCTGGGGATATTAGAGAAACAATGATTAAAGGATTGCTATTAAGACCTAGAGCCAAATGTAATCATTATTACTCACGATGAAGTCAATAAAGGCCATTCATTCTATACTAGGATTATTTTTTCAATTGGTATGCAGAAAGAATCTTCAAAATATATTTAGGCTTGAGAAGCTTTAATGTCCCCCTATAACACTGCAGTTCTTAGTCAGATATTAACAACTAGTTGAATCATTTTAACCAGACAACTGCTTAACACATCACTGTTTTCCATACATCCACTTGTCTGCACCAGTTTTTGCTGACCCTATCTCCCATTCCTTACACAATTTTTTAGCCTTCCCTGTCTCCCAGATTTTAGTATCTACCTGCCAATTCATTTGCCATATTGCTGTCAAGGCAATATCCTAATCTATGGAATTGTTCACCCGAGTCCTTTGTAACCTGATTTTATTCTTATTTTATTTCTTTTCATCAATATTTCCTTATATTTTTATTTTAGTTATTTATTTTACTAAATGAGCCCTGAAACTTATTGATTCTATGACTTTGCTCATTTTTCCTTCTGATAACAACCTAGTCATGCTTTAAGGGTCTAGTACAAATGTTATGATTTCTTAAAGCTTTATTTTTCTGGTTGTCATAACCATCTCAAGTCTATGAATAAATTATACCAACATCTGTTCTTTCACTCAAATTGTATAAATGCATCTATTAAGAAGCGATGACTTTTTTGGTTTATTTTTCATTTTATCTTTCCAACTAGACTCTGAACAATTTTACAATAAACCTATTTTAACAATATCCTTAGTATCCAGACACTGGCACTTAGCAGATGCCAACTAAACATATATTTTACAACAAACATAAATGTTCCTTGTTCACTGGAAGAAAGTTAATCATCTAATTGTTTTGAAAGCATGAATCATTTCTGTGAATAATAGCATTTCTTCACCCAGTATGTGTTTAGTCCTTGGCTAGATATCCACCTGGTAGAAATATTATAAAAGAAATTTTAGTATGATATAGTGGCTAAATTACCCCATGTGTTCAAGTTTTCAAGTCTGAGGTCCTATTTTCACTAAATTCTTTCAAAGATTAAATACTGTCACTTCCTTTCTAACAAATTTACCCATATTTATAGTGTATCATTGTTAATTTTTAATTTGGTTAATATACATATAACTAAAAAATAATATTATATGAGTATTCATAGCCTTCTACATTTTTCTGAGTGTAAAACAGAATTCCATTTGCCTTTCACTTTAGCCTCTAACTCAACTGCGAAGAAAACTATTGTTGCCTATTCCAGTGGAAGGTGTCTTCTTTTTAATTAAAATTTTTATTGTGACAATTGTGGATTCACATACAGTTGTAAGAAGTAATATAGAGAGAACACTTGTACAATTTGCCCAGTTTTTCTCGATAACATTTTGCAAAACTATAATATAATATTAAAACTAGAATATCTACATTGATACAATATACAAATCTTACACAGATTTCTCTGGTTTTACTTGCCAGTCTTTTGATGCAGAATCTGAGCAAAAGATAAAAAAGGAAACAAGGGGAGGGCCTGTCATTGAGGATTTGCATCAGAAAGGGATTAATTTGAGATTTCACATGAGTGAGAAAAATTAAGGGAAAAGCAAGTGGAAGAGTAGATGTCCATGGATGGAGTTATAAGGAAAGACCCTCTTAGTTTGAAGTAACCTTTTACATGGAGATAGAAAATGAGGGAGAATTTTAGGACTGTATGTGCCATCTTGTGAAGAACAGTGAGAATAATTGTAATGAACAGTGAGGATTCAAAGATGTTTATACTTCCCAATTTTGTGTTTCAAAGTCTGGGTCAAAAAAATGAAATTGATATTATTTTTATTTTTCTGTGAGATTGATGTTTCTTCCAATTGTCACTGATGGAGCCAGGGCCAGAGAAAGCCCTGTGGAAACAAACCAAGACCACACAAATGAGAACAATAAGAGGCTATTTAATCAGAGCTTGCTGTGGCAAGGGAATCAAGCATCATCATCTGCGCTTGACAGAGACTCAGGCACGCAGGGGAGTGGGAAAGCTTTCTAGGTATTCCTTGAATGGGAAGGCTTCCGGTATTCCTTGAGTGGAGGTTGCTGGCATGTCATGTAAAGCATTTTATTAAATAAACGTTATTACTTCAACAAGCCATGCTCTCACTTTTCAAAAGTTTAATTTAAAAAATAAACAGTTGCCATTCATATTTCCATGATCTCTTCGACTGAAATCAGAAACATTAGTTCTTTTAGATTGTCTCTATGTTTTACTACACCAAATGAAGTGAAAACTGAGGTTTTTCCTTGGGCAATTCTCCCAATGTTCCCTCAAATATAAAAAAATACAGATATTTGTATACATATTCTCTGTATTAGCTTCTTAATTCATAAATTATCCATTGTTTCTAGCCCTTAGTTTATAAAAGTTTCCTGGTAAAAATAATGTTTTGTAATTCCAAAAGGTTTATTCTACAAATATTCTCCTTAATATATGAGATTTTGAAAATTCATGATAAGGAACTTGGTAGTAATCTTTTTGAGATTGCCTCAGGTAAAAGCATA
The DNA here is from genome assembly GCF_000001405.40 of Homo sapiens. Classification (NCBI taxonomy): domain Eukaryota; kingdom Metazoa; phylum Chordata; class Mammalia; order Primates; family Hominidae; genus Homo; species Homo sapiens. The sequence goes on from NC_000018.10 coordinate 43,472,583, forward strand.
ATAATTGAATAATAACTTACCTGCTTCTTGTAAATGGAAGAAAAATATATGCAATCATTTTAATACATTCCACGTGCCTGATAAGACTCTATGGCTATGTTAGTTTCTAAGCATTCTAATTATCGGCAAGGGAAAAAAAGCTAAGAGAAGCAAGAACATTAATTTTTTTAATTCTCTTCAGAAATACAAATTCAGTGTGTGATAATGACAGCTAGTCATGCTCTTCTCACGTTTATATTAATGACCATCTGTGTAAATGCCTGAGGCATTGCCTTCAGGTTTTCATGGTTCTGAAAGCCAGCCTAAGAAGTGGCTTCCTTAGCTCTATAAAGATTAGAGATGCTATTTAAGATAATGCCACAGGTACATAGCCAATAGCTTCCTCCAATCTGGGAGCATTTCAAATGAATCTTTCTCTTAGGACTCATCAATAAAACATTGGATTCAGCTCATCTTAGAACAATCTTTTAAAGGAGGTACGTTTAGTATAGAGCAAATATTATAATACGAAAACCAGCAGAACTACATTTTGCAAGGAAAAATGAATGACACAGAAAAAGAAGGTTACATTTGATAAATATAGGAAGTTATATTTTCAATATGGGTGTTGCATTTTTTTAAAAGAAGTATTAAAATATTCAGATAAGAACACATTTTTTAAAGTCAAACTTTTGAAGCAAATGGCTTCCTTTAAAGCAAATAGACCCTACCACTTAAAACTATAGATCACAAAGTAGATGTTAATTGAATCTAGATGGATTCAGAAAAAAATATAAATATCAATTTATTGAATAAATAAATGACTAGATTAGGGTTGAGAGTGAGTTATGTATCCATATGTATAATACATATATGTATTATACATATAGAATAATATGTATTATTCTAAAATGTTGAGGCTTTCAGTGAATAAATTCACACATCTATGTGTACACACACACACACACACACTTAGAACTCCTGTTACAGAGAAAGTGATTAACACTCTCTTCCTTCTTATGAGAAATGTTAAGTAACTTAGTTTCATAACAGGAACTTGTATTCTCACTAATATGGGACAAACCTAGGTAGGCAAAGTTCTAAATGTAAGTTTATAGTCAGAGTATTTGGAAGTATGCATTTGGTAGTCAGAAAGCAAGCAAACAATAATAACAACAAAAACAAACTTAAGGCCAAGAGAATAATTTGAGAAGAAATTATATCATCATGGGACAGATAATAAAATTCCAAATGGGAAATAATATAAATGGAGTGAATCTAGGGTGCTATTAAAATGGATTTAGGCAAGGGGACAATAAAAACCCAAATATTGGCTAATTTACATATAAAATGGCTCTATTATTAAAACCCAAATATTGGCTTATTTACATATAAGACTGCTCTATTATTAATTGGATTTTTGCAATTCAGGCAGCTAGTAATTTGTGTTGGACCAATGGAGCAGTGCTTTTCACAAGACTGCATACCCAGGTGGTTTTGGTCTTCTCAATTGTAAATATGAATTTTGGAATCCGTAGCTTCAATGAGATGCAAAACTAATACTTTATTAAGTCAATGTAATTACCCTGGAACCAGTTCTTATGTGAGAGATTTAAAGAGAGAGAAAAAGAATGGAGACAGAACTACTCCATGCAGTAATCACTCTAACTACATGAAATTCATCATTACTCCATTAGAAAATAATATTTATCATCTCCTATATGCCAAGTACTTTTGTGGGCACTATGATTATAGCAGTGAAAAACTAAGTTAGCAACATATGAAGTTCATATGTTAGTTTATAGATATAGAAAAAGCTGCAGAGATAATTCTGGGCAATGGAAACAGCAATAAAGCACAAATAAGTATGTTACAGTGAAAGAGAACTGGGTGAAAGCTTCCATTTCTGACTAAAGGGCAGATTTGGTGTGCCAACCAATGTCTCAGTTGTGTTGGAAAAAACATAAAAATATTTTAAAGGAAATTTTAAAATGTTTCAACGTATTATATAAAAAAGAAGGGAACTTCACAAGCCAAAATTAAGGGCAGGAGAGATTCAGAAAGGCAGGAAAAACACAGGTCTGTCTTCTGTCTTGAGGATATTTGTTGAACCCAGTGAACATGACTTTTGGTTTTTCATTGCCTCACAGGACACATGGGAGAGGAGAAAAGTCAGGTTTGCCCAAGATGGAGAGGCTAAGAGGTTTCTGCATATAAAGCTAAGGCCCTGAAAGCCTATACTCTTAGTAAGTGCAACAGAAATAATCCTGCCATTCTTTAGGAGAGTGCAGGGAATTTTCCGTGGTGAACTTGTTGCTGCATAGAGAGGGGACAAATTCCTATTTATAACTTGAGAAGCTTTCACCACAATCAGGCTCTTCTGTGATTGTTGCTAAAACTGTGTTACCTGAATGGTCTTGGGGGGGAAATAAGAAACTAAACCAATAACTTGTCTTAAACCAGTCCCTGAGACGTAGATCCCCCAAAATTGGCAGAAGCAAATGTAAACCCTCTCATAAAGAACTCACCTTGAGTTTAGTCTTAAGGACTTTTTATACTTCCAATTCTAAGATTTACGGCTGCAGAGACTCACAAAATACCCAAGAAAATGATGCTTATGAGCTACTAACACCAGCTAAAGAAACCACACACACACACACACACACACACACACACACACGTGCACAGAGAATCAGATCTGCAAATACCTCAGATATCAACATTACAGATTCAGAAAAAAATCATTATTTTTAATATACTTTTAAAAAGAAGTATCTAAATAAAGAGTTTCTGCACAGCAAATGAAACTATCATCAGTGAAAAGAGACAACCTACAGAATGGGAGAAAAGTTTTGCAATCTATCCATCTGACAAAGGTCTATTATCAAGAATCTACAAGCAACGTAAGCAAATTTACAAGAAAACAAACCCATTAAAAAGTGGGCAAAGGATATGAACAGATTCCTCTCAAAAACAGACATACATGCAGTCAACAAACATGAAAAAAACCTCAACATCACCAAACATTAGAGAAATGCAAATAAAAAACACAATGAGATACCATCTCACACCAGTCAGAATGGTGATTATTTAAAGGTGAAGAAACAACAGATGCTGGAGAGGTTGTGGAGAAATAGGAACACTTTTACACTGTTGGTGGGAACGTGAATTAGTTCAACCATTGTGGAAGACAGTGTGGTGATTCCTCAAATATTTAGAAGTGGAAATACCATTTGACCCAGCAATCCCATTACTGGTTATACACCCAAAGGAATATAAGTAATTCTATTATAAAGATACATGCATTCATATGTTCATTGTAGCACTATTCAAAATAGCAAAGACATGGAATCAACCCAAATGCCAATCAATGATAGACTGGATAAAGACAATGTGGTACATATACACCATGGAATACTATGTAGCCATTAAACGGAATGAGATCATGTCCTTTGCAGGAACGTGGATAAAGCTGGAAGCCATTATCCTCAGCAAATTAATGCAGGAACAGAAAACCAAACATCACATGTTCTCACTTATAAGTGGGAGCTGAACAAAACACATGGACACAGGTAGGGGAACAACACTTACTGGGGCCTGTCAGGGGAGGGCATGGAGTGGGGAGAGGATTAGGGAAAAAAGCTAATGCATGCTAGCCTTAATACCTAGGCGATAGGTTGTTAGGTGCAGCAAACCACCATGGCACACATTTACCTATGTAACAAAACTGCACGTCTGCACAAGTACCCCAGAACTTCAAATTTTTTTAAAAGAAAAGGGATTGGAAATATAATTAAGAGACTATACAAAATGACCAAGAAATATTTTTGTAATTAATAAGAACTTAGAAAAATAATACAAAACATATAATGATAGAAATTTAAAACATAGTTGAATGGCTTAATAATGTATTAGGCCTATTTAATAAGGGAATTCATTAGTTGGAATATAAAATTAAAGAAATCATCTCAAGTGTAACACAGAGTATGAGATAAATTAAATGAAAAATATGAATAAGAGGCATGGAAGATATAAGAAGAATATATAATATATGCCCAGAAGGAAGAGAATGGTATAAAAGGAACAGTAAAATATCTAATAACTGTGAAGCTTTAATAAAAACAATTAATAGATTTACAAAGTCCGAATAATTTTAAGCAGGAAAAAAAATAAAGAGAAAATTATAAAAGTCGGTAATATATTCAGGTAAGTACCAAGAAATCTCAATGGATTCATAGCATATACACATTATGTAGTTTCATCAATATGGAATTAAGTTAGATGTAAATAACAGGGAGCTAATCATCTAAATGCCACAAATTTTGGAATTAAGCAATGATCTTCCATTGCTTAATTCAAGGGAATTGCTTGAATTCCATTGCTTCTCTTCAAGGGAATGTCTAGCTTATTGACAAAATGTGCTAAGTCAACGTAAAGAGACTGCTTACGGATTCTATAAAGAGGTATTTCTTATACCTCAAAAAAGTGTTACCTGAAGCCTCAGAAATAGTGCAGCATGCATTATTTTATTTAATCTTTATAAACATGAAAGAGTATAAAAGAACATTCCTTCAGCTATTTGAATAGTGAATGATTTTGGCAGAAAGATGGTAATGCTAGACCCTCAATTCTCTGCTTTCACAACGTTCTTTCATTTGCTCTTGGGAGTTACACTTTCTTTTGTTTTTCTTTCTCTTTTACTTTATTTCTTAGCCAGACTTACCAGAACAGCAGCTGCAGCATGATATAATTATTTTAATGGTTTGCATGCTATAAAGCTGTTAAAAGCAATTTTAATTTTTATCAGTAAATAGGTTTTATTACAAAGTTATATTGTTGCTCATAGCTATCCAAAGTAATAGGTACTTAGGAGAGTATTTTAGTCTGAACTGTTATGTCTCCTTTATCCACTATATGCCTAGTCAAGCATTACAATTTTGCCCACAGGATAACAAAAAAAATGCTAATAGGAGCAATTAAAAGATATGAATAATACTGACACCTCTTTATTATCTTCCAGGTACCATTGGAACTGCCCGAGACATTAAATGGTAATGATGTGGTTACAGTTATTTGCCAATTGAAGTGATTCCTGAAGAAGCACAGAGACATTTATTTCCAAGCTTTGAAGGGTTTTGTACTTTTTAATTAGATTTTGAAAACAGAGCAGCCATCTACAGAATTATATATATGGTAACTGATGATGCCAGACTCCTCCAAAAAATTAAGCACACATGGGCTAAATTTTTATACCGGACAATGGAAATTAAACTCACAGTTCCTGTATTGTTTAATAATGTCAACTTATTTTGGTTTCATTTTTCTTGTTTTTTTTTCTTTTCTTTTCTCACCTTTCCTTTCTTCTCTTGTTTATTCTCTCTGTCTCTTTTTTTATTTCTGTGATTTTCTGTGCCTCTCTGCTGTTTTTGCTGCCTTTTTCTTTCTGTAGTTACAGGTACATCCCATTTACTAAATGATGAATATCTCCATATTCATCAATTGATTTCATCATATTCATCAATATCACCATATTCATCAATTGGTGTTGTCTTAAAGTATCTGACCTCATCAACTGTTCATATGTGTTTCAGTGATTAAATGTGGCTTTCCTTAACTGGTATCTTTCTCATGTTTCATCATTAATCTTAATGCCTAAAGTGTAAGCATGACAGTCTTTAACCCTTTGCTTCTTTCTAATTTTTCTCCTATTTTTATTTTATTCCCTTCTTCTACCTTACTCATGTTTTCCAAACTCCAATTCATTTGGAACCTTCCTCATAAATCCCTAATGTGAGATACTCTGTTTGCTTCTACTTAACCTTCCTCCTTATCCATTGTCAAACACACACACACACACACACACACAATTTATAAATCTGTAAAATGAGAGGAGAGTTTATTTCTTATAAAAGGTTATAGCCTGCAAGGTGGCCATTCTGCAGGCTGGGAACTATGCCTCCAGAAAAGACCAGGGACAGGCACTTTGGAAGAGGAGGGGTTGGGGTAGGAGCTTTATGCTAAACAGGTTGGCTAAACACAGATATTCACCAGCCTACAGGAGGAGCTATGAATATTCCTGAAGGCACTCCTGACACATGCATATTGAACAAACATGCCTGTAACATATGACCCATGTTCACTTTGGGACATGTAGGGTAAACACACCTGATAGAAATAATTTAAGTATACCCTTAAATGACCCTCTATAGTAGATGCACCTGAATGTGGTCCACGCTAAAGAATCCAGGAGTAGCCAATCTGAAGATTCCTTCCTTATCAAAGAGGAAAATTTGACCCCCCACCTCAAACCACTCAGCCTATCCCATGGAACAGATGCTGTATAGGGGATTAAGGTCCTGAGTTTTAGGTTTAATGAAGGTTGCCAGATGGAGGTCATTAGAAGGAGGGTGTTAAATGAAAATGCTATATGATGTTTGCAGGAAGCTGCAGGGAGTTGCAGTTTTCTTGCCTAGGCCACCAGTACCGGGCTCTGCGATTATGTTGTCCAGCTCACAGGCATTGGACTTTCTTCCCTGTATGTAAGCCCCTAATAAAGCCCCATGTCTCATTTGCTGGCTCTGGGTCTCTTCTTTGGCCTCTTGAATGTGGTGCCTTCCATACTGAGGTTAATAGGAGTTTGACACAATAGGATGGAGACTTAACATGTAAATGTATTACAGTTAGGCTCTATATGTCAAAAGGTCTTTTCAGAACCCAAAGGCCTGCAAGTGCACAATCTCTGTATACTGGCCAGGAGCAGTCCATGGTCACTGGTCTTATAAAAAGAAAGTTACCAAAATCAGTCTTGGCCAATCAAAGCTCTAGTTGTGGCTGGTAAAACAGGGGCTCAGTCAATGTCTGTGAGCTGGATGAACTGTAATTATCTTAACATTGCTTATCTCAAGACCAGTGCTTGTTTAGCTGCTAGAGTGAACGAAAAACCTTGTGGCAGATAGAACAGAGTTGATTCTTTAAGTGTTGGGGGCCAAAGTCGGGGGGACGGGTGCAGTGCATTACTTAACCTTTCCCTGGCATTTAGCTCCTGTTTGTAATTTGGTATCTTATTGCCACAAAGAGGGTTCTGTCAGTCTCTATTTTAAGATTAATGCTGGTGGTTGTCTGTAAACCATAAAGGGGAGGGGGTATAACAAAGTCTGACTTCCTCTAGTGTCACGGCCAGGAACTCAGTTTTAAGATTTTTCTAGGATCGCCTTGGCCACAAGAGGGTCTATTCAGTTGGGGTAAAGGGTCCTCAGGATTTTAAGTTTATATCATTCATCTTATTCTGAACTTTTGTGTTTCATGTTGGAGTTTTCCAGTAAAAACAAATGGATGGGCCAGAATTATTTTTAATTTTCTTTCCCAATTTCACTTAAAAACAAACTGAATTCACTATATTAATGCTGCAGAATCCTATGTTGTGTTCTGTCCCTGGCTACTTTTATCTTTTTGCCATTTCCATCTCTAGGTAGAAATTTTTCTCTTCTTCAAGTGAGAGCTCAAGAATGATCCCTCATCCAACCTGCTCCCTTCCAGCTTGAAGTCATATATCTACTAATTTCAGTTCTCCTTCTTTGCAGAGTCTGTATTTATCTTTTATGATTCTGCCTAGGGACCTAAGACTTAAACATTTTTTCTCAAATAAAAGAAAAAAGTACATTATTTCATCTAGACACTAGCCTCCTTGAGGGCAGTGTTTACAGGTGAGAGTTCTTGTATTTCCCACACATATTCTGGTCTCCAACAAATACAGGGTTATATAAGTGGTTTATGGCTAATTAAAAGTTATCTTTTCTGCCCACATTCATATTGATCAGTAATGAAAATAAATCCCAAGTAAAAGTTTGACAATTCGAGAGTTATATTCAGTTAGCCTGAATTTGAGACCCAGCTGTCTCACTTACTAGTTTATCTCTCAGGACCTCAGCTAATTCACCTGTAAATGATGTTTTGCCTTAGTTTACCTGTTTTTAAATTCTATATTATAATGTATCATTCTGTAACCAAGATATTTCAGTTGACTTCTATTTATTTATATTAAAATTCATAATAGTTAGCAAACAAATTTATACTACATATCCTTTATGGACCAAGCTTGTTCCAGGGATTGGTAATATTACAGTTAACAAGACAGAAAAACTACCTGACTTCCAGCAAACAATGTTTTGAATGAGGAAAAAAGCAATAAACACTTCAAAAAAAACATTTTTTTAAAGAAGGAATTAATAAATAGACAATTAAACACTTCTTTTTAAAAATATCTAATTTAGATATGATAAATATTAGGAAGAAAATAAAATAGGGCGATGGGACTCAGAATGGTAAAGCTACTTGATAAAAATCAAAAGGACAGCTGAGCTGACTTAATGATGAGAAGATGGAGTCATCTGAGCTGAGGTCTAGGTAGTGAGAAGTAGGGAGCCACATGAGAATTGAAGCAAAGGATGACAAATAGAAGACACAGCAAGTGCAAGAGAGGAAAAACTGTCTATCCCTGCCAGTGTGGCAGTAAAATAGGGCAAGTATTTGGCGTTTACTCTAGGTGGTGTGAGAAGCTGGTAGAAAATTTTAAACATGGAGAAGGGTTGTGCTTACATTGAAAGAAAAAAAAAAACATTTCACTCTGGTCACTATTTGGAGTGCACCTGAATGTTTGTTCCAAGCTAGAGAATCCAGGAGTGGCCAACTTGGAGATTCCTTCCTTGTATAAAGAACAGCTGAGTCCCCATTCCAACCCACCCAGCCTGTCCCATGCAATACAGGCTGTAGAGGCGATTGAGGCCTTGACTTTTGAGTAAAATAAAGCTTTCCAGATGGAGGTCATTAGGGGGATAGAGTTAAGTGAGAATCCTATATCAACTGTATGATGTTTGCAGATGGTCGCAATTTTCCTGCCCAGAGTGTAGGGTGTGTAGGCACTTTAAGATGATGTGAAGCAAGAGGGAAACCAAGGAGAATATGTTGTTTTTATATTTTGCTGCATACTGAGAGAGTTAAGAATAGATTAGCATTAATTACTAATGGACATTCAAGACATAGTTAAGATTTACTAAATAGATATATATACACACATACATGTATATACATATTTTTAAATTTTACTTTAAGTTCTGGGATACATATGCAGAATGTGCAGGTTATATAGGTAAACGTGTGCTGTGGTGGTTTGCTGCACCTATCAACCTGTCACCTAAGCCCTGCATGCATCAGCCATTTGCCCTGATGCTCACCCCTAGCCTCCCTCAACCCCAACTGGCCACATTGTGTGTTGTTCCCCTCCCTGTGTTCATGTGTTCTCATTGCTCAGATTTACTAAATATTTTGAACGTAGAACAGTCTGGACTTACTGTAAGGAACATGGCTGCCCAAGCATAGGCCTAGCCAGGCAGGCATAGGCCGAGGTAAACATCCTGCACGACTCAGCGGAATTGGAACACAGGTGCACAATTCCATGCGTATAATTACAGCTATGTAGCCATAACATGGGGAGGCTTATCATCTGACTCTGAGGCACTATTTTCTGTGAGGTATATAAATGTAGCACTGACACTGTGAGAGAGCTGCTCAATAAAGCCATATCCCATCTACCTGCTGTCTCTCGACTGTTCTACCAGCTCCCTGTCCGTCCACCCACTCCCCATCGGACCTCAGCTGGGGCTCAAACCTGACATTTAGCGTTGTCAGCAGGATAGAGTGAGTGGGTCTTCAGCTCCCGAGGCTCCCGGGCAGGCTATGTGGCCGCAGCATGATGGGCTGTGGTACCCAGTGGCAGCGGTGCTGCTGGGATGGGCCCCAGTGGAAACGTGGGAGGCAGTGGGCGGGTCTCCTGTGAGTGTGGAGAAAGCACTAAAGCGCTGGAAGAACACAGTGCTGAGAAGAAATGCAATGCACCTTCGCCGGCAGAGTTGGATGGGCATTTCTGACTGCACTGCGGGAAGTACATGCTCAGTCCCTGTGGGATGCTGCACAGGTAAGTGACCTCTACATGCAAGCCACATGCCCGTGGGCCCAAATACACAGGTTGGAGCAAAACTTGGAGGTAACGGACCTCCAGACACAAACAGGGCACTTAGAGGCCCAGATAAACATCCTGGAACAGGAGTTAGAGGCTGCCGTCAGTGTGACCTTGAGCCCATCCTCGCTGCTGGAAACTCCCGTTCATGAGCAGCCGATGCGCCCTCAGGGGCGGGCTTAGGGGCCCCCTACTGTGGTGGAACGCACTTCGTATGGTGCCTATACCCTCGCTGAGCTCCGGGAGTCAGGCAAACATTGTTGGCAGCATCCAGCGGAGCCCCTCCTTCTCTGATTACTCAGATTTTGGGGTGAAGCAAGGTTATGGTGTAACAAGCGGCCTTATGAAGGCCGAACCCCAGTGGACTTTGTGCCCCCTGGGAGTTTATGGGTCTGTAGGGAAACAGGATGGCCATATCTGCCAGAAAATTGAACTGGGCATTGTACTTGGGGATCCCCTTATGTGCCTGCCACTGTGCTTCCCACATTGCCTAGATGCCCACACACCTGGAAGGTGCTACATTCCTGGTTTTTGTGAGTGTGGCAGGTCCCCTGGTGGCTCTACCTCGTAGCAATAACGATCCCTGGAGCAGGTGTCATCACTGTAGAAATGCAGGTTACAGCCTTTGCAGAGCCACAGCTCGGGCCCTGAATTACACCAAGTTGCCCTCCTTCTGTTAAGTAATAAGCTGAATCTCTACCTAGAATAGAGAAACATAATAGGAGAAATAGGACAACTGAGTTATCATAAAGCACAAGTAGTAAATGCAGACAAACCTAAAAGACCCCACATCATAGCATTTAGTCCATATGCAAAGGGTAAGTGGAGATTTTGGGTCAACTAAGCATCATCTATTAATTTTGTTAAATATGTTTTGAGTTTTGTTGGAAATTTTTCTTTGCATTTGATTTGTAAATGTGGTTTTGGCTGTTATAGGAAGCATAGATAAAGGGATACTGTAACTCATTTTTTGCATATCATGTTTTATGATGAAAAAGTAAGTTAACTATGGATCCATCAGATTGTTTTCCCTTTAAAAGGGTTTAATGCCTAAATGAATTTTGGAAAACACTGATTTTGGAGCAGGATAGAATATGAATCTGTTTTCATGCTACCGTTAAACAGAACTGTTATCACTAACTTGTCAATAAGAACTCTGAGGCTCCGAGTAGAACGTTAAAGGAATGTGGCAATTAGGGATAACAGTTGTCTCATTAGATAATTGTCAGGTTTTTAGAATCATGTATGTAATGTTCTCTTAGATTTTTATTCCTCATCCAGAGTCTCTCTTGAGCTCAGTAGCCACCATTTATTCTGCACCCTCATGACTATATCTATTTGGGTATCTCAAATGCAGTTTCAAATCAGTATATCTAAAACTTGTTATCTCCTTCAACCAGACCTTCTCTAGTATTTCCTAACTTGTGAACAACATCATCAGACACTAAATGGTAAAGTTGTTCTTAACTAAAACTTCACAATTGACCTTTCATTCTCCCTCTTGCTTCATGTGTAAGGCATCCTCAGGTCTTTGCATTTCACTTCCTTAAAAGCTTTTGAATCGGCATTTCTGTATATTCCATTTGTGACTACCTTAGTTCAGGTCTCAAACCACCTTTTCTGAACTAGTTTCTGATAGTAAACTTCTGGTCTTGATTTTACCCGATTCGTTCTCCATGATAAAGGCAGATTGGCTTGCTGAAAAAAAATCAATCACACCTGCTTATAAACTTTGGAAGCCAATGCCTTTAGAATACATTAATAGCTTAATTTCTTAATATGGCTTATATTTTTCCCCATCTTATAGTCTCTGCATATATCTACAAGTTTATCAGAGTACTTTCTTGGCAATTTTTCCTGACATCTTTAACTATTTGTCCTAATTGCAATTTTTCAAATGTGCTATTTTTGTCTTTTGCACATAATACTCTTTTGATTTCTGGAATACTGATGATTGCTACCTGCCCTCCCTGATTTTTACCTGTTTCATTTCTTTTCCTAACCTGCAAAGACCAGATTAAGTGCCTCTAACATTTGACCCCCACTTTTGAATGGTGTACTAATTACCTCATTATATCCTAATTAATTGCTTACTGTTTTTTTTCCATCTAACTGTGAGCTACTCGTAAGAGGTTCTTATTTATAATTGTACTCCCAGTGCCTTCCTTTTACAGTAGTTTTAAAAATTTTTGGTTGAATGCTTGTTAAAAAATTAAGTGCTAACTGAATGTAAACAAAACAGGTGTGCTTCAGTCAAGAATAGGTCAAGGTAAACATTCCATCCAGCATGACTCAGCAAGTTTGGAGCAGAGGCGCACAACTCTGTTCACTATGTAACCTGTTTGTGTAAGCTCATACTTGACTCTGAGCTACTATTGTCTGTAAGGAGTATAACTGCCCTGCCACCTTGGAGGTGGATAGAGGGAGAGAGAAAGAGTGACCACCAACTCCCCTTGGACCTCAGCATGGGATAGAACCTGACACTTGGTGTAGTTGGCAGGATACTGAGGTGACTGAGTTTTCAGCCTCTGCTGATTCCGGGTCAGCCATGTGGCTGCAACATGGGTTGTGGTACCCAGTGGTAGTGGTGCTGCTCGAATGAGCTCCGGTGGAAACCTGGGTTGGTGGTAGATAGGTCCCCTGAAAGCATGGAGAAGATACTAAAGCAACTGGAAGCACAGAGCACTAAGAAGGAGCAAGCTTTTGCCAGCAGAGTTAGATGGGCATTTGTGACTGTGCTGTGCAAAGTGCATGCTCAGTCCCTACAGGATTCCACCTTGAGCTATGGGAATTGAATAAACAGTGCCATCAGCGTCCAGAGGAACCTCTGCCAACCTGGATTCTTCATCTATGGGACGAGGGAGCAGATAGTATCTGCAGTTTCACCTCTGGAATAGACAGGTGACTTCCATCAGGACTCATCCCTCCCTCCATCAGCAGTTGCATGTGAGCAGGCACTTTGCAGTGGGGCGAGGCAACCATACTTTAATTAAATTGCTAATGGTGGCCATACGGACAGTGTGGACTGATGCCGGTGAAATACCAGAAACTGTCAGTAGAAGGCAGTCGTATACAGACTTGGTGCAAGTCATTCAGGAGAAGGATAATGCTTTGCAACCCAGTCCTGCCCAGGTGCTCCAGCTCAAAGACTAAGTGGTGGCAGCTAGGCGAGGGTGCAGAGCCTTTTCTGTTTGATTTGTACAGCAGGTGCTGGCACTAGTAGATACTGGTGCAGATTGCAGCCTTGTTTATGGGAACCCAGATAAGTTTCCTGGCAAGACTGTGTATATATATAAATGGCTGTGAAAGCCGGTCAATGAAAGTGAAACCTGTATCTTTGCAACCTGGCATTGGCCACTTGGCTCCCTGCTTATACACTGTGTATGTTTCTCTCATACCTGAATACATTCTGGGTGTGAATGTTTTACATGGCTTGGCAGCTGTCCCATCTATCACAGATTTGATAGACCGCTTGACAAAGGAATTGGGACAATACAACTATGTGGTGGACTTGGCTAATGCATTATTTTCCAGAGAGCCAGGAAGAGTTCGCCTTCATGGGAGAGTGACAGTGGAGTTTCACAATGTTGCCATAGGACTATATGCATAACCCCACCATATGTCATGGTCTCATTGTTGATATTATGTTAACCTCTGATTCTCTTGCTAATTTAGAAGCAGCAATGCCCCTCTTGCCTGGGATCGAGATAGTGCAACTGAGACTGACTTCCTGGCAGCCAAGCAGGCTATTCAGCAAGCACAGGCCCTGAAGTGATTAGCCAGGGGTACCCATTTAAATTTAATGTGTGTGTAACCACAGATAGTTTTGTTTGGGGCCTGTGACAGCACACAGAGCACTTGAGAACACCAGTAGGCTTTTGGTTCCAACTTTAAAAGGGAGCTAAGCTCCAGTATTCATTAATAGGGAAGCAGCTAGTAGCTGCATATGCTGCCCTTTAGGCTCATGATAGCATGATAGGATGGGTACAGTCATCATGTGGATAACTTACCCAATAGCAGAATGAGTGCGTTCATGGGTAATGACTCCCCAGACTGGGACGGCACAAGGTAGGCATCCAGTTCAGCATGACTCAGCGAGTTTGGAGTGCAGGCGCACAGCTCTGCTCATTATGTAACCTGTTGGTGTAAGCTCATTCTTGGCTCTAAGCTACTGTTGTCTGTAGGGAGTATAACTGCCCTGCCACCTTGCAGGCAGATGCTGGGAGAGAGAGAGTAAAGTCACTGATGCTGTGAATAGTGCTGTTGCTGCTGCTACTGCACACATAATAGAGCCATCCACCTTGCAGGTGGACAGGGAGAGTGAGCCAAGAAATGGCAAGTGCACCAGGGAGTGCAGCTGCAGGCACAGGGGTGGCAGGAGCTACAGAGCACAGAGCTGGCTGCTGAGAAGGGCCGCAGCTGGAGCAGGTACTCAAGACAAAGGCTGACAAAGAGAAAGAGCATAATAATACCATATTCACCTGCCTATGGCCACTCGAGTGTTCTTTCAGCTACCCATCATTCATCCACCAACTCCTGTTGAACCTCAGCTTGGGCTAGAACCCGACACTTAGCATGACACTGAATATTTCATTTTTATAAGACTTTTAATCTGTAAAATTATATGCAATATTTGATATTTTATTCTATTATTTCTTCATTTGTATTTTACTTACTTGTGGAAAAATGTTACTTTTCATGTTTTTGAATATTCCATGGTCTCTGAGGTAGTTCGAAATGCATAGTAGGTACAAAAATACTTACTATTTAACTTAGTAATCAAATTATTTAAAATGCCAGTGAGGCTATGGTTTATACATCAAAATGATTACCTGAAGCTTTTCAGACAAAGACACTGGTTGAGTGACTGAATATTTAATCATCTGATTATTTTTGTACAATTTAGTTTTTATGGTTTGAGGGACATAAATTCTTTGAGCAAAAAGACCCTGACCTGGTAAATTAGACTTAACCAGTCCCAAACCATGTTCAATTAGACAAACACCAATTTGGATGCTATCAGTAACAATGTCCAGAAAACAAAACAAAAGCATACTTTTTGAAAAGTACTTTCCCTTGCAGTTTTTTGCTTATTTATTAAAGAGATTACAAAAGAGAAGTCATGATGAATTCTCATAACATGTATGTTTAGTGATAATTCTATACAGAAGAATATAAAAATAATGACTTTAAAGGTTGTGTATGTTAACAACTGGACTCTTGTTCTTGTCTTAACTAGTGACATTTTTTCAGACATATCAAAGAAAAATTAGAGAAAAGAAATTCCAGCTGATTTTTTTTTGACAGAGAAAGCTAAGTGATGATAGCTAATTATAACTAATATCTGGGAGTTGCATTGTATTAAAAAGCCACGGAAGAAAAAGTGATCAGAATGTCAATTTCTTTTTCATTTTCATGCTTTGAACATAAGACCATTTTGAAATAACAATGTGCTTAGGATTCTGCATTGCTTAGAATAATAAAGACATAAGACTATAATGCTTTATTTTTCATATGATTATAAATTACTTACAATTAGTTATTTCTTTCCATGTTGCAGGTATGGAACTCTATTAAATGCTTATATATTTGTACATAATATAATTTATGACTAAAAAATTGTAATGTAAATTCTAAAGTACTTAGAACCAAGTGATAATAAAAATGTTAAATTTCAAACTTATGAGATATGGCAGACACAGTAACTGAAGGAAATCTATCACATTAAAAGTTCATAAAAGAAATAAGAGGTTAAAATTAAAAAGTAAAACATTAAACTTAAGACATGGAATAAAAGAGAAAAAAAAAACTGCCTGTAAAAGAAGAAAATATTTTTTAAAAGAACAAAAATTACCAAAAGGTAAAACAACACAGAATAAAGAGAATGAATTAATTGAAAATTTAGCTTTGAAGAAGTTAATAAAATAGATTAAAATTCTATCATGATTAGTCAAGAAAACAAATGGGACTAAATAACAGGACATAATTATAGATACACAGAAATTAGAAAAATAATTTTGAAAAATGTTATATAACTACATTTGAAAACAGAAAAAATAGATAAATTTCAAGAAAGATATAACTCACTAAAAATTATCTAAGACAAAGTAGGCAGTCTAACTAGTTCTACAATTACTAAAGTAATTGAATCAATGGTTTAAAATCTTTCTGCCTTAAAATTTTAAAAAGTGATGATATTCAGATGGCTTAAAATTTCAAGGAGTGGATAATGCAAAATATCTTAAATATTCCAAGGAAACAAGAAAATTTCCAACAAATTCTACAAGGCTCTTATGAGTTTGTAAATATCAGACAAGAAGAATATTAACATAAATGATTAGGTTTCAATCCATTTGCACTTGTCAATGAGCCCCCAGCATTTCCCACTTAAGGCAGATGTGTATAAACAATAAAACAAGATTTCTGTGTGCCTCAATCTTTAAAAGCTATTTTCAGAGAGAAATATAAGTTGTGTTTCTCTCTTTTGTTTTAAGCAAATAGACATTTAGATTTCTATTGTAAATGAAAACAATGAATCTGTTGGGGGGGAAAATGAGTAAAAAGCAGGCTGGGTGTGGTGGCTCACACCTGTAATCTCAGCGCTTTGAGAGGCTGAAGCAGGAGATTGCTTGAGCCCAGGAAGTTGAGACCAGCCTGGGCAACACGGGGACCCACCGTTTTTTTTTTGTTTTGTTTTGTTTTTAGAAAATGTATCTGAGCGTGGTGGTGCATGCCCATGTTCCAGCTACTCGGGAGGCTAGGGTGGGAATACCACTTCGGCCTGGACGGTCGAGCCTATAGTGAGCCATGATCATGCCGGGCACTCCAGACTGAGCAATAGAGCTAGACCCTATTGGAAGGGAGGGAAGAAGGTAAGAATAGAGGAAAGAAAAAGAAAACAACATACAGTGATGGAGAATTTGCCAGTTAGCAACTGACATGGTGGGCCATAGTGGGTCTTGCCTATGAAGTGATGACCTAGTGCCAAGAGTGCAAAAACAGGTTCCAGAGCTTAGTGTAGGGGTTCAGGTTGGTCCTGGGCTGAGCTTGGGGACACACCTAGGAATTTCTAGGCAAATAAGCAATGGAGTTTAGGGGCTGATGATAGAGCACAAACACACCATAAGAAAAGAAAAGAACTGCTTTTGGCAGATAGGATAAGGAGAAGCCCTAAGATTTTAACTCTAGTCTGGAAAGCAGGTCTCAGGGAAGGCATGTCTGAAGTCCAGAAGACCAGGGGAAACCTGAATGCAGAAAGTGCAGCTGGTTCACTATGTCGTGAAATACAACAACCAGGGAACACCCTTGGAGATTGTGAGCTATATTGCTCAGGAAAAATTCATTGTTCTACACTGGGCAGTAAATTTATGAATATTGTTATGATAAGGTATGTTTCTAATCCTGTCTCTAATAATGGTGATATCCTTAGAATAAGGCTTTGATTTTCCAGAGTGTTGAGAGATTTTAGTCACTAAAAGCATAAGCTATGAAATTCTGTTTTACAGATTAAACCTTTTACCAGTTTGTTTCCCACTTACGTAGTTCAAATAAAGCAATAAGTAATAATTTTATAAACAAAAAAGGAAACTGAGAAAAAATAAAATAGAACATTAGCATTTAAGCAAAGATAAGCAATTGTGAGGTCCAGAGAGAGAAAACAAATGTTTATTGAACACCTGGTATATTCCATATAATGTTCTAGACACATTAACTGTCATCTCAATTTTCAGTCTTGTATGATGAAGACAATCTTGTTGTATAAATAGAGAAACTTATGAAGGGTATACTATTTGCCTAATATTACCTAACCTGTAAGTAACAGACAAACCAATACTTATAATTGACAAATCTTTGGCTTTTCTCTAATCGGTGATATTGAAATTATATAAGCTAATAAACCTAATGAGTTTTTAATATTTTTAAAATTTTTTTTGGAATAATTTTGAATTTACAACAAATTTGCAAAGATAGTACACATATTTCTCCTATATGCCTCAATCAGTTTCCTTTTATGTTAACCTATTACATTATTATTGTTTGTTTATTAAAACTAAGGAAAAGAGAGGCAAAAAAAGAAAAGGCACACATTTAACAGCATCAGGAGAGATACAGGGGATAGAACTACAGACCCCACAGACATCACTGATACTTAATAAGGAAAGAATGAATTCTTTCTCTAAGGTAAGAAACAAGGCAAGGATGTATGTACAGTTAAGTGCATTGTACCAAAACACCTAGCTCTAGTACATTGTCAATAAACATTAATAAAAATCATACAGATTAGAAAGAATTAAACTGTTTCTATTTGTAGATTATATAATTTTTCTGTATAGAACATACAAAGGAATATATAAAACAAAACAAGCAAAATATTCTAGAACTAAAACTAGGAGTTAGCAAGGTGACAGAATACAAGGCCAAGACACAATCACTGATTGTGTAGCAACGAACAACTAGAGACCAAAATAAAACTAAACAAAATAGTAATATATACAATAACTCCACAAAAATGTAAAACTTTAATACAAATCTAACAAAAAAGGTATCAACTCTGTATGCTGAAAACTACAAAAGGCTACTGAAATAAATCATAGGAATTTGTGCAAATCACATGTGGACCTGTGCCCGGACTATTAACAAAATTCTCAAATTGTAATAATCTCTTGAAAAGTTTTATAAAATCAGGTAAAATATCTGAACAGAAACTTCACCAAAATAGATAGGCACATACAAATAAGCATCAGAAAATATATGCAAACTCATTAATAATTAGATAAGTGCTAATTTAATTAATTAATTAATTAAATTAATTAATGAGATGCTATTACACACATATTAGAATGGATATAAAAAATAAATAATAGCAAATTCTGGCAAGGTTGCAGAACAATTGCAACTCTCCTACATTGCTGATGTGATTGCAAGTTGGTATAGCTACTTTTGGAGAATAGCAGTTTCTTATAAAGCTATATATACACTCATCAATATAGCCTGACATCTCAATTTGTATTTATCAAAGTAAAATGAAATCTTCACACATCAATCCTACACAAATGTTTATAGAGGCTTTATTTATAATTGCAAAAAACGTGACACAACTCAAAGTTCTCTCAACTATGAAACTGATAGATTAACAGCTGTACAGCAGTGGTAGATTAACAGCTGTACAGCAGTGGTACATCATTCAATGAAATACTACTGAGGAATACAAAGAATCATACTACTGATACACTCAACAGCATAGCGGAGTTGTAAATCCATATGCTAAGAGAAAGAAGCTGGACTGAAGGCTGTGTACCCATGTAATTTCATTTTTATAGCATTCTAGATAAGGTAGAAACTTGAGATAAACAGATCAGTGATTTCCAGGGACTGGATATGGGGGCGGAGAACAGTGGGGAGAATTTGACTAAAAAATGAAATGGGGGAGCTTTTGGGTGATGGAACTATTCTATGCCTTCATTGTTGTATGTTTACATGACCTAATGCATTTATCAAAACTCAAAATTGTACAGTAAGAAGGGTGAAATGTATGTACATTTATTTTAATGAAGAAAGAGGGCCAGGTGTGGTGGCTCACGCCTGTAATCCCAGCACTTTGGGAGGCCAAGGTGGGCGGATCACGAGGTCAGGAGATCAAGATAATACTGGCTAGCACCGTGAAACCCTGTCTCTACTAAAAGTACAAAAAATTAGCCGTACGTGGTGGCAGGTGCTTGTAGTCCCAGCTACTCGGGAGGCTGAGGCAGGAGAATGTCATGAACCCGGGAGGCGGAGCTCGCAGTGAGCCAAGATCATGCCACTGCACTCCAGCCTGGGCAACAGAACGAGACTCTGTCTCAAAAAATAAAAAATAAAAAAAAAATAAAAAAGCAAGATGTTATTTTTAGAAAACAAGGTTATTTTCTACTTTCATGATAAAAGATTTGGTGATCATATAAATAAGATATTCTGTGGAGATTTTACCAGTCAACCCAGGACTCTCTAAGTTAAATGTAAAGGAAAAGCAGGTAATAAAGAATGAGTGATTTCTTTAAATACGATGAGAAATATCAGTGTTCTGAGAGTGGTAACTGAGTAGGGACTTGCTAGAATATAAGGTCCAGAAGAGCAAGTTCTACTTCCATTCACCAATATATCTTCAGGGCCTACAAAGATGCTTGATATTTAGTAGGTGCCATATACCAATACCTACTATAGATAAGGGAAATGGAGTTAGTTAAAATCAGATGATAGTTGTCTTTTCAGCAAAGTATACTCAGTAAGCTTAATAAATAGGTAGAGTTTGGTGTTAGAGACCTGAAAATATTAAAATCATGTGTTTATTTATATCCCCAACTAGAAAAAAAAAGAGACAGTGGTTTCAGTTTGTATTTCTAGCTAGTGTCTAGGAAATGATAGGTGTACTAACATTTTGACAACAGAAGAGTCATTGAAATAAATTAAGGCATAAATATTTATAATCCCATTCATTCTGACCATACATAATCCATTCTCAACAGTATAGACACAAGGAACTTTTTAACTATAATTCTGGTTATGTTACCCCCTCACTTAGAATTATGTATGATTCCTCATTTTCCCTAAGCTAAAGACAATATCCCCTCAGATGATTGACTAGGATGTGTGTGGTTTGGCCTTTATATCCTTGCTAAAATTATCCATCATACTCAATACTTTAGAGTAAAGCTGACCTTAATCTTAAAAAACATATCAGATTTTAGCTAACATTTTATTGAACGTGTTTTGTAGGCTTTTCTACTAAGATTAAATGGCAATTCACTCCCCTTCTGTTAGAAAAACATTTGTTTCTGCATAAACATACCAAACAATAAACAAACAAATAGAGAATAAGGGAACAAGACCAAAGGCTTAGGAAAAGGAGAGACAAATAGCTACATTCACAGTATACAAGTAGAGCAAAGTCTATTATCCATTCCTCCGTTCTTTTCCCACTTGTGCCCCATGGGGAAAAGGAAAAGGAGGACTCAGCCATTATATCCAAGGCTTTCAGAAATCTAATCAATCCAATATCTTGCCAAACACAAAATCTAATTGAAAAAGTAAATTATTTTGGATAATAAAGAATATTATTTTGAAAATCATTTATATACTAATTAAAACTCTAATTAGTTTTCTCTAATGAGAAATATGTGATGAAAAATTTATTTCTCCAGAGATTTTCTGAGAGTATTAGTAAGAAGTTAGTTTAGAAACAACAGTCAATTAAGACTTCTTCTTGTCTAGAAAAATAAACCTAACAAGCATTTTACCTTGCTAGCTTCTTAGAAGTAGAATTAAAGACAAATCACTATAAAATAATTAGAAGCAAAAAATATTGCAGACATTTTGTCAAAGTCCTAACCTCTGGTATTTTGTTTGGAAATAAGGTAT
This sequence comes from Homo sapiens, assembly GCF_000001405.40. Taxonomy (NCBI): domain Eukaryota; kingdom Metazoa; phylum Chordata; class Mammalia; order Primates; family Hominidae; genus Homo; species Homo sapiens. The sequence goes on from NC_000018.10 coordinate 43,493,968, forward strand.
TTGCAGAGGTAATAAAGTTAAAACAAGGTCATTAGTGTAGGCCCTAATCCAACATGCCTGGCATCCTTATTAAAACACACACACACACATATTATGAAGACATAGACACAAGGAGAAAGCCATGTGATGTCACAGGCAATGACAGCTGGAAGTGCTCCAGCTGCAAGCCAAGGGGTGCCTGTTACTACCAACAGCTACAAGAGGCAAGAAATGATCATCCCTGGAGGCTTCAGAGGGAGCACAACACTGGCAATGCCTTGCTTTCCTGCTGTTGAACATGAGATTCCTTGTTCTTCAGTTTTGGGACTCAGGCTTTCCTTACTTCTCAACTGGCAGACAGCCTATTTTGGGACCTAGTGATTGTGTGAGTTAATACTTAATAACCTCACTTTATATATGAATTTTTTAAATAATTTATATGTGTGTGTGTGTGTGTGTATATATATATATATTCTGTTCCTCTAGAGAACCCAGACTAATACAGATTTGGTACCAGGAGTGGTTCTAGAGAAACAGAATATTAAGAATGGAGTTCTTTCATTGGTTTTGGGGTTTCTGGAGTTGGCTGCTGAATATGATCACACTCAAAAATGCTAAGGACACTACTCCCAATAGTATGGACAACACTAATAGTCCTTGGCGTGAACTGTTTAGAGAATTATGCAAAATAAATGCATTTGACAATCCTGATTCACTGCTCATGAGAGGCAAGGAGTTTAGTGACTCTATATAATACCTTTGACCATATATGGAGAACCAAGGAACCTAATAAATATGGTTGATTGTTCCTAAGTTCAGTGGACAAAGTGATGAAAGGAAGTGATGAACTCAGGGGTTATATCTCCTGGCTTCAGAAGCAGATACTGAGCCTCAAATCTGCTAAGATTGCCCTGAGTGAGATTCTTATCTCCTGTAGAGAAAACTGAAATTGTGGAAAGACAGACACAAGCTCTTATTATGTGCATGGCTGACTTGCAATGAAAGGCGCACCTACAGCCCTGCCAGGTGTCTACTGTTAAAGTGAGGGCATTGATTGGAAAAAAAAAAATGGGAACCTGCAACTTGGGATGTGTGGGAGGACCGTGATGAAGCTGGGGACACAGATTTTGTAAACTTTGATGAATCTCTTTTGCCAGAAGGAATAGTTTTTCCATCCACAGTAGTGGCAACATCTCCTCCCTGACCCATGCTGACATCAGCCTTTCCACCTTGGTCTGAGGAGATAAACCCTGTGCTGACTGACACAACAGTGATGGCCTCCCCTGAGGCAGTTGCCAAGAAAGATAATGTTGATTCTCCTCAGAAGCCACCGCCAATAGCCATGTTTGCTTCTAGACCTACAACTAGACTAATGTCCTCGCAGAACCCTAGAGGTGAGGTTGAGAGTGTGAACCATGAAGAGATTTGCTACACAGTAAAATAATTGCTTGAGTTTTCTAACTTAGATGAACAGAAATCTGGAGAACAGGCATGGGAATAGATATTAAAGGTGTGGGATAATGATGGAAGGAACATACCGTTGGATCAGGCTGCCTTTATTGATTTAGGCCCACTAAATAGGGACTGTGCATTTAATGTTGCAGCTTGGGGAGTTTTAAAGGGTTCTAAGAGTTTATTTGCTTGGTTAGCTGAAATATTCATTAAAAGATGGCCAGCTGTGAGCTAGTTGGACATCCCTGATCTCCCTTTGTTTAATGTAGAGGAAGGGATCCAAAGGCTTAGGGAGATTGAAATGGTGGAGTGGATTAGTTACTTTAGACCTACTCATCCTAGCTGGGAGGGTCCAGAAGACAGACCCTTGACCAATGCCTCGCAAAATAGATTTGTGGGGGCACCACGTGCATCTTTGAAGAGCCCTGTAATTCCTCTTCACTGTATGTCATATCTAACAGTGGAAACCACAGTCACTCAACTATAAAATTTAAATACAGAGGGAATAATTGGATCCTGAAATGGCAAAGACCAAGTGGTGGCACTCAACCATCAAAGGCAAGGTGGGTGTATCTACTGTAATGGACAGCAGAGGCAAAGCAGCAATCAGAATAGTCTAACTCATGCAGAGCTCCAGCATTGGCTAATTAATCACAGTGTTCCTAGAAGTGAAATTGATAGGAAGCCTACTGCATTCCTACTCAATTTATACAAGCAGAAAACTTCTAGGTCGAATGGACCAGAGACTAATTTGAATTATAAAGACAAAGAATCATGGCCTCTCAATTTCCAGACTTGAGTCAGTTTACAAACCCAGGACCCCTTGAATGAAGGGGAGGCCAGTCCCCTTGAGAAAGGACCCCACTACATTACTGAAAACTTATGCAGTGAATCTTCCTCCCATCCTTCCCCAAGGAGACCTCCAGCCTTTTACCAGGATAACTATGCACTGGGGAAAGGGAAATGATCAGACATTTTGGGGACTGCTGGACAATGGCTCTGAGCTGACATTGATTCCAGGGGACCCAAAATGTCATTGTCGTCTTCCAATTGAAGTAGGGGTTTATGGAGGTCAGGTAATTACTGGAATTTTAGAACAGCCCCAACTTACAGTGTGTCCAGTGGGTTCCTGGACTCATCCTGTGATCATTATCCCAGTACCAGAATGCATAATTGGCATAGACATACTTAGCCAGCTGGCAGAACCCCCATATTGGATTTCTGACTGGTAGGTTGAAGGCTGTTATGGTGACAAGGGCCCAGTGGAAGCCATTAGAGCTGCCTCTACCTAGAAAAATAGTAAATCAAAAACAATATTCCATACCTGAAGGGCTTGCAGAGATTAATGCCACCATCAAGGACTTGAAAGATGGCAGAGGTAGTGATTCCCACCATAACCCCATTCAACTCTTCTATGTAGCCTGTGCAGAAGACAGATGAATCTTGGAGAATGACAGTGGATTATCGTAAGCTTATCCAAATGGTGACTCCAATTGCAGTTGTTGTACCAGATGTGGTTTCATTGATTGGGCAAATTAACATATCTCCTGGTACCTGGTATGCAGACATTGACTTGACAAATGCCTTTTTCTCCATTCCTGTCCAAAAGGCCCATCAGAAGCAATTTGCCTTCAGCTGGAAAGGCCAGCAATATACCTTTACTGTCCTAACACAGAGGTATATCAACTCTCCGGCTTTGTGTAATAATTGTATTCAGAGAGACCTTGAGTGCTTTTCACTTCGCAAGATATTACACTGCTCCATTACATGGATGACATTATTCTGATTGGATTCAGTGGACAAGAAGTAGCAAGCACATTGGACTTATTAGTGAGACATTTGCATGCAGAGGATGGGAAATAAATCCAACTAAAATTTAGGGACTTGCTACATCAGTAAAATTTATAGGGGTTCAGTGTTGTGAGGCCTGTTGAGATATTCCTTCTAAGGTGAAAGATAAGTTGCTGCATTTGGCCTCTCCTACAACTAAGAAAGAGGCACAATGCCTAGTGGGCCTATTTGGATTTTTGAGGCAATGCATGCCTCATCTGGGTGTGTTACTCTGGCCCATTTATCAAGTGGCCCAAAAGGCTGCCATTTTTGAGAGGGGTAAAGAACAGGAGAAGGCTCTGCAAAAGGTCCAGTCTGCTGTGCAAGCTTCTCTGCCACTTGGGTCATATGACCCAGCAGATCCAATGGTGCTTGAGGTGTCAGTGGCAGATAAGGATGTCGTTTGAAGTTTTTGACGGGCCCTCATAAGTGAGTCACAGTGGCAGCATCTAGGATTTTGGAGCAACATTCTGCCATCTTCTTCAGATAACTATTCTCCTTTTGAGAGATAGCTTTTGGCCTCTTACTGGGCTTTAGTGGAAACTGAACATCTGACTATGGGTCATCAAGTCATTATGCAGCCTGAACTGCCTATCATGAACTGGGTGCTTTCAGGCTCATCTAGCCATAAAGTGGGTCATGAACAGCAACACCCCATCATCAAATGGAAATGGTATATACATGATCAGGCTCGAGCAGGCCCTGAAGGCAACAGTAAGTTACATGAGGAAGTGTCTCAAATGTCCATGGTCTCCACTCATGTCACCCTGCCTTCTCTCCCCTCAGCCTACACCGATGGCCTTATGGGGAGTTCCTATGATCAGTTGAGAGAGAAAGAGAAGATTAGGGCCTGGTTCACAGATGGTTCTGCATGATATATAGGCACCACCTGAAAGTAGACAGCTGCAGCACTACATCCCCTTTCTAGGACATCCCTGAAGGACAATGGTGAAGGGAAATGTTCCCAGTGGGCAGAACTTTGAGCAGTGCAGCTAGTTGTGCACTTCGTATAGAAGGAGAAATGGCCAGATGTGCAATTATATACTGACTCATGGGCTGTAGCTAATGGTTTTCCTGGATGGTCAGGGACTTGGAAGAAACAGGATTGGAAAATTGGTGACAAAGAAATTTGGGGAAGAGGTATGTGGATGGACATCTCTGAGTGGTCAAAATCTGTAAAGATATTTTTATACCATGTGAGTGCTCACCAACAGGTGATCTCAGCAGAGGAGGATTTTGATAATCAGGTAGATAGGATGACCTGTTCTGTGGTCATTACTCAGCCTCTTTCCCCAGCCACCCTCTCATCACTCAATGGGTCCATGAACAAAGTGGCCATGGTGGCAGGAATGGAGGTTATGCATGGGCTCAGCAACATGGACTTCCACTTACCAAAGCTGACCTGGCTATGGCCACTGCTGAGTTTCCAATTTGCCAGCAGAGGACACCAACAATGAGCCCTTGATATGGCACCATTCCTCGGGGTGATCAGCCAGCTACCAAGTGGCAGGTCGATTATATTGGACCTCTTCCATCATGGAAAGGGCAGAGGTTTGTCCTCACTGGAGTAGACACTTACTCCAGATATGGGTTTGCCTATCCTGCATGCAATGCTTCCCCCATGACTACCATTTGTGGACTCACCGAATGCCTTACCCACCATCATGGTATTTCACACAGCATTGCCTCTGACCAAGGCACTACTTTAAGGCTAAAGAAGCGAGGCAGTGGGCTTGTGCTCATGGAGTTCACTGGTCTTACCATGTTTCCCATCATCATGAAGGAGCTGGATTGATAGAATGATGAAATGGCCTTTCGAAGTTCCAATTATAATGCCAACTAGGTGACAATACTTTGCAGGAGTGGGGCAAAGTTCTCCAGAAGGCTGTGTATGCTCTGAATCAGTGTCCAGTATATGGTGCTGTTTCTCCCACAGCCAGAAGTCACAGGTCCAGGAATCAAGGGGTGGGAGTAGAAGTGGCACCACTCATGGTCACCCCTAGTGATCCACTAGCAAAATTTTTGCTTCCTGTTCCTGCGACATTATTGTCTGCTGGCCTAGAGGTTTTAGTTCCAGATGGAGGAAGACTTCCACCAGGAGACACAACAACAATTCCATTAAACTTGAAGTTAAGATTGCCACCTGGGTACTTTGGGCTCCTCCTACCTTTAAGTCAACAGGCTAAGAAGGGAGTGACTGTGTTGGCTGGGATGATTGACTATCATGATGAAATCAGTCTACCACTCCACAACGGAGGTAAGGAAGATTATGCATGGAATACAGGATATCCATTAGGGCATCTCTCAGTATTACCATGCCCTGTGATCAAGGGTAATGGAAAACTGCAACAGACAAATCCAGGCAGGACTACAAATGGCCCAGACTCTTCATGAATGAAAATTTGGGTCACTACACCAGGAAAAAACCATGTCCTGCTGAGGTGCTTGCTGAAGGCAAAAGGAATACAGAATGGGTAGTAGAAGAAGGTAGTCATCAATACCAGCTACGATCATACGTCCAGCTTCAGGAACCAGGACTGTAATTGTTATGAGTATTTCCCCCTTCTTTTGTAAAAACATGTTTGTGCATGTATACACTTGTACTAAGAAAATATTGTCATTTTGTTTCCTTTTACCTTTATTGTGTAACATAAGATTTATTGACTTCATATCATCATTTAAGTATCGTTAAATTTGTGTAGTGATATTTGGCTTAGGAACTGGTGCATTTCCAGTTGTAGGAAAGATAGTTGTATTATGTTAGGAGTAATTATGAGCTTATTATTGTCTTTATTTGAAAATTATGTATGATCTCAGGGGATGTGTATGGGTTCAAGTTGACAAGGGATGGACTTGTGATGGTTAATAGTGAGTGTCAACTGGATTAAAGGACACAATTGATCTTGGATGTGTCTCTGAGGGTGTTGCCAAAGGAGATTAACATTTGAGTCTGCAGACTAGGAAAGGCAGACCCACCCTTAATCTAGGTAGACATCATATGATCAGCTGCCAGCATGGCTAGAATATAAAAAGCAGGCAAAAAATGTGAGAGAGAGGAGACTGGCCTAGCCTTCCAGCCTACATCTTTCTCCCATGCTGGATTCTTCCTGCCTTCGAACATCAGACTCCAAGTTCTTCAGTTTTGGGACTCGAACTGGCTCTCTTTGCTCCTCAGCTTGCAGATGGCCTATTGTGGGACCTTCTGATTATGTGAGTTAATACTTAGTAAACTCCTCTTTGTGTGTGTGTGTGTGTGTGTATATATATATGTGTGTGTGTGTGTGTGTGTGTATATATATATATATCCTATTCTGTCTCTCTAGATAATCTTGACTAATATACCCACCCTTCTCACCCACCCTTCTTCCAATATTCACTTGCCTGCTTCTCTGGTACATATAGCGCATTAACAGTGTTCTCCCCACAGCTTTAAAATGCACGTATTTCACCTCCAACTAGTCAAAGAAAATGAGAATCTCTGTGCTTCTCAGTCTGAATTCCAAAATTCCTGCAGAGATAATCTAATTGGCTATACTTACATAAGGAGCCCACACCAGATTGGAGCTACAATTACTAAAGGTCAAGGCCACATTATGTAAAATAGCTTCTAAGGTCCACTGGCTGATTAAGGTGGACAGATAAAAGTGGCAGCAGGGTCTGGGCAGCATCTTCACAATGTCTTTATATTAAACATATTTTTAAATCCAGCTGTAAAAGTTAGTATGTGTTTATCAAAAAAAGAAAAACATTGCAGAACAACCTAAATATATAGATCAACCCATGATTCTTTCTCTAGGGAAAGGTGCTATTAAACTTCTGGTGTTTAACTTCTGCCATGAACAGCTTCACACAGATGCATTAATGTGAAGTCTCGTGAAGAGCAATTAAATACTCAGGGGAAGGTTCAGAGGATAAGGGGTTCTGCTTATAGAAGTTACAAAGCCAGAAAAAAAATGTTCTGAGCAAGGTTTACTTCTGAGAAGTGGTGAGAGTAGGGAGCTCTGCAGAGAAGGCAGCATGTGCGGAGGCAGGTGTTAAGTGAGACAGGGCAGGCAAGCTTTTCATAGCACTTTATAAAACACAAAAGTGTCCTGCAAATGTCAGCCCATGTGATTCCTGCAAAAAAATCTAGTGAGATGAGCATGGTTGCATTTAGCTCTGTGAAGAGACAGAGCCTAAAAGGTATATAGTGACACAGCTATTTCTGATTTTCAGTGGATTCCACATCCAGTATTTGCAAGTCAATTCAGAACAATCTGGCAGGGACATCTACTTGATATGGCATTGAGAGAAGTATATGACAATATACATGGAAAGCACTTAGAAAGTGTCTAGCACACTGTAACCATCTCCATAAGCATCAATTGTTTTGAGGCCTTATAGGTTTATCAACATTTATCAACTGTTTGCCTTATAGATTGGTGGTCAATACCATGGACTCTAACTAAACTTATGGGTGTATCCTGCATCTGAAAACTGACTGTGTTCTCCCCTGTGTACATCATTTTTCTTATCACTAAAATAAAACATCAATAGAAATAATCTCATATGTTTCTTATTTTTAAAAATGAATATTAAATAAGTTAATATATGTAAAACACTTCGAACTTTTTTTTTTAGGTACTATATGTGTTACTATTATCAAAAGAGATTGCATCAACCATCTTGGTTGATGCAATTGAAAAGCCCAGAGTTGGGTTAGTTATAGAGATCGTTGATCCTCCATCTCAATATGTGATCCAAGGACCAATTTCTTCCCACCGTCTCATTCTGCCAGGCATTGGATTGGAGCTTCATTTCAATGCTGGAGGTTCTTGTGATTATAGAGATTACTTTAATTAAATAAGTCTGCATATTCCTTTAGATCGTTTTTGTCTTGCTTTCTCATTTGTTGGCCTGTTTCTATTTGTAAAAATAATTAGTTATCCCTTTTAAACATGTAATGACTAATTGCGGAGTTTATCCTTTTAATCGATGGTGAGAGAAATGGTTAATTTTAGTACTGTAGTTAGGGCAGATTTAGCAGGTGCCCAAGTGCAGCCATCTGAGTGTTCAATTTTACCGACTCATGTGGTTCATGCTATTCCACAGAGTCTTTGAAGTTAGCTTAAGATTAAAAAGCAAAAAATAAAGTCATATAAAGAACCCTCGGTGGCAGTTGTTATGTTTCTAATTAGAAAAATACATCGATTCCCACGAATTGGGTCAATTTACATATCAATGATTCACTCAATCATTTTATTTACAATGTTGCAATTATATTTAATGCCACTTCTCTGATAGGACAAATTTCCTAAAACTTTCCTGATTAAAGAATAATTTTAAAATTTATATTTTAAAAGTGTAAACAATTTTGAATTATTCAGAAAACAGATCAGTTTGAAATAAGAAATTTGAAGACAGATTGAAAATAGTTAAAATGGACAAGTTAATAAGGGGAAATTTAGAAAAATTGAAATCCAGGCACTTAAAAACAAAACATGGAATATGTGATAGCTAAAACTTTCAACAATGAAGCATGCAGCAAAGAAAACAATAGAATTATTCCAACAGAAAGAGTTGATTATCTGACAGCGAAGCAGTCAATCTAAAAATTGGAGAATTGCCGGGCGCGGTGGCTCACGCCGGTAATCCCAGCACATTGGGAGGCTGAGGCAGGCGGATCACAAGGTCGGGAGATCCAGACCACCAAAAAAATTATAAACCAAGAATTATAAGGTCCATCTACAGACCTATTTGAAGAACACAGACCCCATAGTAGGAGATGAACGATGTCTTCCAAACTCTACATGAGACTTTTTTTCCACCTATAAGGAATTTAGTTAGAAAGAATGTAGTCTTGGGGAAAAAAAATAATAATCTGATTAGTTGGCAGAAATTCCTGGCAACCCAACCACAGCATTGAAAGTGCTGTTATTGTACTGTACTGTTCAGCCTAATTTTTATGCATATCATATTTGAAAAATATATGCCTCCTGGTTCTTTCATGCTTTTTAAATGAAAAACAATATTTTATCTGTATTTTTTTTCTGACCATTTAAAAGGAAGCAAATACTTTTCTTTGATCATCTCTGAGGATTAATGGAAAACAGCATCATTTAATCCCTAAATGCTAATCAGCGGGATTATTTTAAATTCATCTCACTTTCCTTAGACTTGATTTATTAACGGCATCAGGAGATAAGCAGCAGGCACAGAGACTCTAGGACAGAAGGCTAGGGAAGAAAGGATGGGACAGATGAGGTAAGAGGGCTGGGAAAAAGAGTGGGAAATACCAGTAATCAGACTGCAAGGCCTGCACATGTGGACAGAGTTGGCAGTTTCCATGGACAAGCAAGTCTTGAGTTTCGTTTCTAATAGGAGATTTGAGGCTTAATCAGAGTATTGCAATGAGGACCAGCCTGGCAGAAAAATCAGGCTCCTAGTTCAACTTCAGGAATGGTTCCTTGAGGCATAGGCTATAGAAGAAGTTTTTAGAGATTTCTGTTTTCTAGGGCAACTTAAATTTTTCCAGGATTGCTATCACAGAAGAGGGCTTTCTTGTAAATGAATAAAGGCTCAACAGCCTAGAAAATTCAGTGACCTCTTCCCAATAAATCTCTACTATCCATGATGGAAGTTGCCCTGAATTCATGCAGGGCCCCACAGTCTGAGGAAGATGAGTCCTTCAGGGTGCCAGGGATTTTTCTTTTTCTTTCATTTTTACATTTTTAAAATTTCAACTTTTACTTTGGATACAGAGGGTACATGTGCAGATTTGTTATGTGGGAATGCGCTGTGATGCTGAGGTTTGAAATGTGGATCCTGTCTCCCAGATAGTGAACATAGTACCCAATAGATCATTTTTTAACCCCTCTTCCCAGTAGCCACAGATTCTATTTTTTCCAATTTATGGCCATGTGTGCTCAGTGTTTAACTCCCACTTATAAGTGAGAACACGTGGTATTTGGTTTTCTGTTTCTTGTGATAATTTATTTAGGATTATGGCCTCCAGTTCCTTCGATATTGCCACAAAGGACATGATGTCATTTTTTATGGTCACATAGTATTCCATGGTGTACATGTACCTCCATTTTATTTATCCAGTTGACCACTGATCAACCACCTGGATGTCTTTGCTATTGTGAATAGCACAGTGATGAACATACGAGTGCATGTGTCTTTTTGTTAGAATGATTCATTATTTTTGGCGGGGAGGGGGATACCCAGTAATGGGATTGCTGGGTTGAATGATAGCATGATTTTAAGTTCTTTGAGGAAGCTCCAGACTGCTTTCCATGGTGGCTAGACCAGTTTACATTCCCACAGTGTATGAGCATTCCCTTTTCTCTGCAACCTTGCCAGCATCTGTTGTTTTTTGACTTTGGGTAATAGCCATTCTGACTGGTGTGAGATGGTATCTCATTGTGGTTGTGATTTGCATTTCTATGATGATTAGTGATGTTAAGCAGTTTTTCATATGTTTGTTGGCTGCTTGTATGTCCTCTTTTGAGAAGTGTCTGTTCATGTCCTTGGCCCATTATTGAATGGAATTATTTGCTTTTTGCTTGTTGATTTCTTTAAGTTCTCTATAGATTCTGGATATTAGACCTTTGTTGAATGCACAGTTTGAGACTATCTTCTCCCATCCTGTAGATTTGCTCTGTTGATAGTTTCTTTGGCTGTGAAGAAGCTCTTTAGTTGAAGTTTCACTTCTTTATTTTTGTTTTTGTTAAAATTGCTTTGGAGACTTAGCCAAAAATTCTTGCCAAGGCCAATGTTGAGAACAGTATTTCCTAGGTTATCTTCCAGGATTTTTATAGTTTGAGGTCTTAGATTTAAATATTAAATCCATTTTGAGTTAGTTTTAGTAAGTGTTGAAAAGTAGAGTTCTATCTTCAGTCTTGCACATATGACTAGCCAGTTATCCCAACACCATTTATTGAATAGGGAGTCTTTTTTCCTAATTGCTTCCTTTTATCTACCTTGTTGATTAGGTGCCTGGCTTTATTTCCAAGTTGTCTACTTTGTTCCATTGCCATGTTTTTTTTTATCAGTACTAAGCTGTTTTGGTTACTGTGGCTTTATAATATAGTTTGAAGTTTGGTAGTATGATGCCTCCAGCTTTGTTCTTTTTGCTTAGGATAGTTTTGGTTATTCAGGTTCTTTTATAGTTCCATATGAACTTCATAATTTTTTTTCTAATTCTGTGAATAATAATGTTGGTAGTTTGATAGGAGTAGCATGGAATCTGTAAATTGTTTGGGGCAGTATGGCCATTTTTACAATGTTGATTCTTCCAATACAAGAGCATGGAATGCTCTTATATTTATTTTTGTTATCTCTGATTTCCTTTAGCAGTATTTTGTAGTTCTCCTTGTAGAGATCATTCTCTTCCTTGGTTACTTGTATTCTTAGGAATTTCATTTCCTTTGTGGCTATTGTAAGGATTGTGTTCATGATTTCACTCTCAGACTGGACATTATTGATGTATAACATACTACTGATTTTTGTACATTGATTTTTGTATCTTGAAACTTTACTAATTTCATTTATCCATTCTAGGACATTTTGACAGAGTGTTTAGGATTTTCTAGGTACAGAATCATATCATCAGAGAAGAGAGATAATTTGACTTTTTTCCTATTTGGATGCCTTTTATTTCTCTTGCATGCTTGCTCTGGATAAGACTTTCGGTATTATTTGGAATAGGAATGGTGAAAGTGGACATTCTTGTCTTGTTCTTCTTCTCTAGGAAATAGTTTTAGCTTTTGACCATTCTGTGTGGTGTTGACTGTGGGGCGGCCATAGATGGCTCTTATTATTTTGAGATAATGCCTTGTTTGCCTTCAATGCCTTGTTTGTTGTGAGTTTTTATCATGACAAAGTTTCAGATTTTATTGAAAACTTTTTCTGTATCTCTTGAGGTGATCACATGGTTTTTGCTTTTAATTCCGTTTATGTGATGAATATTTATTTATTTTTGCATCTCCCATTCTACCACATATTTATTGATTTATATATATTGAATCAGTCTTACATCCCAAGAATAAAGTCTACTTGATCATGGTGTATTAACTTTTTGATAGGCTGCTGGATTCGATTTGCTAGTATTTTGTAGAGAATTTTTCCATTTATGTTCATGAGGGATATTGATCAGAAGTTTGTTTTTTTTTTTTTTTTTTTGGTAGCATCTCTGCCAGATTTTGGTATCATGACAACGCTGACTTTATAGATGGAGTTAGAGAGTATCCCTTCTTCCTCAATTTTTTGGAATAGTTTCAGTAGAATTGGTTTCAGTTATTCTTTGTACACTTGGTAGAATTTAACTGTGAATCCATCTGGTCCAGGGCTTTTTTGGTTGGTAGGTTCTTTGTTACTGATTCAGTTTCAAAAGTTGATATTGGTCTATTCAAGATTTCAATCTTGATTCTACCTTGAAAGATTGTGTATTTACAGGAATTTATCTATTTCCTCTATATTTTCTAGTTTGTTTGCACAGAGTTGTTCATAGTAGTCTCTGAGGGTCTTTTGTATTTCTGTGAGATCAGTTGTAAAATCACCTTTGTTATTGGTGATAGTGCTTATTTAAATTTTGTATTTGGTTTTCTTTGTTAATCTAGCTAGGTGTCTATCAATCTTATTTATGCTTTCAAATAACAAACTTTTGGTTTCATGAATCTTTTGTGTGGATTTTTTAATGTCAATTTTATTAAGTTTTCTAATTTTAGTTTTTACTTTGCTTCTGCTAGCTTTGGGACTGGTTTGTTCTATCTTTTGTTGCTGTTTGTTTTTAGTTTCTTTAGGTGGTAAGTTAGATTGTTAATTTGAGAACAATCTTATTGATAAAGGTGTTTACAGCTATAAACTTTTCTCTTAACATTATTTTGATATTGATGAAAGTGTTTATGGCTATAACCTTTCCTCTTAACACTATTTTGGCTACATGCCAGTTATTTTGGTAAGTTGTGTTTCATTTTCATTAATTTCAAATATATATTTTTTAAAATTTCTGCCTTAATGTCAATGTTCACCCAGGAGTTATTTAGGAGCAAGTTGTTTAATTTCTATAAATGTGTGTACCCTTGAGACATCTTCTTGGTATTGATTTCTGTTTTTATTGCACTATGGTCCAAGAAAGTATTTGATATGATTTCAAATTTTTTTGAATGTATTGAGACTTGCTTTATGACTGCACATATGTTCAATCTTAAAATATGTTCTTTGTGAAGATAAGAATAATGTATATTCTGTGGTTTGGGGGTGGAGGGTTCTGTAGACGTCTATTTGGCCCATTTGGTCAAGTGTCAACTTAAAGTCCAGACTTTCTTTGTTAATATTTTGCCCCGATGATCTGTCTAATGCTGACAGTGGGGTGTTCAATGTCTCACTATTGTGTGATTGTTTAAGTCTTTTCATAGGCCAAGAAAAACTTATTTTATAAATGTGGGTGAATAAAAGTTGAACACGTACATATTTAGGATAGTTAAGGCTTCTTGTTGGATTGTACACCTCCGCATTATGTAGTGACCTTCATTGTCCTTCTTAATTTTTACTGTTTTATCTGTTTCATGAAAACTGTTTTACTGTTTTATCTAACATGAAAACAGAGTCTCCTGCTTTTTTTTCTTTTCACTTACCATTTGCATGGTCGATCTAACTCCATTCTTTTACTCTGAGCCTCTGAGTGTCATTACACGTGAGCTGGGTCTCTTGAAGACCCACCAGATGATTGGGTATGTAGCCTGCCACTTAGTGTCTTTCAAGTGGAGTGATCAGCCCATTTACAGTCAAGATTAGTATGGATATGTGTGATTTTGATCCTGTCATTGTGTTGTTAACTGGGAAGATTTGATTGCATGGTTGATTTATAATGCCTGTGGGCTATGTGCTTAAGTGCACTTTTGTGGTAGCAGGTTTCCTTCTTTTCAATCCGTGTTTAGCATTCCCTTAAGGACCTCTTGTAAGGCTGGCCTAGTTGAAATGTACTACTTCAGCATGTTGGAAATAAGAGCTCAGAGTCACAAAGAAAACAAGCACTCAAATAAAAGGCTTCTCAGCAAGGCAAATTTAATTCTGCAGAAGGGTGCTCCCTGCATCAGTCATGATTGCAAGATCATACCAAGCAGGATAGGGCAGGGGTTTTTATCCCTAATGCAGTTCAGTTCCTGTTTCTGTGTCCTTTCCCCATTGGCTGGAGTTGGACCACACAATCTAAACGGACCCAATTGGCTAGGTTTTGAAATTGAATATGGCTAATTAGGTGGGAAGAGAGAGGCTGTCCATTGCTAAGGTGGGAAGGGCTGTTTACAGAACAAGTACAAAGCGCATCTGGTCATATCTGGACATGGCAAAGGCAGGAAGAGCTTAAGCTGTTTACAGAGGAGGAAAGAACAAGAAAGCACAGAGGAGTTTGAAGAGGAATTTATTGTTCTCAACAATTTCCCCCTCTTGATTTCATAGTTCTTCCTCTTCAAATTTTTCTAACATATTTTTGCTTTGTTGTTCTTGGTCGCTTAAAAAGAGAAGTTTATCTGAATAAGGCAGAGGAGAATCAAGAGGAGTTTTGGTGAGAGCTTTTTCTATAGGCCTTTGTACTAATCCGTGAATGCAGGGTATGATGCAGCAGCCTACAAGAATGAGTACACCTATAACAATTGCAAAGTGGGTAAAGATTGAGGCTATGGGTCCCTTCCATCTTCCAAACCATTTTTCCATGAGATCAGAAAAAGGGTCATTTACTCCAGAATTTTTGGCCAATTCATTTGCTAGGGTGGTAAGGCCCTGTAAGGCCTTTGTGATTGTTCCATCAGGGGCTGTGTTGTTAGGGATAAAAGTACAGCATTGGACTCCAATCATAACATGGACCCTGCCTTTCTCAGCTAATATCATGCCCAGAGCTATTCTATTTTTCCCAGGCCATTCGGCTGGTAGGGCCTAATTGTTCAGCTATCCCTTTAATGGCATCTCTAGTAAAATTAATAAACTACTGTTGATTATAGTAAATGTAATTTATCCAGTCTACATTTTTGTTTACAGTTACCCACGAGAAGAATATAGATTTAAATCCTGCAGCTATTTGATTTCAAGCTTTAAATTCATTTGGCACCCTTTGTGGAACTCCAGCGGCATCTATATAAATGTGAGGGTCAAAAGACCTGTGAGGGGCACTTCTTTTATTACAATTGTTCTCTTTGTTTTGTTGATGAAATGCTAGGGTGAAAGGGGTAGCCAGTTGGATTAGATGGCAAGTGCTGCTCCAGTTGGCAGAGTAGCCAGTAGTGGTCCACCTCAATACCACCATACATCCACTTGGGGATGAACAAGGGCAGATTGATTCATTAGCTCTTGAAAAGGCTTGGATTCACTGCAACCCATTAGGCTTCCGAGGAATGCCAAATTTTCCCCTCGTCATGAGAGACATGAGATAAAACTGACATCATTATCCAGAGGCCTGGTAGCCCTTGGGGGCTGACCTACAGGGCCTTCAACTTCTGGGAGTTGCAGTGAGTTTGGCATGCCTTATTGCCCCAAGCTGTGGGATCTTGGAAGAGAGCTACCATGTAGTGCATACCTTGTTAGTCAGAGGACTATTCAAGTAGAAAGGGAATGATTTCGGTCTCTGGCCTGCCCGTTGCACAAGCGTAACAATTGCTTCTGTTTAGTGTGTGAACAGAATATTTAATCCATTCCAGCCAGGCATTTGCATCCTTATACCCTGTTTCAATAGCTAGAGTTTTTTTTTTTTTAAACTTTAACTTCTACAATGGTGTCTTTGGTGTTGCTATTGGGTAGGAAGAGATCAGAAGGTTTGAAAGGAGAGAGAAGAGAAGATTTAGAAGGAGAAGGAGGGGATGGGGGTGGGTGGATGAGGCACACTTCAAATTAGCCTATAGGGTCCACCCCTGCAGCTTCTACTCCCATACCGTAAAAACGACTTTATGAAGAGGAGGAATCTTGGGAAGTTGAGATAGTAATGGAAATTTGTACTGGATTACATTGGTTTAGTTGACAATTGTGGGGGTTAATTCCTTTAGTGAAGTGAATATGTGGCTTTAGGGATATACACCTACTGGCTGAGGTGGTCCAATCTTGATTTTTGGAAGTCACTGGACCAGCAACAGCAGAGAAGCTCTTTTCTAGTAGTGCAGGATTCAACAGAATATTTTTCAGAATTGTCTCAATCATCCCAATTAAGAGAATTTGCCTCATCTGAGGGGCCCCAAGCAGGGCAGATACACTTTTCTGAAGTAAAGATTTGCCTTTGACCTTGCAAATTACCATAGGGTATAATAAGACAGGCGTCAGAAGTAATGTTTGAGGTGAGCTTGACCTGGTTACATTAATAATGAGATGTGGGGTAGCTAAAGGAAAAAGAAGAGGAAAAAGGGACAGACAGATTAGGAACTTCTTTTTAACATTATGGTTGTGGGAATTGGACCTTGGATGACAGTCTGTGATTCTGGAGAGGGCGACACCTTCTTGACTTAGGTATGATGAGACCATCCTTTTTCAGCAGTCCAGGCAGCCATCTCAGTCATTAGGAGTACTAGATAAGGTCCTTCCCAAGTGGGTTTGAGTTTTCCCTCTTTCTATCTTTGACAAGGATGTGGTCTCCAGACTGGTGGTGGTGAACTGGAAATTCAAGGGGTGGGGTTTGTGCTAGAAGGCCTTGAGTCCTGAGGAAGGAAAAGGTGGAGGACAAACCTAATATATAGTTTTTTTAAGAAATTGATCTTTGTTTCAAATGTAGGAAGATCAGTAGCAGAGTTTAGGTAAGGCAATTCATAAAGCATCTCATAAAGGGAGAGGCCAATGTCTATTTGAGAGGCTGTTCAGACTCTTAACAAGGCAATGGGAAGACATTTTGTCCAAGGCAGTGGGTTTCTAAAATTAGTTTAGTTAAATGATTCTTTAGAGTCTTATTCATCCTTTCTACCTTTCCTGATGAGGATGAGTGCCAGAGGTATGGTATTCCCAGTGCTTGGGTTCGCCCCTTAATGATGTGTGCAGTGAAATGGGTCCCATTATCCAAATCAATGGTATTTATTAGTCCAAACCTGGATATGATATGTCCCAACAGAGCTTTTACTACATTATTGGCTGTTGTGCTTGGGAAGGGGATGGCTTCTACCCAGTGCATGAGATGGCCTACTATTACTAGTAAATACTTGAGGTGGCCTTCTGGGGGCATCTCAGTATAGTCAACTTGGATGCTTTGGAATGGCCTTAACCCTGGGTTTCTTCCCCCGGGAGGTTGCCTTTTTAGGGTTTGCTTATTAGTTTTTCTGCACACTATGCAACTGTCTATTATTTGCCTAGTGTGGGTGCATATTCCTATGTACCCATAGACTCTAAGGACTGCATCACACATAGCTTGAGGACCCCACTGAGATCCTTGATGAAGTTGTGACAATATTTTCCTCATAAGAGGCTTGGATAACATTTCCTTTCCATCTGGTAGTACCCACTTTCCTTCTGGGTTTTCCTTAGTTTCCAATTTCTTTAGCTTTTCCTGGTCTGCTTGGGAAAAGATGGGGAGTGCGGTTGGAGAGGGAAAACAAGGGGTTAAATGAAAAATAGGTGCAGCTTGGGAAGAGGCATTTTTTTTTTTTTTTTTTTTTGGCTATTTGGTTGGCTAGATTATTTCCCTGACTTTCAAATAAGAAGTTCTTTTGGTGTCCTGGGACATGAACAACAGCTATTTCCTCAGATTGCTGAAGATTATATAATACTTGTATTTTTAATTCTTTGTGGACTAGGTTTTGACCTTTACTGTTAATAAGGCCTTGTTCAGTCCAGATTTTTCCAAAGGTATGTACCACTCTAAAGGCATATTTCGAGTCAGTATAAATTGTTCCCTCCTGATTTTGTAAAATTTTTAAGGCTTGATTTAGGGCAAATAGCTTGCACATCTGTGCAGAACAGTCATTTGGTAATCTTCCTGATTCTATTTCTGTGAGGGTATCTCCAACTACAGAGTATCTGTTATGCCTTTTTCCTTCTATTACCTGGGAGGAACCATCTATAAAAAGATGTTTCCCTGTTTGGAAAGGAGTTTCACATAAACCTAGTCTAACCTTGGTTTGGTAACTAGCTAGGTCTAAACATTTATGCTCAAGTTCCTTTTGGGTGTGGGTTCCCTGTTACATTTTGGTTTGGATTCCCAGTTAGGAAAGCAGCTGGATTTAGAGAATTGTCAGTGGCTAGTGTCAGGTCATCTCTCTCTAACAGGATAGTTTCATATTTTAAAACTCTTGAGTTGGTGAGGCACTTTTCTGCCTTTTGACTGAGGATAGTTCTGACTTGGTGAGGTGTGCTAACAATGAGGTTTTCCCCAAAGGTTAATTTTCTGCTTTCCTCCACGAGCAAAGCTGTTGATGCTACAGACTGGACACATTCAGGCCATCCACGGGTTACTGGGTCCAGAATTTTTGACAAGAAGGCTACGGGCTGCTGGTAGTCCCCATGTCCTTGGGTGAGTACCCCTAAAGCCACTCTCTGGTTTACAGTCATGAAAAAATGAAATGGCTGTTCTAGAGAGGGTAAGGCTAGAACAGGGGCAGTTATTAGTAAATGTTTTAACTTTTCTACCTGTTGCATTTCTGGGATGGTCCATATAAATGGGTCTGGCTCCTGCTGGGTAAGCTTTTGATATAAAGGTTTTGTTTCTAAGGCATAAGAGGTGATCCACAGGTGATGGTATCCAACTAAGCCTAAGAACTTTGTAAGTTCCTGTTTTGTTTCTGGCAGAGGTAGGGATATGATATCTTCCATTCATTCAAACCCAATCATTTGCTTGCCTTTGCTGATTAAAATTTCTAGGTACTTTAATTCAGGCTCTACAAACTGGAGTTTACTTTTTGAGACTCTTAGCCCCTGTGCTCTCAGATAATTTAGAAAATTAATTGAAAATGCCGTTACCCATTTTTTTGTTGTCCCTTGAGATAAGCAGGTCATCCACATACTGGAGTAGACATATGGATGAAGGGAGGGAGAAATTTTCTAATACTTGTTTCAAAATTTGACTGAAAAATTTGGAGAGTCTGTAACCCTTGGAGTAAAACTGTCCATCAGTACTGTTGTTTTAGGCCAGAGTTGGGGTCATCCCACTCAATGGCAAACAAGTCCAGATGTCTTTTGCTCAGGGCAAGCCCAGAAGGAATCTTTTAGATCTATTACTGTGAACTATTCATGGTCAGGTGGAATTTTGCTAATAATGATGTAACAATTGGGGATAACAGAGTGAGTGGTTTGAACTATTTGATTAACAGCCTGGAGGTCTTGCACTAGCCAGTATGACCCATCTGGCTTCTTTACAGGCAATAATGGAGTATTGTAAGGGAATATACAGGGTTCAAGGAGTCCATTGTGAACAAGGCTTTCAATTATAGGTTTTAAACCTATTCTGGCTTAGAGGAATAGAGTATTGTTTTCTTTTTACTATCTCCCCAGGAATCTTTAATTTGACCTTAATTGGAAGAACTTGCAATTTTCCCAGATTTCCTTCTCTTGACAAAATATCTGGATGAATATACTCTTCATCTATGGTGGTGAGTAGGTTGAGGGAGGTAAGAAATTTTCTGTCCAAGTGCAGGTTACTTTTGGCTACACCAAACCCTTGTTTCCAACAAATTTGGGGGCTCCTCCATGGACATGGATGAAGGAAGGTGGTCTAAAGGACACCACATGCTAGTGGACGGTTTGGAGTTAGGAATTTCAATTTCCTGAGGGGAAGTATTTCCCTGCTTGTCTTCTGTAGTTTTTAGGGGATAGAGGAGGACAGACTCCTGCTGCTAACACAGGGCGTAGTTTATTTCCTTCTTAGAGACAGGATTTTTGTTATTGACATATTCTATTAAAAGTTAACAGTTCCAATCCTCACTAGACCCAAACTTTGGCCAGAAACCTGAGGGTTCAAGGATAGGTTCTTTGGCACAAATAAAACAGCAATATTTTATAATTTGTTGCTTTTTCTTGTGTTTGGTTCTCTCATTATCCTTCCAATATTTTAACGTGAGAACTAGAGGGCTATCTGAGGGGATTATATTGTCTGCATTTTCTTTTTTATCCCCCATCTTGCTTGAGCTATGTCCCATCCTGGAAGTTTTGGGTGTTCCTGAGTTTCCCTGTCAGTGGAGCTCACACCCTCCTAACAGAGATTTCTTGTACCCCTTCTCTAGAGGCTCAACCCCCACTACTGGAGGTTTCTTGCACTTCTCAGCTTTCATTTTGTCCTTCTCTGGCCACTTCCCTTGTGGGAATTTAGGTCCCTCTTAGTATTGGCAGGTTAGCATAAATCACTGACAGGCAAGCCACCCTAAACCACATGAGGTGACCATGGAACTGTGGATCTGGACTCTGTACTCGCTACACACTCAATTTTGCATCTGATTTACACAGTTTCAAACTCCAAGATTTCCCAACCACCAAGGAAATACTTTACCACCTCTGCAGTTTTTCTTACCTTGGTCTGTGCACAGAATTACCTGGTCACTGCGGTATTTGTAGGCCTTCTCTTCCCCCTTCCCACGTTGCTGAGAGCTCGAGTTTATTTGTCACACGGGGTGGATTGCGATTCCTTAACCCTGAGGCCACCACAACAAGGCAGCAAGATGTGTCTCCTCATGAGAGGTGATCGGAGACCCTTCCCAGAGAAGAATGGGAATCCCAGACGAGCCCCCAGATTGTTTGCAATAAGAGCTCAGAATAGCAAAGAAAATGAGCAATCAAACAAGACTTCTCAGCAAGGCAAATTTACTTCTGCCGAAGGGTGCTGCCTGCATCAGTCGTGACCACAAAGAGCGTACCAAGTGGGGTAGGGCAGGAGCTTTTATCCCTAACACAGTTCAGTTCCTGTTTCTGTGTCCTTTCCCCATTGGCTGGAGTTAGACCACACAATCTAAATGATTAGTTAATGGGTGCAGCAAACCAACATGGCACATGTATGCCAATGTAACAAACCTGCACGTTGTACACATGTATCCTAGAACTTAAAATATTTATTTAAAAATAATTAGTATTTTGTCTTTAGCTCTTGAATTGTTTTACTGGCTTGCCTTGGATTCTTTGAATTTCAATTTTCTCCATCTCGATGAGCTTCCTTGCCATCTACATTCTGAATTCCGTTTCTGTCATTTCAGACAATTCAGACTAAGAACCATTGCTGGGGTGCCAGTAGGCTCGTTTGGGGATAAGGGGACATTCTGGTTTTTTGAACTGCCAGAGTTCTTGTCTGATTTTTTTTCTCATCTGGATTGTCTGATTTTTTTTTTTTTTCTCATCTGGAAGGGCTGTCATTACTTTAATTGTGCTATAAGTTGAGTATGGTCCACTGGCTTTATTTTTGGAAGTTTTTAGAGTACTAAGGCTCTGTGCAGCATCTTTGTTATAGAATGGTTGTTCCCGGTGTTGCAAGGGGGTGAATCAGTAGAGCAATTTAGCACGTTGTAGTTTGGGATAGGAACCAGTAGAAGGCACTTGAGAGCAATGGGCAGTAGGTAAACTTAACCAAATGGTTCCTTTGTGTACCTTTGAGGCTTCCTCCCTCTTCAACCTCAGTGACTGCATCTTTTCTCCTTTCACATTCTGCATTTTCTCTCTGAAGATCTGTTCAGATTATGTTGGTATAGTTGAAATCACCACTTGCTGTGGCAGTAGCACTTCTTAGATGCATCTAGTCAGCTGTCTTGGAAAAAAAGGCGTTTTCATTTTAGATCATCAAAAATAACTTACTTGTTTTCAATAGCATAAATGCTGCTGTGCCAGTGAATAATAATGATAATAATAACAATAGTTTTAAAATACACATGATTTAGATTCTGCCGATGAGATGCATCCCTGTGAGATGTAAAAATGATTCAGAGTTGGATTATTTGGGGGAATAAATGACAGATTTGAAGAGACCATCATTTTTGCTTCTGTGAATTGCCTCAGAGCCAACCTGGTTCTTTACCATGGCTTTCTAATTTGAAAGCGTCCTGAATATGATTGAGGTTGCAATTCTCTTGTGGAGCCAGTATTGCAATGTAGAATAGCGTTTTTTTTTGTTTTTTGTTTTTTGTTTTTCTGGAAGCTCAGCCTAGAATTAATGTATTTAGCCTTTCTCAATACTTCTGTACATTGTCTACAAAACTTTTTTCTTCTATATTAACTAGTTATAGTAAATTTTCTTGTCAAGAACTCACACCCACAAAGATTGTTTCCAGCTTCTTTCTTGTAACACCATCAGCTAGACTTCTCATGTTCTGTTCTCAAATTGAGGTATTAAACTACTCTTGATCCACCAAGATTTTCCACTTGTTTTAATTGCAAATTTATGTTAGTTCAACAAAAAGTATCAAATCTTACTCTGTTTTAAGCTCTGCTGGACCCAAAACATATAAAAATAAGTACAACACGTTTCTTATATTCAAAAAGTTTTTGCTTATGAACAAAACACACATAAATTAAAAAATAAATTCGACAAATGTTTTTCCAGGATAATTTATTATATAATTAATAATGCATAATTCTGGAAGAATGGATCCTCTTCCTTGAGCCCATGAAATGGTTGGTTGACTTGTACTTCTGCTGTAGTATTTATCACATATCTTTGTACTTGAGTGTGTGTGCATGTCTGTGTGTAGCTCTGCATGTACATATTTTATGTTAGGTGTAAGCTCTCTGGAGCAAGTCTGATGTATTATTTATTTTCTTTTCCACTACTACCATTAGTACATAGCTGGTAGAC
This sequence comes from Homo sapiens, assembly GCF_000001405.40. Classification (NCBI taxonomy): domain Eukaryota; kingdom Metazoa; phylum Chordata; class Mammalia; order Primates; family Hominidae; genus Homo; species Homo sapiens. The sequence continues at coordinate 43,516,940 of NC_000018.10, forward strand.
ATAAATTGTTATTGAATGAAAGAAGGTCCAAAATAGGCAATGTGTATCAGAAGTAATCTTAGGATTCTAGAGAAAAATTAGGCAGAAGTATATCTGTCTTTTATGGAATTCTTCCCTTAATCAAGCTTCCCACACTCTGCAATATATTAACTAAAATTAAGAGGTAATTTATTGTTGTTGCTCTTGTTACTGCTATACAGGTACAGTACTAATGAGCAAGACTGTCCTATATTCAGAGAGCTTGTGGAATTAACACTTTCTGCCTCTGTTTATTTCCCATGCCTTGCCTTCAATTTTGCCTGCCTTAATTGTGTTGTGTAGGAATAATGAGATTTTCAAAACCAGTTTTCTCATACACTAGAGCTGGGCAGCTGTTAAAATTCGTGATGCCTAGGCCAATATACTAGACCAATTAAATGCAGAGCTTTGGGGGTAAAGTCCTAGGCATAGGTATTTTGTTAAACTCCCTGGGAATCCCAACGTACAGTCAAAGCTGAAAATATTCCTCTAAAGATGAAATATACTCTAATCAAATCTATCTCTATGAAAGTCTTAAGGTAAAAAGCTGCTCAGCTTTGCTGTTATTGAATCTATCTGAAAGAGTTTGCAATGTGACTAAATGAATAAGACGTCTTTAAAGTATCCCCAAAGTGAAGAACTTAACTCCTAGTCATAATATATTATGCTAATCATAGGCTTTTAGTAATAAAAATTATTCTAGTCTGACCTATTCTAGTCTCTCTACTACACTAAATCAAGGATATGTATTGTTCAATTGATCACTATTTTAGATTTTATGAAAATTAAATTTCCCAGCTAAGACAAATGTTTAATTTATTCCAAGTAGGAACATAATCAGTTCTTTTAATAAAAATGAAATATATCGACAACTAAACAGAAACTTTCTCCTCTTTTAAATTTCTTTTCCTCAATTAGAGTAATGTGTTTCTTCTCACTGAGGAAGCACACATTTTTAATCAAGCTAATTAGAAGTATAATAAATCTAACTCATGATTAAATATGTTCCCCCATGTGCATCCATATGATCAAATTTATATACAGTTACAAGCCAACAACTAGGAGATTGAGGCATAGGCAGGTGTCTGGCTGTGAATTCTGGTACATCTTCTTAAGCCTTAATATTTTTCCTGTTCCATAGACATTTTCCAAACAGTTATTCCTTCTTTTTAACAAATCATTCCAAGGAAGGAGAAAACCTGTAAAATCTTTTAATAAAATTTTCTGCTCTACCACCACATTTTTATTACATTTTTTACACCCAATTTGATTTTTAGACTCTTTTCTCCCACTTATTTCTGTCTTGTGTTTTTTTTACTTCCTCTGAATTTGCTGATTTCATTCATTTCTCAAACTCCCAAGGTTATAAGAACAAAGCCAAAAATGCTGGAAAGAGTTCTGGGTGTGTTCTGCTCTGGCCTCCTGTGAACTAATCATGAAAGTGAGTTTACTTCCTATGCATCTGGAAAGGCAGGCTGGATTGGTTCATAAATTTTCAGATAGTCCAAATTTAATCCAGTCTGTTTTTTTTTTTTTTTTCCCATGCAGTGGTTGTAAAATGTATGTGTAAGTAAAAACCAGAGCAAATGTTCATCAAAAATGGAATCTAGAAGAGGGGAAAATGTCATTTTAATAGCCAAGTGATTTCAGGCAAATTAACGTTTATGTGTCGTGATTCCTGATATGGTTTGGCTCTGTATCTCCACCCAAATCTCATCTCGAATCGTAATCCCCATGTGTCAGGAGAGGGACCTGGTAGGAGGTGATTGAATCTTGGGGGTTGCCTTCCTCATTGCTGTTCCTGTGATAGTAAGTTCCCACAAGAGAATTGATTGGTAGAAAGGGTGTGGCACTTTCCCCTTCACTTGTTTTCTCTTCCCTGCCACCTGTAAGACTAAGCCTTGCTTCCCCTTCCCCTTCCTCCATGATTGTAAGTTTCCTGAGGCCTCCCCAGCCATGTGGAACTGTGAGTCAGTTAAACCTCTTTTCTTCATAAATTACCCAGTCTCAGGTAGTTTTTTGTAGCAGTGTGGAAAAGGACTAATATTATTTCTAAATATTTAATATGGGAATAAAAATATGTTTTCTTTCAGGTGTATTATAAAGATTGTAGATAAGTTATATAAAGTACCAGAAAAATGTCTGGCACGTGTAGACCCTCCTCAAAATATGTTATTTATCATTTTTGTGTTGTTATTAAGATTGCTAGGATAAAATGCATGATTGCATGATCAGAATAAACTCTTCCTTTATAGTATGAGGATAAAAGTATCTACTTCTGCAGTTTTGTTATGTGGAACAAATTAACTAACGTAAATGAGAACAAGTTGCAACATGTAAGTCTAAGTGAATGTCAACTATTATTTGTAGCTTAGATTATAGTATTTTAGACTAAACAAAATTGTCTTCATTTTTTTAAAGCAATTTTACTGATTAAACTCCTGGAAAACATACGAAGATTTTGACTAAATTAAAGCTATAAAATTGAACAGGTACAATTCCCATAAGGGAATTTATTTCATAAAGCTTCTAGAGGAATGCCAACTATTAAGGCCCTGGAGGGAACATTGGAAATGTATCCAGCTTCCAATTTCATAAGGTCCGTTTCCTCCCTGAAAGTCCAATAAAGCACTAGAAATCCTGAAGCCAACATAGGTTTGTTTTTTCAATTAAAGGTTCTGGTGTTTTTATTCTCACCCCCTCAGGTTATCTCATTTCATCCTCTCTGAAAAAAAAAAAAAATCCCCTTTGGATTAAATTTCTAATGCTGACATTTTGATGTCAATCCATGTTATATTGGCCACTTATTGAATCCTGTCAATATTGGAGATTAAATGACTTTTAAACTTCAACTGAATTCAAAAAGAACTACAACTAGAATAGTTGGAAATTGTGAAAGTTGTCAGAATCAAATTTGTCACTTGTGTTAAAAAAAAAAACTAAACTAACAAATAGAGCTGGAGAAGGCTATGAAGAGAGAATTCTCATTTATAAATGCTTGGCAAAAATATTGTCATAGGAGACTGCAAAAACCACGAGCTTGCACAAAGGCCATTGCAATCTTACACAAAAAATACTTCTTCCTTGTGCGTCACCACTGCAACGTTCTATTTCCAAATAAATATAATTTTCTATTAAGAGAGCCTCTATCTGTTTGTAATTTAGGTTGACAAGATTGATTCCTATTTGCATTCTTTTGCTGAAGATAACAGACTCCAAATCTGATGATAATCAATCTGTGTTCTTTATAAGTGATTTATGAGTTGAGTTAATAAAAAGCTATATTTTAATATGCACATTTTATTGCAAATGCTATCAATGTTTATTACAAAGATAAAAAAAGAAAATTACCTATAGTCAAACTATCTTGAGATAACCATTTGCAAAATACTATTTACCATCTTATGTATAATGTTTTAAACAAAAATATAATCAGTATAATTATCTTGTTTTTTGTAAATTGATTGTTAAAATGTAATACATGTTTCGATGAAATTAAATGCAATACTAACATTTCATTATATTTGTTTCCAAATATTGGCTACTTAGAATGTTTTAGAAGTTTCTTTTTAAGCATGCTATGCTGGGCAAAGATGTATATTAATCTCTATGTCCTTAAGACTGATTTCCTGGAAGTGGAATTGCTGCACCAAAAAATAAACGTAGTTTTAGAGATTTTGATGCAGATTACCAAATTGGCCTTCAGGTATTTTTTAATTTAATTATTTTACCAATGTCTCATACCTATAGTAGTTTGAGCTCATGACCATTTCTCTTTGACATAGCAACACTAGAATTGTCATTACTTCTAATCTTCTATAAAACACAGTGACATTGCTTTTACATATGTTTCTTTGATAAACGGCATGGTTCAGCATTGTTTTACGAGTTTATTGCTTTTGTTTTTGTACTTTTGTGAATTATCACTTAGAGCTTTTCCTTACATGATCATTTTAGGGTGTTGTGCTTTCTTATTAATATTTAAGTAATTTATTTTGATGGGTGCTGCTCCTTGGTATGAACAATATAGTGCAGTCATTTCGTCAGTTTATTTGCCTTTAACATGACTTAAGGTGTTTTAGACACACAGATAACTTATAATTGTAGGCAATAAATATATAACCATTGTCTTATTTATATCTTTTATATCAGAAAGAAACTCTCTACCGCAAAATATATATAATCAATTTCCCTTTGTGTTTTTATAATCATAAATAATTATAAATAATGACACAAATAATACGAGAAAATATTCTTATTGTGAACAGTTCACACCCAACTGAAATATCTTATTGAGTGGAAGTTTCCCTTCAATACGAACCTCCCTTCCATTCTACTGACCACCCTAGAGAAAGCCACTGTACAAGAATCCAGATGGGTATGTATTCTTCATGATGAATTGCTATATATTTACATACATACATACATACATACATACATACTTTTTTTTTCGGGGGGGGGCCTTTAGATTTACATATGTGTGCACCAAGAGGAGACAGAATGTAGTAACAGATTTATTACTTTGGAGAATATACGTCTACGTTTTTTACCAACTTTTGTCTTTGGTGGAGTTGGTTACCAATCTCTGTTATGAAACAATAGCTAGAATGCATAAAAGAAAAGGTAAAAGATAATATTTATGATGAATTTTTATCTTTTTACTACTATTTTTATATCTATTTTCTCATTATATAACAGTAATTTTTATAGGTGGCTAAGTCTTGCTGAGTTCCTTCATTACATTTCTTTTATCATTTAAAAATGTTTCCAGCCGGGCACGGTGGCTCACGCCTGTAATCCCAGCACTTTGGGAGGCCGAGGCAGGCAGATCACGAGGTCAGGAGATCGAGACCAGCCTGGCTAACACAGTGAAACCCCATCTCTACTAAAAATACAAAAAATTAGCCCGGCATGGTGGTGGGCGCCTGTAGTCCCAGCTACTCAGGAGGCTGAGGCAGGAGAATGGCGTGAACCTGGGAGGCGAGAGGTTGCAGTGAGCCAAGATCGGGCCACTGCACTCCAGCCTGGGCAACAGCACAAGACTATCTAAAAAAAAAAAAAAAAATGTTTCCATGGTTTAGCAACAATATATATCCAGTCACTGCAAAGAAAAATTGTTAAATAATTAAACTCACATATTTTATTTACTGTATTATTGCAAACAGTGTTTTCACACTTTAATATGCAGACAATTCTCAATTTAGCAATTGTTCAACTTAAATTTTTCAACTTTTTGATGGTGCAAAAGTGATACACATTCAGTAGAAACTTTGAGTACCTATACAACCATTTTACTTTCAGTACATCATTCAATAAATTACCTGAAATATTCAACAGTATATTACAAAGTAAGCTTTCTGTTAGATGATTTTGCCAAACTGTAGGGTAACTAAGTGTTCCAAGCACGTTTCACATAGGCTAGGCTAAGCGATGATGTTCAGTAGGTTAGGTATATTAAATCCATTTTAGACTTAGTATATTTTCAACTTAGGATGGATTTATTGTAATGTAACCCACTAAGTTATGTAAGTCAAGGAACATCTGTATATTCTAGGTTCAATTATTTTTAAAAAATGTCTCGAATAGTTTAAAGGAAAGGATATTTTTCTTTATTCAGAAGAAAGGGACAGGGAACAAACTATATTCTGCACTTGAATCTTCCACCCAGATACGTGGTGTTTTGCATGGGTCTTATTCATTATGAGTAGAAAAGTCACAAGGACAAGTCTCTAGCTTGGCAGTAATATGCCAAATTTACAGAAACATTGATATTTGTTCTCTACAACTCTAATCTCTTTCTGAAGTCTTTCTCATTTTAAAAAATTATTAACAAGGCAGTTGATTTATCAGTGGTAGATACAGACTAAAGAGTAGTGTAATGAATGAAGGCTATTCCTATGATCATTAGGCATGAAGAAAATTGGAATTGGCCCTGATAAATCTTTCCTTCCAACGGATGAGAACATCTTTGGTATAGTAGCAACTTTCAGGGGAACTTTGAATAAGTGCTATTAAAAAAATATCTCAAGATGGATATTAAGTCATGTACTCGTTTGCTAATTCTGCTGTAACAAGTTACCACAAACGGGGTGGACTAAATATGGACTAAATAAAGAAATGTATAGTCTTTCAGATTTGGATGCTAAAATCCAAGATTAAATTATCAGCAGGGTTAGTTCTTTGTGAGAGCTGTGAAAGAGAGTCTGCTCCATACTTCTTGCACAGCTTCTGGTGGTGTGCTGTCAATCTTTGCCATTCCATGGCTTACCAACACATAACCCACATCTCTACTTTTATCTTCACATGGCCTTCTCACTCTGTGTGTGTCTGAACTCCATTTTATAAGGACACCAGTCATATTGAATTAGGATCCACCATAATGACCTCATCTTAATTAGTTACAGCAACAACAGTATTTTCAAATAAGGTCACATTCTGAAGTACTGAGGGGTAGGACCTCAACATCTGAGTTTTAAAGGGACACAATTCAATCTATAATAGTGTTTAAAAGTATTTCCATATATTTTACTTGTACAATATTTTGTAGCCCTTTCCTTTTCAAGACCTTCCTGTATATCTGTTATTCCTGTATATTCACCCATATAGAACCTTTTAATAATTTTTTACTAGGTGTTTACAATGCACATTAAGAATCCAGTTAACCACTATGTTTCAGATTGAATTCTAAACAATAAAGAAAAAAGAGTCAAGGGTGATTAGGGCTCTATTCTCATTCACACAACTAATTCAATTGTGCTTTAATATATCTTTTATTCTATATTTCTGCACAATAAGTATTTTTAAAAGGGGTTTCACTGCTTTAAAAACATGAGAAATAATAAAATTCAAAATCAAATTTTAACATTAGGGAATTCGTGGAGATAACATGTTCTGGAATTAGAGAACAATAATGGTTTTATGATTTTGTAATAAACCATTGAATTGTACACTTTAAAGAGTGAATTTTATAGTATATGAATTATATCTCAGTTTTAAAATGCTTATAAAATCTCAGGAGAAAAGCAGGATATAAAACTATGTACAAGTACAGTAGTCCTCCCTTATATGTAAGGAATACATTCCAGATTCTCCAGTGGATGCCTGAAACCAAGGATAGTACTGAACCCTGTCTATATTAGGGTTTTTCAAATACTGTACATAGCTATCTATGATAAACTTTACTTTATAAATTAGGCACAGTAAGAAATGAACACTAGCTAATAATAAAATAGAAAAATTATAGCAATACATGATAAAAGTTATATAAATGTGGTCTCTCTTTCAAAATATCTTACTGCACTGTAATACTTGTGATCTGTCAATCTGTTAACTAAGACTGCTACTAAATGACTAATGGGCAGATAGCATAGACACTATGGATACAATGGACAAAGGGATCATTCATATCCCAGGTGGGATGGAGTGGGATGGTGCAAGACTTCATCATGCTACTCAGAATGACATGTACCTTAAAATTTATGAATTACTCATTTCTGAAATTTTCCATTTAATATTTTCAGACCATGGTTGACCACTGGCAACTGAAACCACAGAAAGTGAAACCATGATTAAGGAGGGACTACTGTACATTATAAGTCTAATATTGTCCCCCTTGGAAAGAAAAAGAAAAGGCAAAAACCACAAACAACACCAAAACCACTAGGTACTGACCTTTAACACATCAAGTATTATCCTTTAGGCTAGATTACTTAGATTCCCTTAAACGCTGCATTACACTTACTAAAATTCTTATATCATTCTTACATCATTCCTTCTTAGACTGTATTAGATTATAATCTTCTCTTCTTTGAAGAAGATACTGTGTCTTATCTTTTCATTTCTTGCAAAGCCTTAGAGATTGGCTGAAACATAACAGCTATTCAATAAATATCTGTTAATGAAAGTCACATTAGTGACTTTAGACTCTTAAGAGCTTAAGTTTTGAAAGTAGCCACATCTGGATGCAATTCGGGTCCAGCCACTTTGTGGCCAGGTGATTTAAAAAGGTTTGTAAATCTTATTAGGCCTAAAAAAAATGAAGCCGAAATAATATCACCTATTTCAGAGAGTTTTGATAAGGATAATATGTAATAATGTATGTAGTGTTTGCTATTATATAGTAAATGCTCAATAAAAGCTATGTATTACTACTATTAATGATAGAATTATCATTGGTTATTGACTATCCTCCATGAATTATGTAATTTTAAATATTATATCTTCCTCACTTTCAAAGCAGATGTTCTTTATTTAATTGATTGTTTTAGCTAGATAACTCTTTATCAACATTCACTCATTCAGTCAAGTAGTCAATTAATATTTCTTGCACATTATGTAGCTTCTGGGCTAAGTCAGATGTCTGTGCCCTTGTTCTGGCATCAACTTTTGGCACTGTGCCTGTTCATTCTGGTTTCTAGCACTAAGCCAGCTGTCTTTGTTCCCAGTGACATGGACTTCATGGTTTGTTCTGTCTCCAACTTTGATCTATTTGTTATTAAGCCCTCCTGGCTTATATGTCAGTTTGCCTTATCACTAGCCCCGGGGTTTATAGCCTTTGGTTTGTGGTTAGAATTAACGAAGTGATTTAGAGTTCAAATCAGATGTGAAGCTTCTTGATCTAGTCAACTTCCTGGATCTATTACCTATCTATTACTTCCCTATCTATTACCTTTAATGCCACTCAATTCTCATCCACTCCAGGAAGCATATTGGAATGCAAATGAGTAAAGTTATCATAGGAATAACTTTTAATTTTTTGAATATATGTTTTCTCATTTAGATTATGAAATGTATGCTCTATTGACATAAACCTTGATATCTAAGGTTTATTTATTCTATCTGGTAAGTCTGTTAGCACAGTAGCCAAATAAAATTAATTTTATAGTCCCAAATTCTGTCTTCTAAAGCAATAGTACCACCCTGTCCTTTATCTCTTTAAGGAACTATTAAAACAAGCATCTTGTTAGTCCAAAGGATACAAAATTGCAGTTAGACAGGAGGAATAAGTTCAAGAGAACTATTGTACAGCATGGTGACTACAGTTAATTACAATATATGGTATTCTTGAAAAATGCTAAGAGAATGGATATTGAGTATTCTCACCACAAAATAACTATGTGAGGTAATACATTTGTTAATTTGCTACATTTAACTATTTACAATGTAAATATACTTTGAAACATGTTATACACAATAAATACATACAATTTAATCTGTCATTTCAAAAAATAAATTAAAACTTATAGTAAATGTTTCTTATTTTCACTAATTTCTGTATGGTAGTAGAATATGATTTCCGGTCCTCGTTTTATTGGTCTGTCCACCTATTCATCTATTCACCAGTCTATGTATCTTACCTATTTAAATCCAGAAGCCAATTGATGTCCCTAGGAACACCCTAGTCATTAAGAGTAGAAATGTTTCAGACCCTTCATCAGCTGATTCAATCTTCTGTACATTTGCCTCTGGCTCATACTTCTTATAGCCTCACTGAGAAGGGCAGTGTCCATACTCAGATACCAGATTTAAAATTCTGATCATTTTAAACTCATCATTGGAATTTTGCAACCAAATAATTAAGAATTGAGGTTTTTGTTTTATCCTTGCCAACCTTTCTCACTTTTTTTCCATGTTTTCTTCTGCAGTTGTTAGATTTTATAAACATTTGTCATGGGAACAAAGTCAAAGCTCAGCATTCTTCGCATTGCTGAGAAATAAATGGGAATGACTATCACTGGCCTGGGACAAAGAGAAAAAGAATACACTATTAAATATAGTTTCAAAATGTTTTTATCTGCTGTATAATATACTTCCTTTTATATAATTATTTAAGCCAAGTGTGAAAGATAAAAACACTCAAAAATCCTGTCTCTGAAATGTCAAAGTGCACAGAAGTGGTACATCTGTTTACACCAGTCTGAATTGGCTTGGATGAATCTTTTCATGGCTCTGTTTTCTGTCATTTGTGAACTATGCAAGCTGTTGGCAGGCGTTTTATACCCAATTCTGCCATTCTGGCTTAAATGTTATGACAGGACCTTAATTCCCAAGCAGAGCTTCCCAAACATTTCCATCTCTTTGTCTCCACTTGAGTCTACATGGAATCAAAATCAGTAGCAAAGAACTAGCAATTATGAAATATGTGAGCCTGTTTGCACCATAGGGTGCTTGATTATCAACAATGCTAATTATTATGTTCTGTGTCCCCAACAAGAAGTGCTTTCAATTGAACAATATCACTGTATTGGTTTCTGACCCCTGCTCCCCAAACATTACATAAATTAGGCTCATTTACCTCGTAAAGAATAGGAACATGTTCCAGGTGTTTCAGTTAGTGGGGTTTAGGGAGATATACGTGTGTGTATGTATATATTTCTCTCTAAAGTCTATTTGCATTACTTCTGAATCCTTTCTTGGTCTGTCTGTCTCTTTCTCTCTCTCTTTCTCTCTCTCTCTGTCCACCAAGAAAGAGACCTAGAGAGAGACCAAGAAAGGATTCAGAAGTAATGCAAATAGACTTTAGAGAGAAATAGACAGTAATTCAGGGTATATCAATGGTTTTATTAGGGTGACACAAGCTGTCAAGTTTTAACAGTGGTTCTATGAATAATCATGTCCTCAGAAGCAGACATTTGTTGTGTTCTAAGCCCTAGAGTCTCTTTTTATTTTGGTTTCTGACAACTCCGTGAAGCAACTCAGACTTATCCAGGGTGCTATGCCACTGCAGGTAACACAAGTCTGTTGAGTTCTCATTCTAAACTACCAACCCAGTTCCTGGCCAGCCCATGGGTGCTGTTCCAGTTAGCTCTGGGGGAAGGTCCAGTCACATGGTACAAAACATGATAGCCTATAAATAAGAAACCTTGCTAAGAAGCCAGACCACAATTTCTATGGCAAGTCTTAAAAAATTATATCAAGTGAAGAGACAGTATTCAAGAGAGTGATTTAAATTTTGTAGCACTAGCAATAAAAAATGATTTACACTCTAGTTTAAATTAAGGATGCCAACTTTTTTCAATAGGAAAACTGTGATATAGGTATAGAATATCTTAGGCTCTTTTTCCTGCTATCTGTTGTTTCTTCTACAAGCTTCTAGAAAAAATGTCCAAGCCTGTTTCTGGCTGAACATCACTAAGCACATCAAAAATTTAACATATAACATATTTTCTAAAAATTATAAAAATTATACATTTATACAAAGAGTACAATAAGAGTTTCTGATGAAACTATAAATAGTGGGGCCATTTTTAGGGAGTAGGGACCCGGGGGCAACATATGGGTTTATGTTAAAGGGGTTAGGTAAAGACAGGAAGTGTATCTATATTGGGTTGTGTTGGTGGGTCAATTCCAAATACCTCCTTTCTCCTTTGTCCTGTCATTTTGTTCTATTAATATCTCTAGATTTCATGGCTTTGAGATTATTTGCCTGTGGTGTTAGCAATGTGTTTGTCTTCTTGGGCTTCTCAATGTACTTGAAGTAAAATCTGGAAGGAACAAAGTACTTTGAATCAGGATACCAGAAAACAGTTAACTTGGCATCCTTATTCATGTTTAAAAAAAAAAAAAGCAGCTGGGCACAATGGCTCATGCCTGTAATTCCAGCACTTTGGGAGGCTGAGGCAGGTGGATCACCTGAGGTCAGGAGCTCGAGACCAGACTGGCCAACATGGTGAAACCCCGTCTCTACTAAAAATACAAAACAAACAAACAAACAAAAAAAACTGGCATGGTGGAGGGTGCTTGTAACCCCAGCTACTTGGGAGCCTGAGGCAGGAGAATCACTTGAACCCGGGAGGAGGAGGTGCAGTGAGCCGAGATCGCATCACTGCATTTCAGCCTGGGCAACAAGAGCGAGACTCGGTCTCAAAAACAAACAAACAAACAAACAAAAAACAAAACACAATTTTCCCTCTCGTGCTGTAATAAATAAAAGAGAATATGAAAGATCTTCTTGAAACAATATTTTCTTTGTCTAATCAAAACGTAACAGTTTAACCTTAATATAGACAGGAATAACTATGAAATTCTTATTTAACATAATAGGCTGAAAATATTTTTCAAATGTGTACTCTCTGTTGCACATTCTATTGGATTTGGATGGAAATGTAAGCCTTTTCTAATGCATAGGATTCCTTCTAGAGATGTATTAGGGAAGCATTAGCACAGAGACTCACATGATACATGGCATGAAAAGGTAATTTCCAAAGATGACTTTGAAGCAACCCGTAGCAAATCACATTGGGTGTCATAACTTTCTCATGTGTTCTAAATGTTCCTTGCTAAAAAATGGCTTTTGTCAGTCAAGGATAGGCAGGAACACCCTAAAATTACTAAGGGTTGTTTCTCCTGAATTTCTGCATGATCTGACCCCAAATTCAACAGATCTTTAAAACTCCATTGGATATTAGAATAGAGGAAGAACACATTTCATGTGTTAACTGGATGCAGTGTCTTCAACTTCATGCAATGAATGACTGACAGATGAAGCATGTTGTTTTACAAACTGTTTTTTATTGTTTTGTTGTTGCTGTTTTTTAGACGGAGTCTCGTGTGTCACCAGGCTGGAGTGCAGTGGCATGATCTCGGCTCACTGCAACCTCCGACTCCCTGGTTCAAGCGATTCTCCTGCCTCAGCCCCTGAGTAGCTGGGATTACAGGCACACACCACCATATCCAACTAATTTTTGTATTTTTAGTAGAGACAGGGTTTCACCATGTTGGCCAGGATGGCCTTGATCTCCTGACCTCATGATCCGCCCCCCCTCAGCCTCCCAAAGTGCTGGGATTACAGGCGTGAGCCACCGCGCCCGGCCTTACAACATGTTAACAACAGAATAGTGCTCTGCTGCCTCCAACTTGAGACTACTCCTGAGACAACTCTTGGAACACCTCTAAAAATGTCAGCATCTTCCTAAGTACAATTGTCTTTGTTTCTTGTTGAACTACTATTAAGCCACTCTTTCCTGGACAAAGTATGGGTACATGGGTTGATATACCAATATCAGAATTTAGACAACAGAGTAGAAAACTAGGTATATTATGATTTGTGTTCTTAATGGAAGCATTCCTCATGTGCACTCAAACATGCATCTTTTGTTTGTTTGCATATCAGCCATATAATTATTTTATAAAAATAAATGGAAATGTCTCATACTTAAGATTTTTGAAGCAGAGCAGAAGTACAGTATAAGGGAAACCAAAAAAGACTTGATTGAGTGAAAGATTAATGCACATAAATAGGTGGATAAAGTTGATGAATCAGATAATTTTGTCTTTGATTTAGGTGGTAATCTGAGGAGAATAATAAACCTTTTTTGGCATCAATAATACTGTACTTGGAAAACTCACTTCAAATGGAACCATTTAAGTGGAATTTAAAATTATATTTTAAGTGGGACATTAAAATGGAGTGAGAGTTAAGCTAAGAGAAAAAATATCTTGATTGTGGGAGCCCTTGGAACCATGCCAAATTAGGAAGAGTCAACCGAAAGGAGCATTCTAAGTGAGGCAAGAAAAAGGTGTAGAATGGGCATCAGGATAGAAACTAGGATTCTAGTTTAATCACTTTTTTGAAATATTATATTGGAGAAGAAGATTAAATAATATGAAACAAAAATCACAGCAAAGTGAGTAATGAAAAGTTTGGAGACATAGACTGGCTTAATAGTGAGAGGAATTTTCTAAGCATTAGAGTTGTCCCAGTGGAATACATTGTTCTAACAATTTGAGAATTAGTGAATTCTCTATCACTAGTGCTGATTAAAGAGAAATTACTTGACAATATTTTGGAAATATTGCAGAAAATAGTAATGTTGTAGAAGAAATTAATATAGTAGTAAAAATATATAGTATTTAGCATTATTTCTAAGATTTTATTTTATCTTTATATTAGATTTGTCTATAGCTGGACTGGGAATTCTTTGAGGTTACTGTCTTTACCCAGTACATTTTAAAAATTTTCTTCAAAATTGCTTAAAGCAGTGTGCTTTATACATAAGCATTTGACTCTTGATTGGTTAATCTGTGTTAGACAAAAGTCGTTACTAATGACAAAGTTTCACTACAGTGCCTCAAGTTTGTGCATGTGACTATATCTTAGGACAGCGCTTTGGGACCTTCTAGACACTCCTCTGGCTTTAGTCGTGCCTTTCATTTTTTATCAAGCTTTCTTTCCACTTATTGACTAGTGTATCCTTTAGGAATATGTTGTCATTCCTCTACTTTAGTTTCATGGCCCAACACTTACTGTAACTGAACTTTTGGAGTGAGGCTATGATCACGTCCTTCATTACTCAGCTTAGCTCCTTAGCCCACCATTGTTTCCTCCCATTATAAGAAACTGTGTACAGAATTAATCCATTTCAATTAGTGGCCTGTCAATTCAGTGATGGCCATTTAAAAAAAATTAGTTCTAGACCTACATCCACATATATTCAATAATTTGAATCCAAGTATAAGAGCAACATCATAAGACAGAAATAGAAAACCCATTTCTAATAGTGAAATCATTATACAGTAATAAGGATTGTAAGTCACTCCTTTTACAGTGTATTTTAGATTGTTATTTTGTACTTTTGACAACCAGGAAAAATCATGAATTTCTTTTTCAGAGGCTGCTGTATAGTCAGTCCTTTGGTTTCTGTTTGTTGAATCTATTTGACTAGTTGGTTGCATGGAGACATAAGAAGGCTCAGCATCCATGTGCTGGTGGCATTGGATAGCAACGCTCAGCTGCAGCTATGCCGCTTATTTGACAAGTTGCGTGTGCACCTTTAGAAGCCTGGATTGATATTAAACTAAAAATAATGTTTCTATTTACTTAGATTAGATTTTTTTCACTTTGTTAGATTATTTTGAAACTATTTCTTCTTTGAGTCATTATAAGATAGTTACTATGTCCAATAATAGGACATATGAATAAAGTGTCTGACTATCTTATTACTTTACAGAGTAAGAGGTAAAAACAAACAAACAAGCTTGGAATTTCCATCAGATTTTTGAATAAATGGTAAAGCATGTAGACAATCTCATGATGATGTTCATGATAACAATTATGATGAAGGTGATGCCGATCATGATAGGTGTGCATACAGACCTGAGATAAGATGATAAGTTTCAATCATTTTGTGGCTTAGTGCTAAACACTTTCAAGCTCATCAACTAAATTTGCCTAGAAAAGTTAAGCAAGCCTTCTAGAAAACGTAAGCTATTCTCAATCTATGAGGCATGAGAATGTCCTGGTGTGTATTTTCAAAACATTCCTAAATTTTCATTTCTTCCCTCATCTGTTTTATGCAAAAGTTTCTCTATAACTGATAGAACCTTTGTATAAGACTTGCTACTGACTGACAGGCAAGAGAAAAATCTTCCTACAATAATAGATATGCTTTGTTAATTCAAAGTTGAGTCCCATATTGAAAGAACCTTGAGCAAAAATGACATATAATACAAGTGAAGTAGGATGCTCCACTTTGATGAGAGTTCACTTACTAAAATACAGTCAAGTTCAAGTGTGCTTGAGAGTCTGGAGGAATAGTTTGGTAGAAATCTGTTTGCATCAGGATCTACGGAGCTTCCTGGGAAAAGAGGTCTAGAAACAGCAAGCTTGAGTCTGTAACAAAGTTAGTTTCCTAAAGAGAAGTCCATCGTTCTAAGTACATAGTCTGAAATCAGGAATGTGCCCATGACCTGATCCACCGCAATGTACAGGATTAGAAGCAGAGGAGCCACAGAGTCACAATTTAATAATCAAATCTACTAAGGCCAAGATTCTTAAATCTTAACTTGCATGTGAATGGCCTCAGGATTTCGTTAAAATGCAGATTCTATTTCAGTAGGTAGGTTGGGCCAGGTGATGCTAATGACTCTATGTTCCAGAGAATCCAGGTTCTCCAGTGTTAGGATCCTCAGGTTATCTGCCCACCTTGGCCTCCCAAAGTGCTGGGATTACAGGCATGAGTCACCTTGCCTAGGCTCTTATTTTCTTTTTACACCAACATCAAGTGTAGATGAAGCAAATATTTGAATGTAAAATAAAATTAATACAAATATCTTCTAAAATGTTAATTTAAAAATAAATCCTAGAATGAAGACATTCTTAAAATTTGGACATGCCACGTAAAAACAATAAATGAATGTTTGTTATCTGCGATTGCATTAAAAAAATCTGACAGACAAAAAATTACCAGATGCAAAGTTAAAGGTAAAAGAAAAACTGGAGAAAATCTCATACAAAAAAATGAGAAAGAACAAACCAAGAGCCTAATAGAACACTGGATATAAAAATTATTCCAACAGAAAAATAATTCATTCGGGCACTCCACCCTATGTGGCACACTCCTGAGGATTCCAAGCTTCATGGGAAGCTAAGGCAAGAGCATTGCTTGAGCCCAGGATTTCCAGTCCAGCCTGAGGAATATAGCAAGACCTCATCTCATAAAAAGAAGAGAGAATTATAATAGTGTTTAAACATAAAAAATGACCTAATCTCTTTGTAATAATGTACAGGATAGTTATGCTATTCTTATATCAAATCAAGTAATTTGATGCCACAGTATTTTGGTGGAGCAGGGGGGACTGACACTCAAACATTATTGATGGGAGTATAAGTTGGTGCAAATTCTATGAAACAATGTTAGTCATAGATATTAAATTAATGTGTTTTGCTTGCACATATGATTCACTTTTTAGGAATTCATGCTCCAAATATGATACTAGTAAACCTAAAAAAATTATAAGACTATTTATTAAAACATTGCTTAATATAGGAAAAGACTAGAAGTAACGTAAGTGTTCATTAACAAGGAATTGATTAAATAAATTATGGTAACGCCATAAAGTAAAATTGAGTGAATGTCAGAATTAGGGTTATGGTTAATATGAAAGCTGAAAAGGAACCCCCAAGACTATTTAAACAAAAAAAGTCAAGCCATGGAACAGTGCTAAGTAAGTGCTGAGACCTCGCCTTTAAATATTTCAATAGATAATATTGAGTTTCATATACATGCCTTATGCACATAAAATGTCTCCACAGGAATACATAAGAAACTCCTAACCACGGTTGTCTCTGAGAAAGAGAACTAGCTGACCAACAGACTGAAAGTAGTCTGATATTTTACTTTGTAAATATCTGTACTTTTTGACTTTTGTGTGATGGGCACACATCATTCATTCAAAAAATGGTTAATTAAAAAATTAAGAAAATAACAATTATGATACTTAATTGTACGTGACTTCTCTTAGATATTAATGGAGGAGCAATGGCAGAAACATGTTTGAAGACAAGGTTTTCTAACTCTAAGATCACAGTCCTTTTCCTGATGTTGCATTCACATTTTAAACAATTCTCCAGGGATTACAGAAGTAAATTAAGTAACACAATTTTAAACTAATGTGAACATTTTTCACATCCTATTTAGATGTGAAAAAATATATCATATTACATTTTTCCTGAGGATAAACAAGAGTCACAAAGCCATGTACATCTGGAACTTATTGATTTGTCCAGTTGAAATTTAACATCATGCACATTGTATATTGATTTTTTTTGTGCGTTTTCCCTTGCTGAGTCTGCAAACTTCCTGTTAAAATCAGTACATTGTTTTGAATAAAGTTCCACTAAAGATCAATTAGATTTAAGTTTGGGTTAAAATCAGATGACCATGAATCCATATTCACAAGTTGCTAACAAGCATTAACTTGAAGTCATAAACTAGCGTTTTACAAGCTGAATGAAAGGGACTATGAATCACACCTTCAACTATTGCCCATCTTAAGTGATGCAAGAAGTTTACATTCCTCGTGCTAGAAAAACATCAAGGATGTCCTTTCAAACCAAAGCATTTTAAACCATGAAAAGGTCAATAGAGTCTCATGTCTGATACCTTCAATTTCATGCCTATAAAGCAGTCTGCAAGGCTTAAAAGGCTCATAGAAGAAAGTACTTGTCAATTTCAGAGCAAGAACAAAGTGAAAATAGCTAAAAAAAAAAAAAAAAAAAAATTTAATGTTGCTTAAGAAAATGTATGTCTCCAAGGTATTTTTCTAGCAATTTCTTCAAATGGCTGCAAGTTAAGTTACTGTCTGAATAGTCTGAATAACTGCCTCAATTAGATTATACCATAGCAATCATGATTTTTATTGACTGATCTGATATTTTAAGTATAATACAGATATTATTTTTGAGATACTAAATTATTTTTGTTTTTCATAATGTCAAGGTCTTAATTGTTTCAACAAGTGGGATGAGATCTATCTCAGGGGATCCACTAATGACCCACACAATTACGTGAGGAAAACTGAGTTTCCCTCAGATAGTGTTTGGGAAAAAGAGGGGGAAGAGGAACCTCTTGGGGAAAGGGATGCAGCCTTATACTTACTCAATGGTACAGGTCAGAAGAAATATTGTAATACCCGACTTCCACCACTACAGGGATTGAATATAAGTAACTGATAATAATCAATGAAGTCATATTATTTTGCATTTCCTACTCAAAGAGTGCAAAGCTTACCTCTAGAGTATATGCATTTTGGTGTTGATGAATTAAGTTTAAAATTGCTTTGCAAGTGAAAGAACACCACCCCCAACAAAATGTCTTGAACATAATAGATACTAAGTTCATTCTTAGGTAAACAAAATATTGTGGAAAACAGTTGAAGGATAATTTGATAGCACCATGATTATTATAGACCCGGATACCTTGTGTCTTGCTATTTGTCTATTCTTAAAATGTGGTTTCTACTCCATGATCTAATATGGCTAAGAAAAGTAAAGAAAGACATTCTTACCAAAAACACCTCATGAAAGTTTTGCATTTGTAGTTTCATCAAATTGGAAAGAATTAAGTTATATAACTTTTAGACTGGGCTTGAAAGGAGGTTGCAAAATGTGTTTTTCATTATATGAAGCCATGTGGCTATTGGGGCTGTATTCCTAAGAAATGAATATTGGGCAAAATATCACAATTCCAACTGCAGATCCCCAATTTAGCAATGAAGAAACAACATCAAGAGTATTGGTGAGACCATATTTCTTAAAAATGTGTCTTAAATTGCCTCTAAGAATTTCTTCTAAACTGCTTACATCAGTTCCTCAGGTTATGCTGGTAGTGGTTATTCTCAACAAACGCTATCTCCTTCATAATTATCAAATGTACAACCCGCTGCTCTATTTCCATACCTTTCTGCATAGAACTTTTATTTCAATGTTGAATCAGTGTGAACGATTTTTTTTAAAGACAGTTGAAAAGACAATCAAAATAAAGATGCATAGTGGGAAGTTGCATGTATATCAACTGAATGATGACAAATAGCTTAGTTTTCACATAAAAATGGGGTAACCAGTCAGGCACGGTGGCTTATGCCTGTAATCCCAACACTTCGGGAGGCCAAGGCAGGTGGATCTCGAGGTCAGGAGTTCGAGACCAGCCTCACCAACATGGTGAAAACCTGTCTCTACTAAAAATACAAAAATTCAGCATGGCTGGGGAGGCCTCAGGAAACTTACAATCATGGCAGAAGGGGAAGCAAATGCATCCTTCTTCAAGTGGCAACAGCAAGGAGAACAAGAGCTGAGTGAAGCGGGAAGCCCCTTATAAAACCATCAGATCTCATGAGAACTT
Organism: Homo sapiens; assembly: GCF_000001405.40. Classification (NCBI taxonomy): domain Eukaryota; kingdom Metazoa; phylum Chordata; class Mammalia; order Primates; family Hominidae; genus Homo; species Homo sapiens. The sequence goes on from NC_000018.10 coordinate 43,536,577, forward strand.
ACTATCAGGAGAATAGCATGGAGGAAATTACTCCCATGATTCAATTACCTCCCACTGGGTCCCACTCACCACATGTGGCAATTATGGGAACTAAAATTCAAGATGAGATTTGGGTGGGGACACAGCCAAACCATACCAATGGATATGTGTGGTGTGTGTCTGTGTGGGTTTTTATGTATGGAGGTACATTTGTGTTGGGGGGAGGTGGGAGCCTGGGTTTGTATGTGTGGGATGGTGTGTGCATATGTGTTTGTGTAGTGTGGCATATGTGCATGGTGCTTGTGAGTAGGTTTAGATATAAGTGTGGAGGGTTGCAGTGGGGGCTGGTAAAGCACAGAGGACTTCAGTCCAAGGTTGAGAGAGTGGATGCCATGTGCAAACACGCCAAAGTGACTGAGCAGGATGTCCCAGTGGTTCTAAGTCAGCCTGAAAAATGGGACCACACTGGAAAAGGGGAGAGAGAAGAGAGCAGAGAGGGAGGTGTGGGGATTTTACAATGAAGGTCTCTATTTTCTGCTGCTACAGCCATTTCTCTCTGGACTGGACTCTGGGATCTGACCCATTCAGCAGAAAAGAGAAAGGGAAGAAGTATTCTCTTAATTCCCTTACTTTTTCCCCCTTTGTCAATTTGTTTGTACATATGTTGATTTAGAGAAAATAAAAGGATATATCTTCCAAAACCAAAGTGATAAATTTAGTACGTTAGAGAGAAAGGTATGAATGATGGAATCAAGGCCGCAGAGGTGATTTGTGAGCAGTGTTTTAGGAGCATGAGAACATAGAATTGGTAGCTTGTTAGGTTTCCAAACTATACATATGGTATTCAGAAACATTTGTCACATAAGTCCTATTTCCTCAGTGAGTTATAAAATAGAGTCATGTGGTGATTCAGAAGACATGTTAAGTAATTTGAGCTTTAATAAAATATGTTAGTAACATTTGTAAGGAACTGATTTAGTCAATGGAACATTAAGTTAATTAGGGATGAGCAAATTCCTTAAGTCTAAGGTATGTATATGTTTTAAAGATATTTTAACTCTTCTGTGTCCCATGCCGGATTCTGCTTCAGTGCCTCATAGGTAGGGCTCTGGAATTAGTATTTTCATGCGGATCATGGACCACACTTTTTGGCAGACTGCACCAAATGCTGACACTGAGAGATGATCAGAGGTTACTGAACATTGTAGGCTGAATAATATTCCAGAGAGCCCCACAATCTAATCCCCAGTAACTATATATATGTTACCTTACATGGTAAAAGAGACATTGCAGATGTGACTAAGCAAGGATATTGAGATCAGAAAATTATCCTGCATTTTTAAAGTAAGCCTAATGTAGTCACAAGGGTCCACAAAAGAGGCAGGGGGATCACAATCAGCAGTTGGAGATGTGACAACAGAAGCAGGAGGTTGGAGGAATCCAAGGAGTGGTCAAGAATGAAGGAATGCAGGTGACCTCCAGAATCTGAAAAAGGAAAGGAAGTGGGTTCTACCCTCAGAGCCTCCAGAATAAACCTACCCCGAGGACACGTTGATGTTAGCCAACTGGGACTTATTTTAGGTCTTTGATCTCTAGAATAATTAGATGACAATGTCATGTTGTTTTATGTTTGCAAATAAATACACTGAACATCCATCTTAGGGAAGCCGGTTGTAAATTTATTTAAACATTCATGTAAATATAAAAAAATCAACCTAGGATAAATATGAGATGAAGAAAAAGATAATTAGCCTCACCTGGAGTTGGGGATGGTAAAGACAGATACGGAAGATGAGGTGCAGTGTGGGTGAGGGTGAACATAAGAGTGGAATAGGATGATTAAAGAGCAAAGAAGCTCAGATTGGCTTGTGGTGTGGACGAAGAGTGAGGATCTGAGGGAAACTCTGATGATATATGGATGAAATTGTAGCTCTGTGTAGGAGAATAAGAGGAGAATAAGCATGAAGAGAGGAAGTTGTAGTAAGAAAAAAGAATTTTTTTTCAAAATAATTGTATATGCTTTAATATAAAGATTAAGATTAAATCACAATGTGCTAAACAACAAATGCAGAAAACACCTTCCTCATTATCACTATTTATTATATAGTTATGAATCAATTTATTGTACTAAGCTGTCCCATGGGTTTTCTCAAAAATAAATCTCATTTTTCTCACATAAAGATATTTGCCTGTATTTGGTAAAAATAAAATTACAATTCCAGAAATATCAATGCATTTAAGCAATGACCGAGTCCCAAGACTCATCTAAGGGATTGTGACCCAAAGATTACTATTTACTTATTTAAATTACACTTTAAGTTCTGGGGTACATGTGCAGAACGTGCAGGTTTGCTACATAGGTATATATGTGCCACGGTGGTTTGCTGCACGCATCAACCAGTCATCTACATTAGGTATTTCTCCTAATGCTATCCCTCTCCCAACCCCCCACACCCCGACAGGCCCTGCTTCCCCTCCCTGTGTCCATGTGTTCTCACCGTTCAACTCCTGCCTATGAGTGAGAACATGCGTTGTTTGGTTTTCTGTTCCTGTGTTAGTCCACTGAGAATGATGGCTTCCAGCTTCATCCATGTCCCTGCAAAGAGCATGAACTCATCAAAAAATAAAATAAATTAAAATAGAAAAAAGATTTTTCAAAGCTTGACATATCAAATCGACTTTTAAAAACATTAACCAATTGCCCACTACAGACCCAGCTCTGTATTTGCTGAAATAGAAAGAAAGAAATGGAAATTCTGGAATGGTTTGGTAGCATCCACACTCTTTCCTTTTAGACAAATTTAATGGAGTCAGACACAGATTTGAGACTCACATGATATAAATTGCATGTGGCTTCTGTTGTGGATTTTGTAGGAGTAGATATTTGAGAGCTATAAATTTCAAACTTGGGCAATTTTATTCTAGGAAAAGAAGCAGCTTGAATACAGGTCAAATAAGTTCTAGGATATTTCCAAAAGAACATGCCAGATAAAAATATATAGATTCAAAGAATAATACAGCTGGAAAAGACTTCATAGATTATTTTATCCAGCTCCTTCAGTTAAAAAAAAATAAACAGGTCCAGAGAAAGGAAAATACATACCCAACTCACACAGCAAATATGCAACAGACATAGTAAAACCAGCATCTCTTTTCATGCAACCAATAACATTCCCGTCTTTTTATATTGGAAATCAATTCGTGAACTTGAAAAGACAGTTGCCTACTTGATTAACTAGTAAGAGTGTTGAATGACATTTCTAAAACTAGTGAACAAAAACACTTCTATTGGGTCCTAGGATTCATTCTAACAATGAAATAAGAATTAATTAATTTCCATGTGCCAGACACACTGCTGACAATCTAAAGATAAGTAGGACACACTGCTTGTCTTGAAACGAAGACAGATATGTAAACATCTATGCATATAGGAGCATGCCAATTTTGACTCTAAATTGTGTCAACATTTGGGATTGAGACATTTCTCAAAATATCTTTCATACTAGTGAAAAAAATCAGAATTATTTCAATGATTAAACAATGACTCTGTCTCTGGAATGCTGAGGATCAGCAACCAGGCATGTGGGGTGGGAAATAAAATAATTTTTCATTGCATATCCTTTTGATTCATCTGGATTACTTTTACTATGTTCTTGTCATTTTTAGTGAAAAATGTGAGTACAAAAACATTTTTACAAAAAATGCAAAAAAAAAACCCCTATAATAATGCAGTTGCTTTTTACAGCATCACATTAATTCCAACCAGATCTAGAGGTCTAATATTATGGAGAAAAATATCTCTAGGAAAATTAATATGTTTGTAGATATTGTATGTAATATCTGTACATATTGGAAAACAAGCCAGAAATGCATGCATGCCTGGACCAATGGGAAGAAAATCCTATCTTTCCCATTCTTGTACAGACATAGTGTATCTTAGGCACATTGGAGTTCTCTAGTGAGGACCCAGGGCCTCAAGCCATTAGCAGCATCCCAACCTGGAGACTTGGAAGGATTGGTGTTCAGTAGCAGTGCTCAGGGGCAGCTTGCTGAGAAGACTCAGGAGGTGGTGTAGAAAGAGCTCACAGCTTCTCAGGAAAATGTTTTCACCAAATAGGATCATAACGATAAAGAAAAAGATAACAAAGCCACACAGTAGCAGATGAAATGTGATTCAGAGAAATGCTCTTCATTAAAGTTAACATAATCCTTATTTGTATCCCACAATCCATAGGACCTTACATTTAATAAATGAAGCATGGATTTACTATATAAAGGTAGCTAAAGAGATGTACACAAATAATAGAGGTAATACATGCTATAATAGAGAATTATTCAAGATATAGAAGGTTTTACACACATGTATGCACACAAATGGCCAAGTGTGGGTCATAAATACCTGTACATTTATGTCTTAAATTCTTCTTGCATTTTCCCAAAATGCACATTTTTCAAAGGGGATACATCCTCTCTGCCTATGGAAAGAATATTAGAAAATTAAAATTGTTTTAAAAATGTGGCCCATGCCAAGTCATAATGACTTCACCTGTAATAAAAGGTTTATTAATATGGATGAGTTAAAAATGATAAAGTTAATCGGTTTGAGACATGATGAAAATCTATCAGAGCAGAAAAAGAACTAAAAATCTATGCCTTCAAGAGCCAAGAACAATTAAATTCTCTCAAGGAAAATGTCCAAGGGAATTTCACAATTGCAGGCAAGTGAAGATGAAGAGACTCAAAGGTATCACTCAGTTAATTCCCTGCCACAGCAAGATTGCTTCTTGTGATGAGCGTGGAGCTCCAAATACGCCTTCTTTTCCCAAGTATGAATGTTACTAAAGGGATAAAAATCTTTTGTTTCCTATGATCTCAATGATGGTTAACAGAAGACAATTGTTTTGCAGTGTGCCTTGTGGGATTTTTGTACGTAAGTTATAGCATTATTTCTAAAATTGTTAAGATCCATTAATGGATTTTGCAATCAATTTGGTGTTGCAATATGTTTGTAAGGAAATAGACTAGACTATAGGAGAATATGTGATATTAAAGGTACTTCTTAAAAAGGGTGATTTGTAAAATATTTGTTTTATTTCTGTGCATTTGTCCTGGAGCACATTGTTAAAAGTGTATCTTAGAGTACATTATGAAGAAAAAGAAGTTTCAATGCACTGAATAAAATGAGTGAGACTCACAGTCTCACTTTCCTCCAAAACAGGAATTTCTACAGGGTCAACATAATAGAAAAAGGTGGTTGTAGGTTTTATTGTGTTTCCTAAGGAGATTTGTTGAAGTTCTAACACCCGATACCTTGGAATGTGACCTTACTTGGAAATAGGTTGTTGAAGATGTGTATAATCAAGTTGAAATGGGAAAAGTTCCCTCATCCTCCTTGCAGGGCATGCAACAGGGGTGTGGCTCGCTTCTTTGGTGCCCCTGCAGCTCAAACCCCTAGGGAGAACATGCAGACGGGCAGGTTGTGGGAAATGTGGGCTCCGACCCCATAGCAGCGACTTGGGATAAGTGTTTACAGCTCCCAAACCCCCAGTAGGTGTGTGTTACAGTGCTCCCTTTCAGTTTAGCTATCCTCAGGCGGCTTGTGTTAATCAGCTCAATTAGACCCTCTGCCTTATCTCAAGGACAGAGGGCTTTTTGTATCCTGGTGTTCTTGCCCTGGTGTACTGGAAAAATCGGATCACATGTGGGCTTGGAGAATGAGTACAAGGTTTTATCCAGTGGTAAAAGTAGCTCTCAGCATATGGATGGGAGCCAGAAAGGGGATGGAGTGGAAAGGTGGTCTTCCTCTGGGGTTGGGCCACTCAGCCACCAGACTGTCCTCCCACCACCCCCGTCATTCACTTCTTTCTGCGGTCGATGGCTTACTGGAGTCTGTCCATGTGTTCTTCTGCTGGTGTGTTCTTCTCAACGTCCAGCCACTTGTGTGTGTGACCACTTGTGTGTGTGACCACTAGGGTCTCAGGGTTTTTATAGGCACAGGATGGGGGCGTGGAGGGCCAGAGTGCTCTTGGGAAATGCAACATTTGGGCATGAAAGCAGAAGTTCGTATTCTCCCTTAGGTCCGTGGGCACAGGCCAGAGCTTGGAGCCCTCCCCAGGGACCCCACCCTTCTCCCCCAGCACTTCCCTGCACCCCCTCCCATATCAATGTTGCAATGAAGTCATACTAGAGTAGAGTGGGACCTAATCTAATATGATTAGTGTGTTTCCAAGAAGAGGAGAAAAGACACAGAGACAGACACAGAGGGAAGACAGTCATATGAAGATGGAGGCAGAGATTGTAATTATGCTGCCACAAATCATAGAACATATGGGGTTACCAGAAGCTAGAAGAAGCAAAGAAAGATTCTTCTCTAAAGAATCTGGAGAGAAAGCAGTCCTGCCATTGCCTTGATTTTAAACTTTTAGTCTCCAGAACTGTGAAAGAATAAATTTCTGTTACTTTAAGGTACCTGGTTTGTGGTATTTGTTAAGGCAGCCCTAGCAAACTAATCCAGAGGGAAATCTGGAGAAGGAAAGAGTGAGGAGAAGATATGGAAGTTAAGAGAAAGTGGCACCTGGCGCTGTGAAAATTTGGACACACCACCACATAACTTACCTTACTACACAAGACCTCAAATTTTAATTAAACTGTGCCCAAATATATAAGTATCTTAAAGAAAATTTCTCATAAAAGCAAGTTAAACATTTTCTACATTCAGTGTGATACGGAGACAGTAGAAATAGGAGACCTCAAGCCACAGAGCATACAGCTAAGGAACGAGCAGAACCATTTCTGAGATCTGCAGACTCTCACAGGCTGCACGGTTCTTGATTTGGCTGAGTTCAAGTGAATTAGAGATGAATATCTGAGCATCAAGTGACCCCTAAGTGAATTAGCGTGTCCTGCATTAGGGTTAATGTTGTGTTTCTGGTACCCACAGCAGCCAGTTCTGTCATAGGCTCTAAAGAAAAATGCTGATTGCTGAATGAATGAGTCTCCAATAACCACAGCAGGAGAAATGGAATAAGTGGCTACTATAATGGCTTGCAAGCTCTCTATCTAATGAAAAAAATTAAAAAGTAATACACCATGATTTTGTGTGCAAACATGGTTTCCAGCCTTTCATAAAATGCTAGAATGAATAGTGATGTAGCTATTGTGATGTGAGAGTCATTAAAAGGCTTTCCCTCCCCAACATTAACCTCATTTACAGACAGTGTCTAACATCTCAGTGTCAGTCATTTTTTCCAAGACATTGCTGCTTTAAGATAATCACAGCTGAAATCCAAATGAATCTGGTGCTGAGAAAAAATTAGAGATTAAATTTTTAAAATAAAATTGATTTTTTGACAAGGAGCAATGAGAATGAGAAAAGAAGTCATGATGTTCGCCCACCAGTTCAGAACATACCCAATGGCAGTTACCATGACATTTGAGGATGTGACCAGTGCCCCTAGATAGTACTTAGAAACAGTCTTTTCCTGGGTGGATATGCAAACTGACATGTTTTCAATCAAGTAAATACCCATTAAATATTGAATAAAATTTCAAATACAAAAGCTTTATTTGAAGATAATTTTATAGCACACTTCTCCACAAAATGATGACTTTTTTTTTAACATTGTGCAAGTGTCTTTGCAAGAAACCTAACGTGACAGTGCCTCATTTCAAATATACTTATCTTCACAAAGGATAACTCTTGCTGATAATTGTCTAAACTAGCTTCAGTTTCTAATATGTACATCTCTGTTTGCTTCAAGAGAGTAATTCTAAATTGTGTCTCATCTCAATTTTCTTACAGCATTTTACTCAATGTATCTTGGCTTTGTATCTCAATATCTTCAGACAATTATTTTCAAACTATTTATGTAATGAGAATTAGGTTCATATTTTATTATAACAGGGTTTGAAACATATTAAATGTTCAATCAATTGAAATATAGTATGCCTAATGCTGAGAGATCTGTGTTGCAAGATATAATGAATACTTAATGTTTTACCGTTAGGAAATATACAATCTAGAAGGAGAGGGAAAACATGCAAAAAATCTCGAGGAATACAATATATTATTTAATTAAGGACTAAATTGTATGGCTGGTACAGATTATAGTAACTATATTAGTTCAAGAGAGAAGTTGATCAACAAAGATGAAAATATCCTAAGGAATATTTTAGGGAAGATACAAAATGAGAGTCTATCACTAGTGACTCAAGATGAATTAACAATATTCCTTTCCTCTGGGAATACTGGGAAAATAGTATAATGAGAGTTTGTATGGCACAGAAATAAGGATGGTGGTAATCCTGGAGCATGAGATACCAATGGCAGGAACACCTGGCTGAGACTTATTCTGGCAGAGCCCTGGGAATCCAGGGGAATATCCAAGAAGGCCTCAGGAGGGAGAGGGCATGGGGCACACAGGTGAGATCATGTTAAACAAAATCCAATGCACTTGCAACTTTTCCCAAACCAGCACGTAATAATCTATAATAAAGCAGAAGGTGAAGAAAGAGCATAAGTTAAAAGTGGGAGGAAAATGTTTGCTCTCTAAAGATAGAGCAAGCTTGTTTTTTTCTTGTAAATTTGTTTGAGTTCATTGTAGATTCCGGATATTAGCCCTTTGTCAGATGAGTAGGTTGCGAAAATTTTCTCCCATTTTGCAGGTTGCCTGTTCACTCTGATGGTAGTTTGTTTTGCTGTGCAGAAGCTCTTTAGTTTAATTAGATCCCATTTGTCAATTTTGGCTTTTGTTGCCATTGCTTTTGGTGTTTTAGACATGAAGTCCTTGCCCATGCCTATGTCCTGAATGGTAATGCCTAGGTTTTCTTCTATGGTTTTTATGGTGTTAGGTCTAACGTTTAAGTCTTTAATCCATCTTGAATTGATTTTTGTATAAGGTGTAAGGAAGGGATCCAGTTTCAGCTTTCTCCATATGGCTAGCCAGTTTTCCCAGCACCATTTATTAAATAGGGAATCCTTTCCCCATTGCTTGTTTTTCTCAGGTTTGTCAAAGATCAGATAGTTGTAGATATGTGGCGTTATTTCTGAGGGCTCTGTTCTGTTCCATTGATCTATATCTCTGTTTTGGTACCAGTACCATGCTGTTTTGGTTACTGTAGCCTTGTAGTATAGTTTGAAGTCAGGTAGCATGATGCCTCCAGCTTTGTTCTTTTGGCTTAGGATTGACTTGGCAATGCGGGCTCTTTTTTGGTTCCATATGAACTTTAAAGTAGATTTTCCAATTCTGTGAAGACAGTCATTGGTAGCTTGATGGGGATGGCATTGAATCTATAAATTACCTGGGGCAGTATGGCCATTTTCATGGTATTGATTCTTCCTACCCATGAGCATGGAATGTTCTTCCATTTCTTTGTATCCTCTTTTATTTCATTGAGCAGTGGTTTGTAGTTCTTCTTGAAGAGGTCCTTCACATCCCTTGTAAGTTGGATTCCTAAGTATTTTATTCTCTTTGAAGCAATTGTGAATGGGAGTTCACTCATGATTTGGCTCTCTGTTTGTCTGTTATTGGTGTATAAGAATGCTTGTGATTTTTGCATATTGATTTTGTATACTGAGACTTTGCTGAAGTTGCTTATCAGCTTAAGGAGATTTTGGGCTGAGACAAGAAAAAAACAAACAACCCCATCAAAAAGTGGGCAAAGGATAGGAACAGACACTTCTCAAAAGAAGACATTTATGCAGCCAAAAGACACATGAAAAAATGCTCATCATCACTGGCCATCAGAGAAATGCAAATCAAAACCACAATGAGATACCATCTCACACCAGTTAGAATGGTGATCATTAAAAAGTCAGGAAACAACAGGTGCTGGAGAGGATGTGGAGAAATAGGAAAACTTTTACACTGTTGGTGGGACTGTAAACTAGTTCAACCATTGTGGAAGTCAGTGTGGCAATTCCTCAGGGATCTAGACCTAGAAATACAATTTGACCCAGCCATCCCATTACTGGGTATATACCCAAAGGACTATAAATCATGCTGCTATAAAGACACATGCACACATATGTTTATTGCAGCACTATTCACAATAACAAAGACTTGGAACCAACCCAAATGTCCAACAATGATAGACTGGATTAAGAAAATGTGGCACATATACACCATGGAATACTATGCAGCCATAAAAAATGATGAGTTCATGTCCTTTGTAGGGACATGGATGAAATTGGAAATCATCATTCTCAGTAAACTATTGCAAGGACAAAAAACCAAATACCACATGTTCTCACTTATAGATGGAAATTGAACAATGAGAACACATGGACACAGGAAGGGGAACATCACAATCTGGGGACTGTTGTGGGGTGGGGGGAGGGGGGAGGGATAGCATTAGGAGATATACCTAACGCTAAATGACGAGTTAATCGGTGCAGCACACCAGCATGGCACATGTATACATATGTAACTAACCGGCACATTGTGCACATGTACCCTAAAACTTAAAGTATAATAATAATAATAAAAAAAGAGCAAGCTGCAGATTACTTCAGATTATCAATGCTATGTCCCAGCAACAGGCTTCCTTTCAGCTAAAAGCTGCAAAGAGTTTATCTATTTCAAAGACTCTTCTTTATCAGATGTTGCTTAGCCAAAGGAAAAAAACTTGTGCAAAGATAAAAGGGTCTTCATTCTTTCTCCTTTTTAATTGAATTTTGACATGTAAAGGAAATACATTTAAACAACTATTTTAGGTGATGGATATTCCATTTACATGGATTTGACCTTTCCAGATTATGTGAATATTTTAAATTAACACATGTACTCAGAAAAATATGTACATCTATCATATATCAAAAATGTTTTCTAAAAAGAAATAGGGGTAATAATCCAATAAAATTTGCCTCAGTCTTCTGCTAACTGTTGCCATCTATAGCAATTGATTTCATTAGTGAAGAGACTGGTTATACTAGTAGGTTGAAAAATCAAGGGTTGAAGTCCAGTGGCAGGCAGGATAGCATGACATATCAGCTTCATGTTGCCAATGATGTCAGAGGCTTTTTCTACCACTTTCTTTCACCATCTTTAGCCTGTGGCTTTCTTTTCACCTTGCTTCATGAGAAGATATTACTGCTAAAACGCCTGCCATTATATCAGCATTTCAAATAGGAAAAAATGAGAAGCAGGAGGAAGCATGGCATAGAGATAAGGGCAAGTGCCAACTGTATGAAGAAGATAATTTCTAACTTTCCTTTCAGCTCTATGAGTCTAATGGCATTACAGTCCTAAGGCAACAGAAAGGGTGTTTTAATATTAATATAAAGCAATCAAAACATCCTTCTATCTTCAGCACTATGATAAAGATATAAACATTTTGTTAGAAGAAAACCTAGAGAATATATATTTCTACATGTTAGTATTTTTAAAAGTATGAATTATATCATAATTATCATTGCAATGAACATCTATAAAGTGTTTTATCTGACACAAGCAGTAGGCAAAACACTACATTAATTTTCTCATATAAATATCTTATTTAGAGCAGGAGATAAGTATTGTGATTATACCTAAATATAGATAAGAAAGCTGAGGTTTAAAGAACCTTTCTCCTATTACCAAGACATAAATAAGAAGAACAGAATTTTAATGACTCTTCTGACAACAAATGCATTTAATTCAATACATACTTAAAAAAGAATTCTTAAATACAAACTATAAGTGCTTTCTTGCAACTTCAATAGTGGGGATTGGCAGAGAAGGAAGTCTGCATGCAGCTAGAATCTCTATCAATGTCCATTAGAAAACAGTATTATTTTTTATGTGCAATGGATTCAGTGAGAAACTAAAATATGGCTGCTAGTTACCAAACCAATTTAACAAAGAACAAAATATTTGCTTTAATAGATCCTATAGCAACCAAACTTAAACGTCAGAAATTCTCTTTAACAACCATTTCCCTTTTCCCAAATTGCCAAAAGAAGCTTGGAAACATCTCTATTAAGAAATGTCAAGAGGCTTCATAGTGATTGAGTCTTGAGCTCAACAAATAAAAGAAAACAGAGCTATTTAGCTAATGAGAACTTCTTAAAACATTAGACAATAAAAAATGAACATAAGGCTTAAAAAGCATGAAAGGAGAATTCCATTTGTCTTATGACAAGCTATGACTTACAAGCTATGATACCTTCTTATTTTAAATATAATCTTATGTGAGGATTAAACTATTCCATTAATGAATAAGATTAGCTCTTTTGTATTAACCCGTGGACATCATTTTCATTTAATTTCATAATTATAGAGCCACATAATCTTTTATTGCATTCTCAATTAAATATTTTCCCCTTCCATCAGACACTATTGAAAAAAAAGGAAAATCAAATAAAAAGAGTCAGCCAGGTAGTAGTCATCTATAAATTATGGAAAAAGCAACCAAGACATTTCAATGGGAAAGAAGACTAAATTAGAAAAGAAAAAGAAAAACTAGTAGAGAAAGACAGGAAATATAGCAAGAGAAAGAAAAGGGAAGAAAGAGAGAGGGAGAGAGAGGAAGGAAGGAATGAAAAAAGGAGATGTAGGGGAAGAAAATGACAAAAAAGAGTGGGAGAGAAGGGAGGAGGAGGGGAAGACTGGAAGAAGGGAGGAGAGAAGGACAGGAGATTTAAAATCAATAGAAAATATACAATTTAAAAGCAGAATGGACTAAAGAGAAGATTCCACACCCTATCAGAGTTTATCTCTGTCTTGTTCATGTTTCCTCCTCAGCTACCCACGTAAACTACAAAGATTAGATATATCTAGTGTAAAGCTGGTAGAGAAAACAAAATAAAGGAATTATATTAGCCTGTTTTTGCACTGCTGATAAAGAAATACCTGAGACTGGGCAATTTATAAAAGAAAGAGGTTTATTTAGTCTTTCAGTTTCACATGGCTGGGGAAGCCTCACGATCATGGAAAAAGGCAAGGAGGAGCAAATCATGTCTTGCATGGATGTCAACAGTCAAAGAGAGCTTGTGCAGAGAAATTCCACCTTATAAAACCATCGGACCTCATGAGACTTATTCACCATCACAAGAACAGCATGGGTAAGACTTGCTCCCATGACTCAATTACCTCCCACAAGGTCCCTCACACAAAACGTGGAAATTCAAGGTGAGATTTGGGTGGGGACACAGCCAAACTATGTCATTCCACACTTGGCCACTCCCAAATCTCACATCCTCACATTTAAAAAACAGTCATGCCTTCTCAATAGTCCCCCAAAGTCTTAACTCATTTCAGCATTAACTCGACAGTTCACAGTCCAAAGTCTCATCTGAGACAAGGCAAGTCCCTTCCACCTATAAGCCTGTAAAATCGAAAGCAGGGTAGTTACTTTTTAGATCCAGTGGGGGTACAGGCATTGGGTAAGCACAGCCATTTCAAATGAGAGAAATTGGTCAAAACAAAGGGGCTATATGTGCCATGCAAATCCAAAATCCGGTGGGGCAGTTAAATCTTAAAGCTTCAAAATAATCTCCTTTGACTCCATGTCTCACATTCAGGTCACGCAAATGCAAGAGGTGGATTTCCATGGTCTTGGGCAGCTCCACCCCTGTGGCTTTACAGGGTACAGCCTCACTCCCAGCTTTTCATGGGCTGGTGTCAAGTATTTCCAGCTTTTCCAGGTGCATGGAGCAAGCTGTCAGTGGATCTACCATTCTGTGGTCTGGAGGATGGTGACCCTCGTCTCACAGTTCTACTAGACAGTGCCCCAGTAGGGACTCTGTCTGGGGGCTCTGACCCCACATTTCCCTTCTTCACTGCCCTAGCAGAGGTTCTCCATGAGCGCCTCACCGCTGGAGCAAACGTGACTGGACATCTAGGCATTTCCATATATTTTCTGAAATCTAGGTGGAGGTTTCCAAGCCTCAATTACTTACTTCTGTACACTCACCGGCTCAACACCATGTGGGAGCTGCCAAGCCTTGGGGCTTGCACCCTCTGAGGCCGTGGCCTGAGCTCTGTCTTGGCCCCTTTCAGCCATGGTTGGAGTGACTCAGATGCAGGTCACCAAGTCCCTAGGCTTCATACAGCATGAGGGCCCTGGGCCCAGCCCATGAAAACACTTTTACCTCCTAGGCCTCTGGGCCTGTAATGGGAGTGGTTGTCACAAAGGTCTCTGACATGCCCTGAAGATATTTTCCTCATTGTCTTGGGGATTAACGTTCTGCTCCTTATAACTTAAGCAAATGTCTGCACAGCAGGCTTGAATTTCTTCTCAAAAAATGGGATTTTCTTTTCTATTGCATTTTCAGGCTGCAAATTTTCTGAACTTTTATTTTCTCCTCCCCTTATAAAACTGAATGCTTTTAAGAGCACCCAAGTGACATCTTGAATGCTTTGCTGCTTAGAAATTTCTTCCACCAGATACCCTAAATCACCTCTCAAGTTCAAAGTTCTATAAATCTCTAGAACAGGGGCAAAATGCCACCAGTCTCTTTGCTAAAACATGACAAGAATCACCTTTGCTCTAGTTCCCAACAAGTTCCTCATCTCCAACTGAGACCACCTCGGCCTGGACCTTAATGTCCATATAATTATCAACATTTTGATCAAAGCCATTCAACAAGCCTCTAGGAAGTTCCAAACTTTCTCACATTTTTCTGTCTTCTGAGCCCTCCAAATTATTTCAATGTCTGCCTGTTACCCCATTCCAAAGTTGCTTCCACACTTTTGGGTATCTTTTCAGCAGCACCTCACTCTACTAGTACCAATTTACTGTGTTAGTCCATTTTCATGCTGCTGATAAAGACATACCAGAGACTGGGAAATTTACAAAAGAAATAGGTTTAATTGGACTTATAGTTCCACCTGGCTGGGGAAGCCTCACAATCATGTTCGAAGGCAAAGAAGAGCATGTCACATCTTACATAGATGGCAGCAAGCATAGAGAGAACTTGTGCAGGGGAATTCCTCTTTTTACAACCATCAGATCTCATGAGACTTATTCACTACTATAAAAACAGCACAGAAAAGAGTTGCCCCATGATTCAGTTACTTCCCACCAGGTCCCTCCCACAACACATGGGAATTCAAGATGAGATTTGGGTGGGGACAGAGCCAAAACATATCAGGAATGTATGATTGATGATAAGCTTCTTATCATGGTTTTGAAATAATCCCTTTATGTCACTGGATTAGTAACATAATCTCTGAGGGTCTGA
The DNA here is from genome assembly GCF_000001405.40 of Homo sapiens. Classification (NCBI taxonomy): domain Eukaryota; kingdom Metazoa; phylum Chordata; class Mammalia; order Primates; family Hominidae; genus Homo; species Homo sapiens. The sequence goes on from NC_000018.10 coordinate 43,551,719, forward strand.
CTCCTATGGACAATAGTTTCCTTGTGTATTAGATGAGGACATTGGAATGAATAAATGCAAACACTGCTTGTGGCTTTTAGAATTTGAGTTACTTCTAATCCCTCTCTCTCAGAAAATCCTCACAGGAAAATACACATATCCTTGTGAAATACTTAATCTTTGGATGCCTATGATATCCTACTTTATTCCTATTGTTTGTTTAATTATTTATTTTCCCATGTCTCTCTCTTTCTCTACATGTTTGATTGGGAGTCTTCTGGTCAAGCGTGTTGCATTTACTGTATTAGTCTGTTCTCACACTGTTAATAACAACATACCCAAGACTAGGTGATTTATAAAGGAAAGAGATTCAATTGACTCACAGTTCCACATGGGTGGGGAGGCCTCACAATCATGGCGGAAGGTGAATGAGGAGCAAAGTCACATCTTACATGGCAGTAGTCAAGACAATGTGTGCAGGAAAACTTCCCATTATAAAATCATCAGATCTCATGAGACTATTCACTATCACAAGAACAGCATGGGAAAGACCTGACCCTGTGATTCAATTACCTCTCACCCTGTCCCTCCTGCCAAGTGTGGGGATTACGGGAGCTACAATTCAAGATGAGATTTGGGTGGGCACACAACCAAACCATATCATTAACCCACCATGATTGACTAAAATATATTAACTGGGCAGAGGTTGGCCTTCAGCACCTCTTAAATCCTCTTTGCTACTCACAAATTCAGCTTCCACATTCCTCCTCCTAGAGTCTTGCATCCCCTGAGTTTCTGCTGCCTGTATGAAGCATCTTACCCCTGAAAACTTCTCTCCTCAACTGGACATTCTTAGGCCAATTTTATTCTCATAGATTTCTGCTCTTCAGCAGTAATCAATGACTGATATCATATAATCCAATAATTTCATCATCAAAAAGGCTTTTGCAAGTTTAAATTGGCATGAATATGGATGAACCCAGAATTGTACCCTTCTTGGAAGATGTTGGGATTCTGATATCAAAAAATTGAACATATAATTGACAGTGAGGGGGTAGTTTTCTTTTGAAAATAAGTGAAACACAATAGTCAGCCATTTTTAGAAGTTAACATTGTATCAGAAAGTGAGAATTTAGAAAGGTGGGAGTGAAGAAAAAATTTCTTATTTCCAACTAAGTTTTGATTGACCTAGGTGACAAACTATGAAGATGGCTTAGGTTATTTCAGGAACAAAGAGTGTGTGTGTGTGTGTGTGTTTCAGGGGTGGGTGAAGAGAAGAAAGTTGAGCTGTCCTCATAATATTAAGTCAAGCCAGGATCCTTCCTAGAATAGGGCATAGACACAAAAATTAATCTTTGTTTTGAACTTCCATTTCATGAAAGCTTTTATAGAGCACATACACCACAAATTCTTACTAAGTGTTATTGCCCTCTATGAGCAATACTTTTAGGTTAGGACTGAATTCAGGGTGAGGCTCTGCCGATATCACTGTCCTCATCCCTGTGAAGAGAGTGGGTGTCATTGGTGAATCCCAACTGTGCTCACCTTTCCAACTGTCTTAAAGTCATTGGTAACAGAGGCAGGTACTTGTCAACATGCTGAGGAAGCAGCTGAGTAAAAGGAGATAGTGTAGGTGATGTCCTGAGAACATCTCAAAAATGAATCAAGAAGTCCTTAATGGGCAATAAGGTCAGTGAAGTCTCAAGTCCACAGAGGACTCACCACAGGTATAGAAATGCATAGCCCTTCAAGGATAGTTATAATGAACCATGGAATTGCAGCGAATTTTGGCTGATGTGTAGCAAACATAACAATAATGTTGTTACATTTGTTAGCATTTTAAAAGAAATTATAAATATTTTAAAACACTTTAATATTTCAATTTAGTTATATAATAAATGGTAGTTATTATTACTCAAATTTTATTTTACATTCAGGGATACATTTTCAGGTTTGTTACATAGGTAAATTGCCTGTCACAGGGGTTTGATGTACAGATTATTTTGTTACCCAGGTAATAAGCATAGTACCTGATAGGTAGTTTTTTGATCCTTAATTTCCTCCCAGCTTCCACCCTCAAGTGTCCCCTGGTGGCTGTTGTTTCCTTCTTTGTGTCCATATGTACTCAAAGTTTCATTCCTAATTATAAGTAAGAACATGTGGTATTTAGTTTTCTGTTCCTGTGTCAGTTGGCTTAGGATAATGGCCTCCAGCTCTATCCATGTTGCTGAACAAGACATGCTTTCATTTTTTATGGCTGCCTACTAATTCTTTGTGTATATATACCGCATTTTTTAATCCAGTGTACCATTGATGGGAATTTAGGTTGATTCCATGTCTTTGCCTTTTTGAATACTGCTGCAATGAACATACACATGCATGTGTCTTTATGGTAGAACAATTTATATTCCTTTGGATATATACGCAGTAATGGGATTGCTGGGTCAAATGGTAATTCGGTTTTGAGTTCTTTAAGAAATCACCAAACTATTCTCCACAATGGTTGAGGTAATTTACACTCCCACCAACAGTGTATAAATGTTCTCTTTTCTCTGAAACCTCATCAGCATCTGTTACTTTTTGACATTTTAATAATGGCCATTCTGACTGGTATGAGATGGTAACTCATTGTGATTTTGATTTACATTTCTCTAATGATTAGTGATGAGCATTTTTTCATATGCTTGTTGCCCACGTGTATGTATTTTTTTAATTGCCTGTTCATGTCCTTTGCCCACTTTTTAATAAAACTTTTTGGGGGTTTTGCTTGTAAATTTGTTTAAGTTCTTTAAGATTCTGGATATAAGACCTTTGCTGGATGCATAGTTTGCAAAAATTTTCTCCATTCTGAAGGTTGTCTGCTTACTCTGTTGATAGTATCTTTTACTCTGCAGAAGCTATTTAGTTTTAGTTAGGTTCCCATTTGTTAATTTTCTATGTGGAGGCAGGGGTGGGGGGCATCAGTTTTGGCATCTTCATTATGAAATCTTTGCCAGGTCCTATGTCTAGAATGGTATTTCATAGATTATCTTCAAGCATTTTTTTGGTATTAGGTTTTACATTTAATCCTTAATTCATCTGGAGTTGATTCTTGGATATGGTGTAAGAAAGGGTTCCACTTTCAATCTTCTGCCTATGGCTAGCCAGTTATCCCAGCACCATTTGTTGAGTAGGGAGTCCTTTCCTCATTGCTTGTTTTTGTAGATTTTGTTGAAAATCAGATGGTTATAGATGTGTGGCTCTCTATTCTGTTTCATGAGTCTATGTGTTCATTTTCATACCAATACCATGCTGTTTCGGTTCTGTATCCTTGTATAGTTTGAAGTTAGATAGTGTGATGCCTCCAGCTTTGTTCTTTCTGCTTAGATTGCATTGGCTATTTGGATTCCTGTTTGGTTTCATATGAATTTTAAAATAGTTTTTCTTTTCTAGTTTTGTGAAGAATGCCATTGGTAGTGTGAAAGGAATAGCATTGAATCTATAATTGCTTTGAATAGTACAGCCATTTTAACAATGTTGATTCTTCCTATTTATGAGAATGGAGTGTTTTCCCATTTGTTTGTGTGATCTCTGATTTCTTTGACCCGTGTTTTGTAATTTATGTTATACAGAACTTTCACCTCCCTGGTTAGCTGGATTCCTAGGTATTTTATACTTTTTGTGGTTATTGTGAATGAGATTGTGTTCTTGATTTGGCTTTCAACTTGGGTGTTGTTGGTGTCTAGGAATGTTACTGATTTTTGTGTACATTAATTTCGTATCCTGAGACTCTGCTGAAGTTGTTTATCAGATCAAGAAACTTTTGAGCAGAAGCTATGGGGATTTCTAGGTATAGAATTATATCATTTGCACACAGAGATAGTTTGACTTCCTCTCTTCCAATTTGGATGCCTTTTATTTCTTTCTCTTAGCCGATTGCTCTGGTTAGGATTTCCAGTGCTATGTTGAATAATAGTGGTAAAAGAAGGCATCCTTTCTTGTGCCAGTTTTCAATGGAAGTGCTTCTAGCTTTTGCCCACTCAGTATAATGTTGGCTGTGGGTTTGTCATAGATGACTCTTATTATTTTGAGGTATGTTCCTTCAATGCCTAATTTGTTGAGGACTTTTAACATTAAGGGCTGTTGAACTTTATTGAAAGCCTTACTGCATTTATTGAGATAATCATGTGGCTTTTGGTTTTAGTTATGTTTACATGGTGAATCACATTGATTGATTTGCGTATGTTGAACCAACATTGCATCCCAGGAATAGAAGTCTACTTGACTGGGGTGAATTAGCTTTTTGATGTGTTGCTGGATTCAGTTTGCTAGTATTCTGTTGATTATTTTTGCATCTGTGTTTATCAAGGATGTTGGCCTGAAGTTTTATTTTTGTGTTGTGTCTCTGCCATGTTTTGGTATCAAGATGATGCTGGCCTCATAGAATGAGTTAGGAAGGAGTTCCTTCTCCTCAATTTTTTAGAATAATTTCAGCAGAAATGGTACCAATTCTTTATTATACATCTGGTAGAATTCACCTGTGAATCCATATGATCCTGGGCTTTTTATATGGATTCAATTTCAGAACTCAATATTGGTCTGTTGAGGAATTCTATCACTTCCTGCTTCAATCTCAAAATGTTATATATTTCCAGGAATTTATCTATTTCTTCTAGGTTTCTAGCTTGTGTACATAGAAGTGTTCATAATAGTCTCTGAGGGTTTTTATATTTCTGTGGGGTCAGAGATAAGATCCCTTTTATCATTTTGGATTGTTTTTATTTAGATATTCTCTCTTCTTTTTTTATTAGTCTAGTTGATGGTCTATCTATCTTATTAATTCTTTCAAAAAAAAAAAAACAGGTCCTGGATTCTATGATCTTTTGTATGTTTTTTGTGTCTCAGTTTCCTTCAGTTCAGCTCAGATTTTGGTTATTTCTTGTCTTCTGCTAGCCTTGGGGTCAGTTTTCTCTTGTTTCTGTAGTCTCTCTAATTGTGATGTTAGGTTTTTAATTTGAGATGTTTGTAACTTTTTGATGTGGCATTTAGTGCTATAAACTTCCCTTTTAACACTCCTTCGCTTTGTCCCAGAGATTATCATATGTTGTATATTTTTTCACAATTGTGTCAAATACTTTCTTGATTTCTGCCTTATTTTCATTATTTACTCAAAAGTTATTCAGGAGCAGGTTAATTTCCATGTAATTGTATGGTTTTGAGTGATTTTCTTAACATTGATTACTATTTTTATTGCATTGTGGTATGAAAGCATGATTGATATGATTTGTTTTCTTTAATTTGCTGAGAATGATTTTATGCCTTATCGTGTGTTTGATTTTAGAGTATATGCCATGTGCAGATAAGAAGAATGTGTATTCTGTTGTTTTTGGGTGGAAAATTATATAGATGTCTTTTAGGTCCATTTAGTCAAGTGTTGAGTTTAGGTCACAAATATCTTTGGTAGTTTTCTGCCTTGATGGTCTGTCTAAAATATTAGTGGGGTATTAAAGTCTGCCTCCATTATTATATGGTTATCTAGGTCTTCATGTAGGTCTCTAAGAACTTGCTTTATGAATCTGGATACTCCTGTGATAGGTGCACATATATTTAAGATAGTGAGGTCTTGTCATTTAGCCTTTGAGCCATTTACCAATATGAAATTCCCTTATTATTTTTTATCTTTGTTGGTTTAAAGTCTGTTTTGTCTGAAGTTAGAACAGCAACTCCTACCTTTTTATGGTTTTGATTTGCTTGGTAAATTTTTGTCCATCCCTTTACCTTGTGCCTAAGGGTGTCATTGCATGTGAAATGGGTCTTTTGAAGACAGCATACTGTTGAATTTTGCTCCTTTATCTAACTAGCCCTTCTGTGTCTTTTAATTGAGACATTTAATCCACTTAGGTTTAAGGTTACTATTGAGATGTGTGGGTTTGATCCTGTCATCATGTTGTTCACTAGTTATTACGCTGACTTTTTTGTGTTGCTGCTTCATAGTGCCTCTGGTCTATGTACTTAAGTGTGTTTTTGTAATGGCGGATAGTGATCTTTCCTTTTCATATTTAGCTCTCCCTTCAGGATCTCTTGCAGGGAAGATCTGGTAGTAACAAATCCCCTCAGAATTTACTTGTCTGAAAAGGATCTTATTTCTCCTTCACTTATGAAGCTTAGTTTGGCTGGGTATGAAATTTTTTTGAAAATTCTTTCTTTAAGAATGCTGAATGTAGGCCTCAATCTCTTCTGATTTGCAGAGTTTCTGCTGACAAATCTGCTATTAGCCTGATGAGGTTCCCTTTGTAGGTTACCTACCCCTTCTCTCTAGCTGCCTTTGACACTTTTTCTTTCATTTTGACCTTGGAGAATCTGATGACTGTGTGTCTTTGGGATGGTCTTGGGTGGTATTTTGCAAAGAACCTTTCCCTTTCTTGAATTTGAATGTTGGTCTCTCTAGTGAGGTTGGAGAAATTTTCATAAATGATATCCTGAAATATCATTTTCCAAGTTGCTTGGTTTCTCTCCCTCTCTTTCAAGGACACTAATGAGTCACAGATTTGGTCTCTTTACATAATCCCACATTTCTCAAAGGCCAATTTGTTCATTATTCTTTATTTTTTTTATTTATTTTTTGTCGGAGTTATTTCAGATATCCAGTTTTGAAGCTCATAGATTCTTTTGTCAGCTTGGTCAATTCTGCTGTTAATACTTGTGATTGCATTACGAAATTATTCTTGTGTGTTTTTCAGTTCTATCAGATCACTTTGGTTCTTTCTTATAATGGTGATTTTTTAAATATTTTTTCCTGTATTCCTTAGGTTTCCTGGATTGAGTTTTGACTATCTGCTGTATGTCAACGATCTTCATTCCTACCCATATTTTGAATTCTATTTCTGACATTTCAGCCAATTTAGCCTTGTTAAGAACCATTTCTGTGAAACAAGTGTGGTTGTTTGGAGCTAAAAAGACATGCTGGCTTTTTGAGTTGCCAGAGTTCTTGCACTGTTTCTTTCTCATTTGTGTGGGCTGATGTATTCTCAATCTTTGACATTGCTGTCCTTTGGATGGAATTTTTTGCTTTTTTCTTCTTTGATGTTCTTGGGGGTTTGATTTATAAGACAATGTGGATTCAGTTCACTGGCTTCAATTCTAGTCCACTCTTGGATCTTGGAGAATCCTTCTCTGATTAGTATCTCTATGTATACATTTCTTTTGTTGGGTTTTCTGTTTCACAGGGCTCCATAAGGCAGAGACAGTTAGCAGACAAGCTATATCTTTGCCAAGTTGGCCGTAATCTGCTATCTGTCTGCTTCCTGGCAAACATGGGGCTGCACCTGTCTGCAGATTTCAGGTAGAAGTGGGACTGCTGGTTTGGAAGATCTAACATGTGTCGCCTATCTGGTTATGAGAGGCAGGGGTGGGTGGAGTTGCCCACCTTGCCATCCGAGTGTTTCAATGGCAACAAGAGGATGCACCTCCTGGCAAATTCAGGTCTGAAGTAGGACCACTGGGCCAGAAGCAATAGCAGGTGTGGCTCACCTGGCTACCAGCACGGGGTGGGGGTGGGCATGGGGTAACTTGCCCTGCCATCCAGGTGCTTCCTGGGACAGTGGAATGCTGTCCTCATTAGCTGAGTTCCCACAAAAGCAGGACCCTGGACCAGAGGTTCTAATTGGCATTTTCTGCCTTACTACCAGTGGCAGGAATGGGTGGAATTATGTGCTGTGCCATCCAGGTGTTTTCTGGGACTATAGGAAGCTGTGCCCTCCAGTTGAGTTCTCACAGAAGCAGAACCAATGAGCTGGAAACTCTAGCAAGCATTGCCTGCCAGGGTGTCAGTTGTGGGGATGCCTTGGGTCACCTACCCTGCCATCTGGGTGTTTCCTGGGGATAAGAGGAGACTGCACCCACTAGCTGAGTTCACACAGAAGCAGGGCCACTGGGCCAGAAGCTCTAGCAGGTGCTGCCTTCCTGGCTACCAGTGGTAGGGGCAGGTGGGGTCATGTGCCCTGCCATCTGGGTGTTTCCTGGGACAACAAGAAGCTGCAGCCTCCAGCCGAGTTCACACAGAAGTGGGGCCACTGGGCCAACAGCTTTAACAAACATTGCCTGCCTGGCTACCAGTGGTGGAGGTGGGTAGGGTCATGTGCTCTGCCATCTGGGTGTTTTTGAAGACAACAAGAGGCTGTGCCCTCCAACCGAGTTTATACAAAACAGGACTGCTGGACTCGAAGCTCTAGCAAGTGTTGCCTGCTTGGCTGCCAGTGGCGAGGATTGGTGGAGTCGCTGGTTGAGTTCAGATAGAAGCAAGATGGCTGGGCTAGAAGTATGCACTAAGTGCTGTCTGGTAAGCTGAGGTAGAGCAATCTCACTGCTCCCAGGCACTACAACTGCAGCTTCTACTGGGGCTATGGCACCAGTGCTGTTCCCCTCTGTTTCTCAAGGTTCATAGTGGTCTCCTTGGACTCAATAGTTGCCCCAACAAAATGTCCAGGTGGCTCTCTGTCTCATTCTAGAAGCATGGTATGGAGTTGTGGGGTGGCCAGTGGGATTCTCCTGTTTCCAGTTTTGCACAGGTCCCTGTGGTAAGCATGAATTGCTCTGAGGGCTCTCACTCACTCACCCTTTTCTGTGTGGGAAAGGTTCCCCTGCCTCCACACTGAACCCAGATAGGCTGGCGCCCAGCTTTGCTCCTCTCTATTCTCTGTGTTCCCCTGCTGCCTAGATGGATCCCAGTGTGGTTTCTGAGATGATTGGCCTGCAGGGTTAGTGTTCACCAGGCCCACCCCCCCACACCTTTTTTTTTTTTTTTTTTGAGACAGGGTCTCACTCTGGCACCCAGGCTGGAGTGTAGTGGCATAATCTCAGCTCACTACAGCCTCTGCCTCCCAGGTGCAAGCCATTTGCCTGCCTCAGGCTCTTGAATAGCTGGGATTACAGGTGCCTCCAACTATGCTGGGCAATTTTTGTATTTTTGTATTTTTAGTAGAGACAGGGTTTCACCATGTTGGCCAGGCTGGTCTTGAACTAGAGACCAAGTGATCCATCCACCTTGGCTTCCCAGGCATTAGCCACCATGCCTGGCCTGGCCAGCCCTTTTGTTTCCTCTCCAAGAGAGCTGCACAGATGAGCTGCTTCTAGTCTGCCATCTTGGCCCTGCCATTTTGACCCCGCCCTCTGGTAGTAATTATTATACTCATTACGTGATTCATCAAATTGATGAAAATATTGAGGCTCATAGAGGGTAGAGTACTTGACAATGTTACACAGTTAGTGAGGAGCTGAGCGAACACTTATAGGCCAGTTCCTGAAATATAAATTCAATATTGTCTCCTTTGGCAGAGTTATTAATAGAGTCCTCAATAATTATTCTATGTTATCTGAGAGCATGAAAATGGGCATGAAGCTTCCCCAACAGCCAATTAAATTTCTAGCACAGAAGGATGAAGAAAATCGAACACTGAATAATTTCATAGGGTTGCTCTTTGCATTTTTCTGATCATATATTTCTCTTCAATCCCTTTCTCAAAGGTTCTGAAGTTCAAGTGCTCTATGGCAGCATACAAATCAGTGAAATTTAAATCATCAAAGCTAGGTTGGACTCTATTCTAGCATGGAATAGCTTTACTCATTAGAGTTAACTTGAAATGCAAGTGACCGATACACCAGTATAGCAGTGACTGGAATAATATAGCAGTTTATTTTCACTTAATAGTTTTATATAAATGTAGACCTCTCTATATATGTTTTTTTTCTATCTCTCCAGAATTTTCTTTCTTGTTTGCTGCATTTGTAGCTCTCCAGTGGTTTGAAATATATGTCTTAAAATTTCATCTCACTGTTTTAGTTTTTCATAAAGTTTGGTCTATCTCAACTGGAAATGGAAACATCGTAAAGATTTGTTTTAAATCAGCATAATGTATTAGAACCAAATAAAGGAATAAAGGTGGAAAAGTGGGTAAGATGGAGGGAAGCAAGGAAGAAAGGAGAAGAAAGAGAAAAAGAAAAGATAGGAAAGGATATTGAATGGCTTTAGAATACCTACATTCAGGAAACTTGGAAGTTGTAATGAAAAGTGTTTGAAAAACACTTTAAAACATAGCTCCTTGGCATTTATTTATATTTTGACGTGAATACTAAATCATGCTTCACAACTTATGGAAGAGATCTCTAGAAAACTCAGAGATCCCTTCACCTCTCTTCCCTTCACCTAAAATTATCTTCCAATTGGCTGACATGGAATATATTATGAATCTAGTCTATCGAATTGTATCCATAGTCTACCATTAGTGTCTTTTAAAGTTCTTGGACCAAATTAACTTGGACCATAAAAGTAAAGGAAAATTTTCCAAACCTAACATACTAGGGGAACAAATTGTCCTACTAAACAGGTATTTGGGATGCACCTAAATTATTTTAAATTTAAGTTTATATAAAATTAGATGCAACACATAATTATTTACCTTCTTGCATTGTAGGCAGTAGGCATAATGTAACATTATCCCTGAATCATTATTTATCTTCACTTGTAATATAGCAATGCTTTCAGAAGCTCCTGAAATATATAAGCTATACCTCCCTAAGGGAAAGAGCCATATACAAATTTTTTAAATTCTGTTTGACTGTGTATTTAACATTTTCTCTCTTCTTCCCTATTGGCAGGTATATTTTTGTAGTATCATTAGTAAATTTTGAACTATTCAATGAGGCATGCTTATTGATGCATGCTTTAGGATGTCTACTTTTTGTTCACTCATAAATGATTCAGACTTTTCTTCTTTCCCAGGCTTATTTGCATTCTGTGTGTTCAAAATTACTGGATAACTGAGCTCCAATTAGCTTAAAAAGTCTAGAAGTTAAATAATGGAAGGTTGGATCATGATTTCATGGCAGATCAGGTGAATTTTGTCATTATTACCAATAAGACAAACTTTCACTTCTTTGTCATTCTGTGCCTGACAAGTTGATCACTTCTTTTTTTGCTATATTCTTAATTATCCGTTGCCTTTCTCTTTCACAAAAATGTTAAATAGCTTTTTATGCCAGCCAACTCTTGATTAAAAGTCATTAAGATATGTTTAATGAATAACACAATGTCTGAGCTTAATTAAGTTTTAAAAAACACCTGTTTCCAAACTTACATAGGACAAAGTATTTTGTCAGTAGGAGAGAATGCCTCTGTGTACTTGGAAACAGATGGCTTGGTGGCATAACTTAATTCTGAATTTAATGTTAAGTTTTGATTAATTAAAGGCGTTTTGTTTGGATAATAAATTATTCCTCTCAAATTATAGGTTAAGGTTTGAAACAGCTTGCTGATCATTTGTCTTTTCAAAGTACAGAGTTGTTAAGATCCAAATTAACTGCCATATGCTGGATTTCTTTGTTTTGAAAGTGTTAAAAATGTATTTCAGTAGATAAATGGCCTGGTCAAGGACTCTGGGGGGAGTTAGTCAATGTTATTTGAGGATGTTCGTGCTCTGTCATCTATCTCAGAAGAAAGAATGATCCTGTTACAATAGGGTGACAACCAGGGACATACTAATAAAGCGGTGTAGGTTCTATAAGGAATCTTTTCTCTGGTTATCTGTAGGGTGAACAATAGTCACTAGAACAATGGTAAATCAAGCACCAAGTTCTTGAAAGGGTGGTAAATAATCAATTCCATCTGCTCCTTAGGATGAACTGGGTTACTACTGTCACAATTTAGCATCATTTTCTGCTCTGCATATTCACACCTGGATCAGATTGTTTCCCATTTCCACTGATAGCTTGACACCATTGAAGCAATAGTGTGGCACTTGCTACGAATAGCACCAGACTCAGAGAATGGCAGAAGGATTAGGAGTTAGTATATTCTCCTAAGTCAGTCTGTATATATAGGCTTCCCATTCATTTCTAGGAAATGGAGAGAGAAAAATTACAGCACGCCAAAGAGAACTTATTCAAGAAGACCTGTCCATGAAACACAATTCAAGATGGGTAACACAGAACAAAGAGCCTCAAATAGCATTAACGACATTTGTTGAGCTGCAAAAGGAAGTAAAAGGTCAAGAAAGGTGTGAGTTTAAAGTATTATGTTCCTTTTTTTCCAGTCATTTTAGCCCATGGAAACTTTTCACACTTTACTTTTGTGAAGAATAGCATTTGTGATTCACATGACCTCATGCGCTGATCTTGTTTGGTCACAATGAAAGTGTCCCTGACCTATAGCCGGTTTCTTTAGGAACAAAGTTTTCAGAAACACTAATCTTCTTCTCTGGTCAAATCTTCCACGAGCCAACAGACTGCCAGGAAATGTCTGCTGCCAGCCACCAAATACTGAAAACAGGGCTTCTAGTGCCATCACATGGCCCAAATAGGAATTAAACAATTGTTAGTGTCTATTCAGCACTCACTCTTTGTCATTATTTTAAGCACATATAACCCCCACAACAACCATATGAACTCTGCATCATTATTATGCCATAATACAGATTTGGAAGCAAATGCACAGACAGGTTAAGTATCTTTATTATACTGATTTGATGGAAATATCAGATGTGTGGAAGTTGGGGGATGATACGGTAGAGATAGGCATATTGACAACAGGAAAAGTCACAGCTGACAGTCTGATATAATGGAAGGGCATGTAAAAACCAAGAATAATCCTCTATTTCCATTGTCCCTGTTCTTCCCAGGTTCCTTTTCCTTTCTTCACACTGAAGAGTGTTTGAGAGGTGCCTGAGGGCTTGGAGATCAGTAATAAGAGGTGAACAGAGGAGATATTCCAAGACACAGTGACAATGTGCTTACCAGTGGCCAAGGATGTGGGTAGGTTAGGAGATGCCACATGGAAGCATTCTGGCTGTGTGCTCACTAGCACCCAAGGATACAGCATTTGAGGGTAGAGGAAGCTACACAAAGCACTTTGGCAGTTTAGGTTACAAGATGCTAAAGGGGATGGGTGCAGAGGTAGCAGATGAAAAGGGAGCACAGTTGTAAGACTGATAATATTGAACAAATAAGTGTATAAAAAATACACTATGGATAGTGAAAGCCAAGTTTCTAACTGGAGAAAGTAATTCAAAATACTGAAAGGGTAGAAAGAAATATGTCCATTGATTTGTCAGAATATAATTAGAGTTATGGTTATTAACCTATATGAGACATATACATATATATGCATGTATATATGTGTGTGTGTGTATATATATATACACACACTTATGTACGTGAAAATTTCTGAATATACATACTTATATGTATGCATACATATATGTTCATATATTACATTCCTTGATCTTCCAGAAAACCTAGAAATAATGAAAGTGAAGGCATCTCACTAGAAATGAACATACCCAGCACCCAGATGTTGATATCTAAATATCACCAGGGGTCTTTAAATAAATATTTTTGAAATGCTACATTCAAGGGCTCTAAGAAAAAAATAAGATGGGCCTACAACATATTGTGGTAAATCCTAAAAGAACATTGGCAACATGTCAAGAGGCCACAAGAGCCAGCTTGAAGGGACTCCTTCTGGACAAACATGGTACAATTAGAACATCAAAGTAAATAATGATAGTGATGGATTGCACCACACTGAGTAAAATAGAAATCCATGAGTTCACACTGATATAAATGAATGTATGAATAAATGTATAGTTGATGGTGAGAGTGGAAAGCTCTTCCTTGTGGTAGAATGCCCATAATAAATGTAGGGGGAAAAAGAAATTGAACATCAGAGTTTAGCACTCATCATGTTGCTAGTTGTTTCATGTAATAGTCAATAATTGAGGCTAAAGCTAATAAGCAAAGGTTTAATGAAGAACAGGGCATTGGCATACTCTGGAAAAATATTTATTGATTACCAAAAATATTGTGAATTTACAGTGAGGCAGACATTATGGGACCAGGCATTTATGGTTAACATCATTAGTGGTGGGATGGACAGATATTGTCTGTCCCTGATATGATGCTATAAAGAAGACCTCAAAATTATTTTTTAAAATCATTTAAAGTGTTATGCGTCTGATTATGAGGTGACACTGGACAGATGCAATTAGGGATCATCCTACAAAATATAAGATGTATAGATTTTAAATCTATCCAGGATATTAAATACAGAGAAAGACTAATAAACATGTAGTTTGGAGAAGACTGAATTGACACAGCAATTAAGTTAATGGGTATTCCTAGATGACATTCTGGACCAGAAAGAAAGTGTCATATCAGCATTGATTTTCTGATTTGGAAGTGTTTATAGTAGTTAGATAGGAGACATTATTTGGTTGAAATAAGCACTGAAGCATTTAGGGGTGTTGGAGATATCCTATCTGCAGCTTGCTTTTAAACAGTTGAAAACAAAAGATTGATGATGACATACATATGTGTTTGTGTGTGGAGAGAGATATAAGGAGGCTATAGAGCAAATGAAGTAGAAAAGAATTTTAACAGTGGGGTTATCTGAGTGGATAGAAAAGGTGTCCTTGCACTGCCCAATGCTCCCCTCTTATCTGCAGCTTTCCCTTCATGGTTTCAGTTACCTGAGGTCAACCATGGTTTGAAAATATTAAATGGAAAATCCCAGAAATAAACAACTTGTAAGTTTTAAATTGTATGCCATTCTGAGTATCCTGATGAAATCTCAACCATCCCACTGTGTCCATTTATTATCCCTTTGTCCGGCATGTTTATGCATCTGCATCACCCACCTGTTAGTCACTTAATAGCTATCTGGGTTATCAGATTAATTGCTGGTGTATCACAGGCCTTGGGTCCAAGTAACCCTTATTTTACTTAATAATCCCAGCACTCCAATTGTTAGACTAATTTTATTATCCAGTGTGTGCATTGATGGTCTTATTGTGGCATGGAGGCCAAGTTCTCTATCCCTTGCAGAACCCCGAATGCTTCAAACAGAACATTCTCCCCATCTCTTTTGGAGTTTAATCTATATAATAATGCTACCTGGTAGATGCAAATGATATTTTCTACTCATTTTCATCGATAAAGAACCTGACATAGATTAAGTAAATAAAGTAACGTCTCAGGCTAAAAGACTAGTTAAGGAATAAATCAAGGCATCAAGTCACTTATATGTTAGTGCAGCATTTTTCCAGTAGGAAACAGTGCTCTGAATTTTGGAAGTAAACAGTGTCTATACATACAAAATTGGTCATACATGTATTTTGGGCACTGTCATCCAAAAGATTTGTGGATATGCAGGCAAGGTGTTTACATCATACTTATTTAGGTGCCCCCACCTCCACCCCACAGCAGAAGACAATTTTTCCAGGTCCCTTCAGCTGGAACAATTTATCAACTGATTCCAGTAGGGAAAAGGCAAAATAGAATTCAGCTCATTATGTAAATCAATCATGTTTCTTCTCATGTTTATTTATCCAATGCTAGCTCGATCTGCTAAATCAAGTTAGTAGCCAGATCCTCTGAATCCTCCATTGACTTTATTCAGGCATATTGGGTGGTAGTCTGGTCATATTTTACACCCTCTGCTTCATATGTCTAAGGCTCAGGTTTATAATTCTCACTTTAATGGCCCAAAACCTGAGCTGTAAGGTGAAATCCTTTATATTGTTCATAATGTTCTGTTTAGTAACAAATGATGTTTAGAGATATTGGTACCTTTTACAGTCATGAAAATAACACAAGCTTTTCTCCAACAATGATCTTCCTTTTAAATTGTTTTAATTCACATTTTCTCCATAGATGCTCGTGAAGTCTCTATGATGTAGGTAAACACATTTAAATTTTATTATGCTTTATTGATTAGGAAATTAAGAGGCAAGATCAAGGATTATAAAACATTTTCTCATAGACCCAAAATTAGAACTCAAGTTTCTGAATTCTTATCTTGTTGCATTTATAACACAGCACAAGGATAGAGCTCAACTCTTACTTATTTTATTAATAACAATTGGTTGTTTGAAATCTGTTAGGTCGTAAGTGTATATAACTATGCTGTTTGAGAGATAGACTAATAGATGGGCAGTGTGATAAAGGGCTACACAAGAGATGTGCAGAGGTTTGGGGTAAGACAAAATCTGGGGAGCTGACCTAGTCTCAGGGAAGACCATTATAAGATTAGGTAGTCTTTCTATAATCTGGAAATAAGTTAATCAGGCAAAAAGGATGCATAAAAAATGGGATCCCAGGAATGCATGCCAGTTTACCCAATAGGCAAGTAAAGTACAGGTTGTTATGTACAGGTTGTATATTAATCTGTTTTCTCACTGCTGATAAAGACATACCACAGACTGGGCAATTTACAAAAGAAAGACGTTTAATTGGACTTACAGTTCCACATGGCTGGGGAAGCCTAACAATCATGGCAGAAGGCAAAGAGGAGCAAGTCACGTTTTACATGGATGGTGGCAGGCAAAGAGAGAGCTTGTGTAGGGCAACTCAGTTTTTTTTTTTTTAACCATCAGATCTCATGAGATTCATTCACTGTCACAAGAGCAGTGCAGGAAAGGCCGGCTTCCATAATTCAATCACCTCCCACAGGGTTCCTCCCACAATATATGGGCATGTGGGAGTTACAATTCAAGATGACGGGTGGGGACACAGCCAAATTGTATCAGGTTGTTTCTCTGCTTTAGAAAAGCAGAGATCTAAAAACAATCAGAAACACGTATAAAGAATTTGATATTCAAAATATCTGACTGTCTACCATAGGAAAAATTACTTTATTCTGTTTTCTTACACTTACTTAATGATTTAATATTATGTTTATTTTGAATAACATGAAAGTAGAAGAATATCATGTCTTTCCATTAATTAGCCACTGGCATTCTCAATCCCATCTTTTTCAGGGGAGAGAAACAGTATATGGATATTGAGAATCATAAGTTTAGTCTGGCTTAAGTATACTCACGTAACCAGAGTAATGGCAAAGGTGTAAGCAACTCCTTGTTAGCATTCTCTATATCCAACAACATTTTGTGGTGTGGAAGGGGTTCAGAATTTGTCCTAAGAGCACTGTTGAGTCCTAGAAGCAGCATAGCATAGCATGATAAGAGCTTGAAGTCTGAAGTGTGAATCTTCCTTTGCCACTTACTAGCTAGGACCCAGGACAAGCTTTTTAGTCTTTTGGTGCCAGTTTCCTCATCTCAATTGTGAAGATTCAATGTCTAAAGACTCCACTTAATAAGTGGTAAATAAGCATTGCTTATCACTGTTTGGAGAGTTTAATGAGGTGAATGACACGATCAGATTTGCATCTTAGTAGTATTTATCTAGCTGGCAGTGGGCAGAATAGGATATGTGACTAGAGTCAGAAATATGAATCAGGACAAAGATGCAAGCATGATAGTGGCATCCAGAATTCACTGAATGGAGGAGAGTTGGAAAGAAAAGAGTGAGTTTCTCTAATAGACATGATAGGGAAGGTAGGGTTCAGCGGGACATCAACATTAACTCCCAAATAGATGAAAATGTATTGTGGGGTCCAGTCTTCGAATGGTCTTGGAATATGAATTAGGAAACCAAGACACAATTCCAGGTCTCTGTGGCTTTATTTGTGCCTGCAGCAAACCTGTTAATTGTGTGGATCTTAGACCCCTGGCTCTCATTATCTGAAAACTAGGGGCTAGTCTCAATTGTGACTAAGGTGCTTTCAGCTTCAGCATTTGGTAGTTATAATGCTAATACATGATCAACATCTACTAAAAATTAACAACAAGCAAGGTACTTTCTCTGTGGAGCTGAAGTCTACGAGTATGAAAAGAGCCTTTAAACATAGAAGTGCATCTTGCATTTGTTTTTCCATTAGCCTTGATTGCTGTTTTTTTGCTTTTATTCAGCAAGATGTAGAAGCTTCCAAGTAAATTTTAATCTAGTCCATTTCTGAAGCCAAACTAACATTTTCTATAGACTTACTATTCTGAATGAAGGGAAAATGAGTTTATCTAAAGCTCTTATCTTTAAATATTCATTGTAGAATCAAACTTATGAAAACTCTTCAAAATTAATAATTATGATTGCATTAATAAAAGGAGAGTTAAAAAAGTTTGTAAAATTTTGAGTTTAGAAAGCATTTGCATGTTTAACATTGAGAAGTAAAGAGCAATTGATGGTAGCTCATTTAACGATGCCAGTAGTACACGATCTATTATAACTGGTTTTCATGAAAATCAAATGATTGAACGTATTTAAAATGATGTGTCTTTTTAAATTATATATGCTACAAGGTATCAGTGGAGGGCTTCTTTAACTTCCAGTGATAGGAGCAGATTTTTACTTGGGATTTCTGCATTGATTTCATGTTTAAAATTCTAGAAAACTATTATTTTTAAAAATGGCAAAAACCACAATTACTTTTGCAACAACCCAATAAATAGACAGCAGCCCAAGGTATTGTCCTGTGTTAAATTTATTTTCCTCACACATTCCAATAACTGACATTTCCCCTGTATTAACAAAATGAAAATGTCTTGTGGGAAATTATGTTATTTTAAGCCTTATTCTCAATGTCTTTAAGTAGATAATCAGACCAATGCCATGAGACAGACAGCAGTAATGGATGCTTGGGGCTATCATAGAAATTAGGAAAGGAAAACTTTAAAACAATTTTTGGTGAGAAGTTGGTAGTGTGAGGAAAGTTGGCATTGAAATTCGGAGAAAAGAGGGAGATGGTCTAGAAGGGTGTCAGAATTAGACTTGGGAGAATAATGGAAGCAAACTGAGGATACCAACTTGGCCTAGATTTGTGGTGACTTCTGGTGGAAACTTTTGAATTTCTTTTAACTGAGATAAAGATTAGTTTGAAAAACCTTCGAGACTTAGCTTTCTGAGTTCAACTCTATTTTGTTTACCATGTAACAAGAGATAATGCAGAACAGAGGACAAAGAATAATCTAGATTTGTATGAAAATTTTATTTTCATTTTCAACCAGGATATAGCTATTATGTAGCCATAAGCTCAGGTGAGCAATTCAGATCATTTTATATTTTATATAATGGATTGTGCATGACCATTGTCATTATTGGCAAGGACAATAAGAACCTCAAACACTATAGGAATTTCCCGGCTTCTCATGGCCTAAAATGTAATCCAGCTTTAAGAGATACCAACAGTGGTTGCAGAGTCACACAGGTTACCTCAGGTCAGCACCATCCAGGCTGAACAAGCCCCTTAGATAGTCTTATCCAGTGTCATGCTTGGGCTACCCGTAGTCTTCCACTTGCTTTCCTTAACGCCAGTTGACCTGTGTACATTTCGGCCTCCTTAGCAGAGCTACCAGGAAGAAGAGAATAGATCTTTCTTCACACCTACCCCTCTATCAGCCCCAGATGTCTCTTCCAGTTTAGGAGAAATAGTCCATTTTGTTTACTTCAGGGCAGTCTGTCCATAACTGAGAATCCCTTAATTTCTCTAAAATTTTTTGGCTTTTTAAAACCCAAAACAGGTGACTTTAACTTTCTATTTTGCCATCTGCTTCTCTTTGAGAGAAAGTACAGGCATGCATTGACTTCAATAGGAAAATAGCAAGGGAAAAACCATGAGAGAAAACATACTCTGCCACCCATGGTGCCTACATACATAAAAACAATGTGAATCCAAATAAACCGAAAACGGTACCAAACCCCATCAACCAGTAGGTGGAGCTGTAACCTATCAAATAATAATGGCTGAAGCTTTTTGAATAAAAACAGAGACTGAACATTATGTAGAATTACTATGTTCCAGACACAGGTCCAAAGGCTTTACATGTGTTAACTCACTTAATAAACCAACATACCATGTTTATCAAGTAATGTTCTTATGCCCGTTTTAGAGAAGAGCAAATCAAGGTTCAGGAAGGTTGAATAACTTGCCCAGGGTCACACAGCTTATAAGTGCAGGTGCTCTATCCGTGCCCAGGTAGTCTGCCTCAAGGGTCCTGCTTCTAAAAATAGAACATACTGCCTCTTTACCTATGATAGAAGAGTTTATCTTTCTTCCCTTTTCATTTATCCATTTTATAAATGGTAAATAATTATATATATATATCTTTAAGTCCTTTTCCATGTGTTAACCTTCAGATAAAATAGAAACAATTTTTTTTCCTTTCCTTGGCACTCTGACAATGTTTTTTTTAAATAAATGAGCCATATCTGTTCATACTTCCAACTCTTGGCTCATGCAGTTCTCTCCATCATAAACCACCCTTTAGTCTTTCCCATTAATAATATACTGGTCCTTCAAGTACAGCTCCATATGGCCCACATTCTATAAGGTGAATCTCTTCTCACTCCAGAGTATTCACTCTCATATTGGTTTTCTTACACTTCTGTTATACCAATGATCATTTTCAATTTGTAATATATGTAGTTCTATGCCTGGTCTGGCACAATGTCCATTTCCGTAAGGGATGTAGCATATTTTCACTTTATATCCCAGAACCTAACATTGTGTTAGCAAACTCAATGCACTTTTTTAATGAATGAGCTATTTTTACAGGAATTTGTAGAAAATGTAGAAAAAGAAGAAAAAAAAGTCAGTGTCTTCCACTGTTAAAGTTGTTGATTTTGAAAGATGTTTGTGGCACATGTTTTGAAATTTATACTCTCCTTGTCATTTCTCAAATAGAAACAGCTGTTCCTTAAGTTTAAGACAGAAACTTGGTCTGAAAAGTGACACACGCTCTGTTTCTGCAGATGTCTCCAAAAACAGAAGTTGTTGCACCTGACAGTGAATATTAAAGGTTTGGCCTGCTTTATCTCTCGCTTTCACAATGAATCATATCTCAATAAATTCTGTCTCACCAAATAATGATCTCATCTCTACTTTGTAAATACCATTTTCTTCAAAAGATTGCTTCCAGTGAATTACTGACATAGAAAGTAGGGGAGGATAAAAGGTCATACAGTCTATCTCCAACTTTAAATGAAATGATCTAAGTAGGTAACTGAAAAAGTAGCCCAACTCAATCCGTCAGCTTCTGTTCAGTTAGCAGGTTTTATTCAACAGGGCTTGGCTGAGTTTTCCTTTAAGTCAGCAAGCACAGACTAACTCATTGCCTCCAAATGCTGATATATAACTGCTTTATTTGGTAGTTTCCATTTTAGCTGCAAGTACCACCCTCCATTTTTAGTTGCAAATGCCATCACTGTTTAATCATAACAAAGTTTTTGATACACAAATGTTGGAGGCAATGACAATACTATTATTAAGTTGATCTGTGTATTTGGAAACTATTTCTGCTCAGATTCTACTTCCAAAGCAGGATTACTTCAAAACAGAAAAAACATTATTTAGCTTTCAACTACATCTCAAGGAACAGGTTTCATCAGAGATCTCAATTAATTTTGTATATGCTCATCATTAAGAAAACTAGAATGTGATGTATTAATAATGGAGATTCTGTATTTATTTTTAAGATACTTCAGTTTCATGCTTATTGTACTCACTTCCCCAGCTCTTAATACAGTCACCAATGGCCTCCATAAAACTAAATCAAATGGACATTAATCTAAACCTTATCTGATCTCAGTAGCATTTGATACTCTTAACCACTTCTTCCACCCTGAGTTATTCTCTCTTCTTGCTCTCTGTGATAACCCATCTTGTTTCTATTTTTATGATCTTATACGGAGCCCTGAAGTTATTTCAACTTTTATAGGCCTGATAGAGGAGAATAAAATAACAGAGACTCTCAGAAGGATCCTCCTGTCTTCTTATTTCATACTTTCTTTCTGGGCTATCTCATCACGTTCGTGGTCTCTTCAATTGCTAGTGATATGCCTTTTATTTTCCAATTTTTATATATGTATTGTCATATCCATCCTTTGAGATCCGGATTCATGTATTTACCTTCCTACTCAATTTCCCTACTGTTTCCAGATACCTCAAAATTTTATCTCACAAAAGTGAACATATGCTCTTGGGCATCTATCAAGACTATTTTTGGTATCTATGGATCAGGAAACAAAATCTCTACTTTTCTTGCAAACCAGAAAGCTAGGGATGACTGTAAGCATCTCTCAGTCTTTATCTGCCCCTCTCCGTATTTAATAATGAAAAGATTATTACTTATTACCTAAACATCTCTTGAATCTAACTGCTTGTCTTCACCTCATTTTGACACCCTAATAAACTCCAAACCTTTCTTATTTGAGTTGCTCTAAGAGCTTCCTAATGTGACTTCCAACATCACATCTATCTTTTCACTAACCATCCACACAGAATTATATTTTAAAATTACAGATCTGATCATGCGGCACCTCTGATTGCATTCCCCAATAAAGTCCTGTTACTTTAAGAATAAAGACCTCAATCCTTCACGGCCAGGTTCCTTTTGGTCCGGCCCTTGCCTTTTCCCACCTCACCTTATGCTCCTTTTTCATGCGCCCTCAGTGTTTCAGCCTCACTGGTTTTTCTTCAGATTCTCAAATATGCCTAACTCCCTCCCACTACAGGGTCTCACTCATGTTATTCCCTCTGATGCAAGACTCTTCCTGGTTTCCTCTTTACCTGGTTGACTCCTACACTAAGGACAGTTCTAATGCCACTTTCTTAAGAATATACTTGCTAAGCCTACAAATCATGTCATTTCCCGTAGTCATAATCTTCCATAGAACATTTGAAAACATTTAACAAATAAGTCTGTATAATGAATTGTTTTCTACTGTGTATTCTGGTAGAACGTAAGCTCTACGTGGAAAGAGCCCATCCTTGTGTTTACTACAATATCACTCACAGCTCACACAGCACCTGCCTAGAGTAGGTGCTCAGGAAATACTTGTTGACTGTTGAGTGAATTACAAGTCCGTCAGTAAGCTTACTTGGGGCACTCACTAGTAAGAGAAGGGATTGTCAGGTGAGCAAAGAAGATGTAATGGGACAGGAAGATGTGGGACAGGAATTCAAAACACCTTCATCTTAAGGAAATGTCACCTGCAGTTCAGTTTTCATTCTCCAAAGTCCCTTCCTAGCTTTTACACCCCAGCCTTCTTACCATGATTTATACTACTTTCTTGGGAAAAATATCTTTAAATTTCTTTCGTGTATTATTTTTCTTTTATGTTTTTCTTGCCATATTTTCCTCCTTCTTGAAGAATCTAGATAATTATTTGAACTGATAAAGTTTTTTAGGGGTTGGCATAATATAAGACACCCTAATTTATCTTAATCACCTTACTGGTATTCTGTTATGGTCAGCATTCCTGGCTCATTCAATTATTATGTGCTTATTTTAAAGGAATTGTTATGATAATGTTAAACAAAATGAGTTTCATGTTTACTTCTTATTACTTTGTCATTTCAATGTATCTTACCCCAACACACTTATCTCCCCCTGTTGGGTAATCTGAAAGTCAGGACACTTGTGGTTGCCTGTATAAAGTGTGATCCAAATTGACCCAATAAAGAGATAATTTATTGGCTTGCATAACTGAAATGTCTAGGGAGAGAACTGGCTCTGCTATCACTGTACTGTTGGAATCAGATGATGTTTTCAGGGCTCAATTTATTCTCTATTTCTGGCTCTGCCTTCTGCTATGTTGGCGTCAGTCTCAGGTCCACCTGGTAGCAAGATGATGGGAACAGGTCCAGCTCATACATCCATTCAAGTTTACATTCAGCAGGAGATTCAATCTACTCCCCCAACGGCTCAAACAAATACAATTAATAATGATGTATTGTTCTTGAAAAATGCTAAGCAAGCGGATAAGTGCTCTCAACCCAAAAAGTGATAACTCTGTGAGGTAATGTATTTGTTAATTAGCTAGAGTAAACCATTCCACTTTTTATATATACACACACATATATGTGTGTATATAATATATATGTGTGTATATATGTGTGTGCATGTGTAAACATATTACTTAAAACACACACTTAAAAACATCATCTTGTTCAAGATAAATACATACAATTTTACATGGCAATTTAAACATAAATAAATAAAGTTTGAAAAAAAGTACTTGCATTAAAGCTTCAAAGTTCTGATTGGCCTAGTAAAGAGCACATATCCATTGGCAAGCCACCCAGATTGGGGGTAGAATGAGCTGATAGGTTCACATTCATTGCTCATATGTCCGGCTCCTGAGGCTGGAGTTATAGTCAGCTTCCTAGGAACTGCACATCCTGAGAGTGAGGGAGGAGGCAGAAGCCCTAAATAGATATGGTAACTGTTTCTCAGTGTGTGATTGGATATTTTATACCTCAAAATACAACAAATACCTACTATATTTACTTCCTGTTGCATTTTCCAGATATACAAATTCTGTCTGTACATAAGAAATATTGAATAAATTAATAATCATTAGTGGCTTATTAATAAATCATTAATGGTTTATTGCCTCTAGAATTGCAAGTTTATGTGCCAAATCTGTGTAGCCATATGTCAGAGGGAAATTTAGTCTTTTTATAAGATCCTAAATAAAATGTTATTTTTAAGACTAAGTAAAAGATACAGAATTCCAAAGACCAATATGTGAAAAAGCAGTATTTTCAAAGAAGAAATTTGTATTAACTTAATAATATATTCACAAATAATAATTGAATATCATATACTGTCTCAGCCCTGTGCTACTAGGCATTTTTTGTTCAGTTATTTTGAAAATAAAAATGGCCATAAGCCTGTGCTCCCATCATCTTAGAAACAGTGGAAAAAGGATAGGTAGTCGTTGGTTAAGTTCATGGGAAATGGCATGAATATTGTATAGTGTCCTCAGTTTATAAATGACCTTTTTCCCTCTGGTATCATGTATATTTCTCTCTGTTAAAGAGTTTGAGAAAGACAAACATGGGCTTACCTGCTACAATTTCTGACTGCAATAAATGTGGGTGCTAGTTATGAGTTCAGATTCAGTAAAGGGAGAAGGTAGGCATTTACTCTTCTCCCTCAGGACATAAAGAGACATTTTGTATATTAAATTGTGTTTCCAAGACTAATAGCACCTGCCAAAATTGCACATTTGTAACCAGGAAGTAGCCCACTCTTCTACGAGAGCCAGTTTCAATATGTAATTAGAATTCTGCTTCCTCAACTCCATAGTCTATCATTAGAAGTATTTCTAGCTGCATATTGCAAACACTATTCTGTTTAGTATACGTGGCTTTCTTGAATGTTTTGTTCTGGGAACCATTTACCATTGATTTGTGTCCAGGTGCATTTATCATGTTAGCCCAGCACAGTAATTAAATGGCTAAAGTCGTGCTGTGTATGAATACACTGTGCTCATTATTACCATTTTACTTAATTCAGCATCATCTGTAGACTTCTAAATATTGCTCCTACATCATAATCTGGTACATCCTCAATAACAATCTTGCAATGTAAATGTCTTTCATTTCCAGCTGTGATTTTTGCTCCTAAAGTTTCATCAATTGTAGATCACAATGTAGATGTGTGTAGTAATGAAATTGCAATGCTGAGAAAGACTTAAATAGTTCTTAAGGTTTGTCTCTTCTCTTTAGAAGGAATCTCATTCCAAAACATTAGATGATATTTTATTTTCACATACTGAAAAAAATTCTCAGTCTTCCTCCAGTGCTTATTGGATCTTACATGGTGGATATAAAAATGTTCTGCTCAGTTCTCCTGCTGCAGGGAGTGTGATTGATAGTCCAGGTGCTATCCTTCTGGATCTACCTCATTTGTACTGAGGCCATGGCTCTTACAACTATTCCCAGCCAATGACAGTGCATTGCAGGGCCTGAAAGCCTACCCATTCCAACAAGACATGTTATTCCTCCAACAGATGACTTACCCTTGGGGCTCTACATTAGTTTTGCCAAACCTTTCTTGGTGCAGTGCTGCAGTCACACATTCTTGCTATCCCAACCCTCCTTCTCCTTCTTTCCCTCTCTTCTTCTACAGGAAGAGGAGTGATACCTGTATCACAGTCTGAAGGCTCTCTCCTTCTTCCTCTACTCCATAGTTCAACATACTTCTGCCTTGTCTAATTTCATTTTGACATCTGCTTCTTGAAGAGAACTAATACACCTTACTTTTAAAAAATGTTTTCTTACGTTCAATTATAATTCGATACACTGGCAAAAAATGACACTCCCCCTCAGTTTATTATTTGGTGGAAATAGAGAAAAACCATATGAAGGATAAAAAAGTTTATATCTGAAGAGTCATACTAAGGCTGAAAGCATTCTCACTAGTACAGAATCCCTTTCACTTAATGTGTCATTACTAACACAAATATCTAATTGTATCCTTTATTTATATCATATTTCATAGAGTCCAAGATAAATGTTCTTCAAGTTTTAATATTCTGAAGTTGTGATATATCTTAAAAGCGTGCATTTGTCATAAGTTAAGTGGCAGCTTTTTTCCTTAGTAATAGATTAATGGAGAATCTTACAATTAATGGAATCTAAATTCTATCAAGTTCTGTATCTTCTCTCTATACAGTATTTTCACACTTTGAGTGTGATGTTTGTGTGTGTGTGTGTCACTGAACCTATAGTACTTTATATTTTTTCCAATTCCATTTGATCAATGTTTTGTGTGATGGGAAAGAGATCTTTGAATTTCTCCATGTTCCAGCTCCATTTAGCCATCCTAATACAACACTTCTTTCCTAGATACCTGAAAGGAAACCTTAAAATTGTGTTCAAAAATTGGAAATGCTTGATCCCATGAGATTTTCTTCCTACTGAATTATTTGTTTTGTGGATATGTGAACATATTGAAGACTTAAAATAAGTATGCTCTTTCAGAAGCCAGATCTCATCTATTTTCATTAAATCAATTTCTCATTTGCATTCGTTTGTGGTGCATTTGCTTCCAAGAAGAAGCAAAGCATGTGTTAGAAATTTTTAAAAAGAGTCACCACCACAAATAGAAATTGTAGTGTAATCTATTTGATAAGCAAGTTAAAGATCAACATAACATCCAGAGCAAAAAAAAATTTACTGAAACTTATTCATAATATAATATAGCAATTAAGAACATCATATGAAGTAAGAATTGAGTTCAAATCTATATGATATTAGGTAACTAGACTTAGTTGATATTTATTAATTATGTAAGTGACCTCATGTATCACTAGGTATCTGTGTCAATTATTGAATTTATCATCTGTCAGTTTCAGTGTTCTGTTTTCTAATGCTGGTGCTGGAGTTGGGACTCTAAAAACCATACCTCTGGTTCGTTCGTGGTTCCCTGTTGGGCTCCGCACTTCAGGGAGAATGCAAGGCTGGAGAAGGAAGCAGGGACTATTTCCTTTCTGTCTGCTTGTTTTTCTTGTCATTATCACCATAGCAACACTTCTTCACTCCAGCAGCCGCAGCAATTTCTTCCTGTGGTAGCAGCTAATCCAAATTGTGTTTGTTCCAATATTTGTAGAACCAGCTCTGAGGTGAAACTTAAGGGTTTATGCTGTGCTGGCACTGGCTTATACCAGCTTGCCAAAGTTGACTGTTCTCTTCAAGAGTTCCATGATGTCCAGTTGGTAGTTTGGCATCAGCAAAGATGGGAATATGCCTACCATGGATATTGACACATGCAAAACAGCAGGGCTACTCTCACCTCTACCAGACAATGCCAGTTTAGCAGCCTGCTACCCCTTTAGAGTTCTCTTTTTAACGGTTTAGTTGCTTAGTTAATAACATTATATGTGACAAAAATGTCTTTAAAAATTTTTTCTGTTCAAATATCTAGTGTGTTTTCTGACTTCTGACTGGACCCTAAATGATGTAGTATATTTTTTTCAACTATAAAACAAGGAAACTTTCAGTAATCATGAATTTCATGTGAGGATAAAATGAGACCACATAAAAATACTTAGCCTGTTACGTTGTAAGCACTCTAAACATAACTCTGGGGCCAAACAATGTATTAAATTTTAATCTATATTTTTAGCTTTTTTTTTCTTTCTCCATTTTAAGCCATTAGAAAAAGAAATATCAACCAGTGCAAATTTACCCACAATGGGACATTTGGTAATGTCTGGGGACATTCTTAATTTTTACTACTGGGGAAGGGTGCTATAGACATCTAGTGGTAGAGTCCATGGATGCTACTATACAACTTCGCAATGCACATGACAGACCCGCATAACAGAATTTTCCAGCCCAAAATGTTAATATGCTAAGGGGAAGAAACCTGGAGTTTGATTCTTAGTATTTCCTTTTTCTAGAAATCTTGGCTAGGCTGAAAATAGGATTTTTTTTTCTTTTCTTTTCTTTTTTAGATAGTCTCTCTGTTGCTCAGGCTGGAGTGCAGTGGTGCGATTATAGCCCACTGTAACCTCGAATACCTGGGCTTGAGTGATCCTCTCACTTCAGCTTCCCAGGTAGCTGGGACTACAGGCACGTACCACCACACCTATCTATTTTTTTATTTTTATTTTTGTAGACTGGGGTGTCTCACTACACTGTCAGGGCTGGTTTTGAACTCCTGGACTCAAGTTATCTAACCTCCTCCATCTCCCAAAGTGCTGGGATTACAGGCATAAAACACTGCACCTGGCCTTAAAAATATTTTTTTTAAATCAGTGTTTTTTTCTTATCTTGTGAAAGCCAGGGCTTGTTGGAAAACTAATACTGAGAGAGAGAGACAGAGACAGAGAGACAGAGACAGACAGACAGACACTGAGAGAGAATATTTCACAAAAGGACTGTAAAAGGACAGAGGAAGAGAGAGAGGTTTTTCCAAGGTCAGAGAATGAGTTTTCAAGACCTGTAACTTGGTGACAGTATACTAGGGCAGTGGCAAAACTTCAGAGGCTGATAGTTGTGTCAAGGGAGGCTGGGCTCTAGGTTGTAATTTCCCAGCCTGACAAACTGTTTCTGTGCCCAAGAGTCTCAAAGGGTCAGAGGCTTGAGACCATGGTCTGCAGTGACCAAATAGGCCTCACTACACTTTGCTGTTTTTGCAATCCTGGAAGCAGGGAGTCCCCAAAATAACTCTGAATTTCCTGCCAGCCAGACAGATTGGGACCTAGAAATTAATGTATAGAAAATGGAAGAAAAAGTGATTTTATTTTTTGGAGAACTGATTTTGTAGTCTGAGTGATATCCACTTTCTTTACAGTAGTATTCTAATCATGGTGGCAGTAATTCTAGTGGTAGCCGTAGTCCTGGAGATAATAAAAGCATTGGCAGCTATAGCAGCAGCAACATTAGTAATGACTTCTTGTGATGATCATCATTAGTATTTCTGCTATTTTCTTTTTACCACTGGGAAATATTGATATACCTATTTCAAATAAATTAATGTTTCTGTTTTAACTTATCTCTTTGTACAAATATGTATGTCAAAAATAGTAGAAAAATAAGCACAGGCAAAAATTAGAGATAATATGTGAGAGACTTTTTTAATATTATGAATTTATAAAATCATAATATTTTTATAAAATAATTCTCATTTTCATAAAGTGTTACTATTCAAACTGGTGCTTCTATCTGTGAATCTTGACTATAAAGTACTCATGGATATATTTGTATTATCAACATTCCCTATACCATAAACCTGTATGATCATATTTTTATTAATCTGTCATGTATAACATGGGTGTATAACTTGATCAAGGGTTTTGAATTTTTCTTTTTATTGCAACATTTACATTGACATCAGAAAGAAATTCTCATATCTGCCAAAATTGTTGTCAACAAAATCAAGATAAAATGTTGAACTGACCTGATTTCCTACAACAAAGAATAAACTATTCAAGGCAACTAGTACCTGTATCCCCAGTAAGGTCTGAACACAATTCTGCATAAGATGAATACACAGCCCTGGTGACACAGATTTGGGGATGATAATGGTGAGGAAGACTCATGAATTTGCAGTGGAAGGAATTTGAACAGGAAACTGAGTTCCACCTCAGCCTTTAGGGAGGTACAGCTCTATTGGCTATATTGATTGATGAAATTGCTGAGGCTCCCAAGATTAAGAAACTTGCCCAAGGTTCTATAACGTTGATTACCCTCGGAATGCTGTACAACGTGAAAGTTGGTTACAACATAGGATATTATATCCTTTAGGTTATATTCACTATGAGTAATGGAACTCCTCATCCCACCAATAAACAAAGCAGCTTAAACAAGGTAGGAGTTTACTTTTTATATATGTGCCTGGCTGAAGTCCATCCCAGTGTGATGTGATACTCCATGGCATTGGGAAGACAGGTTCCTTCCACACTCAAGGTGACATCATTGTCTAACATCTTGCAGGATCTCTGGCTACTATGGCTACATTCTAATATGTACAAAGGTAGACCCACTGGCAGGAAGAGAAGGGTTAAGCCCTTTGTTTTAAAGATAATTTTTGGAAGTTGCATATACCACTTCTTATATTCTATGATATTAGCCAGAATTTAGCTTCAGGTGAAACTAGAAATTAGATCCTATTCTAGGTAATCAAGTATATAGCTAAGGATTTAGAACAGGAATCAGCAAACTTTTATGTATAAAACATCTAGGATAGTAGATATTTTGGGCTTTGCAGGCCATATGGTCTCTGTCGCATGTATTTAAGTATTTGTGCTGTTATAGTTCAAAAGCAGCCATACACAATATGTAAATGAATGAGCATGGCTATGTTCCAGTAAAACTTTATTCAGAAAAACAGGTGGTAGGCTAAATGTAACTCAGTGGCCACAATTTGAACTCCTGTTCTGAAAGATAACAGGTATTGGGAGACAGCCAGTGGCCTCTGACACTATGCTATTGCCAAGTGCAGTATGGAAGCACAATGAAAAATAGCTTTTTGCCAAGTCAATTACTTTCAACTTGAAAACACTCTTCTGGTAGCTGACCTTAGGGTGACTAAAAACTGGGTTTTCCCAGAACACAGTGGTTCATGTCTGCTTTCCTGGCGTCTGATCCAGTCCTTCTCCACCTCAAAGTGCTCCCAAATTCAGGCATGCTGTTCATAGATATTTACCAATCAAAAGGAAAGCATAAAAAAATGTTATATAAGCATTCCCATCAGGCTTTATATGTAACAGCTAAAAAACCGACAAAAACCCAAATGTACATAAACAGAACAAGGAGTAGACAAAGTATGTTATATCCATTCAGTGGAATATTGCTCAATAATAAAAAGGAGCAAACTATTGATTCATTCAATAACTTGGAAGACTCTCTCAGAATAATTATGCTGAGTGAAAGCAATAAAACAAAAAGAATACATATTTTGTTATTCCACTTATCTAAAACTCTATAAAGATCAAATAAATTTATAGTGACAGAAACAGATCAGTGGATGCCTGGGAAGGTTGGGGGCAGAAGAGGCAAGAGTTAAGGATTGCAGAGGGGCATGAGAAAGCTTTTGTAGGTGACATGTTCACTATCTTGATTGTGTGACAGTTTCATAAGTGTATACCTATATCCAAACTTAGCAAATTGCACACTTTAAATATATGCAGTTTATGTGTTAATTAAATTTCAGTAAAGCTGTTAAAAAAGTGTTTCAGTTTGAATCATAACTTCTGTGATTACCCTACCTAGCATATGCCAAAAGAATTTTTGTTGAATTGAAATGCTGTTTCTTTTTCAGTAGCACCCAAACAAAAGGCATAAAAATAAATGAATAGTGAAAACAGAAAAGGAAAGTAGAAAAAGGAAAATCTCTTTAATACATACACTAAAGTTACTAAACACTAAAACTACACCTTTCGGGGCCGCCAAAAATGCTTGTAATAGACAAATCATAGAAGAATTCCTAGGATTTTGTGACTGAAGTGGCTGCTTCTGCGACCCAATCAACTTCACTTAATTTATGGACTTACAAATGAATGTGACTGACTGCTCACAAGTAAATTATTTTCCTCTAATTGGTCTCTCTAAGTGATAATATAAACAAATTAGCCATGACAGTGATGAATCCTGTTGGCTGTATCTGCAGAACTAGATGTATAAAGACTTGTATTTTGCTCATATGTGCTCCAAAACTTTACATTACACTTGATTCATTTCGCTATATGAATAGAATTAGAGTAATTCACCTCTAAAACTTTTTTTGATTCTAGAAGGCTGTGATTCTTTTATCCAAATCTACTCATACCACCTTTGCTTTTGTAAAACACATTAACCTGCCTGTGCGCCATATGCTAAATGGAGATGAACAGTGCATCTGCATTTAGCATATGATTCTTTTCATAGCAACTCCTCAGGATGTTTGGGGCTTGTTCTTAATGTGCCTTAATTCTGATTGATTTTGATGTATTTTTCTTCAAAATCTTTGCCTAAGTTACCTATTCTTTCTTGATCTGCTGCCTTTTGAAATTTACAGAGTTCAGGTTTTCCAGCGTTATCTCTTGGACCTCATGAAAGTACATACTTCTGCTGCTGTTTGTGCTCTTGGTCATCTCCGGTACGGAAACTTCACTTTGCTTTGTCTTATTCCTCAAAGTCTCAAGCCCCAGAAGACCAACCATCCCAAGACAGAGTTAGGCATAGTCAAATGAAAAAGACCATACCACAGAAAAAATATGAACTTAATATTTTTGTCCTAACTATATTTAGGTTCAATTTTAAAACCACAATTTTTGCCAAACCTTCCCCGATTACTTGGCTTTTCTCATAGCTGTATCCCTGTTTGGGCTCATGGCATCCATTAGCTGTTACTTTCATCTCTATTTTCTTGAATACATTTAAGGTATATTCCCCACATAGATCAGAAACTTCCTAGTATGTTTCTAAAACATTTCATGGTCCATAATTTACATTATTCTTCTAAAACATTTCATGGTTTATAATTTACATTGTTCTTCTGAGTCTCTGGAAAGCACAAGCACAAAGAAGTTGTTCAGTAAAATATTTGAGTATTGTTTGATTGCTCCTAATTGGTACTACCAATTGTTTCAGTTTTTCAGAGAGTAAATACTTTCTATTTCCTGCATATACATATGAAAGATTTTCTATGCATATATATACATATATATAATTTTAATGGTTTTCTATTGTAAGAATATAGTCATAATAATAACCTACCTCCTGAAATTATACCTGGATACAATAAATTATGATAAATGCTATTAAGTCTTGTGGACCTGACTCATCAAGAGTAAAGGAAGATATGTGTAATATGCTCTTTTGAAAAAAGAGTTGAAGGATGAAATCTATCTTTGAAAGGTTAATGGTCAATAATTTTTTTAAAAAAGTAACAAAGGGACCAAACTGAAATAATAAGCATTCATTTAAGGGAATGCATTTCCCAGAAGTTCTTCTTTACTGAATATCTCCTGAAGGTTCATTAAAGAATACAACTCCACTCAGTTAGCTTGTGATCGTTGATAATTTCCATGTCTTCCAGATTTTGCT
Source organism: Homo sapiens (assembly GCF_000001405.40). NCBI lineage: Eukaryota > Metazoa > Chordata > Mammalia > Primates > Hominidae > Homo > Homo sapiens. The sequence goes on from NC_000018.10 coordinate 43,584,885, forward strand.
TTTAAGGTCCATGACCATGACATTCATTCTTTTATCAACAAATGCTTTTGACTTAATACCATATACCACATACTGAAAATAAATTAGATATAAAATGAACTTTATAATTCAATGATATCATTTAGAATATCCTCATTTGTCTTCATTTTCATTCTGTAGAAATTTTAAAATATATAAGTTGATTTCTGTACACTAAGCTGAAATTTTTTCAACACAATGAGTTTTGGAGTTGTTTTTACCACTTTAATTAATGGTGGAATCAGCTAATGTTAAAAACTTCTTAACTTGAAGGGAGGCTTTTATTGATAGGGTGACCTCCTAGATGCTGATAAAGGGCATATTACACAGTTACACAGTAAGCAGAGTTGTCCTGATTTCCCTGTGTGCTAGAGTACAAAACTGCTGAGGTCAACAGCCCAGCTGTCTTTGCAGAATAGTTAGTGTGGCCTTCTATAATTGACATCAATGGTCTTTGCAACACAGCACTCCTTCCTTTTCCAATGGGTAGATACATAGACAAGCATATATATATGTCCTGCAATAGCTGTTAAGAGGAGAAACTTTTTTACAGGAAGTGTTCAATGTTAAAAGAGCATGAATCTAATCCTGAATGGCCATGTTTCCTGCCATGTGAACAGAGACTACAATTAGCATAAAGTCAGGCAGAACTTATGTGGAGAGAGAGAGAAAGAGAGAGAGACGGGGAAAGAAACCCAGGTGACATAATTTTATCCCTGAATCCAGGAGCAAATGGACCAAGCAGAAATATTTAGAAGTGGGAGATAAAGAGGCAGAGCTCTTATAATCTCATTTGAACAACTAGACTCAACTGAACTGAAGCCAATTTCATCCTTGAATTTTTTGGTTGTATCTACTAATATATAAATATATTTTCATTTTTTTTTTCTTGAGCTGGTTTGAGTTGATTGTCTTTTCTACTGCCTTAAAGCCATTTTTTTTCAGGCTACTGCAACAAATTACTTTAGATTAGTTGACTTAAACAACAAACATTTACTTTTCATAATTCTAGGGGCTGGAAAGTAGAAGATTAAGGTGCTGGCAGGTCCACTGTCTGGTGAAGACCTTTTTTCTGGTTGAAAGGTTACTTAATGTTTTCTTGTATCCTCACATGGTGAAGAGGAAAGAGAGGGAGAGCAAGCTCTCTTGTCTCTTGTAAGGAGGGCACTAATCTCATCATGAAGACTTCACCCTCATGACCTAATTGTCTCTCAAAGGCCCAACCTCCTAATATCATCCTATTGGGGATTAGGATTTCAACATATTAAACTTCTGGGGGATATAAGCATGTAATGCATAACAACCTCCAGTCAAAATTTTTCTACTTATTTGACTTTGCTTTATTCTAAAAATCTATTTTAACTTCGAGTTCAGGTTTCACACTAATGGATCATTCTATTGTTACTGACCAATCCTTTTAACAAATTCCACTAGAGTCCAAGATGCGCCCATTTCTACTGAATTTCATGACATAGAACTATGCTCTTCTGATTTAGAGATTATATCTGATTCTAGCTTTATTACTCATGGCTATAGAGAGAAATTAGCTGGAGAGCTATTTGAAGTCATTCTTCTAACCAAAGCTCTGATTTTTCAATTTCTGACCAAACTTGTATGAATCAGGGAGCTCCATCACCACTTTGATTTCTTATAAAGTGTTACATTTGACTGAGTCATGGAGATGTCATTGTCAGACCTGGAGGTTGGTTAGTGGTGGGAGGCCATATTCTTTTTGCCTAACAATGTTTTAGAGGCATGGTGTGAAAATGTTTATATCATTTAAAGTCATTTTTTCTAAAGAGGCCATTTGAGCCTCAATACAAGAAGCCTCTGCGGTGGCTCACGCCTGTAATCCCAGCACTTTGGGAGGCCGAGGCGGGTGGATCATGAGGTCAGGAGATCGAGACCATCCTGGCTAACAAGGTGAAACCCCGTCTCTACTAAAAATACAAAAAAAAATTAGCCGGGCGCGGTGGCGGGCGCCTGTAGTCCCAGCTACTGGGGAGGCTGAGGCAGGAGAATGGCGTGAACCCGGGAAGCGGAGCTTGCAGTGAGCCGAGACTGCGCCACTGCAGTCCGCAGTCCGGCCTGGGCGACAGAGCGAGACTCCGTCTCAAAAAAAAAAAAAAAAAAGAAGCCTCTGAATGTATCCTTCTTTCTTGCCTCAACTTGGGCTATAAATAAGTCAAGTGATCCATCTACTCATTTGATGGAGCTAATATTTTGCCAGTTTAAGTATGTACCTAATTATATGCAAAACTTTTAAAGATTTGTAAAACAAAAGAAATACTGTGATAGCAAGAATAAGATTAATTAATCTCTATAAGTCACCCCAAAACTTACTGAGTCTCTCTCCCTTTCTTTTTCTCTGGAAGATTATTATCTCTTTAGTCTTCCTCTGTGGAATTCTCAATGCTGTTGTTTTTTTCTTTCCCCCATTTCCCTTTCTCATTATTTCTCTTTGCTTACATTTATTTCTCTTTGCTTACATTTCTCCATTCTTTCTTCAACTTCCTTTTTTCTATATTCCTTTTCTCTTTTTCTGTTTGTGTCATCTTCCTTCTGTCTCTCTTCCACTAACATTTTATTTTTATATTTTTTATTCTCTATGCTCTAATGTCTTTTCTGCTCTTGCATATTAATGACTCATATTTGACAGGTTTTTATATATAAATATATCACAGAGATTAGCCCATTTTCTCTGATAGTTGAGCTAGTAGAATTTTCTATGTAATTCTTAAAATAAGGCTTTATTGTTTGAGTGAACCTGGAAAAGCTCTGCTACAGCATGTTTTTTCCAAGATGTAGGCCTGTCTACATTTCAGGAAATCAAATCCGTATGCCACCTGGTGGCTATCAAGAAAAGTACAGCCAGAAACAAAACTACCTTCAACAAAATCAGTGGCATATCCCAATACACTGAGGTAATGCATGGTTTATTCTATTCATACAGTGCATGTGATGACATGATGTCATTCATCTGAACCTCACCACTGAGCAGTACTACCATCAGCTAGACAGGGATTTGTTATACCTTTCATACTTCCTAATTCCCCATTTCTTAGGGGAAAAAATCACTTTCCTCATTTCCTGTCTTCTCTAGTCATTCATATAAAATCAGAAAATTCCAGAACTGTTAAGGGAAATGAAAAGTATCTAATGCAAACTTATGATATCCAGCCAAGAAGTTAGTGGTGGATCTATGAGTAGAACACAGGCTTCTTTCTTCCCTGTAAAATGCTTTCTGACATTATTTTCACCTTCCTCTCAGGGAGCTTAGTTAAATTAAGACAAGATGTAGTTAGGAGAAATAAATAAGAAGCATAAACAAAGGAAAGGGAATACCATGAAATCTATGAATAAATTTGGGTTACTTCTTATGGTTTTTGTTATTTGAAATGAAGATTTTATTTATATAGTTGATCAAAACAAAGTAGTGTAGAAGTTGTTTGCCGTACTCTAGTGGAAATTTTCTAAGAGGAATGGCATCAACTGAGAAGGAACAAGGCAGAGGAAAACCTGGGGCTGAAGAAAGAGACTGGATTGTGGGGAGTGGTAGGGGTTCATTAGCCAGGATCCAAGTATGTCAAAAATTGGTATATTACCAAATATCCAGAGAGTTGCGATTTTCTGGGAAAAGTAGTTCATCAGAAGTAGAGATGGTGAGCAGTATTCATAATCAGGTGAGGCAGCTACATCAGGCTTCTAGTTGGGTCTTAAATGGCAGAGTTGCATTTATTTCTAGGTAGAGGAATTACTGGAAAGAATTAGAATAGCTCTGTGTAAGGGTCTTAATTTTACTGATGCCATAGGAGACCTGCATTCTTGAATTTAATTGTGCTATGGGTGAAAAATTCAGGGCAACGGTTTACCGTTTCAGTGTGGGACAACACAGAAGTGTTATGGAATACTTGGTGTGTCGCTTCACCAGCTGGAAACCTCTGTGACCAGTGGCAGCTTTGCCTGAATTTTACTCTGACCTTCTGGGCTCCTTCTGCCCACTCAGCCTGGCAGGCTGCATTTGGCTCATGCTATTGGCCTGGATCCTATGCCTGCCAAGGAAAAGCCAGGCACAGAGTGACCAGGGGAATGTGAGCAAGCATGGGGTCTAGCCACTGCGCACAGCCAGGCACGCCAGTGCTGACAGGGTGGGCAGCACCAGCTGCTGGAACAGGACCCAGCTCCCTATGAGGCTGTGGCTGGACCAGGCTCACCGAGAGCAGCTTCCATGGCTGGCACCAGGGAACACAGGGGTGCCTGGAAGCTTGGAGGCTCCAGGAACTGCAGGGCTCCAAAAAGGGAGTCACAGCCCTGGCTTAGGGAGTTAAAGGGCTGTAGTGCTTCTCTCCTTAGCCTGTAACGTGGTGAGCAAGGGGCGTGTGTCAGCCCTATTGGTGTTACTGCTCTTTTAGCCCCGCCATTTGGCTGGTCCCAAGTCTTGTCTTGCATCCAGGAAGAACGATGTAGGCAGACAAGTGGAGGATGAGCAAAACAAAGAGGAACTTTATTGAGGGATAGAACAGCTCAGAGGAGAGCCACAGTGGGTAGCTCCTCTTTGTAATCAGGGTGTCCTGATGAGTGTCCAGCTCTTAGCAGAGAGGGTAGCTCCTCTCTGCAGGCGGGTCTTCACATCATCTCTTCTGGTCTGGCTGAGTCCAGGGCTTTTCATGGGTCTAGAGGAGAGGAAGTGCATGCTGATTGGTCCATGGGCGGCCACGGCGGGCCCAGAGAAAGCACCACAAGTTCCCACTCCGGTATGTGGGACCAGCAGCCCAGCCCCCAGGCTTCAGGCCCTCCCCGGCTTGAAGGTGGAGCTTCACCTGGGACCTGCCCTCTTTCACCCAGGAGCCTGTCTGCTTCCTGCCTCCATTCGTGGCACCCAGGCTGTTCACGACAAGGGGCACCTGCAGGCCAGCACTGAGCTGCCCTCAGCTCCCCCATCAGCTTCCCTCCCATGCTCATCTGTGCCCAAAGCCTGGAGGGGGCCGAAGCAGCAGGAGGCTGGCATGTTAGCTCTGCCCGAGCATGTGCACACCTGGCCTGGCTGCCACAGCTTCTGGCCTTGGCCCCAGATTTGCTCCAAGATCAGAGTGGGTGCCAGGAATGGGGAGAGGCCAGGCAGCGGAAGCAGACACCTCCAGGCCTGCAGGGGAATGGGGGTCCCTTCTGGCCCCAAGAGTGCAAAGATGCCTGGGTCTACAGCCAGGACGCAGGTCTCATGCCTGCTCCAGGCCCTCAAGAGCACAGGGAGGCCCGGGTCCACAGCCATGACTTGGGTAGCTGTAGTTGCACCTGGGAATGCAGGGCTCCTGCCTGCTCCCTGCTCCTGCCTGCTCTGTGGAGCGTGGCACTGCCCCTGGCCCAGCTCCTCCTTGGGGCCCCTCTTTGCCCGCCCCCTCCGTGCCGGACCACGCTGCTCCCCTGCCGGTGGGACATGTGGCTCGGCCCCACTGCAGTGGCTCCCAGGGCAGTGGGTTCGGGGGGTCTCCCAGGGGCAGGCTCTGAGGACTGTCGCCTCCTCTCCGCGTTTTCCCTGCAGCGGCAGTGGGTGAGGTGCAGGTGGCATAGGGCCCTAGCCAACCTTGCACAAATGAACCTGATGCTCTTGGGGCCAGTCCTGGCTGCACCTTCCACTGGGTGCTCGTGGGCTCCCAGGATGCACAGGGAGCGAGGTTGAAGCTCCAGTGGAGGCTCCAGGCCTGGGAGTTGGTCCTGCCCTGCCATGAGAGGTTGGGGGTGGTGCAGTTGGCTGCCTTGGAAATGCAGGGCACAGGATCCCATTGCCGCCACTGTTGCTCCCTCAGCGGCTCCTGCCACCACCGCAGGTGCCTTCCTGCTGCAGCCAGCCCGATGGCAGCAGCTACTCCAAGTGCCCCGCCCTTGCCATCAGAAGGGTGTGTAGAACCAGGCTGAGTCACTCTGAGCTCGCAGAATCTAGGGAAGTTGCTCTATCATTCCAAATACTAGGCCTATTTGTGCCAGAAATATTGTCTCTAGTTATCTTATCATTAAAACGAAGCTTCCTATAGCGCACCCTAATCTGGCTAAGATTCCTTTATTTAATACTGTTACCAAAGGTACTCTGTGTTGAGCAGAGTGACTGTTTCTAACACAGTACTAAAAAATCAGATGCATTTTCTGCCAAGATGGATCTGGAATTTATTTCCTTGGGAATTTCCATGCAGTCTAGTTACTGCTAAAACTACAGGTTAATATCTTGTTTTTCCATTAGTAGGTGTAGCTGGAAAGTCATACATTAACTTAATGTCAGCTTAAACTATTTTTAAATGGACATTTCATAGACATAGATTCAAATGATATCTCCTAATCTAATACATTTGCCATAATCTTTTAACCTTTTTCCCGTTTGCCCCAAGATTATTTGCTAGTGGCGCTTGCAGCTGCAGCGTTTACCCTGAGATAACTTTGCTACCAAATATCATTTATTATTATTTTTATTATTATTTTTTGCATCACTTTAGTATATAGACTTTAAAAACAAAAGACAGCATTCTAATTATAGCATTCTGTTTTCAGTAGTGGTATTTCCATTTACAAAATGTAGTAATTCTCAATCACTGAAAATGTCAAATCCTAGAAAACATAGTATTCCTACGTGTCATGTTAACATCGTTCTCAAATAGTTAGCCAAATAGTCCTTTGATGAATCTGCTTTTTCCGAAATAGACAATCCTGATGATTCAGATGATTCTGATGTTAGTTCTGTTTAGAACAACTCCAAGAACAGTTTTTATATTTTATTTTCATATTGAAAATCAGTCAGATTTGCTTCAGCCTCAAAAAGCCTTTTTATATAAAATTAAATGAGCACTGGCAGCGAGATGCACTTTCTTTTCCTAAACAGGAAAAGAGTTAAAACTAAAGCAGCTTTGGCCAGGTGAAGCCAGTAAGTTAAGAATTAAGAGGGAAGCATCACCTGTAGCCACATAGCAGGTAAAAGGAAACATGATTTCATCATATAAGTGAAACTGTGTCAAGAATGATAGAGGAAGAGGCAAAATTGGGGCACTGCAGGATAGAGCATTTTACTCAGAGCCTGTTGAAAAATGTTAGCTCCTGAAGTCTTAATTTGCTCTGAACTCACTAATGTCTTATTTCAAATAAATATCAACTGGTTCCCAATAAATATGTCATTGAGGTTTATGTAGTTAATACTTGAATAAATTAATATCCATAATGCTTATCATACACTATATATACTCCATTCTTTTTGGCCTTTAATGATGACAAGTTGAGTGAGCAGCCAACCTCGTTCCTTGTCCATTTTTATTAGCAATTTGTAGCCTAGATATTTGCTTTTCACTATAACCTTCTGTTTTAGTTGTTGATTATCATCAGCTTTTGGAAAATAAAACGTATCTTTCCATTGAAAAGAAAAAGAGGTTGGGAAACTGCAGACTAGGGAGTTAATGAAGACTTTTTGAATCTGATGAAGCAGCTATCAGTACATACCAGACAATCTTATTGACAATTCAACAGACTAAACTGTTCAAGATGACTGACAGCTCCATTTGCCAGGCAGCAATGTTGAATGACAGTTTCACTTGCACAGTGTCCATTTTGAGTGGCATCTCAACACCAAAAACACCTAGTTTGATTGACAACCTCACATACGAAGAAGTGAAGCTAGGATATCTCTGAGAAGCTGAGGAAAGGGTGGGAAAAGGTGGGAAAGATGTGTTCCTTGGGCTTTGGGTCTGCCCTCATTCTTTTTCATCCACACTGTGAACATCTCATCATCTCATCATTTTACTTTTTATACTATTAAAAATGTATTAAATACTCACATGTAATGTAGATTAGCACTTGATTTCTCACAGCTGTGCTGCAAGTCACATAGTGTCATGGCCTGTCACATGAAAATATTTGCATTCCTCTAAGTGACTTAATATATAATAATATGTTATTATTGAAATTTTAGTCATGCCTATCAAGTGGCTTTATTTTTATATTAACCACCAAAAGGTGACTGATAAGACCCAACATTATCTATAGCTTATACATGGGGCATAATTTCTGTATGATTTTAGCAAACATCTTTGACTTTAGATTGAATTCACTGGAATATACAAGGGTAGTGGGCAACAGAAAATAGCTACTTAAAATGTTAATTTAAGCCTAAAATGTCAATTTAAGCCATACTAAAACCTAAAACTATTGAGCTCCTACTATTGTAAATGACACAGTACAAGGAATGCTAATTAGAAGATCTAGTGACTGGAAGATTTCTCAGAAGTGTTCAGCAGTAGTCCATCCACAGCTGAATTTTAATGCTAAGTTCCAGATACTACTTATTAAAGAAACTGTGGAGTTACAGTATATTCACAACACTGCAACTAGTGCAGGGAAGAGATAGCCATTCATTTTATGTGTGGTTTGATACAATGAACTTGATACCCTTTACCTGAAGATTATAGGATTAAAAGGAACATGAGGGTTGATGTCAAACAACTAAAGAACTATTATTTGCAAAAGAACAGATACTTATTTTTTGAAAAATAAAATGAAAATGACAAGAAGAAAACAAGGGCCTCTGGTTAGAAATCAGGGAATGCAAAATTCAACTGAATATAAAAAAGGTTTTCTAACAATTAGAGCAAGTAAAAATGTAACAGTTTAGCTCTTAAACACCACTAGGATTTAACCTGACAAGAATGTTGCCACTATTACTACAATTTGTAATAATACCAATAATTGTCACCTATCTAATAATCTTTTGGGCTCTTTAAAAATAGATTCTCTAATATTTTCTAACAATATATAATATAGATTCATACCCCCCCAAACACACACATACACAAATGCAATTACTTGCCTAAGAACATATAGCTAAATTTTGATTTAAAGAATTTCCAGGTCTTATTCGGTGCTTGAATTAAATGTCTTCCTCTTACTTTTCTCCCAAGTGTATGCCAATTCAATTCTGTCAAGTTGTTCAGATATATAAGCGGAACAATTTTTTTAAAAACCTATTAATGTTGGAGATCATGGGAGAGGGGTCATTTTTTATCTGCCTTCAATACAAATAATGCCATACCTTTGTCTAACAACTTTTAAGTAAGGAGATTAGACTCTTTGGCCTTATGGTCTCTTCTAACATTAAGAAAATGTAGAATATCTGTCTAACATTCTGTAATTTTTAAAGTACTTTCTCAATAGTTTCATATTTAACCAGCAAGCATCCTGTAGAAGGAGGATGACCACTATTAACATTTCTGTGCTACCAACAAAGAAACAGCAGCCCCCTAATGTCAAGGACCTTTTTAAAAGTCACTGAGGACCTGACCGGAGAGCTTACATAAGAACATGACCTCCTGGCTGCTGCTCTAGAAAGAACTATTCTACTGTGCTATGCCACTTTACTTCCATTTTCCTTCCTCTTTTTCTAAATGATTTTCAAAAAGTCTTTTCAACATTACTTGCTTTTTCCATCCTATCTTTACTCTCAAGACAGCAGCTGATGGTTGAGTTCTGGAAAGAGTGTCCATTTCCAGTGCTCATAACTTGTGATAGTTTCTTACTTAGTACCAGATCAAATATGTAATTTCTATCTCAGCTTTAAGGAGTTCTATAGAATAGTCCAGATTATCTTTCCAAGTATATTTTATAATATCTTCTATATTAGTTCACAGGGCTGCCACAACAAAATGCCACAGAATGGGTGGCTTAAGTAACATAAGTTGATTTTCTCACAGTTCTGGAGTTTGAGGGTTCAAGATGAAGGTGTCAGCAGGTTAGATTTGTCGTGAGGCCTTTTTTCTTGGCTTGCAGATAGGTGCCTCCTTACTCTGTCCTCACGGGGTCTCCTTTCTGTGCACATGCATAGCGGATGTCTCTTTGTGTGTTCAAATTTCGTCCTTATAAGGACATCAGTCAGATTGGATTAGAGCCCAACCTATGGACCTCATTTTAGCTTAATCACGGCTTTAAAGGCCCTGTCTTTAAATACAGTCACAAGCTGTGCTGAGGTACTGGAGATTAGGAATTCTACATGAATTTGCTAAGGTTGAGGGTGGCAAGAAACACAAAATTTAGCCCATAACTGCCTCTGATCATACCTTACATTTTAGCTAGAAATGCAGAATTCCCATTCTGTAAATAAAACCTACATTTTTCCACCACCTTATCGTTGAACTGAATATCTTTGAGATGAGAGATAGTGATTATGTATGTCTAGCCAGCTTATTAATAGAGGTCAAAACTGGCACCCAGGAAAATTAGCTGACATGCCCAAGGACACAGAGCTGGTCAGTTAGCAGCATGGTTAGAATCAGATAAAGCCTTAGGAATATGGTAGGGGCTTTGCACCGACGGTAATTTTCCTCTCATCTATTCCTTCTGGTTGAAGTGAGGTTCCTACTCATTTTTTTCTGATTGGTACTTTATCTATTAAAAGATTCTTTGTTTTGTTTTGTTTTGTTTTGAGACAGAGTCTCGCTTTGTTGCCCAGGCTGGAGTGCAGTGGCGTGATCTCGGCTCACTGCAAGCTCCGCCTCCCGGGCTCACGCCATTCTCCTGCCTCAGCCTCCCAACTAGCCGGGACTACAGGAGCCCACCTCCACGCCCAGCTAATTTTTTGTATCTTTAGTAGAGACGGGGTTTCACCGTGTTAGCCAGGATGGTCTCGATCTCCTGACCTCGTGATCCACCCGCCTCGGCCTCCCAAAGTGTTGGGATTACAGGCGTGAGCCACCGCGCCCGGCCAAAGATTCTTTACCTGGTACCTCTTAGATGAAGACCTCCGTGATTCCCCCAGCCAGCACATAGCCTTCTCTCCCCAGAAACTTTAAGGCTTCTTATTATAGTATTTCCCATGTTATAGTTATCTATGTACTTTTTTCAACATCTCCAACTGATGTAAGTTTCTTAAGCAGTGAATGAATGAAAGAATAAGTTATTGATTTTCTATGGTAGTGTCTAATATCTTGGTTTGCACATGTATATACCAGATGTTTAATAAATATACATTGCTTAGATTCCTTTTTAAACATCAACCCTCCTGTTATAAAATTGCCCCTCCTTTTGAAAAATGCAGTACTAGGGAAAGGCAAAGACACCTTAGAGATATTTCCTATGGTCCTCAAGTCAGAGGCTCTGAGAGCTTCTTTTTGTTACAATACTTATCATTTTGACTTTTAATTAATGGGTTACATATTTGTCTCTCCCCTCAGGAGTCTGTGAGAAACTTCAGGAGAGCAACTATGTCTTATTTATTCTTATCGTTAGTATTTATATTGGCACATAGTAGGTGCTCTGAAATTGCTGATTGAGTAAATGAGTGAATGAACAGGCCCTCCTAATAGGAGTCCAGGAATCAGGTGCACAGTTTTAAGTTGGAACTGCTTTGTATTTAAAGACATCAAATAGGTATAGATTGCCATCTAGTGGAAAATGTACACCAATGCTATCTGAATATGGAACTCCTTTCCTAGGACATGGCAGTGAATTTGTACTAGGCTGCATATACCCTTACAAATGTCTTACAACTAAATAGAGAATATAATAAAATTTTCATCGTCCAATGCTTACCTCAGCAATATACAAGTTATAAAGTTTTTATCACATAATATTTTAAAACCTATTTCTTTGATGAAAAACTATAGTGAAAAATTCTCTGGAGTTGATGAAATCAGGATGCACTCTCCAAGTTGCTCAAACATGCAACTGTATAGCCACCCTTTCAAATAGTGTTCTTTTGTTAATTTCATCTCCCTGCTCTTTCTTTCATGTCAGTTATTCTAGTTAATTTTCTACTAGTGGACACGGACAGCTCAGCTGTAGGCAGATTTTTCCTAGTCAAGCATAGTATCTCTCATTATTATTACATTTTATACATTTCAGAAATATTATAGACATCAATAACTTTTTAGTGAAATGAGTAGACACTAGATTCTGTATCTGTATAATCTTTGCACTGTGTGTGTCACTGAAATTGAAAATATTAAAAACTTAGAAGCTGTGGACCCAGAAAATCTGAGACAGATCTGAGTTAATTTAGAAAGTTTATTTTGCCAAGATTAAGGATGTGTGCCCATGACACAGCCTCAGCAAGTCCTGACAACATGTGCCCAGGGTGGTCAGGGAACAGCTTGGTTGTATACATTTTAGGGAGATATGGGACATCACTCAATACATGTAAGAAGTATATTGTTTCAATCTGGAAAGGCGGGACATCTTGAAGCAAGGGCAGGAAGACTCCAAGTGGGGAGGGAGCCTCCAGGTCACAGATAGGTAAGACACAAAGGGTTGCATTCTTTTGACTTTCTGATTAGCCTTTCCAAAAAAGGCAATCATATATTCACCTATCTCAGTGAGCAGAGGATAACCTTGAATAGAATAAGAGGCAGGTTTGCCTTAAGCAGTTTCCAGCTTGAGTTTTCCTTAGTGATCTTGGGGGCCCAATATATTTTTCTTTCACAAAGCCCAATTGCCAATAGCTTTATGTTTTAATGATCCTTTTTCTGGTCATTATTTCATTTTTTAAATAAAAAAATGGAAAATCATATTAAGAGATATTTATTTAATGCTATTCTATTGAAATAGTATACTTAATTTACATAGAAGTTTAACACATGGCTTCAGATTATAAGAAGCTTTAAATCTATTGACGATGCTCATGTTTTTATTCAAAAATCTATGATAGGAATATTTCCAGTTCTACTCATAATAGAGTTTTAGCTAATGAACTTACCCCAAAACCACTAAAAAAAAAATCAAACAGTACAAAATATATGAAGCAACTATTTCAGGCATTAGATAATAGGTATCACAACGTTGAGATCCTTGAGAGAAAAAAAAACACATGAGGTGAGTGTTAAATCCACACTGGCTTTCTGCCTGGGGGCACCTTCCATACTGCTGCAACAATAAAAACTTTAAAATAAAGCACAGGAAGTCAAAACACTGAAAAAATTGAGCAGAGCATTGGTGAGTTTTTGGAAACTTCAAGCTCATTAATATATAGGTAATTAGAGTTTTGCAAAGAAAAGCAAAAACACTTAAAAATAATGGTACAAATTATCAAATTTGATGAAAATTCAAAGTCCACATATCTAGAAAGCTCAATGAATTCCAAATACAGAAAACTTGAAGAAAACTACACAAAGTTACATTATAATGCAATTGTGCAAAGCCACTAATAAAGCAAAAAAAATATGAAATGCAGCATAAGAAAAAAATGTATTACATACAGAAGAACCAAGATATGGGTTGAGGCAGATTTTTTTTAATAGAAAACAATGCAAACAAGAAGACAGTGAAACAATATATATATAAAGTACTTTTAAAGCTTACTGAATATGGCCTGAGAAGGACTCCATGCTTCTATATTTGAGTCCTTGTGGATGAACTGTAACCTAGCTTAACAGGCAGAAAAAATTGAAAACCTATGTTAGTAGTGTGTACCTGTAAAAGGTCTTGGCCAATCCCAGCAGCCATACTTCAACACTGCTGAGTGTTCAAACTATGTTCAAATAATGCATATGCCGAGCTGTAACCAATCCAGCCATTCTGTACCTCGTTTCCAATTTCTGTATGTCGTTTCTCTCTCTCTCTCTTTTTTTTTTTTTTTTTTTTGCCTACAAATCTTCTTCCACCACGTGACTGTGCTGGAGTTTATTTATTTATTTTTTTTTGAGACGGAGTCTCACTCTGTCGCCCAGGCTGGAGTGCAGTGGCGCGATCTCGGCTCCGCCTCCCAGGTTCACGCCATTCTCCTGCCTCAGCCTCCCGGGTAGCTGGGACTACAGGCGCCCGCCACCACGCCCGGCTAATTTTTGGTATAGTAGAGACGGTGTTTCACCGTGTTAGCCAGGATGGTCTCGATTTCCTGACCTCGTGATCCACCCGTCTCGGCCTCCCAAAGTGCTGGGATTATAGGCGTGAGCCACCCGACTGCGCTGGAATTTCTGTGATTCTGCTGTGATTCTGGGGACTGCCCGATTCACAAATCGTTCATTGCTCAACTAAATTCCTTTAAATTTAATTCAGCTGAAGTTTTTTCTTTTATCAGTATCAAAAGGAAAAAAGCTTATAACCTAAAATTCTATATTCTGGGAAAGTGTCATTCATAAATGACAATGAAAATAAGGGAATTTCAGAAATACCAATGCTGAAAGAGACACCCATACTACAAGACATATTGAAAGAAGAAGCTCTTCAGACAGAAGGAAAGTGATACCATACGTAAATCTGAATCTACACAAAGGAATGAAAGTTACTAGAATAGTGTAACTATTTAGGTAAATATATACAACTTTGTAAATATATAAAACTTTGAAGTATTATTTAAATATATGTAACTTTGAAGTATTATTTATAAATATATAAATATATATACCTTTGAGAAGTATTTAAATTTATTTAAAACATAATTGTTTTAAAAATAATAATTGATTGTGGGAGTTAATATCTAAAGAATTAAAATGAATGACATCAATAGCACAAAAGCTGGAGTGGGAAATTGGAAGTTTATTGTAGTGTACTTCTATTATACATACAGTGGTATGTATAATAAACTTGGATGTAGATTGTGGTAAGTTAAAGTGATATATTATAAACCCTGATGCGTCCATTAGAATAAAACAATAAATAGTTGTGGCTCATAAGCTGTCAAGGAAGTTAAAGAAAATCATAAAAATTACACAATTATTTCAAAAGAATACAGAAAAAGAAGGAAGAAGGAGCAACAAACAGTTAGAAAAAATAAACAAATTGAAAGATGATAGGTTAAAGCAAAATATATGATCAAATGAAACATAAATGATTTAACCATCCAATTAAAAGGAACAAATTGTTACATGGGAAAAAAGAGCATAATCCACATGTATGTTGCCTACAAACAAACCCACCCTACATTTAAACATAAGGTTATGTCATAAGTAGCAGGATAAAAAGTGATACACTAAGCTAAAACTAATCAGAGGAAGGCATGAGTGAGTATATTAATGCTATTCAAAATAGATTTCAGGGCTAAAAACATTGCCAGTGATAAGTAAGTTCATTTCATAATTATAAAGAGGTCAATTCATTAGGATAACATAAAACTCCATGCAGCAAAAATAGCTTTGAGAATAAAGGAGGCAAAAACTAATACAACTGCAAGAAGAAATTGTCAAATTTATAAATTGTAGCTTCACATACTCATCTCTCAATTATTATATATATATTATATATCTTGTTAGAACAAGTGACAGAAAAGCAGAAGAAACATAAAAGACATTAACAACACTACCAACCAACCTGACCTAATTGATGCTTATTGACTATTTCACCCAACAACAGAAAAAGACACATTTAGTCCATATTCTAAGCTATAAAACACAACTATAAATTTGTTAAGACATGTTTTATTGCTTAGAATATGCTTAGAATATAGAATAGAATAAGTAAATTAGTCCATATTCTAAGCTATAAAACATGTCTTAACAAATGTAAAACAATTTTTCACAAAATGTATGGTCTCAGGCCACAATGGAATTCAGTAAGAAATGAAGAAAAAGACATTTGAAAACCCCCTAAATATTTAGAACCTAAATAAAACACTTTTAAATACCATTTAGGTAAAAAAGTAACACATCATTGAGAAATTAGAAAGTGTTCTAAAATTAATAAAAATAAAAACACTCATATATAATTATGTAGGATGTCATTAAAGCACAGCTTAGAATGCAGTTGACTATATTAGAAATCAAGAAAGGCCTCAAATCGATTATCTCAGTTTCTACCTTTAGAAACTAGAAAAAGAGAGCCCAAATAAGAGAATAAAGGAAATAATAAACATAAGAGTGGAAATCAATAAAATAGAAAACAGAAAAATGGAAAGTTATTTGAAACAAATTTTTTTTAAATAAATTTTTTTTTAGAAGAAAGTTGTTGATTTTAATCAATAAAATGGATCAAGCTCCAGCCGGACTGGTCAGTAGAAAAAAAAGAAGGAACAAATTATTAATATCAGGAATGACAAAGGTCATGTCTCTACAGATTCAGATAGTAAGAGGATAACATGAAAATACAGATTGAGTATCCCTTATCTAACATGCTTGGGAACAGAAGTGCATCAGATTTCAGGGCTGTTTTTAATATCTGGGTAAATTCAAATATTTAGATAATATCTTGGAAATAAACCCAAGTCTAAACATGAAAATCATTTATGTTTCATACACACCTTATTCACATAGCCTAAAGCTAATTTTATATATTTAATAATTTTGAGCATGAAACAAAGTTTGCATACACTGAACCATTAGAAAGCAATGATGTCACCGTCTCAGCCACCCTTGTGAATAATCTATGATTGTTTGTCATCGCCATCATTCCTGACTCTGTATTTGTATGCTTTCAATAAGCAATCATTTTCCAAAACTTATTCACACAGAAGTGCTTAACAATAAAAAATGTCATTCCATTAATACAGTGAAAAAATAATGTTGTAGTATAACTTATAGTATCATGTAGGCACTCAAAAAGTTTTAGATTTTGGAGCATTTCAGATTTTGGATTTTTGCTTTAGGAATATGCAACGTGGATGGTGAATAGTGTTAATGCTGATAAATGTTTAATAAAAACATGACCAAAACCAGGACACATTACTTGAGAGCCTAGAACTCCCAAAGCTCACTTAAGAATAAATGTTAAAATCTAAATAATCCTATTTAAATTTAAAATATTCAATTTGTATTTAAAACCTTTGAAAGAGGGAGAGGGAGAGAGTGGCAGAGGGAAGAAGGAAGGAACGGAAGGAAGGAAGGAAAGGAAGGAAAGGAAAGAAGGAAGGAAGGAAGGAAAGAAGGAAGGAAGGAAGGAAGGAAGGAAGGAAGGAAGGCTGGCTTACGGAACCAAAACCTGATGGCTTTATTTAGAACTAGAGTTCTAAGTGAACACTTGAGGAAGAAATAATGTAATGTTAATTTGAGACAAACTCTTCTAAAAAGTTGAAAAGGAGAAAATATTTTTCAACTCATTAATAAAGGCTAGTATTACCTTAATACAGAAGAAAAAGAAGGCTTTACTTAAGAAACTAAAGAGCAATGTCCTTTATTGGGACGTAAATATTCTTAACAAAATTTTAGCCAAACACAGCTACATATATATACACACACAAATAATCTATCATTATAATATGAAATTTATTCTAGGTATGAAGTTTATTCTAGGAATGTGTGGTGGGTTTAATATTCACAAATAAATATAATTTACCATATTAACAAACCAAAAATTTGAAAATGCGTATGATTATCTTAATAGATGCAGGAAAAACCTTGACAAAATCCAGTACTCATTCCAGATTTTAGAATTTCAGCAACATTGAAATAGAAAGAAATATTATCAACTCAATAAATAGCATCTATAAAAACAAAACAAAGCAAACAACAAAAAAAACTCATCATATCAAAGATGAAAAGTCTGAATGCCTTCCCCCTAAGATCAGGAATAAGACAGGTTCTCTGATCTCACTACTTATTTTCAATGAATTTTCTAGTTAGTGCAAAAAGAAAAAAGGAAATAAAAGGTATTTATATTTTTAAAAATTAAAAGTAAACATTTTTATTTCTAAATGACAAGATCATTTCTGTAGACAATCTGATGGAATTAAGAATAAAACTACTAAAACTGACGTTAGTTTAGCAAGTTCATAGTACATAGGGTCAATACAGAAAAATCAATTTTTTCTTGTAATCTAGCAACTAACAAACGAAAATTGAAATATTAAAAATGCTATTTACAATAGCATCAGAAATATAAAATACTTAGGGGTAAATCTGACAATAGATGTGTCAGACCTGTACTCTAAATATTATACAAACATTGCTGAGAGAAGTTAAAAGAGACTTAAATTAATGAAGGAATATACCATTTTAAAATGTCAGAGACTCAATATTGTAAAATGTAAGTTCTCCACCAGTTAATCCATGGGTTAAATGTAATCCTGGTCAAAATCACAGCATGTGGATATTTGTAGAAACTGACAATTTGACTTTAAAATTCATACGAAAAGGCAAAAGATCTAGAATAAACAATTTTTTTTTTAAAAAAGGATCAAGACTACTCAATTTTAAGACTTATAAAGAAACAATTATTAGTATATTATAGTATTGGCAAAGATAAACAGCTAGATCAAAGGAACAGAATAATGAGCTCAGAAATAGATTCACACATAAATGGCCAACTGATCGTGACATAGTTACAATTGCAATTTAGTGGAGAAGGGGTAGTCTTGATGTGTAATGTTGAAATTTGCATATGTATATTCCAAAAAAGAATTTCCTCCACTCTTCACAATGTATGTTAAAATTAACTCAAAATATGTCATTGACCAAAATATAAAACCTTAAAGTAGAAAACTTTTAGAAAAAACAACTGGGCCAATTTATCTCCAAGTATTTATATTTTCTGACCTCGTGTTAGGCAACAACATCTAAATATAACACCAGAAAAAACAGCCACAAAATAAAGTAAAAGTAAAAGAAGGTAAATTTGACTTAATCAGATTTAAAAAAATAACTACACAAAACTGTGAGAACATAATTGTAAAACATATACTTAATAAAGGACTTATATTCAGAATATAAGGACTACCAAAACTTAATAGTAAGAAAACAAACTACCCAGTAATAAAATGGAGATAATCATGTGGTTTTTGTTTTTAATTCCATCAGTAGTGACCAACCCTTTGAACGTGAGGACTTTTTTGCCTATCTGTGGTGGTAACATCATGAAAATTATGCACAGACCTATTTTTTTTTAGGTCATAAGCGATTGTTACTGTTAGTGTATTTTCTGTGTGGCCCAGGGAAGCCAAAAGTTTTGACACCCATGGTTTATGTAATGAATTACATTTATTGATTTGCCTAGGTTGAACTAAACCTGCAACGCAAATATAAAGCCTACTTGATTGTGTTGGATAAGTTTTTTGACGTGCTGCTGGATTCAGTTTACCAGTATTTTGTTAAGGACTTCTGCCTCAATGTTAATCAAAGATAGTGGCCTGAAGATTTGTTATTGTTGTTGCTGTGTCTCTGCCAGGTTTTGGTATCAGGATGATGCTGGCCTCATGGAATAAGTTAGAAATGAGTTTTTCCTCTTTAATTTTTGGAATAGTTTCACTAGGAATGGTACCAGCTCTTCTTTGTACAAGTAGTAGAATTTGGCTGTGAATCCATCTGTCAGTCTGGTCCTGGGCTTATTTTTTTTTGGTTGGTAGGCTATTTATTACTGGTTCATTTTTGGAGCTTGTTATTGGCCTTGTCAGGGATTTGATTTCTTCCTGACTCAGTCTTGGGAGAGTGTAGGTGCCAAAAATTTGTTCATTTATTTTAGATTTTCTAATTTATGTGCATAGAGGTGTTCATAATATTCTCTGACGGTTGTTTGTATTTCTGTAAGGTCAGTGGTAATGTCCCCTTTGTCATTTTTAATTGTGTTTATTTTAATCTTCTCTATTTTCTTCTTTATTAGTCTAGCTAGCAATCTATCTATTTTTTTAAATTTTTCAAAAAAACAACTCCTAGATTTGTTGATCTTTTGAATGATCTTTTGTGTCTCAGTCTCCTTCAGTTCAGCTCTAATTTTGGCTATTTTTTGTCTTTCTCTAGCCTTGGGGTTTGTTTGCTCTTTTTTTTCTAGCTCCTCTGTGATGTTAGGTTGTTAATTTGAGATCTTTCTAACTTTTTGATGCAAGAATTTAGTGCTGTCAATTTTGGTCTTAACACTGTCTTGTCTGTGTCACAGAGATTCTGGTATGTTGTATCTTTGTTCTCATTATAATGTTTCAAAAAACTTGACTTCTGCCTTAATTTCATTATTTACCCAAAAGTCATTCAGGAGCAAATTATTCAATTTCCATGTGATTGTATGGTTTTGAGCTAACTCCATAGGCTTGATTTCTAATGTGATTGTGCTCTGGTCTGAGAGAGTGGTTGTTATGATTTCAGTTGTTTTGAATTTGATGAGGAGTGTTTTATGTCTGGATTTTAGAGTATGTACCATGTGAAGATGAGAATATATATCCTGTTGTTTTGGGATGGAGCATTCTGAAGATATTTATCAGGTCCATTTGATCCAGTGCTGAGTTCAAGACCTGAATATCTGTTAATTTTCTGCCTCAATGATCTGATACTGTCAGTGGAGACTGAAGTTTCCCACTATTGTTGTGTGCGAGTTTAAGTCACTCTGAAGGTCCTTAAGAATTTGTTTTATGATTCTGGGTCCTCTTGTTTTGGGTGAATATATATTGAGAATAGTTAGATATTCTTGTTTAATTGAACTTTTTGCCACTGTGTAATGCCGCTTTTTGTCTTTTTTGATCTTTGTTGGTTTAAAGTCTGTTTTGTCAGAAACGAGAATTGCAACCTCTGCTTTTTGTTGTTGCTGTTTTCTATTTTCTTGGTAAATTTTCCTTCATCCATTTATTTTAACCTATGTGTGTCCTTGCAGATGAGATGGGTCTCTTGAAGACAGCATGTCAATGGGTTTTGGTTCTTTACCCAGCTTGCCACTCTGTCTTTTAATTGGGGCATTTAACTCATTTACATTCAAGGTTAATATTGATATGTGTGGATTTGATCATGATGTTAACTGGTTATTATGCAGACTTGTTTATGTGCTTGCTTTATAGTGTCATTGGTCTGTGTATTTCAGCTTTTGTAGTGGCTGATAATGGTCTTTCCTTTCTATATTTAGTGCTTCCTTGAGGAGATTTTGTAAGGTAAGTTTGGTGGCAATAAATTCCCTCAGCATTTGCTTATTTAAAGGTCTTATTTCTCCTTTGCTTATGAAGCTTAGTTTAGCTGGATATAAAACTCTGGGTTGAAATTTCTTTTGTTTAAGAATAATGAGTATTGGCCTCCAATCTTTTATGACTTGTAGAGTTTCTGCTGACCTGTCCACTCTTAGTCTGATGGGCTTTTCTTTGTAGGTGACCTGGCCTTTCTCTCTAGGTGTCTTTAACATTTTTTCTTTTATGTAAACATTGGAGAATCTGATGATTATGTGTCTTGGGCATGATCTTCTCATGAAGTATGTTACTGGGTTCTCTGCATTTCCTGAATTTGAATGTTGGCCCGTCTAGTTAGCTGGGAAAGTTTTCATTGAAGAAATCCTGAAATATGCTTTCCAGAGTGCTTATACTCCCCCACTAACTCTTTCAAGGACACCAGTGAGTCAGAGATTTTATCTATTTACATAATCCCATATTTCTTGAAGGTTTTCTTTCTTCTTTTTTATTTTTTTTCTCTATTTTTGTCTGACTGTTTTATTTCAGAAAGTTGGTTTTCAAGCTCTGATATTCTTTCATGTACTTGGTCTATTCTGCCATTAATACTTGTGATTGCATTATGAAATTCCTGTAGTGTGTCTTTTAGCTCTATTAGGTCTGTTATTTTTTTTTCTTTACTGGCTATTTTGTCTGTCACCTCCTGCATCATTTTATTGTGTTTCTCAGCATCCTTGGTTTTGGTGTCAGCATATTCCTCATCTCAATGATCTTTGTTCTTATACATATTCTGAATTATATTCCTGTGACTTCAGCCATCTCAGCCCAGTTCAGAACCAGTGTTGGGGAGGTGGTGAAACAGTTTGAAGGAAAGAAAGCACTCCAGCTTTTTGAGTTGTCAAAATTCTTGCTGACAACTGGTTCTTTCTGATCTTTGTGGGCTGATGTTTTCAATCTTTTAAGTTGCTGATCTCTGGATTTTTTTCTTTTATTCTGTTTGGTAACTTTGAGGGTCTGATTGTGGTATAAGGTGAATTCAGCCAATTGGCTTTATTTCTAGAAAGGAAGGCCAGCATTCAGCTCACAACTCCTGGACTGTGCGCTCTAACTCTGGGGGACTTGTGTTGGACAGACTTTTTTCTCTGGTTTCTCAAGGTTAGGAATCCACTGTGCTGGAGTGCGAGAGGATGAGGTGCTTCCAGACCACTGATCATTACACTCCAATGGGTAGTATTGGCCAAATCACTTTGTAGTGTGGTGACAGCAGCATCTGTCCTCATTCGCATGTTCTAGCAGCAGCTGCAGTGTGGTGAGGTGCATGCTCATTCGCTGTGGCAGGGTGCCAACAGGTCCCTGAGATAATTCATCACAGTGGCACAGGCAACGTGACTAGAGTGGTGCAGGAGGCCCAGATGGAAACTGTGTGTGTGACTGTGCTGGTAGTTATGTTGGCACAGGAGCAGGACACTGGCAGGCACATGTCTGTATGCATTCTCTCTGTGCCACAGGCGGGGTGGTCACAATAAATAAACAAGCTAAAGACTGAGTAAAAATATTACATATTTTCATATAGAGAGAGAAGGAGAGAAAAAAGGGATTTCTCTTCAGAGTATATAAAATATTTACAGAAATCAGTAATGAGAAATTAAACATTTCAATTAAAAAATGGGCAAGCTATACTTCACCGGGGAAGATATATGGATAGCCAAACACCACAAGAAAAGATATTCAATATCATTCATCATAGTAGATTAAATGGTGGCTCTCAAAAGATATGCTCATGTCCTAATCTCTGGAATCTGTAAATGTTATTAACATTCACAGATGTAATTATGTTAAAGATCTTGATATAAGAAGACCGTCCTGGATTATCTGGGTGGGCCCTAAATCCAATAACAAGTTTTCTCATAAGAGATAAACAGAGGAACAGACAGACACAGAGTTGAGGACGATGTGAAGAGAACAAACAGAGATTGGAGTAATTAGATTCCAAGTGAAGGAATGTCAAGAGCTTCTAGAATTGAGAATCTTTAGAGGGAGTACAGCCCTGCCATCTCCTGGGTTTCAGACTTTGGCCTCCAGAAAAGTGAAAGATTAAATTTTAGTTGTTTCAAGTGATTGAATTTATGTTAATTTGTTATAGCAAATACAGAAAGCTAATATAGTCACCAAAAAAATGCAAATTAAAACCACATTATACCAGTACCATCTTCTAAAATGATAAAAATAAAAAAGATAACATCCAATGTTGGAAGTATGTGAAGCAAACAAAATCTCACACATTGCAGATATAAGTAAAAAAAAATAGTATTACTATTTAAAAAACATTTTGCAGTTTCTTGTAAATGCTTTCTTAATAACTAATGATGAAATTGTTCTATATCTTGACAAATGTGTGAGCTACCCAAGTGTTCATATTTGTCAAATTGTCAGCTCTCACCAAACCATACAGTTAAGAGCTGGGCATTTTACCATATTTAATTATACCTTTATAGGAACAAAAAAAATTTTAATGCAAATTTAAATTAAAAAACGATGCTAGCAAAAATAATTGATGGTGATAGAAATCTGAATATAGGTGGCCTCTGTAAAAATATTGATGAAAAGGGTCATAAACTTTTTGGAGTAATAAGGATTTTCTTCATCTTAATTTGTGTGTATGTGTTTGCCAAAACTCATCAAACTACTCTGACCATCTCGACATTTTACTGCAGGTAAAGTGTATCTCAATAAAATTAAAATAATATTTAAAATAAACTGTGATTCCAAGTATACAGGGAAATAATTAATTAATAAATATAATAGAAATGCTTTCTATCTGCCAGTGGTGCTATATAATGCAGATTGAGAAGGACAAGTTCCTAGAAGTGGTAAAGTCAGAAACTGAAGTGTGTTTTCATGCTTTCCTTGTTTAAAAAGTAGACGCAGGGTACATGTGCAAGTTTGTTATATAAATATATTGTGTAGTGATGAGATCTGTGCTTCTCATGTATCCATCGCCAAAATAGTGAACTTTGTACCCAATAGTTAATTTTTCAATCATCACCTCCCTCCCAACCGCCCTCCTTTTGGACTTCCCAGTGTCTGTTATTCTCTTCTGTATGTCCATGTGTACCTAGTGAAATATTGAAGCATTTTGTAGCCAAAAAAGTCAGAAATCAGAGGGCTTTAAAGGCAATAGAGTGATAACATTAATAGAAGAAAAGTGACAATAAAAAAAGATCCTCTAGGAGATGATAAATGAAACACTGTGTGTAGAAAGAAGCAGCTAACATGGCAAATTATGGCCATGATATATGTCAAATGTAAAACTAGACACAGGCTAATTTATGAAAGGCTTTGAATTTCAAACTATAAGATCTCGTAGCCATACATAAACAATATACACCTGCCCGTTATTTCTACTCAAAAAAATTTTTAGTATACTTATAGTAAGATCCTTAGTCACCAGTGTCATAGACAAATAAGAAGAAAAATATATTTTCTTAATTATGGACAATATGGGAAAGAAGTGCCCTAACGGACAACTATTCTACTCTCAATATTCCAGGATGAGAGGGTTCAGTGGCTTAATGTGTCTTCCCTTCAAGCCACGAACCAATAGAAATATTAATTTTTGCAAGAGAAGTCTCTGGAAGTCACTTAGGAAAACTAATGGGCCTTCAAATTTAAAAAAATCACTTACCAGCTGTGTAATTTTAGAAAGTTATTTGTTTCTTTTATCTTCAATGTTTCACCTTAAAATCAGTCAAATACTCACAATATATGGTTATAATGAAAGTTTCTGTGAGTTAATGGGTATAAAGTAACTGGCACAGCTGTCAGGATGTGGCAACTGCTCAATGTTGTGAGTACCTCTCTTTTCTTGGTCCTCCTGCAGGCTGATTTGGCTGACAACAGCTTGAGAATGAATCTCTGAAGAACAACTAGACAATGCCCTGGTTCTTGGGAAAACATATGTAGAACTTTGTCTCAGAACAAAGGAAAGGCTGCCCACATAATGTCTTCTAGTTAATTTGAATGCACAGCGTATTTTCTCTGTAGGGAAAGAGCCCCCACAGGGGTTAGGGTCCTTTGATTTAGAGATTGAACTTCTTGTTCTTTGTCATAACTAACCATGATTTCTTACTCAAAATCTCTCTTGGCATCCTTGACACCACAATCTTGGTTTTGCTCAGGTCTTTCTAACTTCTACAGCCTCTTTTGCTAATCTTGTTTTTCCTCATGGGGACTTGTCTATGGATGACTCCCAAATCTTGGTCTTCAGTTTAGATTTTTTTCCTGTGCTCCAGAACTCTATTTCCACTGCACGTTATGATATTATATTTCTATTTTCATGTTACAAAAGCATCACCAATTCAATTCCCCTTTAACAATTGAACTTACCCTCTAAAACCTGTGGGTGAAGGGGTGTGTGTGTGTGTGTGTGTGTGTGAGTGTGTTTAGGCATATACATGTTCCAAATATAAATGAATGCCATCATTAGCTACCTGACAACTAAAATAAAAGTCTAATGTTGTCACTGACTACTTTGGCTTCCTCTTGCTATATCCACCCTCCACAGATCACCAGTTCTATTTACTTATATATTTTTTAAACCTATAACTTTCATTCGATTCCAGCAGCCTTCATCCTAGTTTAGGCTGTTATGTACTCTCTGTGAGTTTGTGCAAGAGCTGCCTGATCCTAACTGAGCTCACTGCTTCTATTATCATTTCAAAAGTTTTTTTTATTCTTTTCTCTATACAGAATGATCATTTTAACATGCAATACAAAGTAAATGTAACAGGTATTATATTTAAAATATGAATAAACAAACAAATATGAGTACATCCCTGCCTAACTCTCTCCAGTATTTCTTCCAATATCTTCAGAATGTAATATGAACTCCCACAGAGAGTCCTTCATGATCTAGCCTCTCCTTACCTCTCTATCCTTAATCCTCAACACTACTGCTAGCATGCATTGTGTTCTTCTACTTGTAGTAACTTGGCATATTAGAAACTTTTTTTAGTATGTCATCCTCCCTTGCATTTTAGAACTGTAATTCCTCATGTGGCTTGTACTCCCCCACACTGTTATTTGGGTAATTGTTTGGATATTGTATCATCTTTAAATATTTGTTCATCTCCCAGTTTTGAATCTTACTCTCATTCTTTTCTAAAACAGTAGATGAAAAGTTAAAAGGAACCCTGTATGACTATTGCAGAAGGAGTATAAAGGGAACTGAGGAAGTGCAGGGGTAGAGGGAAGGTTGAGTACATTTCTCTTCCCATGTGCACTATGCAATTTTGTTGTTTGGTGTTCAAGGCAGCATTGATGCTAAATTCTTCTCTCTCCTTCTAAATTGATGGTTATGCTGAAGACAGGGATGCCTTTGCTTGAATTTAGATGTGAGACAAATCTGATGAAAAACTCAGAAGTACAATTGAATTCATTGAGGAAAAATTACAGTAAATGTATATTTTTTATTTTATCAAAAACATTATTTAATAAAAAGCATAGGAAAAATCTCAGCTCATTTTTTCTTTTATGATAATCACCAGTATTTTGACTTATTGAACCTTAAATGTATTCTAGATTTCATGTTAGAATAAAAGCTTACAACAGTCAATCTTTTTCTCCCAAGCTTAAACTTGATCCCAAAATTTCACATGAATGTTGGAAAATCTCATCTTAGGTCATTGCCAACTCTTATATTGCTATTGCCACTTGGTCTCGGTGCCTTCTATAAGATCTAAACCGAGAAGACAAAGACATCTTCTTATACAATCTTCTCCAGCATAAGAGAAGCAGGTGACACTCCATCTTAACTTCTGCAATAAACTCTTTCCTACCTCGGAGAAGACTGGACCCTTGTCTCACTTTACAATATCTCCACTTCCTCTCAATACAGCTGCACTTTCATTCACCTCAACAATGAACAATCCATAATACAACATTATAGCCCTCATAAAGAGCAGAAAAGTGGAAGAACATGGGATATAAAAGAGTCCCATTTGGTTTGTGCTTATACTTACTCTTAAATTTTTAGCTTGTATACTTAGAGAAGGCTAAGACTAAAGTTATTATCGTTTCCTACTTCCAATCATCCTTTCTAATATCACATGCTTTTATTTTCAAGAATTTTAGTTCAAATTTGTTTTTGTTCCTTCTTCTAATTTGTTATTTCCCTACGAAGTTGATGTTCATTTAAATTTCTTTATGTGCTGACCAATTTATTACTCCCATTCTTTCTTGCATTTGAGTTCTTCTTTGGGGTTCAATATTCTCCTTTTGAAGCGTATCTTTTTGAGGTACCTTTAGTGAGTATCTGTTGGTGAAAACTAATCTGCCTGTTTGCCGGAAAATGATGTGATTTACTCTTTTATCTTTAATAATTTTTTTGAACATAAGATCCCTGCTTTCAAAATAGTACAATCTCCTAAAAAAATCAAAGTATGTATGTAGACATATACATATAGTAACACATTTTACATTTGGTTACTTTTCAGAACTCACATGTTCAATATTATGTTTGATTTTCAAACATATAAAACTATTGTGATTTTGATTATCATACTTGAATATATGAATTCAAAGCCCTGAAGTAAAATACTTGCCAGCTAAAATCCGATACTCAATTATACTGTAGGAGTTAGTATGAAGTAAATATCTTTACTGCTTCTTTTTTTTAAAACTCTATGTTCTAGGATACATGTACAGAATGTGCAGGTTTGTTACATAGGTATACATGTGTCATGGTGGGTTGCTGCACCTATCAACCCGTCATCCAGGTTTTAAGCCCCACATGCCTTAGGTATTTGTCCTAATTCTTTCCCTACCCTTGCTCCCCACCCCCTGACAGGCCCCAGTGTGTGATGTTCCCCTCCCTGTGTCCATGTGTTCTCATTGTTCAACTCCCACTTGTGAGTGGGAACATGCGGTGTTTGGTTTTCTGTTCTTGTGTTAGCTGCTGAGGATGATGGCTTCTAGCTTCATCCATGTCCTTGCAAAGGACGTGAACTCATTCTTTTTTATGGCTGCATAGTATTGCATGGTGTATATGTGCCACATTTTCTTTATCCAGTCTACCATTGATGGGCATTTTGGTTGGTTCCAAGTCTTTGCTATTGTAAGTAGTGCTGCAATAAACATACATGTGCATGTGTCTTTATAGTAGAATGATTTATAATCCTTTGGGTATATACCCAGTAATGGGATTTCAGGGTTTCTCATTCTAGATCCGTGAGGAATCACCACACTGTCTTTCACAATGGCTGGACTAATTTACATTCCCATCAACAGTGTAAAATCATTCCTATCTCTCCACGGCCACGCTAGCATCTATTGTTGTTGACCTTTTAAGAATCGCCATTCTGAGTGGCATGAGATGGTATCTCATTGTGGTTTTGATTTGCATTTCTCTAATGATCAGTGATGATAAGCTTTTTTCATATGTTTATTAGCTGCACAAATGTCGTCTTTTGAGAAGTGTCTATTCATATCCGTTGCCCATTTTTTGATGGGGTTGTTTGTTTTTTTCTTGTTAATTTGTTTAAGTTCCTTGTAGATTCTGGATATTAGACCTTTGTCAAATGGGTAGATTCAAAAATTTTCTGTCATCCTGTAGGCTGCCTGTTCACTCTGATGCTAGTTTCTTTTTCTGTGCAGAAGCTCTTTTGTTTAATTGGATCCCATTTGTCAATTTTGGCTTTTGTTGTAATTGCTTTTGGTGTTTTAGTCATGAAGTCTTTGCCCAAGCCTATGTCCTGAATGGTATTGCCTTGGTTTTCTTCTAGAGTTTTTACAGTTTTGGGTTTCACACTTAAGTCTTTAATCCATCTCGAGCTAATTTTTGTATAAGGTATAAGGAAGAGGTCCAGTTTCAGTTTTCTGCATATGGGTAGCCAGTTTTCCCAGAACCATTTATTAAATAGGGAATTCTTTCCTCATTGCTTGTTTCTCTCAGGTTTGTGGAAGATCAGATGGTTGTAGTATGATTTAGAAGATATTTACAAGGGCATAAATATCTTTTCAATCATACAAGAGCCAAAGGATTTTTTTTTTCTTACCAGTAAACCTTAATTAAATGAAATTGTTAAACACGTTCTTCACACAAAATGAAAGTTATCAATTGGAAAGATAGGGACATAGGAATAAAGAACAATTAAAAATGAACAAAAAGGAATATCTAAATAATATCCTATAGGGGTTCTAAATATAAGTATAAATTGTATGTAAGTCAACAATTGCATATAAGTTAAGAGAAATATTAATGGAGTTTAAATAATTTTGCATATTTTAGGTAGAATAAATATAACAAGTTATTTTAGTCTTCAGTAAGTCAATATGCATGTTCTCATCTCCAGGGTAGCATATATATATATAAAATATATATATTATATATATATATAAAATATATATATTATATATATATATAAAATATATATATTATATATATATATAAAATATATATATTATATATATATATAATATATATATTATATATATAAAATATATATATAATATATATATTATATATATAAAATATATATATATAATATATATATTATATATATATATATAAAATTTCTAAGCCAATAGAGGGGAAACAGAATAATAAATAATCATTAATTCAAAAGATGTTAAGAACAAGAGAAAAAAGAGCATAGTAAATGGTAAGGCTAAATTATTATACACAAAATATCAGTAATGGTATTAAGTATGAATGGACTATAAGCTCCAATTAAAGACTAAATGAATAGAAGACATCACCACAGATTTTACAGACATTAAATAATTATAAAATAATTTTATTTAAAAATTTTTACTAATAAATTAAAAAATTCAAACAAAATGACAAATTTCTAAGTAAATAAAAATGTGGAAAATGGAAACAAGATGAAATAGAAAATTAGAGTAGTCTTCTACCAGGAAAAATAAATCTAGAGTTATACATTTTCCACAAACAAAATTTCAGTCTCAGAAAGACGATGTGAATAAGTTGAACAAGTATTCATGCATATTAGCAAATGTTCTTATATATAAATAGCATAATTTTATACATAGAAAGTTTTAAAATTATTTACAAATTATCAGAATTAGAGAATTTTGTAAAATTATTTCATAACAAGTCAATATATAAAATTAATTGTTAAGGGTCCAGAAGGAGACTCTCAAATATATGATCACCTAATTTATGACAAAGATGGAATGGTAGTACAACAAAGAAGTGATGGAATTTCCTGTAAATGGTGCTAGATAAATTGATTATCTAAATGGAAAAAAATGGATTGTGACAACTGTCATCTCCCATCATAATCAAAAATTAATTCCAGATATTAATGTTAATGTAAAAAGTTAAATAAAAAAGGTTTAAAGGAAATTAAGGGAGAAATAACTTCGTGGTAAAGAAATTTCTGTCAAAAAATATATTAAAAACATGGGAAGGAAAAAATAATATATTGAATTGCATTAATATGAAGAATGTCTCTTCATCTAAGGGCACTATTAAGGGAATAAAACTGCAAGCCACAGAATATGAGAAGATATTTGAAATTCATAAATCGGATTTTAAAAATTTGTATCCAGAATGTATGTAATAAACTACAAATCAATAAGAAAGAGGTAGAAAACCTAATACAAATATCAGCAAAAACTTGGATACTTCAACAAAGAAGATATGCATTTAATTAATAAACATATGAAAGATTATCAATTTAATTGGTTATCTGGGATATGCTAAGAAAAACTATAGTTAAATTCCACAGCACAAAAATGAAATAGTAATTTTAAAAACGCAAAAATTACCTAGTGTCAGTTAAACTGTATATCAACAGAAACTTTCAAACAATGCTGATATAACCACTCTGAAAATCTTTTTGATAGTATCTTATAAGGTTGGGCATACATGTAGTTTCAGACCCAACAATTTGCTTCTTACATACCTAACAGATTTTTATATTCACTAAAATATATGGGCAAGAATCTTCATAAAAATTACCCTAAAGAGTCCCAAACTGTAAACAATAAATAACCAGTAGAATAGAAAAATATAATATATAAATTAACAGTAGAATAAATAAGTAATACTATATTTATACAATGGTATATTGTACAGCAATAAGAATGAACTATCTACACTACCTGCAACAATGTAAATGAATCTCACAAAATTATTTTAGGCAAAGAACACAAGACAGAAAAAAGTACATAACCAAATTTCAATAATGTAAAATTATAAAGCAGTCAAAATTAATCTATGGTGCTAAAAGTCAGAATAGCAATGACTCTAGCAGGCAGTGGACAGGTAGAAACTGCACAAAGGGTTTTAGTAATATGTTGCTTGATCAGGGTGCTAGTTTCAGATTTGTTTATGAGTACTCATCAAGCTGTATCCTTACAATGTGTACAGTTTTCTATAGGTACGTAAATAAATGAAACTACACTAAATATGTAGATCAGATTAGGTGCCACCTGTTTAGAACTTTGGTCACTTCCCATTATAGTTAAAATAATCAAAATTATAAAATCACTTTTATTATGGAAAACTTTATACAATTATGAAAAATTTAGATAGATTATATGTTTTCTAGAAAATATATTATTCCAGAAAAATGATAGAATTTGAGGAGTCCAATCACTTTAGAAGTAATTTGAAGCACCATTTGTTAAATAGGGAATCCTTTCCACATTTCTAGTTTTTGTCAGGTTTGTCAAAGATCAGATGGTTGTATATGTGTGGTATTATTTTTGAGGGCTCTGTTCTGTTCCACTGGTCTGTATCTCTGTTTTGGTACCAGTACCATGTTGTTTTGGTTACTGTAGCCTTGTAGTACAGTTTGAAGTCAGGTAGCGTGATGCCTCCAGCTTTGTTCTTTTGGCTTAGGATTGACTTGGCAATGCGAGCTCTTTTTTGGTTCCATATGAACTTTAAACTAGTTTTTTTCCAATTCTGTGAAGAAAGTCATTGGTAGCTTGATGGGGATGGCATTGAATCTATAAATTACCTTGGGCAGTATGGCCATTTTCACGATGTTGATTCTTCCTATCCATGAGCATGGAATGTTCTTCCATTTGTTTGTGTCCTCTTTTATTTCATTGAGCAGTGGTTTGTAGTTCTCCTTGAAGAGGTCCTTCACATCCCTTGTAAGTTGGATTCCTAGGTATTTTATTCTCTTTGAAGCAATTGTGAATGGGAATTCACTCATGATTTGGCTCTCTGTTTATCTGTTATTGGTGTATAAGAATGCTTGTGATTTTTGCACATTGATTTTGTATCCTGAGACTTTGCTGAAGTTGCTTATCAGCTTAAGGAGATTTTGGGCTGAGACGATGGGGTTTTCTAGATATACAATCATGTCATCTGCAAACAGGGACAATTTGACTTCCTGTTTTCCTAATTTAATACCCTTTATTTCTTTCTCCTGCCTGACTGCCCTGGCCAGAACTTCCAACACTATGTTGAATAGGAGTGGTGAGAGAGGGCATCCCTGTCTTATGCCAGTTTTCAAAGGGAATGCTTCCAGTTTTTGCCCATTCAGTATGATATTGGTTGTGGGTTTGTCATAAATAGCTCTTATTATTTTGAGATACATCCCATCAATACCTAATTTATTGAGAGTCTTTGGAATGAAGGGCTGTTGAATTTTGTCCAAGGTCTTTTCTGCATCTATTGAGATAATCATGTGTTTTTTTTCTTTGGTTCTGTTTATATGCTGGATTACATAGGCATGGGCAAGGACTTCATGTCTAAAACACCAAAAGCAATGGCAATAAAAGCCAAAATTGACAAATGGGATCTAATTAAACTAAAGAGCTTCTGCACAGCAAAACAAACTACCATCAGAGTGAACAGGCAACCTACAGAATGGGAGAAAATATTTGCAATCTACTCATCTGACAAAGGGCTAATATCCAGAATCTACAAATAAACAAATTTACAAGAAAAAAGCAAACAATCCCATCAACAAGTGGCTAAAGTATATGAACAGACACTTCTCAAAAGAAGACATTTATGCAGCCAACAGACACATGAAAAAATGCTCATCATCACTGGCCATCAGAGAAATGCAAATCAAAATCACAGTGAGATACCATCTCACACCAGTTAGAATGGCAATCATTAAAAAGTCAGGAAACAACAGGTGCTGGAGAGGATATGGAGAAAGAGAACACTTTTATACTGTTGGTGAGACTGTAAAGTAGTTCAACCATTGTGGACGACAGTGTGGCGATTCCTCAGGGATCTAGAACTAGAAATACCATTTGACCCAGCCATCCCATTACTGGGTATATACCCAAAGGATTATAAATCATGCTGCTATAAAGACATATGCACACACATGTTTATTGTGGCACTATTCACAATAGCAAAGACTTGGAACCAACCCAAATATCCAAAAATGATAGACTGGATTAAGAAAATGTGGCACATATACACCACGGAATAACATGCAGCCATAAAAAAGGATGAGTTCACGTCCTTTGTAGGGGAAGCTGGAAACCATCATTCTGAGCAAACTATCACAAGGACGTAAAACCAAACACCACATGTTCTCACTCATAGGTGGGAACTGAACAATGAGAACACTTGGACACAGGAAGGGGAACATCACACACTGGGGACTGTTGTGGGGTTGGGGGAGGGGAGAGGGACAGCATTAGGAGATATACCTAATGTAAATGATGAGTTAATGGGTGCAGCACACCAACATGGCACATGTATACATATGTAACAAACCTGCATGTTGTGCACATGTACCCTAGAACTTAAAGTATAATTAAAATGTATATATATATGTGTATATATATATATATATATATATATATATATATATAAAAGAAAACAACAACGACCCTCAAACCTAAAGTCACAATGGAAAAAGAACAAATGCACAATGAGATGCAGCCTGCTTGGG
Source organism: Homo sapiens (assembly GCF_000001405.40). Taxonomy (NCBI): domain Eukaryota; kingdom Metazoa; phylum Chordata; class Mammalia; order Primates; family Hominidae; genus Homo; species Homo sapiens. The sequence continues at coordinate 43,618,536 of NC_000018.10, forward strand.
GAGAAGGCTAATGATCAGAGAGGACCACCAGCCAAGGCATTGTAACTAGCTTTGATTACTCAAGACCCAACAGGGACCCACAAGAATGATAAAGATAGACTATTTCACCAGGGAGGATGGTCAAATCAAATCACTTTATAAAGAATGGAATGCAACATTTTGTACCTCATGAATCTATTTTGAAAGCCTTAGAAATAAAATTTTCTACAGCAAAAAAAAAGAAGTAATTTGAAATATAAACAAAGATCTACTCTAGAAAACACACCAGCCACTGAAAGTATGATGAAAAAATTATACTAATTAAGAAACAGATGATGCAGATATGTTAAATACACTGTTCCAAAACATAATGAAACAGAATATTTCACAACATAACCTATCAGTTTGCAGTAGCATCAGCATCAAAACAAAATATTATCAGGGTACAAGCATTTCTATATGCACAATCACACACATTTATATGTACAAATATACAGAAAGAAGGCCAATCTCACCTATAAACATAACATAAATTCAAAATAAAATATTGTAAGTTTATTCTAAGCCAATAATAAAATAATTTTTTAAATATTAACCAATTTAAAAAGACAAACGTCATCATTTTAGTTTATGCTGAAAAAAGTCATTTAATAAAATTCAATAATCTTTCCATATAATGCTCTCTTAGCTTGATAGAGCTTTTCTACCAGAAACTTGTAGCATACTAACATGATAAATAGTGATAAAATAGTTAAAGCTATATTCATGCAAGAAGTTAAGTGTGTCTGCCTTCAAAGAGAATAAACTGACCATATATATACACACACACAGCTGATATATATATACATAACTGATATATATATACACATAGCTGATATATATACATAGGCGATATATAATATATATAACCAGTAAAATAGAAAAGTATAATAAATTCACAGTATAAATAATTATATTTTTAGCTATAACAACTATATATATAGCTGATATATATATATTTATATATACACACACACACACACACACACACACATATATCTCAATTTTTAGCTATATCAGCTCAGCTCTCTCTGATACAGATAAAAATTGAGTTCAACCAGAATTGGATGCTTATCAACAGGCACAATTCTCTAATTTTCTACATATCATTAATAATTGACTAGAAAATGATATAATAGCTATTTATTATCACAGCTATTTTTTTAAGATTTGTGGATAGAGAATGAACATGAGCTTTAATGAGATCACCGGAATTATGATGAGCAGGTTTAGAATTTGGAGCATCCTAAAGTTAAGGCATAGAATATGTCCTTGTGATATTCAGAGCCAGCTTTGGACAAAACTACACAATGCAAAGATTGACATATGCCTATTTTCTAACCATTCTTAAATATCATTCTAGCTCCTGATGATTGACATTTTAATGCTGCTCCAGATATCACAGTCCTTCCCTCACACACACAGTGAAATATTGCCTTTCCTGAACTGTATCCATGTGTCTTTACTCACTCCTTCCTCCAAACATAGATTTATCCACCCTATAATTCCATGGTCTTAGTGCTCCAATCTCTCTTTACCAAGGTATAGAAAAGTTCATTTAGAAACTTCATGGTAAATGTTTGTTTGTTGTTTGTTTGTTTTTGAGATGAAGTCTCGCTCTTGTCCCCCAGGCTGGAGTGCAATGGCACGATCTCGGCTCACTGCAACCTCCGCCTCCCAGGTTCAAGCAATTCTCCTGCCTCAGCCTCGCGAGTAGCTGGGATGACAGGCACCTGCCCCCACACCTGGCTAATTTTTTTTATGTTTAGTAGAGACGGAGTTTTACCATGTTGGCCAGGCTGGTCTGGAACTCCTGACCTTAGGTGATCCGCCCGCCTCAGCCTCCCAAAGTGCTGGGATTACAGGCGTGAGCCACCGCGCCTGGCCTAGTAAATGTTAATGACTTAAAACTTTAATATGTCACCACTCCAATGCTTATTTGCTTATTTTGGTGAAGCAGAAACTTTATTTCAAAGGACTGAGTCTTTAATGAAGGTAAAATGTTAGAAACAGAGAAAGAAGTATTTGAAGTGAAAACATTGATGGGAGAAAAATAAATGAACACTGGTTTTCTCCTACCCCATGGTTTCCACAGACTTGGATAAGTAAAAGTAAAATTAGCATATTAATGAGATAGATACATCTTTGAATGAACCCAGCAAAAACAAAATAAAATACAACAAAAAGTGATGTGAGGTTTAAAATTTATTCTTTTCCACCCAAGTTGGGGCTTGGTAGTGAGGATTGGTCTGCTAGTAGGGATGGCTCAAGAGAAAGCAAAAGACTAGCATCAATGAGTCAAGAATAAATCTGTGATAGTGCTTTCATTTAAATAATAGGAAACTCAGCCCCTACTTAGTGCAGAGCCTTGTACACACTAACGATGGATGCATACATTAAGTTCTTTGCCCAGTATGTTCCTTTCTTACTGGACAGCTTGTTGAAAATGCAAGACCACAGGCCCATACCCAACAGATTTTGGGGTAGGGCCAAAAGTTAGCATTTTTGATGTGCAGGTGAGGTGATCTAATGTCACACTGAAAAATAATAGAAATGTGATTACTTCTTTGAACAACAGATGGCAGTAGAGTCAAAAGAAAGATTTTCCTAGCCCCAGCAATTGTCAGGAAACAGAGGCGTGGTATCTTTGACCCTTCTCCTTTGCAAAGGAATGCTTTAGAAAATAAAGAGCTTCTTTAAAAGTTTGCCAGCTCAAAACATCATTCTTATCATATATGATTCTTTTACCCGATGACACCTTATATGTTTTCAGTAATTAAAAATTTTTTAAACTTTTAAAAAATATCTATTATTGCATTGTCCTGCTCCACGAAGACTATTTACTCTACCCACTCACCTACTCAAAATTTATATTTGAAATGATTATTTATAATCATTAAAATAATATTTGAGTATCTACACGGTTTGCTATTTTATCTACTCAACAAAGCTAATGCAATTTTAAGTTTGTGCAGTTTATTCCAGGGTAGACTCTGGGAAACCATACTCACATACTTCTGAGAGATACAAATAAATACAAAGATAATTAAGGGCAAGAGAATTTGGTAAATGATATCAGTCCATCCTTGGAAAATTCAATATTTTTTCAGCATGAGATGACATGAGGGTTGGGGCCTAAGTTTCCAAAAACAGTAAGTCCAACAGAGAGATGGGAGAGAGAGGTCATAGGAGGGAATATTCCCTGCAGGGGACCCCATTTTGCAAAAAATGGTGACTTAGGGGAATCTCAGGTAACTTAGTATGACTGGGGCAAAGATTTCAGGTGGGATATAAAATAAATTTAGTCAGAATAAGAGGAGACCAGACCATTAAAAGTCTCAATTCCCAAGCTAAGAAACTTGGAGTGTTCAAAGTACAATACCATGGAGTATAAAGTAGGCAAGTACAAAGCTCAGTCACATCCATTGTACCCTTTGGTCTTCATAAAACCAGATGAGGTGGTCAGGAAAGAATTCTGATAAAAATGTATTAGAGGAAGATACAAAGTATTGGAAGTATTAAGTAATATCCCCCAAGATCATACACCTCTGTTTGGAACAGACCTAGAAAGAGAAAGAGGCTTCTGAGTTATGCTCAATATTCTGCCCAAGACATTCAACAGCCTCATGCCCTACATGCACTTGGCCCGCAAGACATAACCACTTCCACAATTCACTGAGCACCCACTTTGAGTCTGTCAAAGATTAAATCTTTCACATGAAACCTACCCGGAGAGCTATTAAGCCCATCAAACAGACAAGGATGTTGTGACTCTGAAAGTCAGGAAGGTGGAACAAATTTTAGAGAATGAAGGGTTCGAGGAATGTAAATTTTATTGGTCTTAACTTTAGATATGTTTCCTATCCAGCTGTGTCAGGAGCAATGAAATAATGTGCTCTGCTCGCTCTTGATCTTTGGGCATTTGTGGTTGAGAAAGCATTGTGTTTAGAACTATAGAAAAATGACAGAAAATTAAACATTCCTGTAAATTTCAAGCTTTCCTATTTCTTGAATTGACCTTATCTTCAGACTGAAACATCCTCATTTTGTACTCCTAAACAGATCATATGAAGTTCATATTAATATTCATGCCTTACAGATGAGGAAATTGAGATCCAGTGAGGTTAAATCACTTGTACCTACACAGCTAATAAATGTCAGGCAGACAAAGCAAATTGTAGGACACAACGAGTAAGATGTTATTCAGCCTATTTATATGAATAGCATATAAAGATAATAAAGATAGATTATCTTTGTAATATTTCATTTTCTGATTATAAAATAAGGTATCTTCATTGAAATTTGAAAAGAAAATAAATTTTTGTCATCCAAACAACTAAATACTATAACTATATATAATATAAAAGGAAAATATTCTAAAGAAAGTAATGATAAGCACTTAACATTCTATCGCATCAAAGTTTCTCAAAAAACTGTCCTCATCAATAGAAGGCAATAGTAGCAAGTTCACAACATATTTAATGGATATATACTAAAATCATCACCCTACAGCTCTATCACCCTATGATCATCAGCCTACTAATAATTTTTGATTCATGGAAAATATAATAAGCATTTACAAAATTATAAGTCATGCTGTCTATGTTGAATTAAAACTTTAATATCTAAATAAAACAAGAATAAGCACTCATACATTCTAGATAGGGAATATTAAAAATAAAGACAGGACCTGTGAAGTAAACCAAACTTGTACCCGGAGGGAAATTCATTGCTTCCAATGTTCTTTTATTATTTATTACTATTATTATTATTATAAAAATAGAAAATCTAGGAAACATTCCTTTCAAATTAGTGACATTCTAGTTATCACATGACAGGAAAAGATAAGAGAATGACATTAGGAAGATGACAGAATTGCAATAAATATCTCAATCATATTTGAGTGATGTCTTAGAATTCTTTTGAGAGCAAGTGACAAAAACTCAAAGAAGCTTAACCAAGGAAAGTTTTTTTAAAAAAATTCAGTAAATTTTAAAAAAGCTAATAGACATGACAGAATAAATTAAGTAATCAGGGCTATTGTGGACCAATAGGACAGAAAGCACATGGTTGATGCCCTCGCTCCCTTGCTCTATTTTGCTCTCTCTCGCTTTTTTCCCTTGGTTAGTTTCTTCTTCAGGAGACTGCAAAATGGCCAGAATATTCCTCACCTTTTAGATTTTTCACATGAGAAGCAATAGGTTTGTCTCACAAGCTATAGTTCAAACAAGCTTGTGGAAGAATGTTTCAAAGCCTCACTTGAGTCATTTACCATTTCAAAAACAATATATTCTCCTCCCCTTTGGACAAAGGTAAATTTTCATTAAAATTATGGGGAAATCATTCTTGGAAGCCCAAACCAAAGGATGATACCAAGTGTTCCTAAAATGAAATTACGTGATAGAAATAATATAAGATTGTGGAAGTGAGAGCCAACTTTCCACCCTCAGCTTGAACTGGAAGAGATGCTGCACTGAGACATAATAAAAGTACCAAAAACCACCCATAAAAATAAAAGAAAGCAAATAAAGATATAAGATTTAAAAATAAATATACATATACAAATGGAAAACTATGAACTTAATAAATAATGCAGGCCAAGCACAGTGGCTCACACCTATAATCCCAGCATTTTGGGGGACTGAGGTGGGTGACTAGCTTCAGCCCAGGAGTTCAAGACCAGCCTGGACCACATAATGAAACCTCACTTCAACAAAAAATATAAAAATTGGCTGGGCATGGTGGCACACCTATAGTCCCAGCTACTCAGGAGGCTAAGGTGGAAGGATTACTTGAGCCCAAGAGGCTGAGGTTACAGTGAGCCAATATTGGGCCATTGCACTCCAGCCTGGGCAACAGACTGAGACACTGTCTATAAATAAATAAATAAAGCAATATGTGGTTCTTTGTATGTTGTATGGTTTTATTTGTAAATAAAATATATTTTAATATTTAATATTATATTCTTTGTATTGTATTATTTGTAAATAAAGTATATTATAAAATATTTAATATATTATGTTCTTTGTATTGTATAATTTTATTTGTAAATAAAATAATACAATAAGAAAATACATGACAATTTGAAAAAGTTTATATAAAGATAGAGAAATGATTAAAAAACAATTACTTTTCAAAAATTTAGTAAACATAAAGAAGACAGAAAGCTATCTACATACTGTATGCATTTAGAGTAGCATCAGTCCTCACATAAGGGTCTGGGGCTTCAACTAATAACCCAGATTTTACTGTTTCCTTTCATCTATTTCTTTTCTCTCCTCCAACTCCTTTTAGAATACCTCTACACCAATCCATCTGAGAACCCCCCAGAATGTCTCATATGCATTTGTGTCTACCCACAAGTCTAGTAAGCTTTCCAGTTAGTTACTGTGTGGCATTGGTGTTTCTTTCCTCTCTGGGCTTCTGGTGTTGAGTACCGATAGCTGCACTGGACTTCATGGTCTTCCAGGAAGGACCGAGGCCTCTTGCCGGGCATCTTCCAGCTTCTCCTCTTTCATCCAGAAAGCACCTTCTTCTGCCGGAGCCCACTTTAGCTAGGAATTGGCATCCAGGAGATGAAAAGCTAAATGTTTCTGGTTTCAATAGGAACCCTCTGAGACACCACAGTGGTGCTGCTCACATCCCAATGTCTTAGTGACTTTAGGAAATAAAGCAGCTCTGTAATTTTTTTTCTTACATCCTCGCTATTCAACACCATACTCAGTACATAAATCCAGATGGGATCCGGACAGTAAAATAAATCTGAATGACAGATAATGTGCTGTCCTCAAAAATGACTCTCCTCCTTTTCAACTGAAAGAAGACATTTGTTTATTTCAGTGAAAACGAGTTCATTATTATCTGTTCCTACTTCCTTGGGAGTGATTATTCTGTCAGATACATGCTAAGTGCAAATTTTCTGCATAGCAGAAACCGGGTCTTGAATCCAGGTGTTCTGATTCTGAGTTTATTTCTCTAAACATTGGTAATGACCATAGAAAGTCTATTTTAAAAGGAAACACAAACCAAAGACTAATAAAACTATATGCAACTAGAGAGAATTGTATCATGATTTAGATGAGCTCTGCTTTCTACCCTTCTCAATTTAAGTGGGGGTTCATGTTATCCCTTACTTTCATTGTCATTTTCCTTGGTCCAGTGTTCTCCTAGGTCTCCAAATGAAGCTATCACTTGCAGTCTGCAAAACACAACACTGCACTAATTTAATTCTGTTTTATCTCACGTTGCTCTCTAATTGGTTTATGTATGTCAATCATCTTTCTGGCTAGACAGTGAATCTTCAACAGGCAGGAATCACACTATTGTGACCCCACAGAGTCTCATGTGGGGTTGTGCATGGTGCAGGAGTGAGCCTACTTATTTTCACTTATTTTCATTCATATCTAACCTACATGCAGAACCAGTCTTTCTCCTTTCCTAGAACTGAATACTGAAATCATTAATGTAAAAATCAATTTGTATTAGAAATTTCTCAAATCATATTCCTATTTTATTAGCATGTAATTTTCTGAATACAGTAGAAAAATCTCTGCCTCTTAATGAATTCTATTTCAAATGTTCTCATTATAAGACTTTCAAATCTCATTAACTAAACCAAGCATTAAAAATACAATAATAATAAAATGAAACAGGAAACTGTTGATATGATTAGATTTGGGTAACTTTCCTCTTTTAGTGAGGAAGAAAATGTGGTTTGAGTAAATGATAACTCAAGCATAGGAAGCGTACTTTACAAAGCACAAGGAATACATTTCTTTACATGTTCTAGTAGAATCAACAATTTTCCTAGTCAATTGTAGCTGAGCTAGAGTTATAAATATAAGTAGGAAAATGGTGTATCTTAACAAGGGCATGTTGGCATTAGCATTTTTATGATGTGTATTTTCAACAGTGATGCAGAATAAAAACACGCACCACATAAAGATACCATCTTCTATTTCCCATCCTCATGTACAATGGTCCAAGCCTTTATTATACTGTTTATTGTGGAATTTGAACCCAAGTTTATTGACTGCTATCTACTCAAGACCTCTTTACCACATTTTTCTGAAAACGTAGGGCAAAACAACATGTGAGCAAGTAGCATAGGTTTCTAAAACGTGTTGGTCTTGCCCTAGCGTTTTTCTTATCTCTTAGATATACTCCTTGGAGGCAGAGCAAAGAAACAAAAGATAAGAAAAACAAAACAAAACAGATGAATAATCAATCATTCAGTTCTGGCACATTTAAAGTCATTAGAGAATCATAAATTGCCAGAGCTAGAAGCAATCTTCAGATCGTTCTAGACTTCCTGGCAATATAACTGAGAGTAGTGGCAGCATAGAAGCAAAATTATTTACTCCAAATTGGCTGCTAATTGAAGGTAGAATACTCAGCTCGTAACACTCCTCAGCAGGCTGAATGTTCACTAAAGCATATAATCCATTCCTTAATCTGTCCCCTTTTTTCCTGTTTGCTGAAATCATATCTTGTTAGGGCCTGTATCTATTCAGCCACCATATCGCCTTCTGTAAGTGCTCCTGCTGCTGCTTCCTGTTGCTCCTATGAGGAGAGCTGGGGTTAGGGAAAGAATTTGAGGAGACCCAGGGGCTAGAGTCATCCTGCCAGTAAAGGTACCTCTGATGTCTTGACTAAATCACTGTACCACTTTGGGTCTCATTTCTTCACCCCACAAAAAAACGAGGAGGAGTATATGGTAGAGACTTGCCATTCAAAATATGATCCTATGACCAGCAGCACTGGCTAACCTTGGAGCGTGTTAGAAATACAGAAACTCTGGGCTGGGCGCGGTGGCTCACGCCTGTAATCCAAGCACTTTGGGAGGCTGAGGCGGGCAGATCACGAGGTCAGGAGATCGAGACCATCCTGGCTAACATGGTGAAACCCCGTCTCTACTAAAAATACAAAAAATTAGCTGGGTGTGGTGGCGGGTGCCTGTAGTCCCAGCTACTAGGGAGGCTGAGGCAGGAGAATGGCGTGAACCCAGGAAGCGGAGCTTGTAGTGAGCCGTGATCGCGCCACTCCACTCCAGCCTGGGCGACAGAGCGAGACTCTGACTCAAAAAAAAAAAAAAAAAAAAGAAAGAAAAAAAAAACAAAAAACAATCTCAGGCCCCACCATAGAGCTACTGAATTGGGATCTGCATTTTAACAAAATGTCCCAGTAATTCACATACACACTTAAGTTGGAAAAATGCTGAGGGGATTTACAAAATGTTCTTCCTTCTGTTACATATTATTCATGCTTTTTAGTAGGGAAATAATTCAACTGCATCAGTTTTTCCCACTGAGAAAAGCCATACTACTGGTGATACACAGAGACAGGAAAGCTTTATCCAGGGCCCTTCAAGTCTCACCATCTAATCACCATCTCTCCCTCCATGTAGACTCAGCTTTGAAGTAGACCTTCCTCCCACTGCCGCTCCGTTTCTGCCCATATAATGAAGGCTTACCACTTTCTGTAAGCTTTGTCTGCATGACCTCATCCAGCTGGGAGATCCCCCTGCCAGGCCAGCAAATGACCAATCCCATAATGCCTTCTGAGGACAGCACCCTGGGAAGGTAAGTGACTGGGCAAAGGTTACCTGGCAAATGGTGGGTGGAAATGAAAACCCAGGGAGATGGCTTACCACCTGGTGAGGTCCTAAAACCATTAGAGCACTTTGGGCTAATGCTGCTCTCAGCTGCATTATATTTCATGCACATTTCCTGCCCTGGAGCCATTGTTTCCCTTGTAATTACAGACTCATATTCAGCTGCCTTGAGAACGCTGATGGCTGTAAAAGAGAATACTCACCACAGTGGGTGGGAAGGGCTGGTCAAATTGAAGATCTTCTATTGTGTAAGGCTGGAAATCTGTGATTTTGGCTGACTCCCCACCACACACACAAAAAATTTATATGCATATTGTGCTCCTAAAACCCCCCTTTGGTTAATGTTGTCATGCAAAGGTTAAGCAGAAATAAACATGCAGGAGATGAGGCAGATCCAAGTGGAAGGCAAGCAGAAAACCACGTTTTTGGATTAAAAATCACAGATTATATTGGTTAAAATTAATACCTAAAACTGAAAAATGTTGACTCACATGATTTGAGGTGAAGCATATTTTTAAGGAGGCTCTGACCCAACACTACCATAATTCTGCCTGAAATTAACCACTAGAAATTCATTCTTGTGGAACAAAAATTATCTGTTATTTGATGATTTTTTAATTGGTTTTCATTCAATGCTTCTTTTTCTAAGAGGAAACACATTAACCCTCAGTACTGGAAAGTAAATAAATAGCCAAATAATAAAACAACCCCCTTCTCACTGATCAGTGCAGACTCATCAATCAGCGTCCTTCTTTCCATTGAGCCTGCACAAAGATCTAGATGCAAAATTTTTCTCAACACAAAAAAGCAGGCAGCAAGAGCCACTGGTAAATTGAAGCCAATGTGTTTCAACCATTCATTCTTAATTCTAAGAAAAAAAAATCAAAAATTAAAGTTTCTAAAATTGGATAATGACATAGAATTGATTCATATAGTGTTTCTCCAAACTCCCCGCTATATCACCCCACCTATATTCACCCAACCCTCTTACTAACTCAGTAGCTTAGTTTACAATTAATATTGTTTTAAAAGAAGTATAGATTTAATACAGATTTAAAGTTTAAATACATATTTAAAATAAAATAAATACAAACTTTTCTTTCTCCCCACATTAAAGCTTTGGAGTAAAGAACATTTTTTTGTGTGTGTCTGTTTGCTTATTTTCAAGATAAAATTCAACTGACAAAAACATGGGTCACCCATTTTGGAAAACAGTTCACCAGTTTCTTAAAAATTTAGACATATAACTTAGCAATTCCACTCCTAGGTATCTACCCAGATAAAAACAGATTTTTAAACAAAACCTTTTATGTTAGCTTCCATTGCAGCATTATTCATAATAGACAAAAAGTGGAAACAACTCAAATATCTATTGACTGGAAAATGGCTACAAAAAGTGTGGCACATCTTTTATATGGTAGGATGCTATTCAGCAATAAAAATGAATAAACTATTAATACATGCTACCACAAAGATAAACCTCAAAAACATTATGTTAAGTGAAATAAGCCAGCCATAAAAACCACATATTGTACAATTCTATCCATTCATATGAAATGTCCAGAAAAGGCAAATCTATAAAGACAGAAAATAGATTAGTGGTTGCCTGGGGCTGGGGACGAAATGGGGGATTAACTGCAAGGGGTATGGGGAATCTTACTGAGGCGATTAAATGTTCTAAAATTGATTATAGTGATGGTTGCACGACTTGATACATTTGCTAAAGTTCACATGGGTGACTTTATGATATGCAAATTATACCTCAAAAGAGTCATGAAAAACATTTCAACTTACAAGAAAGATAGGGAAGCAATATAGCATTAAATGAGAAGGGAGAATTTAAAGAATGGAAGGAGTTGGAAAATGTATTAAGGGCTATCATTAGCAAGTGACCAAATTTATTGTCCTTAGGGAGTGGGTGAGGTCAATAGTATTACCCTTGTTTTAGAAGAAGTGTACATGAGACTCTGCTAACCAAGATAGAATAGAGTGGTGTAACAAAGAATATCTTCTCTTTTGATCTCTCAAAGCGGTCACCACACAGTATCTCTCTTTCTCCCTGTCTCTTTCTCTCTCTAAATCAGTCACTCACAGCTTAGGTTAGGTTACCTTCGCTCAAATATGAAATCAGATTTCTTAATAATTCATAATGTTTGATTTCTCAAACATGAAATCAGATTTCTTAATAATTATTTGCTCCTTTTATGTTCTCTCTCCTCTTTCTAAGACCATAAACTCATTGTTTACCTGGAGAAAACTTCTTTTGGAAGCAATCAAAATCTGGGACCCAGATGGGGTAGACATTTGCTTAGAGTCTGAGCTCAGGAAGGAGGAGTCAGGTCCCACACAGGTAATCACTGATCTCCATTCCTTCACTAACTTAAAAACCACATTAAGGCTTTGGGGTTTTCAGGTAGAGTCAATGGATTTTGAGAGTCTTCAGCAGGAGAATAGCATGAGTTCTTCCTAACCATATGAAGAGTGGAGAGGGGATGGTATCTGACATCTTGATGATTTGCATGAGGAATTCTGGTCATTTGTTCTATTTCAGTGAACTAGAGAACAGTGTAGACATTAAAGTTGTATTTAGGATTTTTTTAATGGGGTATAAATTGGTTGGATATGAGGAAAATCTGATTAGAATAGTTGTATCTTTAGCTGAACTTGGAAAATATGCCTGTTTAGTAGGAAGACTGATGAATGTGCAAATTGAGAAGTTTGTTAGGGAAAGATATTATGAGCTTAAATTTTGATGTTGATGCTGAGATAACCATCTAAGCAGTGATTCCTTAAAGTTAGTTTACTAAATATGTCTAGTGATCCAAAAGTTGTTACTGGACAAAATATTTAAATTTGAGAGACAACAATATATAATAGGATAACTGAAGGCATGACCACAGAATATATGAGAGAATAAAGAGAGAGAATAGTGTGAGAAGAGATGTTTTGACTGAATCTTTATGTCAGCTTCCATATATATATCTATATATATATATACGGATAGATATATGTATGGATAGATATATATAGAGATATATATATGGATATATATATGAATATATATATGGATATATATATGGATATATATATGAATATATATATGGATATATATATGGATATATATATGGATATATATGGATGTATATATATGGATATATATATATGGATATATATGGATGTATATATATGGATATATATGGATGTATATATATACATACATAATTGGAAAATCTAGGTTTGAAAATGGGATTTGCAGAAAATTGTTGGGGTTCCTATCTAAATGGTGTCTGGTTTCTCTGTAAAGGGGAGTGGTAAAAGTCAAAATAGGCACTGGATAGAAAGAGAGAATGAATTAGCAAAAGATCACAGTGAGTTTGTGGGACTTTGTTGAAAACGGAATTGATGTTGGTGATCGTGATTTCTTGGCAGCATAAATCTGTTTCATTGTGTGGTTTATTTGTCATCATGAAACAGCTGTAATACATATTAGAGAAAGTGAAGAGATAAATGTGTCTGCAGTTAGGATTTTGCCTTTACATTCTAATGTAAGAGCACCTGGATCAAAAAGTCTAAGTTCCAGAAAACAGTGATTATTCTTCTAGAAGCGGCCTCAAGTTGAGTTTGCCTTTCTTTAAAAATCATGAGAGCTTATGGGTACTAGCACTTACAAGAGTACTCTGCATGTTCCAGGTTTTCCGTTGCTGTGTTTCTCCCATACTCCTCCAGGCTGAGTTCTTCCTGGTCTAGATGTTCTATCCACATCCAGCTCTTCTGTGGTCTTGCTTTCTGTGAAGGATAGGTTACATACTTAAACTAAAGCCTCAAAGCCTAACACTGGCTTTGTATGTAACTAGTGTTTGACAGGGACTCCTCAACTTCTTTATAATTGGTGATGGCAAAACTTCAGGTTCCGGAGAGGGAACTTCTCTACATGAAAAAGACTACCACACAGAACTCTTTGGTGACTCTCAAACCACCACATGTCAGCACTGCCTATGGCCAGGCTACCTGCGAGTCATTCTGTTGTTCCTCCATTAAATGACATAAATGGGGTGCTCTAAAATAGGTATAATGGATAGCTTTTGCTGCAATATTGCATATTTATTGTATGAGGAGAAGAAATAGTGATTCAATTCAGTAATATCTAGCTATATTGTACTTTATTCTTCAGTTCTTGCCCAGAAATCCCTTCAAACTGCTAGTTTGCGTACATCTGTGAAAAGCATATAGTGTGGAAAAACACCACGTATTGAAGTGTTAATTAATAGTTGTTAGATTTCACTGCCCCCAGACTTTCTCCTAATACAGGTATCAAGTACCTTAAACACAAAGTCTTATAATAGCTACTTTAATACTTCACTTATTTCTTAAGACTGTGAGGAGAAATTTAAGACTGAAATTAAGCAAATGAGATTACTGGACAACTTTTTAACGGAATGATGGAGCCTCTGCAGATTGTCTGATTTTAAGAGATGAGAGCTTTTGTCTTTGACAAGGCTATATTTTACAACCATGTAAAGGTAAAAGGTATCTTACAGAACACTGAGAGACAAACAAATTGTGTCTAGTATAGGTTCAGTTCACTTCTCTACCCACTCTAGAAGAAACCAGTTTTACATTCATTTGCAAATTCATTTCAATATTCCTGATCTATAAATGTGACTGTTCTTTGGATTCTCTTTTGAATTAGTTATTTTTTTTTTCTGGTTCTCTCCTGTAATTAATGAGTTAAGTCAAACCTTGGAAATGTGTCATTTTATATATATGAGTCATGACTTTATCTTTGTTCTGACAATTATCTTTTAACAGGGCTCAAAACATTTGGAACATCTCCACAAATATTAAAATCAAAAGGAAATAGAATTTTTCCTTCAAAGTCCTTGGGAACATTTGTTTTAAAAAATGTATCAGTAATCTCCAAAGTCATCCAGGCTTTATCTTTAACTTTTAATGTTTAATTCTGTCATTCTTGCACCATATCTAATCCTAAATACTACATTCAGGTGATTACATCTCTAATATCTCTCCCTTTTCTCTCCATTTTTACTGCCAGCACCTAATTTATGCCTTTATTACCTGTCAATGGGACCATTTGCCTATCATGCAAGAACTACTAAGTTTTAGTTGGGCCCATGACTGTCTACCTAAAGAATGTATTTATAATCAGCCCTGTTATAGCTGGGAAGGCTCATGTGATTATGTTCTTGTCAATGAGCTATAAAGAGAAGTAAACTATGTAACTTCTCAATCACTTATTGAAAGAGACAGCTACTTACCCTTGCCCCCCCCCGCCCATAGGCTTGAGTGTGGATTTGACATAAATTACACCATGCAGACAAGGACAACACCCTAGAGGAAGGCTGAGCTAAAAATTGAAGGAACCTGTGTCCCTAAAATGCTTTCTGGAGCAGAGGTATCCTGCCAACCTGAACAGTTCATCTACAGATTTGTTAATGAGATAGAAATCAAATTCTTAAATTATTGTTTATTTTTTTGTATAGTAGCTCAAACTATGACCTAATTGATATACCTA
The DNA here is from genome assembly GCF_000001405.40 of Homo sapiens. Classification (NCBI taxonomy): domain Eukaryota; kingdom Metazoa; phylum Chordata; class Mammalia; order Primates; family Hominidae; genus Homo; species Homo sapiens. The sequence goes on from NC_000018.10 coordinate 43,633,700, forward strand.
TTCTCTGGTTTCCTTGCTGCTTCCAAACAACATACATTTTCTACTGATTCCAGAATCCTGTATTTGAAACATTGCACCTTTGCTCAAAAATTTTGGTATATGGAAGTAGAAGTCTTCTATAGAATAGCATTTAGGGTCTCCATAAAATATGATAGTTCATGAGTTGGTTATAAGCAATTCATGAATAATTTTATTGAAAAGAGAACTTAGTAAATCAAGGTAAAGGCTAGCAACAAAATGGACAGCCTGTAGGAAATCCAGCCTTGAAAACTGAATAAATTAGTTAGGAGCCAGGGCCAAGGATCAGGTTTTGGGACAATATTTAAGTCCTTTGCCACTCTGCTCAAGATTTAAAAGTCTGGGCCAGGCTCAGTGGCTCACACCTGTAATCCCAGTGCTTTGGGAGGCTGAGGTAGGAGGACTGCTTGAGATCAGGAATTCAAGACCAGCCTGGGGAATATAGCGAGACCCTTTCTCTACAACAAATAAAAATTAGCTGGGCACTGTGCACCTGTAGTCCTAGCTACTCAAGGGGCTGAGACAAAAGCGTTTATCGAGCCCAGTGGCCTGAGTTTGCAGTGAGATATGATCACACCACTGCACTCCAGCCTGGGCAAAAAAGCAAGACTCTGTCAATCAATCAATCAGTCAGTGATTTAAAGATCTTAGAGAATTTCTTTAATCAACTTGGAGTACCTAGCAATACTTTGAGTAGGGGAGAGCAATGCCCCTTGATTTTCATAAAGCCTCATTACTTTATGTACGATAGGTAATTATCTGAAAGAATTCAGTATGTGGTTGTAACAGCTTAAGAAATGCTGGGCAATCTAAAAGAAAAACAATAGTTCATTAAAAATATTATGCCACATCTGGCCTTTGATCTATTCCTTGTTATTCTTTCAGTAAGTCTAAACTGCATTTATTTTGTTTCTTATTCATGATCCCTGTTCTCAGATCTGTATATTTTTGTTTGCAATATCCATTTTATCTCTAACGCTCTTTTTCTAGTCATTTCATGTCTAAATTATATTTTTTAATTTATCCTAATTTTCAACTCCTCAGTGAAAATTTTATAATCTGAAATGCTCTTCTAAACATTTGTTCACCTCATAGTGTAAATATTTGCATACATTCTATCTCCTTTGTGTGAGTGTAGGCCCCTGGTACATACGGATTAGGTCTTATTCAACTCTGTATTCCCTACAAAGTTTAAAATGAAATTAACTATGTATTAGACATGCAATACATACTTGTCAAATTTATCAATATAAATTTACAAATAACAAGCAAACATATGTTATTCTACTAAGTAGGAAAATGACTAAAGAAGGAAGACTCCTGTTTTTGCCTTATACCTGAAAGGAGTTTATCTTCTTGTTTAATCCTTTCTGTCCTCTCTTTTAGTGCAAGACATTATGTCCAGCAATTAAGCAGTTAGAGATCATGAGTGAGATGTTTATCTATGCCATTCAGAAGCAACTGCCAACAATGAAAATCAGCATTTTCCCCCTACTAGAGCCTTTAGCAACTGCGAAGAGTGTCTCACTGAATGGCATGTGACACTGATTACATTATCTGGTGATAAAAGAGTCACGGTTAGATAAAACCTTTTGCCAATGTGTATATTGCAGCTCCAACCCAAATGAGCAAAACCCCCCTTCCCACTAATGTGGATCTTGGAGCAGTAGAAGACAGAGACTTCTGCTACCCTCCATCATTCCAGCAAGGTTCTGTTCAATAATATGTGGCAGTAATTTAGTTGTAATTAAACAAGACCTGATATATTATTTCCTAATGATCTCCAGTGAAGTCATCTCCCACTTGCTTTCCAGCGCTTCTAATTAGGCAATAAGGGTTATATCATGAGCAATAAAGATCACTTTTCTGGGCTAGTGATGAGGGATTAGAGAGTACGCAGGGAGGCTTTCATGGCCCAGAGTGAGAGGCAGGTAGGCGGCAGTTTTGAATGGAACATCCTCCATTCCTCTTGCCATCTGCTCCCAAATTACCTAGGTGGCAGGTACTGATGAGGAACAAATTGAAATGAAGCTAGAATAAGAAGCTTGAAGCCATCAGTCACCAGCCTAGCAATTTAAATCACAGCTTTATGTGCATGGTTTCTTTGTATAATTATTCGTGTGCTTTATTTATTTCCGAGTCTTTCATATCCACTTGCTTGTCGAATCCCCAGGAAACTCAAGAGAATTAAAATAGGTAGTTAATATTTTCACTCTTTAATGCTTACAGAGCTCAGGGTCCCAGACTTTGAAGTGGCATGCACATTGTTGGAAGGTTACAGCATTCGCAATTGTTCACAACTAACTCCTGCCACAGAGTCCACTCTAATGCTGTTTTGATTATTTTTTCTGCAATATTAATAAGTAGAAATGCTCTTCTCTCTTCCTTCGCAGATTCTTAGCTGAGAAGAAAAGGCTGTTACCTTTCTTTGATTTCCTTCAGTTCATTTAGGGCAGTGGTAAACAAAGGAGGCTCTGGCCCTCCATCTGTTTTTGTAATGAAGGGTATTTCAGTGAAAAGCTCGGCACTGTTAATAGTACACTCTTCTAATTTTGGATACTATGAAAGCTATTTCATAACTCTAGATTGTAAGTAACTGAGAGAAAGGCAAAAATAATTCTTATGTATAGATATGCAACTAAAAATTTTGTCCAGTGGAGGGACATACTTCCTTTCTCCTTGTGGAAGAGCCAGTTTTCCTTTTATTGGCAGATTCATTGTAATATCTTGATCAATAAATGTGTCTGTTTCTTGACTTCTGCTTTGAGTTGGTTGTAATATCTGATTTTCTCATATGAGTTAAATAAAATCTTTAACTCATGTTCATTTTTATCTATGAGTCATTTTTATTCTTTAAAAAAAAGCATCATTTAACAGTAAATAAATTTCCATTGGGTTACATGTTGCCTATAGATTGTTTCTCACTGAAGTAGCAGAGTTGAGTAATTGTAGCATGAGCAGTTGTAATAAAGACTGTATGGCCAAAAAAGCAAAAACCATTTACTATCTGACCCTTTGCAGAAAAAGTTTACAGACCTGCATCTAAAGCACATATATCCAGCCAAGCCCTATGCATCTCAAGGAGCCACCAAACTCCAGACATAGGGAGTCATTTAGAGAAAGCTGGTAAGTGGTGTTTTAACCTAATAAAGTTGATGAGATAAAAGGGGAGAGGAAATGAACATAAAGCAGGTAAAGTGTAGAAGCATCTTTGTGTCTCAGGTGTGGCTTTTAGTGTTTTTTCTACATGTTCAGGCATCAGCATTGTGGCATAAATAAGAACCAGTATCATAAGCCTTCACTTTTTTCTAAATTGCTAAAAGAGCTATTTTGGTGTATAAGATTTGGTTTTGGACTAGACGTTAGGAGACTTGCTATGATTAGCTGTGGGAAATTTAGCAAATTTTTATATTTCTTGGCTTGAGCTTTTTCAAAGGTATAATGCATATATAATTTTTGGACTCATTTTAATATTCTTTTTATGTTTATCCTTTAGAGAATACTGAGATTGATTTTTTTTTTCTGGTTGAAGCTATTTTCTGGAGGAAAATCAGAATAAATCAGATCAGACTATTTTGTCCCAAAACATATGGAACTTGTGTTTAGAGCCTTTTATAAAACTAACACATTGGATTAGAAAATCATCTACCGGCATACCTCAAATATATTGCTGGTTCAGTTTCATATCACGACAATAAATCAAATATTGAATATCATAATAAAGCAAGTCACGCAATCGTTTTGGTTTTCCAGTGCATATAAAAGTTATATTTACACTGTAGTCTATTAAAACGTGTGCAATAGCATTATGTCAAATAAATATACATATATTAATGAAAAAATACTTTATTGCTAGAAAATGCTAGTAGTCATCTAAGCCTTCGGCGAGTCTTAATCTTTTTGCTGGTGGAGAGTCTTGTCTTAATGTTGATGGCTGCTAGCTGATCCGGTGCTGACGGTTGGGGTGGTTGTGGAAATAAGACAACGATGAAGTTTGCCCCATTGATGGACTATTTCTTTCACAAAATATTGGTTTATAGCATGAGATGCCATTTGATAGCATTTTACCCGCAGTACTTCTTTCAAAATTGAGTCAATCCTCCCAATCCCTGCTGCTGCTTTATCAACTAAGTTTATGTAATATTCTAAATCGTTTGTTATCATTTCACCAATGTTGAAAGCTTCTTCACCAAGAGTAGATTCCATCTCAAGAAACCACTTTCTTTGCTCACCTATAAGAAATAATTCCTCATCTATTCAAATATGATCATAAGATTGCAGAAATTCAGTCACATCTTCAGGCCCCACTTCTAATTCTAGTTTTCTTGCTATTTTCTCCATATCTACAGTTGTTTCCTTCACTGGAATGCTGAACTCCTCAAAGTCATCCATGAGGGTTGGAATCAACTTCTTCCAAACTCCTATTAATGTTGATATTTTGACCTCCTCCTATGAATTATGAATGTTCTTAATGATATCTAAAATGGTGAATACATTTCAGAAGGTTTTCAATTTACTTTGCTCAGATACATCAGAGGAATCACTGTCTATGGCAGCTATAACCTTACAAAGTGTATTTCTTAAGTAATAAGACTTGAAAGTCAAAATTACTTCTTAATCCACTAGCTACAGAATAAATGTTGTGTTAGCAGGCAGAAAAATAACATTAACCTCCGTACACATCTCCAGCACAGCTCTTGGGTGACCAGGTACATTGTCATTTACCAGTAATATTTTGAAATGAATAATTTTTTTTGAGTGGTAGGTCTCAACAGTGGGCTTAAAATATCAGGAAACCATACTGTAAACAGATAAGCTGTCATCCTGGTTTGTTCCATTTATAGAACACAAACAGAGTAGGTTTAGTATAATTCTTATGAGCTCTAGAATTTTCAGAATGTTAATGAGCATTGGCTTCAACTCAAAGTCAGCAGCTGCATTAACACCTAACAAGGAAGTCAACTTGTTCTTTAAAGCTATGAAACCAGGCATTGACTTCTCCTCTCTAGTTATAAAAGTTCTAGATGGCACCTTCTTCCAATAGAAGGCTCTTTAACCTACTTTGAAAATCTATTGCTTAGTGTAGCCACCTTCATCAATTATCTTAGGTAGATCTTCTGGATAACCTGCTGTCACTTCTACATCAACACTTGCTGCTTGACCTTGCACTTTTATGTTATGGACGTGACTTCTTTCCTTAAACCTCATGAACCAATCTCTGCTAGCTTCAAACTTTTCTTCTGTAGCCTCTCCACCTCTCTCAGCCTTTATAGAATTGAAGAAGGAGTTTTTCTCTAGATTAGGTTTTGGCTTAAGCGTATGTTGTGGCTGGTTTGATTTTTTTTTAATCCAGACAACCCAAACTTTCTCCAGATCAGCAACAAGGCTGTTTTGCTTTCTTATTATGCCTGTGTTCACTGAAGTAGCACATTTAATTTCATTCAAGTATTTTTCATTTGAATTCACAATTTGCCTAAACTTTGCACTCACAATTTGGTACAAAAGGGCTGGCTTTCAGCCTGCCTCAGCTTTCAACATGCCTTTCTCACTAAGCTTCATTATGTCAAGCTTTTAATTTAAAATGAGAGACCTGTGACTCTTTCATTTACTTGAACACTTAGAGGCAATTGTAGGGTTATTCACTGACCTAATTTCAATATTGTTATGTCTCAGGGAATAGAGAGGTCCAAGGAGAGAGAGATAGGCAGATGGCTGGTCAATGGTGCATCCAGAACACATACAACATTTAACAAATTAAGCTTACTTTCTTATATGGGTGTGATTCATAGTGCCCCAAAACAATAACAATAGTAACCTCAAAGATCTCTGATCACAAATTACTGTAAAAGGTGTAAAAATAATGAAGTTTGAAATAGTGCAAGAATTATCAAAATATGACTCAGAGACATGAAGTGAGCACATGCTGTTGGAAACTGGCAGCAATAGACTCACTTGATGCAGGATTGCCACAAACCTTCAATTTGTAAAGAACACAATATCTGAGAAGCGCAATAAAGTAAAGCACAGATTCAATGGGGTATGCCTGTATTCCAACCTGCTCCTACCTCAGAATGACTGAGCTGTTCGAGGTCAAGGTGAAAGGTAGCAAAGTTACCTTTGAAAAAAGGCTAGCAAAGGGGCCTTGGCTGGACTTTAGAGATCCTGGCAAGAAAATTAAAATCTGAATTTTATTTGTAGGGGTCATCCAAGAAAATATTGCAACTTACTTTATCTTATTCATCTGTGTTAGGTAGTGCATATGCTGCTATCAGTTCAAACTCTGATGTCAGTGAAGTTCATTTTGGGGTCTCTCTACCCTCATCTTGACTTTTCTTTTCTCAGTTACTCTCTTCTTCTCAAGTACCAATACCAAGATTTCTCATGCTGTATTCTATACTGCAACCATATCTGGTCTGCCATGAGGTTTTTAAATCAGTCCTGTTATGAACCCTCAATGTCTCAACTACAAAATCAAATTCCCTTGCCTAACTTACACAATCTTCTTTTTTTCTCTTCTTTTTTCTCCCTTCTCTCTTTCTTTTATTTGACAATTATTTACTGAACGCATATCACTAGGATTCCAGGATACACTGGTGAACACAAAAAAATATAGTCCTTGGCCTCATGGATCTTTTAGTCTAATGAGAGAGGTAGCCATTATGTAACTCACTGAGTTTAAAAACTGTAAAATTTTAACAGTGAACATTTTATGTAGAAGAAATACAAGGTGCTATTAAAAATAGGAAGGATAAATTTTATCTATTAAAAAAATAAAGTTTTCCCTGAGGAAAGTACTCTTGAACTCTGAAAAGCCAGCAGAATATTACTATGTAATGAGAAAGAGAAGAGCTTTCAGGGAAGAGCAAAGATACATATAAAGCAGCACTATGATGGTTAGGTTTATGAGTTAACTTGACTGGGCTAAGGGATGCCCAGATAGCTGGAAAAACATTATTTTTGGATGTGGCTGTGAGGCTCTTTCCAGAAAGGATTAGCATGAAAATCAGTAGACTGAGTAAAAAAAGATCATCCTCACCAGTGTGGGCCAGTATCATCCATCCATGGAGAGTCCAAATAGTACATAGAGAGAAAGGAAGTATAAACTCATTTTCTCTTCTTAAGATAGAATATCCATCTTCTCTTGCCCTTGAACATTGGCTGTTCTTCATCGTCAAGCCCTCAGATTTGGAACAGGACTTATGTATTTGCCTCCTTGTTTCTCAGGTCTTCAGTGTTGGACCGGAACTACACCACTAATTTTCCCAGACCTCCACCTTGCAGATGGCATATCATGGGACTCTCAGCCTCCATAATCAAATGAATAAGACAATTGCTCAAATATCTCTCCTCCTCCGACTTATTGGTTTTGTTTCTCTGAAAAACCCTGACTGATATGAGCACTAAAGAAATAGAGAAAAATCAGATGGGCTGTGGTGGAATGAATGAGAGACTATGAGTAGGATTCGTCAAATTAGATTGATCCTAACTATGACAATGCAGAGCTTTACAGTCCATTTACAGCCTTATCTTGAAGAGTGATTTTACCTAAAGAGAGGGTCTCACTGACCGTAGTGTGGAGAAGAGATTGGGGAAAGCCAGAGTACAGTTGAGTACATAAGTTAGTGATTCATTGCAGTTCATCACGGAGTAGAACTAGCCAACATAAAAGAGTTCTTGTTACATACACAGCATTATTCTAAGACATTCACTAATCTTCGTTCATGTTCCTCTGTTTTGTGGATGAGCAAACTGAATGCTGGGAGGTTAAATAATTGCCCTGATTACATAGTTAATAACGGTGGAGAGGGATTGACACACAAGAAGTAAAAATCCAGAATTTATATTCTTAACTACTATACTTTGTTTCCTCTGGAAAATTCTGCACAATGGCCAAGAAAGTTGATATTAGAGGGATTTCCCCATCCAACAACACCACACACACACACACACACACACACACACACACACACTATGTGTGTGTATACACATAAATACATATACATTTACATTCATATCCACTGATTTATCACATTCAAATGTCCCACAGTTTGAAAGTCATTAAAGACAGAAATTTATGGGACAGGCAGATATAGAAATCAGGGTATGGTTTAAAAATACTGAAGAGAGCAGATAAATACAGAAAACATGTTTACTGTACAGAAGAGGTCCTGTGGGGAATGTATTTCTGATTGTCTCAATGTGAAACCTCAGCAAGCACTAAAGGCCATTGGCCATATAGCACTTAGGAAAATCAATGCTTGTTGCATTCCACCTGGATTGGTGCTTACAGAGTCTACCCTGAGTCTCCCTCATAGGACAATGAGACCCATGTACTTATTAGCTGTGAACTTAAATCCAGTTACTTAACCTCTCTGAACTTGAGCCTTGTATCTGAAATGTTTCAGTAAGATCTACTCCAAAAAGTTCTTTTGAAGATTCGAATACATGGCACATCTGCAAATATTTTTTTCTTTCACTGCCTATTTCTAAGATTTTTTTATTCATTGACTGCCTCCCCAACTTAATCCCTCTTACACTCCCTCTCTCCTCTTCCATCTTCCTTCACTTCCTATTTTGATTTTTTTCTAAAAATTTTTGCATCAATTAATAAGAAGGAAACAGATAAGGATTCTTACACTGTTTTGTTATTCTTTAAATCCATCTGTCCATCTATCAAGAGACTGAAAAATAAAATACAGTATGTACATTCTCATATTTGTTCTTTGATCAACTAGACTTACCTAAAATTAATCAGAAGGCAGATTGAGAGATATACAACACTATATTCCTTTTTATTCTTTCTTCTTAAAACAATACACAGGCACCCAAAGGTCATTCCTTTATTACTGTAAGCATAACTTCTTTTTACTTTCAATTATATGTTTGGATTTTACTAAGGTTGTACTACTTTTCAAAAGACACTATTTTCAAAAAGGCATCTATTTCTCACTATTGGAATTTCCATTTTAGAACAATTAGATCCTGCTGGTGAACTTTTAAGAACAGAAAGACTGGGTTGCAAGCACATGGTTGCTAAGTGAATAGTGCTGTTTTCTTAAGGATTTTTGTTGTTTTCCCATTATTTACATGAGTCTTGTCACTTCATCTCCTCCTTATTGACATCAGCACTGCCGGGGAGAGCTGCTGGGAAATGCTGTATCTTCCTGGAGCTTCACCCTTTTACCATGCATTATGAATAATTGAATTAATTATTCAAGACAGGATTTATGCTTCCATCAATGTAAACAGGCTGACCTCTTCACTAATAGGCCATCTTTGAGAAAGCCTTAGCTGCTGACCCAACCATTGACCCGTAAGGTTTGAGTTTATTTCAAGAAGAAGCCAAGATCCACATTCTGAATTGAGATGAGGTGACCCACAGCCCTAAACTTACTGCCCTGATTTTAGACATACGCAGAAACTCTTCAAAGTGTGACATAAGCTTAGGCGCTTGGCCAAAGAGAAACATAAAACAACAACAGGGAAATGTTTTACTGTAAAATGTTAGCTCACTTAATTCTTTTAATTTTCTTGCAATAATATATTAAACCCTGTCCAAACCCCAAAAGGATATGTTGGAAAAAATGTCACAGGCACCTTACCCTTAAATCTGGAACATGGAGAGAGATCTTTTGGTTCCTACATACACAGCCTCACAGGTTACATTACTAATAAATTCTTGGAAAAAATATTTGCAGATCACATATTATAAGCAGCTTTTACTTAGAATATATGAAAACTCTTACAACTCAATAATAAAAAGTCAAATTACCGAATTTAAAATGGACAGAGGATCTAAATACACATTTCACCAAAGAAAATACAAAAATGGCCAATAAGTACATGAAAAGATGCTCACTGTCATGTGCCAGGAGAGAAATGCAAATCAAAACCAAAATGAGATAGTACTTCTCACTCAATAGGATGGCTGTAATCCAAAACAGGGTATAACAAGCATTAGTAAGGAGGTAGAAAAATGGAAACTCTCATACATTGTTGATGGGAATATAAAATGGTGCAATCACTTTGAAAAACAGTCTACTGTTTTTTTTTTTTTTGAAAGATTAACCAGCGAGATACCATATGATCCAGCAAGTCCTCTCCTAGATATATACCTTGGATGCAGTTCCCTGAGCCAGCCAGAGAAGTGCTAGGCTGTCCCATGGGCCCTGCTGCACTGGCAGTGGGCTTGTTGGTCTGGCTAAACTCCCAGAGCCCCTGAAAGCACCCATGGGGCCAGCCCTGCGCCTCAGTGAATGAAGCTGCTGTTTCTGGAGCCTCTCTACCTCCCAGACTCTTCTTATCAAGTGGGCTTCATCCCTGGGATGCAAGGCTGGTTCAACATACGCAAATCAATAAACATAATCCAGCATATAAACAGAACCAAAGACAAAAAACACATGATTATCTCAACAGATGCAGAAAAGGCCTTTGACAAAATTCAACAGCCCTTCATGCTAAAAACTCTCAATAAATTAGGTATTGATGGGATGTATCTCAAAATAATAAGAGCTATTTATGACAAACCCACAGCCAATATCATACTGAATGGGCAAAAAACTGGAAGCATTCCCTTTGAAAACTGGCATAAGACAGGGATGCCCTCTCTCACCACTCCTATTCAACATAGTGTTGGAAGTTCTGGCCAGGGCAATAGGCAGGAGAAAGAAATAAAGGGTATTCAATTAAGAAAAGAGGAAGTCAAATTGTCCCTGTTTGCAGATGACATGATTGTATATTTAGAAAACCCCATCGTCTCGGTCCAAAATCTCCTTAAGCTGATTAGCAACTTCAGCAAAGTCTCAGGATACAAAATCAATGTGCAAAAATCACAAGCATTATTATACACCAATAACAGATAAACAGAGAGCCAAATCATGAGTGAACTCCCATTCACAATTGCTTCAAAGAGAATAAAATACCTAGGAAGCCAACTTACAAGGGATGTGAAGGACCTCTTCAAGGAGAACTACAAACCACTGCTCAATGAAACAAAAGAGGACACAAAACAAATGGAAGAACATTCCATGCTCATGGATAGGAAGAATCATGAAAATGGCCACACTGCCCAGGGTAATTTATAGATTCAATGCCATCCCCATCAAGCTACCAATGACTTTCTTCACAGAATTGGAAAAAAACTACTTTAAATTTCATATGGAACCAAAAATGAGCCCACTTTGCCAAGACAAAAGCCAAAAGAACAAAGCTGGAGGCATCACACTACCTGACTTCAAACTATACTACAAGGCTACAGTAACCAAAACAACATGGTACTGGTACCAAAACAGAGATATAGACCAATGGAACAGAACAGAGCCTCAGAAATAATACCACACATCTACAACCATCTGATCTTTGACAAATCTGACAAAAACAAGAAATGGGGAAAGGATTCAATATTTAATAAACCATCATGCTGGAAAAACTGGCCAGCCATATGTAGAAAGCTGAAACCGGATCCCTTCCTTACACCTTATACAAAAATTAATTCAAGATGGTTTAAAGAGTTAAAGACCTAAAACCGTAAAAACCCTAGAAGAAAACCTAGGCAATACCATTCAGGACATAGGCATGGGCAAGGACTTCATGTCTAAAACACCAAAAGCAGTGGCAACAAAAGCCAAAATAGACAAATGAGATCTAATTAAACTAAAGAGCTTCTGCACAGCAAAACAGACTACCATCAGAGTGAACAGGCAACCTACAGAATGGGAGAAAATATTTGCAATCTACCCATCTGACAAAGGGCTAATATCCAGAATCTACAAATAACTCAAACAAATTTACAAGAAAAAAACTAGCAACCCCATCAAAAAGTGGAAGGATATGAACAGACACTTCTCAAAAGAAGACATTTATGCAGCCAACATACACATGAAAAAATGCTCATCATCACTGGCCATCAGAGAAATGAAAATCAAAACCACAATGAGATACCATCTCACACCAGTTAGAATGGCAATCATTAAAAGGTCAGGAAAAAACAGGTGCTGGAGAGGATGTGGAGAAATAGGAACACTTTTACACTGTTGGTGGGACTGTAAACTAGTTCAACCATTGTGGAAGACAGTGTGGCGATTTCTCAAGGATCTAGAACTAGATATACCATTTGACCCAGCCATCCCATCACTGGGTATATACCCAAAGGATTATAAATCATGCTGCTATAAAGACACATGCACACGTATGTTTATTGTGGCACTATTCACAATAGCAAAGACTTGGAACCAACCGAAATGTCCATCAATGATAGACTGGATTAAGAAAATGTGGCACATATACATCATGGAATACTATGCAGCCATAACAAAGGACGAGTTCATGTCCTTTGTAGGGACATGGATGAAGCTGGAAACCATCATTCTCAGCAAACTATCACAAGGACAAAAAACCCAACACCACATGTTCTCAGTCATAGGTGAGAATTGAACAATAAGAACACTTGGACACAGGAAGGGAAACATCACACACCGGGGCCTGTCGTGGGGTGGGAGGAGTGGGGAGGGATAGCATTAGGAGGTACACCTAATGTAAATGACAAGTTAATGGATGCAGCACACCAACATGGCACATGTATACATATGTAACAAACCTGCATGTTGTGCACATGTACCCTAGAACTTAATGTATAATAATAAAAAAAAGATTTTGAAACCTATATCCACATAAAAACATACAGTGAATATTTGCAGGAGCATTACTCATAATAGCAAAAAAATAAAATAGAAACAACCCAAATGTTCATCAAATTATAAAAGGAGAAATAAAATTTATTATATCCACATAATAGAATATTATTCAGCAATAAGAAAGAACGAACTACTGATACATACTATAAGGATGAACCTTGAAAACATTATGCTAGGTATTAAAAACTGGTCATGAAAAAAACATATTTTATACCCTTATGTATATGAAATGACCAAATAGTCACTTTTAAGAGACAGAAAATATACTGGAGTTTGCCTAGGTCTGGGCAGATTGAGTACAAATGAGTAATGACTGCTAATGTGTATAAGATTTCTTTGTGGGATGATAATATTTTTTTAAAAAGTTGTGATAAGGTTTGCATGATTCTGAATACACTAAAAACATTGAATGTAGACTTCAAGTGGGTGAATTGCATGATTTTTATCTTAAAATATAAATACATGTGTGTGTATACACACACACGCACACAGACACACATATGTAAGAGAGAAAAAGTAATCCCTTTCCTCAGCCATCACAGGGTTCATCGCTGACACTCCTATAATGAAAGTCAGGGTAATAAGGTAGGGAAAAGCATAACAAATAAATTTAGCGAAGTCTTTTGTAAAGGTTAGTCAAATATTTACTTGCATGTAGAAAAACATAGTAATCCAAGTGAAAAATATAAGAAGGTTACAATGATGGTAAGATAAATTTATGTATGATAGATGTTTAATGAGTTGGGCAGTAGTTAAGATTATTAGGAGTCAAAGGATACAAAATTTTATGGCTGGGCACGGTGGCTCATGCCTGTAATTCCAGCACTTTGGGATGCTGAGGGCCAAGATAGTGAAACCCTGTCTCTACTAAAAATACAAAAATTAGCTGGGTGTGGTGACGGGCACCTGTAATCCCAGCTACTTGGGAGGCTGAGACAGGGAATTACTTGAATCCAGGAGGCGGAAGTAGCAGTGAGCCGAGATCGCGCCACTGCACTCCAGCATGGGCAACAGAGCAAGACCCCATCTCCAAAAAAAGTATATATTTAGACAGAATAAATTCAAGAGGTCAATTGTACAACATGATGACTGTAGTTAACAACAAGGTTTTCTATACTTGAAAATTACCAAGAAAATAGATTTTAAGTATTCTCGCTGCAAAAAAATAAGTATGTGATGCAATACATATGTTAATTAGCTTGATCTAGCCATTCTATAATGTATGTATATTTCAAACATCAATGTATACCATACATATAATTTCAGCTTGTCAATTTAAAAATAATGAATAAAAATAATTCTAACATATGGGCCAAAAAATTATTATTAGGGATTTTTCCTAAGCTTTTAAGTTTGACATGTGAAAAGCAAACATGTCTATCTTACTACAAAATTTCTCTTATGGCCACAGTTAAAGGCAGAATCTTGAGCTATAGGAAATACTGGCATGATCTAGTCTTAAGTGACACAGGAAGTCTTCATAAATATACAACCAAAGACCAAGGAAAAATATATTTTTATATTAATTCAAATGCTAATTCTAATGAAAGAATGAGTAGTTTTGGAGAAACATGATTGGACCGAACGAGGTATGGCTTAATGGTAATAAACTAGGTGGGTGGGCCAATTTGGGGGGACCCAGCAAGGCTGGACCAGGAATGTTGTGTATTTCGTTACTGTAGCGTCTCTGCCAGTAACAGGGCCTGACACCTAGTAAGTGCTCAGTGCTTGTTGAGTGAATGAATATCCTCACTAAGGAAAGCTTAACTTCCTTACTATACTATACTCACCATCCTGTAGGAGGCAGCTGAGACTAGCCTGTCAATGGTGGGCAGTGATTTTGCAATATTTATGTTTGAATCTTCTAATAAATTATCTCCCAGTTTGCACAGATATTGCTTGAGGAAGTACAAACACAAATTCTATTATGAAAAGTTTTATGAACTTTTCTTTACACCACAGCCAGCATAGTGAGTAGCAAAGTAGCAAAAGTGTGAATTGTTAACTTTGAAGTTCCAGTTTTCTCAGAAAGGTGACTTTTTGCCTCTAGGGACTTTATTCACTCAGGATGTTTCAGGTATATGGAAGGGAATCATGTAGGTGTGTGTGTGTGTGTGTGTGTGTGTACATGCATCTACACATATCCATGTTTGTGTGTGCATGTGTATGTGAGATAGTAGGTAAGTCAAGCTTTTGACAGCTCACTTGTCTTTGCAACCACCCATTCAGATAAATTTGTTACCACTATGAAGTTAGAAATGTTGGGCTAACTATCCAATTCTCCTTTTCTCCCTTTCTTCTCCAATCAAAAACACTGCCTATTAAAAGAAAATATTGCAAAGGGATATATATTGAAGCATTTAATGTCAGTGCAGGAAAAATATGTAAAACAAGATTGCAGGAATTTTTCTATTTTTTCCTGAAATTATACCATACAGGCAAAAACTTATACAGAATAGCAATGTTAAGATTGTTTTGATATGTAAATTGATCTCCTGGTTTTACCCTCTTTATTTGCTGCAATAGACAATGAAATCCAAGTAATTATTTTCAATTCCTTTAAGGATTTGAAGACCTAACACTCTCTGTCTTTGAGCTGTGTGGTTACTAATAATTTAGTCCCTGAATTCAGTGGGTTCTATAAAATCCACTAAGAAAATACACAAAGTTGCTTTTCAGGAAAGAGTAAAAGGAAGCAAAAGGCAAAGAAGAATGAAAAGGCAATCCTGGGAGAAATGAATGCATTGCAAAGAAAGTTAGATAAGGGGAATGGGATGAGAAAAAGAAAGATGCCATCTGAAGAAGATAGCCCAGAAACAAGAAGATCTGTACTCAAGAAAAGTCAGTAGTTGACCCTGAGAAGACAGTGTTGCCTCCAGCTTCCACTACCTTGTGAACCTCCCATTCCTATGTCCAAAAGCTACATAGATGATTTCTCTCACTGACACCTAATGAAGCTTTCTCTTTGCAAATGTGCTGTGTTTCATGCTGTACAACATTCCTTAAATCTTTCTGGTTATGCGTATGGACAATAATATACTCCATTACAGACACTCATCCAGGTCACTTCTAAACTCAAGAAAAGGAAATGAGACCCTGAATAGCTAAAGGAGTGGGACAGAGCTGACAGGGTAAGATCTTTCTGCACCTATATATGATAGTGCTAAATGGAAAAAAAGATATTCTGAGAAATTGCAGTTAAATACTTACTACAAAACCTATACTTCTTTGGCAAAATGATATCCCTGAAGCAGAAAGCAGAGTGAGACAAATACCATTGAAACATATAACACTTAACCAGTTATCTGAATTTCATTAACCAGTTATCTGAATTTCATAAAAAAGTAGGTGTATTCATTTGCTAGGGCTGCATAGTGGTGAAAAGGGTGTGATCTTTTTACTCTTCATTGCAAAGGGTCATGACCTACACTCCTTTAACAAAAGATATGCTAACAAGAGAAAAGGATAAATTTATTACATGTGCATTTTTGCATGGGCATCATAGAAAACTCGAAGGAGGGCCAGATAGTTGACACTTAAATACTTCACTGAGGAGAGGAGAGATGGAGAGTGTAGGGGTAAATGATTTTCAGGAAAAATGAATAAACCCAGCAGACAGAAATTAACTTGTAAATGATTCTGTTTGGAATTTGACCAAGCCCAATATAAAATATTTATCTTGTAAAAAAATTGGTTTAGGTGTGATTGAACTCCTCAGTCTTCCCTTCTGCATAAATATTGAGATCACAGGGAGCTGATGTGTTCCTTTTGTGGGTTCTGGTTTCTAGGCAGTTAATAGGAACTTCAGAAAACAGCCTTATCCTGTGTTTTGGGAGAGAGGAAGGATGGAGAAGGGGAGAGAAGAAGATCAGAGAGAATTTGAGGCTGCTTCTTTAGTTTGGCATGTCACAGTGTCATATTTTGGGATGCCCTCACATGGTCTTTCTCTGTGTGTGTGCATTCATAGTGTCTGTTTGTGTGTTCAACTCTCTTTTTCCTATAAGGACAGCAATCCGATTGGATTAGGGCCAACCATGATGGCCTTTTAGTAGATTCATCACCCCTTTAATGACTCTGTCTCTAAATAAAGTCACATTCTGAGGGAATGGGAATTAGTGCTTCAACATACAAATTTTGGGGGGAAACAATTCAGCCCATAACTGTAGGACTCACAGTTACTGAATCACAATATAACGCAGCTATGGAAATTGAACCGTCTCCAGCCAATGTGTTTTTAATTTTTCTCAAAACTTTTTCAAACATCTGAGAAGTATTCTTATTCTATCTTCTTGAAACAAACCAACTGGAATCATGAATCCAGTTCTTCATTTTTAATGAATTTATAACTTTATCATCTGATTTAATTTTCCTACTTTTTGTATATATGTGAAACCCAATGTTCCATTTTTAATAAATTGCATAATCCAAGATTGAAATATAAAAACCACAAAATAATACTAGAATTTTCAGGTTCATTAATCTAGACTCCTTCAAGACTATTGGTCTTTTTGACTGGAAGGATCTATGGCTAGCTTGTCATTTCAACACATTGAAGCTTGTGTTTCCTAAGTTTCAATGATCCTGAAGTACAAAACAATGAAGAGACATTAGGGTATTTATGGTTCTTCTTGTTTCAAATGTCAACCTTTAATGAGATTCAGAAAATATAATTAGGTATAGAGCTTATTTGAGAGCAGAATTTGAGAATAACCATCCAGGAAACATCAATTCTAAATGAATGGGGTTAGCATTCCAAAGTGGAGAAGTGAAAGTTTCACTTATATAGGCAGAGACAGAGAAACTTTTGCAGAATTACAACATTTTCTAGATGAGATCAGTGCATACATTACAGCAATTTGATTAGTTACAGATTGCTGCATTCCAAGGAAGATTACTTTATTGTTATCTGAGTAGAGGCAGTGATCTATGGGGCTCTTATCTCTGGTGTTGTTTGGTCTTCCTAATTATTTATAGAGAAAAAAACGTAGAAGTTGTGGTTGTATGCCGTGTAACTCAGGCTGCATGGACACATTCTTCTCAAGGCTCAGAATAATTTAAAGTTCCAACAACTTTACATTTGAATTATTTAATAAAGCTTGAATTATTTAATTTCACATTCCCCCATTTTCATCAAGATCTTTTGAAGAAAGCATCGTAGATAAACTCAAGCAATTTTGCCCCTTTTATGTTCAAGAACTTAGTCCCATGTCACTAGGAATGCTCATTCCTAGAATGTCATATACCATGGCAATGGAATTATTCTGACTATAAAGCTGATGGGGTGTATTAGTTCATTTTCATGCTGCTGATAAAGACATACCCAAGACTGGGTAACTTATGCAGAAAAAAAGGGTTTAATGGACTCTGAATTCCATGTGACTTGGGAGGCCTCACAATCATGGCAGAAGGCAAGGAGGAGCAAGTCATGTCTTACATGGATGGCTGCAGGCAAAAAGAGAGCTTGTGCAGGGAAACTTCCCCTTATAAAACCATCGGATCTTGTGAGACTTATTCACTATCACCAGAAAAACATGGGACAGACCTGCCTCCATGATTCAATTACTTCCCACCAGACCACCAGATCCCTCCCACAACACATGGGAATTCAAGATGAGATTTAGGTGGGGACACAGCCAAACCATATCATTGGGTATAGGCCAAATTTAAAGTAACATGAAGGAAGTAACTTTGTGACCTGAGTTGGGCTGCACATTGATGATTGCACCTTCAATGAACGTAATTCTTTGAGCAACCATCATTTTAGTTCATTCAGTTGTACATTGACTGCATTTTGAACAAATGCTACAGCAGCAGTAAAGACAAAAATAGGATAAAACACAGCAAATGATTTTAACTCTGGGAATAAGTAATAGGTTATGCCATCAAATTCCCTAAGATCCAAACCAGCTGCTTAGCCTACTGTGTAGAGAGGATGTCAGATCTTGTATTAGTCCATTTTCACACTGCTATAAAGAAATACCCAAGACTGGGTAATTTATAAAGGAAAGAGCCTTAATTGACTGACAGTTCTGCATGGCTTGGGGAGACTTCAGGAAACATGTAATCATGACGGAAGGTGAAGGGGAAGCAGGCACCTTTTTCACAAGGTGGCAGGAGGTAGGAAAGTGAGTGAGTGAGGAAGTGCCACACTTTTAAAACCATCAGATCTCATGAGAACTCCCTCACTATCATGAGAACAGCATGGAAGAAACCACCCCCATGATCCAATCACCTCCCTCCCTTGACATGTGGGGATTACACGTATCTCCCTTGAAATGCAGGGATTACAATTTGAGATGAGATTTGGATGGGGACACAGAGACAAACCATATCAGATCTGAAAGGTTACTTATTTGGGTTTTCATATCACCCATCAGTTTAGTGATGTTATCTGATTCATCTGAGATATGATACTTAGTCCTGTGACCATGCAGGTTCATCTTTGAGCTACAGTGAACATGTCTAAAGCCATACAGTTCTGTAATACAACCTTTCTCATAAGAGCAACATCATTTTTTAGTAACATAATACCCAGGCAGCTATCATGTAGGGCCTTTTTTGTGTAATTGCTTAGGGCCTCTACATGCCAAATGACATCTTCAATACCCAGTTGTGACAGAAAGATGGAAGCTAAATGATCATACCAATGGAATACAAAATGAATCCAATAATATTGTAAATGAGGAAGATTTGTAGGCTTTAAAAGAGTATAAATCATTTGACTTTGTGTCCAGGCATAAACCAAAGAGCACAATTCTAATAAACCAAAGAGCCCCATTCTAACCATCCTGGGGGTAACCATGGCCATAGATTGGTGCTGCATAGCCAAGATGTTTCATTTGAAACTAGTCAATAAATACTCAGTTGCTGTGCCATTCAGTGGCATGCCAATCAGCACTTTGTAATATAATGGTATAGACACATCATTCTTTATGTATCCATTCCATATTTCTAGTGTTACCAAGTTATGTAACTTTGGTGTGATTCTTTTGCTTCCCATATAAAGAGAGGAGCTGACTAAACTGATCAAAAAAAAAAAAAGGTGAGATGAAACCGTCCCACATTTTTGTTATACTCTCCTAAAATCTAGTTGTCTTATCTCTTAGCTGGCGAAGCATCAGCATTCAAACTAACACACTGATCTCTTTTACCTGAAAGCTTTTCCCATGTCTTTTGCTTTGTAAAGTATTATTAAAAGGCCAATTTCTACAAGAAGAAATACAGGAATACAGCTAACAAGGGATGTAAAGGACCTGTTCAAACAGAATGACAAACCACTGCTCAAGGAAATAAGAGAGAAAAAAAACAAATGGAAAAACTTTCCATCCTCATGGATAGGAAGAATTAATATCATGAAAATGGCCATGCTGCCCAAAATAATTTATAGATTCAATGATATTCCCATCAAACTACCATTGACATTCTTCACAGAATTAGAAAAAAACTACTTGAAATTTCATTTGGTACCAAAAATGTGCCTGTATAGCAAAGACAATCCTAAGCAAAATGAACAAAATGAAGGCATCACCCTACCTGACTTCAAACTATACTACAAGGCTACAGAAACCAAAACAGCATGGTACTTGTACCAAAACAGACATATAGAACAATGGAACAGAACAGAGACCTCAGAAATAACACCACACATCTACAACCTTCTGATCTTCAACAAACCGAACAAAAACAAGCAATTGATAAATGATACTGAGAAAACTGGCTAGCCATATACAGCAAACTGAAACTGCACCTCTTCCCTACACCTTTGCAAAAATTAACTCAAGATGGATTAAGACTTAAATGTAAAACCCAAAACCATAAAAACCCTAGAAGAAAACCTAAGCAATACCATTCAGGACATAGGCATGGGCAAAGACTTCACGACAAAAATGCCAAAAGCAATTGCAACAAAAGTCAGAATTGACAAATGTGACCTAATTAAACCCAAGAGCTTCTGCACAGAAAAAGAAAGTGTCATCGGAGTGAACAGGCAACTGACAGAATGGAAGAAAATTTTTGCAATCTACCCATCTGACAATGGTGTAATATCCAGAATCTACAAGACACTTAAACAACTTTACAAGAAAAATAACCACATCAAATAGTGGGTAAAGGGTATAAACAGATACTTCTCAAAAGAAGACATTTAAGTGGCCAACCAACATGAATAAAAGCCTAACATCACTGATCATTAGAGAAATGCTAATTGAAACCACAATGAGATACCATCTCATTCCAGTCAGAATGTCAATTTTTAAAAAGTCAAGAAACAATAGATGGTGGTTAGGCTGTGGAGAAATAGGAATGCTTTTACACTGTTGATGGGAATATAAATTAGTTCAATCATTGTAGAAGACAGTGTGGCGATTCCTCAAGGATCTAGATCCAGCAATACCATTTGACCCTGCAATCCCACTACTAAGTATATACCCAAAGGAATATAAATCATTCTACTACAAAGACACATGCATATGTATGTTTATTGCAGCATTATTTACAATAGCAAAGACATGAACCAACCAAAATGCCCATCAATGATAGACTGAATAATGAAAATGTGGTACATATACACCATGGAATGGAATACTATGCAGCCATAAAAAGGAATGAGATCCTGTCCTTTGCAGGGACAAGGATGAATCTGGAAGCCATCATCCTTAGCAAACTAACACAGGAACAGAAAACCAAACACTGCCTGTTCTCACTCATAAGTGGGAGTTGAACAATGAGAACACATGACAGGGAGAGGAACAACACACACCGGGGCCTGTCAGACGATGGGGGCCGAGGGGAGGGAGAGAATTAGGACAAATAGCTAATGCATGTGGGGCTTTAAACCTAGATGACATGTTGGTAGGTGCAGCAAACCATCAGTGGAATTACATATACCTATGTAACAAACCTACACATTCTTCACTTGTATCCTGGAACTTCAAGTACAATTTTTTAAGAAGCCAGTGATGCACATCATTTTTGTCATATTAATGTTCGGCACTGTATTCGTCAGTGTTCTCTAGAGAGATAGAACTAATTTTATATATATATCCTATATACTATATATACCTATATATATCAAATATATATTTTATATATATATATATCTCAAGGGGAGTTTAATAAGTAGTATTAACTCACATGATCACAAGGTCCCACAATAGGCCATCTACAAGCTGAGGAGCAAGGAAGCCTGTCTGAGTCCCAAAGCTGAAGAACTTGGAGTGTGATATTTGAGGGCAGGAAGCATCCAGCATAGGAGCATGGTGTAGGCTGGGAGCCTAAGCCAGTCTAACCTTTTCATGTTGTTTCTGCCTGCTTTATGTTCTGACCATGCTGGCAGCTGATTAGATGGTGCCCACCCAGATTAAGGGTGGGTCTGCCTTTCTCAACCTACTGACTCAAATGTTAATCTTCTTTGGCAACACCCTCACAGACAAACCTAGGACCAATACTTTGCATCCTTCAATCCAATCAAGCTGACACTTAGTATTAACCATCACAGGCACCAATGACCATTTCTAAGACACACAGATATACTTCTGATATTCTATCCAATCTCATTCTTTGCCTACCACAGTGGTAGGCCAGTAACACTAGAAAGGAGCATGTGGCTGCATATCCAACAGTTTATTTTTCTGTAATCCATTAGCATATTCCACAACTAATTGCAAGAGAAAGTTTTTTTGAAGGCATAAGAACTGGTGATAGTAGCAACAAAACATAAGAACTAGGAACAAAACAAATAAATTAAGTAATAATTTGCAAAGAAAGACCTTCTTGACATTAATGATATTAATATTAAGCATTCATTTAGATGCAGGCCTGGTGTGGTGTCTTGGGAAAGTAGACTACTTCAGATGTTGTCTTTTTCTCATCCTTGTTGGTTCTTTGAGAATTTTAAATTACTGGTTAGAGATGAAGTCCAAGCAGGCAAAGCAGTTGTCTTTAAAAGAGTGATGTATATCCATGAATTAATTCCTTTTAGCTTAGCAGCACCAGAGTTGGTTAGGAGCACATGATAAGGTCTCTTCCACCTTAGTTAGAAGCAATCCTTTAAAATATGCTATTTCCAATAGAAAAAATCTCCTGGTTGGTCTTTGAGTTTCTCATCTCCTGTGAACTTACTGTGGAAAGAGTCGTCTACTAAATTATAGGTTTTAGCAAACTGCCTCATAAAGCCACTGCAATAATATAACACATCCCCTTTTGATATCACAAATTCACAATTTACTGGAGATAATTTCATATGTCAGCCTGTTATAATTTCAAATGGAGACACTTGGTATTTACCAAAAGGGATAAATCTTAGTTTAAGCAAGACTAATGAAAGAGCTTTTGGCCAAGGAATTTTAAAATACTTAGTTAATCTTGCCAATTGAGTTTTCATTGTTCCATTTGCGTTTTCCACTAACTCAGATGACTGGAGGTGATAAGCACAATGGAAATGTTGAAGAATGGGCAAGATATCATATACTGACTAGATTACTTGTCTAGTAAAATGAATACTTCTGTTTTATAAAGTTTAGGAAAATTCTTCACGTTAGAATATTTTTTTTCTAAGAGAATTTTACTTAACACTATGGCTGTTGCTGTTTCACATCAAAATGCTTCTACCCAATGAGAAAATCTACAAGCCATCACTAGGACATATTTGTACTCTTGTGATGGCAGTAGTTGAATAAAATCTAGTTGTCATACTTTGGAAGGGTCATCCCATAAAGAAAAGTGACTTTGCAAATTATGTAAAGGTTTCCCTGGATTATGTTTTGTGCAGATATGATAGCAATTGTACACCTTATAAGCAACAAATGGAGAAGGTTTTCAATAATATTGTTTGCTCTAATTTGCTCCAAGCAATCATCTTATCAAGCCTCCAATGAGTTAAATCACACACACACGTTCAGAAAGACGACGGTAATTGGGATGGAAGTATGGGCTGACCTCTTGGTTCATACCATCACACAGTTTGAGAGGAGAACTTTTTGTTTCTCAATTGTTTCTCCCTTTTTTTTCTCAATTTTCCTGTTCTATTTTTTAGGGCTTTGGATTGAGTTAAATTATCAAAATCGAGTGCTTCCTTGAAAGCTAAAATGGCTTGATTTTCTTGTTTAAATCTATGTAAGGCAGCTATTTTTGCTGTACTAGTTGCTAATTGATTTTCTTTGCTTTCTAGGGTGTTTGTCTTTTAATGGCTAGGAATCTAACAATGGCTAATGATTTTGGCAATAATATAGCTTCCAATAATTTTGAAACAGGGTGTCCATTTTTTATGGGCTCATAGGAAGAGGTTAAAAATCTTCTTTGTTTCCATAGTGCCTCAAAGTCATGAGCTACTTCAAAAGCATATCTGCTATCTGTATAAATATTAGCAATTATTCCTTTTGTTAATTGACAGGCTCTAGTTAATGTTATTAACTCTGCTTGTTGAGCTGAAGTTGTTCCTAGAAGATAAGGACTTTCTATTTCCTCAGTCAAAGATACTCTCGCATAGCTTGCATGTTAAATTCCAGAGTCATCCTTTAAGTAAGATCCATCCGTAAACCAAACAACATCAGCATTAGTAAAGGGAGTTTCTAATAGGTGCATCCTGGGTGAGAGAAGCTGGTCAGTTAAGATTATGTAATCATGTCGCATTTCATCTGAAAGCAGGGGTAGAAGAGTGGTAAAATTTAGGTTATTATATTTGAAGAGTGTAATAGGGGAGCAGAAAGAAGAACTTTATAAGAAGCCAGTCTACTAACTGAAGAGTGTTGAGTATGGTGGGAGTTTAGAAGTGCTTCCTCAGAATGTGGAATAAAGACAGTGAGGGGAGATTTCATCACAATTTATTCAGTCACTTTTATTCATGGGGAAGAATTATTACTTTCATGCAAGGTGGCAATCTTTTAGCCACAGGGTCCAGTTGTTAACTATAGTACTCTACAGGTCTATTTTGATCTCTATGTGTTTGAGTCAGAATGTCTAAGATGTCTCCCCAATTTTCATGAACAAATAATGAAAATAAAATATTATTTGTGGGATGTCCTAATACTGAAGTATCTATAAGACTTGTTTTAAGTTTTTCCAATGTTAACTGATTTTCCTCTGTCCATTCCACGAGTCCTGGTCTATTTTGTTTTAAAAGAGTATATAAACTTTGAGTTTTTAGGATGAGGTTTGAAATTAAAATTTCTCCAGTGTTTCACCAACTCTCAAATTCTTCTCAGTTATTTATTAGTTTTAGAGGCAGGAAAAGCCAATATTCTTTTTATTATATCCAGATTGATAAAAAGAACTTCCTTTGTTATTAAGTGCCCTAAACACCTAACTTGTTTGTGACAAACCTGGAGTTTTTTTCTTCAAGACCTCATGTCCCTTTGAAGCTAATTGTCATAATAAATAAATTCCATCCTCTATGGAGGCCTGCTTATCTGCTGAGCAGAGAAGAAAAGTAAATTAACTCTATAGTGTATCAAGGTGGATTTCTTAGGGAAGTTGACATTTGAAATGTCTATTTTTAATATTTGTAAAAGATAAATTGGACTCTCACTATATCCCTAATGTGTAGCTGTTCATATGTATTGTCTAACTTCCCAAGTGAATGTGAAAATCAATTGATTATTTTTATCTGAAGGAATGCTAAAGAATGCACTAAATAGATCTATTATGGTAAATATATTAATCAGGGCTCTCCAGAGGGAAAGAATTAATAGGATAGATGTATATATAAAGGGAGTTTATTAAGGAGAATTGACTCACAAGATCACAAGATGGAGTCCCACAATAGGCCATATGAGGAGCAAAGAAGCCAGTCTGAGTCCCAAAACTTCAAAAGTAGGGAAGCTGGCAGTGCAGCCTTCAGTCTGTGACTGAAGGCCCAAGAGCCCCTGGCAAACCACTAGTGTAAGTCCAAGGGCCCAGAAGCTGAAGAGTTTTGAGTCTGATGTTCAAGGGCAGGAAGCATTCAGCCCGGGAGAAAGATGAAGCCCGGAAGATTCAGCAAATTGGCATCTTTCATCTTTTTCTGCCTGCTTTTTCTAGCAGTGCTGGTAGCCAATTGGATGGTGCCTACCTACAATATGGGTAGGTCTTCCAGAGGGCAGGTCTTCCTCTCTGAGTCCACTGACTGAAAATGTTAATCTCTTCTGGCAACACCCAGAAATACCAAGATACACCCAGAAACAATGCTTTGCATCCTTCAATCAAGTCAAGTTGAAAATATTAATGATCGCAGTAAATAACTCACCTTCAGATGGGATGACAGTAAAAAACATAGGAGGATTTGGTACCACTGAATTGAAATGTTACATGGGATAGGGCTGTACAGAGAATAATCAAGCCTCTTTTTATGTAATGCAAATTTATAGGTCTCATCCCTTCCAAGGCCTCTAGAGTATTTTTTTAAGGGTCAGAGAGGTTTTAAGTGTAACAATTCTACTTTATATTCTAATTATAAATATCTTTTCCCCTTTTGTGAGAAAGAGATGTGGGTATTGTATAATTCTAAAATGTCTTTCCCTATTAAATGACTGGGGGTTGAGGGACCAAGAGGAAAACATGTATTCTCTGTAAGGGACCCAACTGAAAAATTGTAGATTGAGGTTTATATACTGATATAGGAATACTTATTATACCTACCATTTATATTTTTGTTTTAATTTTAATTTTATTTATTTATTTTTTCAACGTTTATTTTAGGTTCAGGGGGTACTGTATTTTTTTTTTTACTCCAGGGAATGTGGTATTGTAATAAGGTGGATTTTTATCACTGATAATGTAGCTCCAGTGTCAATGAGAGCTTGTATTTGTTCTCCTATTTAAATTAATTTCATTTTCCCCTAAGGTATTAGTTTAGATAAAAGAGAAATTCTCTTTGATTTTCTCAGAGCATTCTTATTCTTCTTTTTCTTTGGCTTGTTGCTGTTCTCTCCATTTCAATTTTCTACAGGCCCTTTTGAAATGTCCAGGCTTTTTGCAGTAGTTGTAATGCAGGGAATTGGGTGAGTTTTGGAATGTATTAGATTGTTGAGGAATTACAAATTAGTTAGACAATTGCTTTAGTTGTAAGCTCATGATCTTATTTGCTTTTCCTTTCTGTTTAACCTTCTCTTCCTTTTCTTCTGTGTTCAAGTATAGAATATTTAATCAAAAATTTATAACTAAATCTTGAGTTTGAGAGATAGCTCAACTAGGGTGTAGACTCTCTTATAATTGCTAATTCTTCATCTAATTCATTTGTAATGTTTGAGTTAAGAAAAGTATCATTTTGGTAGTTAGCATAACTTTCTTCTGATAGGCCTGACTATTGTTTAAATAATTTTTTCCAAATCTTTCATGGTATGCCATTACATGATCATCAAGATTTTGTCAGCCTTGTTGTATTTTGTTCATATCAACTACTGTTTGGAAAACTAACAGGATAGCATGCCATAAAGCTTTGGCAGTATTGTGTATACATTTACAATCTGCTTCAGAAAATTTATGAAAATCTTCTAAATAATTTCTCTAATTTGCTTTTACTATCCTATCTTTGGCTTTGCTTTCTGATGCTAACAGGTGAACCAATTTACATGAATCAGAGAATCTGGGGTCACAAATGAGAATATTTAATGCAAATTCTTTAGTAAATCCAATAGCAGACTGAAGAGGATCTGGAAATTCTTTAGGTATGCCTTTAAGTTCTACTTTTGACCGTGGTTAATAAACTAAGACAGGTTCTCCTCTACTGTACACATGGCATTTCTGAAATGAAGCCATAATAGCAGAAAAGGTAGACAGGGAGAAGGAGGTAAGTTCAAACAAGAAAATTCTGACAAGGGAGAAGGAGAAGCAGAAGAAAGGATCAAAATTTTAGCAGTGTTTTTAATTTAGAAATTTTTTGAAAATCTTTTGTTTTCCTCTTGAAAGAAAATGACTGGATCAGAGACTCTTTTAAAGGTTCTAACTACCACTGAAAATAGTTCTCCCAGTTATTTATTTATTTATTTATTTATTTTTACTTTAGAGTCAGCTTTCTCTGAGTGCACAGATAAACTAGTTTAGATATTTCAAAGGTACGCCATTTTGGCCACTGTAATTTGGGGTCCTCACAAAGTATATGACACTATTTTTCTAAATGGCTGCATAAAAAGGCACAATAAATATTAATCATGAATCCAGCAAGAATTTCTAGTGATGGATGTGTTCTTAAGGAGGAAGACTTGAGAGTACAATTTCCCACAATTTAGACTTTTTTTTGAATGACCAACAAGACTTGGGGAGATGTATTGGATCCAGTGTGTTACTTGTGGGATAGCTCCTCAAGGTGTCACCATTGAGCTGATTCTACCTGTTTTACATGTCTCCTCAGTCCCAAGAGATTTGGGTGCTTTAGGCACTCGGTGATCAAGCATTATGTGTCCTTACCAGATTAAGCAAGCTTCCCTGAATGTTCTTGAGAGACTCCCTGTTAGTACAGTTTCACATCACTAGCAATAAGCTGCCACACTCCTGTGAGACCTTAGTCGCCTAAGATGCCTTTCAGCTGGGAGGAACAGTGTCTCTGAGGAACAGTGTCTCTTATCTTTGAGACTTACCTCATCCTCATAGACAGCCTTTTCTAATTTTGGTCACTCAAGAAGAAAGTTTAGATTTGTCAGCTAAACCCAACTTCAGAAGCTGTCCAGTTTTAAGGATTACAATTGGTTGGTTGGTTGTTTTTTGTTGTTTTGTTTTTTGTTTTTTGGTTTTTGTTTTTTTTTTTTGCTTAACCCAAAAAGATTTACATTTTCTTTTCAGAGAAACTGTTTTCTCCCTGACCAAAATTTTGAAGGAAAGAAAAGTTTGTAAAAACTCTTAGTAATTTCAAACAAAATCCTACCCTCAGAGAAAAGTAAAAATCACAAATTCATGATTAGCAAAGCTCTAGAAAATAACAAACAAAACTCCTACCTTACAGTAGAGCTTTAATACCTACTCTACTGAGTTAAGAATGTGTGTAGTTCATATAACATCTGAATTCTTCAACAAAGCCACGAGGATTTGAACACAAGAGAAGTTTACCAGAGATTCCGTTGACTAGCAAGTTCAGGTAAACAAATGTAATTTGTGATGGTTCCCAGGGTACCCCTGTGGGTGAAGTGGTGGACACTGCTGGAGGTTTGCTTCTGGTCCCTTTGTGGTCCCCAAAAGGTCAATCTTAAATAATGATATTCAGAAAAGTATAGGGTTTATTTAAGTATTAATACAAAGCTTGAGGATATTCACCAAAGAGACACCAACTCTAAAGGAATAGGGTCAGTGCTCCAAATGGAAAAGTTAAAGTTTCACTTACATTCGCAGAGAAAGAGAAACTTTAGCAGATTTACGAATTCTTCCTATGAGGCTAGTGCATATGTTACAGTGATTCAACTGGTTACAGATTGGTACAGATTCTATTGGTTACATTCCAAGGAAGATTGCTTTATTGTTCCATGAGGCAGGGCAGTGATCTGAGGGGGTCTTATTTCTGGTGCTGTTTGGTTTTCCTAGTTATTTATAGAAACAAAAGTCATGCAGTTGCATGCCATATGACTCAGGCCGCATAGCCTCATTCCTCTCGAGACTCAGAATAATTTAAAGTTACAACAGCTTTACATTTAAATTATTTAATAAAGAATTATTCAAGTTCACAAAAATAAATAGATTTATTCAAAGAAAAACATTTCCTTTAATTTTCTTATGATAATAATATCTTCTGTGCAAAGAAGAGATATTTATGTGTTGGTTTTGGGGTTATTACTTGCTTAACAAATATGATAATTTAGTATGGCAGAAGTATTTTTGAAATATACTACTTGTTAATCTCTGCATTTGTAAATGCATACAACATTAGACACAGGATTTCTCATTGAGTAGATTATAATAATCACATATAAAATAATCACACAATAAACAAAAATGATATAAAGGTAAATGTAATACCAGATTTAACAAATAATGCAAAATAATTGAGGAAAAATATAGATTTAATTAGAAAATATTCCATGAGAAAAATCAGGAATAAAATTCTTATTAAAATAGCCATATTTAATTCCGGGGTAATTTAGAGCACAGTCAGAAAACATGAGTTCATATCTCCACTCTTTCAATTATTATTTGTATAACCTTGACCAAGTGTCCAAAAATCCCTGATGCTCACTTTATTCATTGAAAGTGTGAGTAATAATAGTAACTATCTAATAAAATTAACCTCTTCTTGAATTGTAGATCCAGGTATTTTGAAAATATGAGTATATATTTTGAGAAGATTTTAAACACATATGACCCTTTTTTTTTACCATCTTTTATAAGAAAAAAAAATGCTTTTATTTTTGGCATCCCCAAAAGACATCCAAACACACTATAGTACAGCAGGCTGTTGATAATTGTTACAACTGGGTGTTGGGTACAGTAGGTTTCATTATATTGTTGTTTCTATTTTTGTTAATATTTGAATATTCTCATAATTTTAAAAAGTTGTTTAAAAAACTCTAATATCACTACTTAATTATCTGATAGTATAAAAGTCTGTCTGGCCAATTCTGCCATAAAAATTTATTTTAAGTAATGAGCCTGTGTCATGCTTTATGTGCTTTTTTATTTCCTATAAACCTGTCTTTGTAATAGAGACTTATAATAGTACATTAATACTTACAGTTTTTCTCTATTTTCTCTTTAGGTGATCTTTTTTTTTCTTCAAAATCTGTGGACTAGAAATTAAACTAATGATTTTTATTCTATGTGCCAAAGACAACACATTGTTCAACATTGTCTCTCACCTTTTAAATATCCATGTTCCATTTAAAGTAGAAGGACAGATTAATGAATTTCTCATGACCTTCTGTGAGAATCGCTTACTTTAAAACAATGGTTCTTTCTTTTGAATGAGAAGAAATTTTATTATGTCATCAAGTCCCAGATTTTCTAAAGCAGCAAGTTAGAGGATTAAAAATGTAATGTAAAGCTTTGTATGTATGAATATAATATACATATTTGCAGTTGAGAGGAACCTAGGAATAAGTTGTTATTACTACCTACCTGTTCATTCATTCAAAATCTCTATGTTGACAAACACTATTTTAGGAACTGGAAATTCAGTGATGAAACAACAGACAATATTGCCTGCCCAAATGTAGCATATGCCAGGGGGAAGGAGGAAGACAAAATAATGATATAAATGAGTAAAGTAAATGGCATGTCTGATGGTAATAGTGTTATGGAGAAAAATAAAGCATAGAAGAAAAAAAGTGATTGACGAGACGGAAAGACTATTTTAAGTATGATAGTGAGAAAACTGTCATGCTGAGATGACATTTGAGGAGACACCTGAAATATGTGACACTATAAATCATGTAGATATCAGCCTGATGTGTATTCCAGGCTGTGTAGGAAGAGCACAAAAGTTTCTGATAGGAATGTGGCCTTACCAAGAAACAGAAAGAAGCTGTGCATGACTGGGACAGAGTGAGATGGGGGGAAAAGATAGCCGGACTCAGGATTTTAGTTCCTTCTCCAAATCACATCAGAAACCTGTGGATGATTTTAAGCAGAGAGATGTCTTTTTCAGCTTTGGAGAATGAGTATATTCAAAGGCCTTGAGATACATGAGGAAGTAGCAGACAGATTATCCACACACACCTACAAGATTTTACTGAGGCATGTGAGGTGACTAGATTAAACAATTGAGATGATTTGCTATAGTAGGCATGGTAGAAAGTGTGTTGTGTTGTGCTGCATGGCAGCTTTTACTCTTGATTAAATATCCTGAAATATCATCTGTTTTCAGTTAATTCAAAAAGGGAGAGAAACCTTTAGGATTTCAGGTTTTGGCTAATTCCTCCTTATCCTTCTGCTCTCAGCTAACTCCTACTCAGATATTTCTCTACACAGCATCTTCACTGGGGTCTTTAATATCTCTCTGAAGTCTTTAGTGTCTGTCTGCCTAGATTTGTTCCATGCGAGGAATGTCAGATTTACAACAGTATCCTTGGTACATTAAATGCCCCCAAGAGACACTGAATTATTTGATGAATGATGAATAAATGGATAAATAATGGAGAATTGAAAAATTAATGGAGGTATGTTAAAAGACCATTACGTTGTATTTTTAATACATAAATCCAGATATTACTAGATCACAATGCTGGCTAGGAACACAGAAACATTGTTGCAACAACTGCCAGCTTTACTGGAGTGTAAGACGGTGACTCAGATCCCAAGCACAGGAGAGCAGCAGCTCTGTTCTCAAAACCAATATGCAGTCATGTAGTATATTTTTCAGACTGGGTAATGCAGTTGAGTCAGAGCAGGGGAAAAAAATGCCATAGGAGTTGCTATGTTTCAAAGCTTTTGTTTTTCCACATTATTATTATTTTTTAAAATATTTCACTAAACATTAATTAATAACAAAATAATGCACAATATTCCTCCGTCAAGACGAGGCAAGAGGCTGGCTGAGCATCTTTATAATTCATCTAAAAATCTTATTTCAGGGAGGTATTCTTTGGTACCA
The DNA here is from genome assembly GCF_000001405.40 of Homo sapiens. Lineage (NCBI taxonomy): Eukaryota > Metazoa > Chordata > Mammalia > Primates > Hominidae > Homo > Homo sapiens. The sequence goes on from NC_000018.10 coordinate 43,665,893, forward strand.
TTTCTTCAAAGAAATGTTCTCAGCAATTAATTCATGCTTTCTAAATTTAAAGCATGCTAATTAGATATCCATCAGGTGGACAGGGGAAAACCTTCTAAGAAACTACTGGCTTCAAATATAGTACACATAAATTAACTCTAAAAAATCTCTTTTATAAATACATCATCTCATCATGTATATATTGAGTGGGCCACATATGTTTTTGAATTCCATAGTCTATTTGTCCAAATGTGCATGGAACATGTGTTAGCTCTAAGTATGGATTTTTTGGCACACATTTGCTTTTATCTATTAGCTGGTATTCACACAGAAATTATTTTAAGCCTGGGCTTGGTGGCTCATGCCTGTAAGCCTAGCACTTTGGTAGGTCGAGGCAGGCGGATTGCCTGAGATCAGGAGTTCGAGACCAGCCTGGGCAACACAGTGAAACCCCCTCTCTAGTAAAATACAAAAGAAATTAGCTGGGCATGGTGGCACGTGCCTGTAATCCCAGCTACTTGGGAGGCTGAGGCATGAGAATCGCTTGAACCTGGGAGGTGGAGGTTGTAGTGAGCCGAGAGCACGCCACTATACTCCAGCCCGGGTGACAGAGCAAGATTCTATCTCTACAATAAAAAAAAAAAAATTATTCTAGGTCTACTTTATGCCAAACAGTGTGAGAGATACAGAAAGATAAAAAGATAAAATGATATTTACTTTGTTATCAAGGAATCTGCATACTTCTTGGGGAGATTCACTCACATATATGCTACAAGCTAGAATATAATCACATCCTAAAATTGTGCTATGTTTCTATAGGAATGGAAGTCATCATTGGGTGTTAAGTCATTGCAGTAACTGCATGAAGAAAGTGAGACTCAAACTGAACTTCAAAGGGCACATTGCCTTGGATGAGGAATGAGAGAGGACCCAACAATTCTGACTATAGACAATTGCAATTTTGCTTTAAAAAATTTCTTTTTACATACCGAGAGAGTAGCATGTTATCTTGGAAAGGCCATGCGCTGAAATCCAGGCGACCCAGGTTGTATTGCTGATTTGGCCCTCAATTCACTGTGCAGCATCAACTCCTCTTCAGGAACTGTATTAGAAAAACTCATCACAAAAGCACTTTCTAATTTACATGGTAAAACATAATTTAATTCTAAAATTATCAGTGCCATGCTCTCAGGCTGTTTGAAAACAATCACAACTAGATTTCTAGCTTTCCCTAGCAGAAATATCAGCAATGATTCTCTTCCCTATTTTTAATAGCAAGACAGACAGCAAATCCCAGTGTAGAGATACCTAATACATGTGGAGAAACAAAAGGATTGATTATACTATGATTCCAATGCACAGAAGGCCATATAACTCCTTGTAGGCCACGGAGTTTAGAGAATTCAAGTGAAGTATGATGGTACTAAAGGCAAAATTTAGTGATGCCTTCGAAGTCTGAATATACTTTTTTGATGTTGAAATCCTTGAGTTACTAATAATAGCTCACGTGCATAGCATGTCAAACTTCTTAAAATAATCACTTAACTTTTAATATGTATTCTTTTGTGTTAAGTCATTATTTCCTCTTGACAGGTAATAGCACTCAGATATAAAGATGTTAGATTTATCTGTTTAGACGGTGAATCTGTAACCTCACCCAATCTGAAACCCACTTCTCATTCTTGCTATAGTTCTTCTTTATATTTTCTAATATGGTTCCTGTGGACCTTCTAGAGTTGTTTCGAGTGTTTCTCTTGCTGTTTCCATGACTGCTTTTGAAGATATTCATTAAGAAAGGAGTATCTATTTATATGGATGAGACAGTAGTGTGCTGGCAAATATTTATCAATCAACTCCTTAGGAAAAAATGATCAATATTTATTTATAGGGTTTGCCAATTTCTTAGTCTGTTTTGTTTTGCTGTAAAAAAGTACCTGAGACTGTGTAATCTATAAAAAAACGAAATTTATTTCTTACAAATTTTAGAGGTTGGAAAGTCTAAGATCAAAATGCCAGTAGGTTCAGTGTCTGGTGAGGGACCAGTCTCTACTTCCAAGATGGCATATTGATGGCTGCATTCTCCAGAGGGTAGAGACACAATTCCTCACATGCCAAAAAAGTTGAAGGGAAGGAAACCACTCCTGAAGGCTGAAAGCGCTTTCATTGTAGTATTATTCCATTAATGAGGCCAGAGTCTTCATGACAGAAACACCTTCTATTCAGTGCTGCTTCCCAATACTGTTGCATTGGTAATTAAGCTTTCAACTCATGAGTTTTGGAAGGGGCAAAACATTCAAACCAAAGTAGCCAATTTTTGTAGTATAAATACTCCCGTCATGGTTAATTTCAAGCTACTAATATAATGTCACCGAAATAAGAGTTGTTAAAAAGAAAAGGCGATGCCAGCTGGCTCTAGCATGCCATTGGTTCAAATATTTCTCACTTCTTGTGTCTATTAGTTCCAGATTAACTGATATAGCTCATTAGGGCTGAAAAATTCTAATTATACTCTCCAAGTTTCACTTTGTCCAAGCATGAGTCTATGGAGTATAGTTATTTTTAGCTTATTGTAATACTTTAGTGAAAGCTTCAGAGAGAAATACAAGAATAATAAAACTTGGGGGAAGATGAGAACAAGGTATGTAACTCAAAGAAAAAGGAATATTTTCCTGGGAATGAGTAGCCTCCTTTCTTTGTGAAGTTTTTATATGAGCTTCTTCTCCCTGACTCACTTGACCTGGATGTACACCAACATCTATGTTTCTAGCAATCTCTAGCCTAGCTTCAGATATCTTCAGATATTTCCTCTCTTGAGCTTCAGATATTTATAGACATAAATGCTTTATTAACATCTCCAGCATGTTAAAAACTAAACACAGTATTACCTGGCCTCAACGGCACTAACTCATCTCTTTCTTTATTCCCTAATTGATTAAGAAAGGAAACCAAAATTCAACTTAGACCTCTTCCCCTGCCTCACCACAGTAGTTAACCCATTAGCAAATTCTACTAATTTTATAACGTATTGTTTTCCTTGAATTTCTGCGTGATAACCCTTTCCCGGTTTCAGTACAATTTATAGCATGGTTTACAAATCTTCCTTCAGTTGGCCCTTTCTGACTCTCCAGAATCATTGCTTACCATTCCTGTCTCATACTCTACATTATAATGCCAGACCAGTTATAGAAGCCCAGTGTGATTCACGCTTCTGTATTTTTTGGAACCTGTACTATCTTAGAGTACACCCTCCCTACAGTCTTATCTTCTTTGCCTGGAAAATTATTTCTTCATCCTTTAATATCTACCTCCAATGGCAACTCTTCTAGAAAATCTTCCCTGAATCCCATTCTTTCCCATTGCTGTTATAAGTGTTATTTCTCTTTATTTTAATTGCACACTTTGTAGATTCCAGACTTTAGAATATTACAAAGAGTTATATGTTTATAGATCTCTCCTTCTTAAAATTCTTTATGCTCTTAAAGAGAGGCACAATGTGGTATTTGTCTTTATACTTTTAGGACTTAGCATAGAATTTGGCATATAATAGTTAAATGGTATTATTAAACGATAAAGAAGTATCTTAGCACATGCATTAAAGTCAGAATCGTTATTTCAAAGGACATTAAGATGGAAGCAATAACCTAAAAACTGGCAATTCTGGCTTGATTTGATCATGTGTGCAGTTTATTTCTGAGAGTCTTAAAATACTTTATGCCCATATCTAGTATTTGTAAAATTAATTCAGAATGAGGAAGGAAAGGTGGCATTAGGAGGCAGAAACAAATTGTTTGAAAATGCTCATTCAGTATTTGAGTTCATAGCTCAATGCAGAAAGCATTGATGATATGGCATTGTAATATATGTTACATTTCAGAATTTTAAGAAGCATAGTCACTTGACATCCTCCCTGGTTCCTGAGTTTCCTGGACAAAGAAGTAGGCAGGCTTTTTTCTCCTATGAGTGGTGTCACATAATGGTTAAAATGGGAAATTGGAATTAGAAAGACAATATTAAAATTCCTTGTCTGATACTTAAAAAGATTATAACCTTGGGTAAGTTATTTAAACTCCTCTAAAGAGTCTGTTTTTGTTCTGTAAATTGTGAATAACAATATCAGCCTCCCAAGTTCATTATAATAATCCATTTAGATAATGTGTGGGTATGGTCAAGGTTTTTGTTGTAAGCCTCAGAAACTGATTCTAGTTATTTTAGGCAATAAAAAATACATTTGAAAGATGTAAGACACTCATAGACATAACTAGAGACACAACTAGCACTTGCAATAGCAAACTTTGAAAACAATATCCAAAACAAATTTCAGAAGGAAAAAAGCAGAAAGCAGAAAAACCACTGGGAACTATCATGCCATATTACCACTGCTGCCAATGCACTAGACACTCCTCTATCTTGGCATTTATCCAGTTTTAATTCTAACCTGTCTTTAGGCTTCAGTTACAAATCCCAGGTATAGAGTCTTGTATAAAAACATTAAGTTGCCCATGACCTAATCATGTTTTCTCCTATTTCTGCAAAGCATTAAAGAGAGATGACCACTTTTCTATAGCTTTACTAAAAAGTGGTTGGACTCTTTTTCCCATGAATACCAAACATTATTGAGGATTATTCTTAAATAGGGAGGACCATTAGTCTTTTTCCCACCAATACCAAACATTATTGAGGATTATTCTTAAATAGGAAGGACCATTAAGTTAGTCTGTAAAAATGGCAAATAACTATTATTTTTTTTTTTTTGAGATGGAGCTTTGCTCTTGTTGCACAGGCTGGAGTGCAATGGTACGATCTTGGCTCACTGCAACCTCTGCTTCCCAAATTCAAGCGATTCTCCTGCCTCAGCCTCCAGAGTAGCTGGGATTGCAGATGCCCACAACCAAACCTGGCTAATTTTTTGTATTTTTAGTAGAGATGGGGTTTTGCCATGTTGGCCAGGCTGGTCTCAAACTCCTGACCTCAGGTGGTCCACCCGCCTCGGCCTCCCCAAGTGTTGGGATTACAGGTGTGAGCCACCATGCCCAGCCACAAATACTTAATAAATTCCTTTACCTGCTTATCATCTACAGATACTTGTCTTTCCTACTTATATAAAACTAATCCCTCCTTGGATATGGTTACCATCCCTCTTATAATCAAAAAAACACACTCAGCATGTTCTCAAAGGAAATAATTCAAATTCATGTCTGTTGTTCTACTCAACTTGTATGTCCAGTATTTTGGGGTAGGGCATACTCATCTATCATAACCGTCTTGCTTTTCTGCAAAATATTAACTAAAAGATCAATTTAACCAACAAGGCCACACTTTACAAAAATATAGTAAGAATAGTAGGAATGCAAAACAAATTAATAAAGATATGAATAAATAACCATGAGATCACGAAACAGGAAAATTACAATGGACACTGCTTTGTTTCTAAAACGAATCTGAACAGAATTGCTGGTATTTAAGAATCTTGCCCTCCATTCTCATCCAATGACTCTTTGCCTTTAGCTTGCAACTCAGCTTATCAGAAGCAGAGAACAAATAGGATCAAAAAAAGTACCTATTGGATACTAGGCTAATTACCTGGGTGATGAAATAATCTGTGTACTAATGATATGGTTTGGCTGTGTCTCCACCCAAATCTCATCTTGAATTCCCACGTGTAGTGAGAGGGACCCAGCTGGAGGAAATTAAATCATGGGGGCAGGTCTTTCCTGTGCTATTCTTATGACAGTGAATAAGTCTCACAAGGTATGATGGTTTTATGAGGGGAATTTCCCTGCACAAGCTCTATTAGCCTGCTGTCATCCATGTAAGATGAGACTTGTTGCTCCTTGCCTTCTTCCATGATTGCCAGGCTTCCCCAGCCATGTGGAAGTCTAAGTCCATTAAATCTCTTTCTTTTGTAAATTGCTCAGTCTTGGGCATATCTTTATCAGCAGCATGAAAATGAAATAATACAATAATACAACCAAACAACACCCATGACATGCAAATTTGCCACGTAACAAACCTGCACATGTATCCCCTGAACCTAAAATAAACACTTACTAGCTCTCTAGAAGTCTTCCTTGAATTTTCTTCAAGTCACGACTCCTTTCAAAGATGTCCACTATTCCACTATCCTGATTAATAACAGTATGGATTACTTTGCCTATTATTCTTTAATTAACTTTTATTATTAGCCCATGTACTATTAGAGATTGCTCCAATAGCTCCCCTGAGTTCTATTTGTAACTTCTCCCTGGCGAAATTGGGTTGAAGAACCTATATTTTCCTAACAGTCAAAATCAATCACCCCAATTGACACAATGGCCCTTGTTTTTCATCTCTTTATGTAGTAGTATGAGGAACACTGGAGCATGTTGGTAAGAGTGAAATTTTACACTTGTGTTGTGCAAGTTAACTGTTCCCTCTGTTTTCTGTTTATCAGACTAATGACAAAACATTTGTCACTAGGTGCCGGGGCAATGCAAATTTGCTCTAGTGAGAAATTCATTTGTGCAACTGGTGTTTATCATGTAATTCATTGTTATTCTTCAATGTCACAGGTATTTTTTTTTTTTTGTATTTGGACACATGGAGATGTAATGAGGATGTACAGTAATTATCTACCCTACATCTTACAAGTCTTAACAGTTGCACTCACCACTGAAACTCCCACAGGCTTATGATATACTTTGAGATTTACTATTTTGGGAGCAGTAAATCTCCTATGGTTCACATTTCACCAGTTCTATAAGTTCTTCCTCCATGAAGTAAGAGAATCAGTTTAGTTATTCTATTAATTATTTCAGATAGGAACAAGTGTTCTTAGAGCCAGAGTTCTAAAAATCTTGATATTTTTGGTGATTTAACATTTTCTTGTATTCCATTAGTCTAGGGATTGTGGGAAATGGAGGAAGAAGTCTTAGAGTGTAATCTCTGTTGGTCTTAGATTGTCTTTTTACAAGAGTATATGGACTCCTCTTCTTTTAAGGAACTTTAAGTTTGTGTACAGAGTCAGGTTTATGAAACAAGTTCGATGCTGTGACTCTCCATTTTGCGGCATAAACATTTTAAAAAGGACCTGGTGGACTGCCCTCCTATTGTGTTCCTAGTAACCCCACACAATCAAATAATAGCCTTCAAAAATATCTACAGAATAGATAATTCTTATCATTACTCTCACACTCCTTCAATGATACTAACCATAATGACTTTGCTTCTTATATGCTCCCACTTAGTCTCTGTCATTGAGAGATCCCTTTAGACATGTTAGAGTTTACATACAATGTAACAGAGAATCCACATAATTCTGGTAACAAACATTGAGATGCTTTTCAAACATGTTGAGAATTTATTTTCCATGTAAGAATATATTGACAAGAGTATCCCTATAATGGTATACATTGTATGAGATAGTATGATGGAGTATAAATGATAAATGTACTCGATGATTTTGTGTTGAATCTATATTTCTGTTTGCTAATCAAGGAATCATAAAAATCACTTTATTCATTTGTCAGCCCAAGGACTTCAGAATCTCTGGTATATTCAGCAGTGTGAAGACATTAAACTTCTTCTTGTACTCAATGTCTCAAAATCATTTCCTACATTATTTCCCAGACTTAAAATAGCAAAGTCCTGCTCTTCTGGCTTTGTAAAGCTTCTCTTCCTAGGTTTGACTTTGTATGGGTCATCCCCTATCAGCTGGAAATGCTGGAATCTGATTCTAGTTTTATATTTGGATGAGGACTGACAGCAAAGCATGCAGAAAACTAGCCTATTTTGTTAAGGTATAAAGGCTCAGAATAATAATTTCTGCACCTTTACCAGTTAGTGAAAAATAACTTCATAGACAAAGGGAGGAGGAACCCACTAAAGGCTGATGGCTCATGGAATATGAAGTCTTCTAAATTCTACTTTATGTCTCTATTACAGTTTTCAGAACTTGGCTATTTTTCTCGTCTGTTCCCAAATCTGTGTACATAAATAATGTAAGAAGGAAATTTTCAGGATCAAACTTCAAGTCTGTCTTTCAAATATTTTCAGGCTTTTAAGTTGCAGGAAAATAATTAGTATTTTATACTGCTTAATTAGAAATCTGTGAAATTTGATTGATTTGTAAAATCTCAGCTATTTTATTCTAGAAGCAGCCATCTTACTTTGATCCCATTGAATTACTCAAATCTCTTGTATTGTTCAGCATACTAGCACTCCGAACCCTAACTTAATGGACCTTTGATTACATGTGAACATAGCTGATAAATCACACATTCTTTTTTGCCCTATATATATTGAGATGGTAGATTCCCATTTTTAAAAATTAATAAAATAGTCGCTATTTTTTTATCCCAGCTAGGAAAGAAAGTCTCAGATTTCCCACATTTTTTTACTTAAAAGAGAAAGAAGAATACTGCCTTTACTTCTCTTTTACTTTATTTCTTTTTCCTCAACATTCCAGATGTAAATACCCTTCTTTGTATTCATTATGCTAAACACAACTAACAGTCTTGGAAATATAGATATAATATAAATATTATATGTAGATATATTTATATGTTAATATAAATAATTTAGAAGACTCTGAAAGGTAGCAATAAAAAGACTGACTGGCTAGAACCTTGAGGCTAAAAAAAAACACGATGGTGTTTCCTGAGTTTTCTTTTTGCTTCAAACATCCTAGTTGCTAGAATTATCTGACAAGAATTTTAAAGCAGCCAATATATGTCTTTAATGAGCAATTATGAAAATACTTGAAACAAATGAATAAAATACGTACTGGCAAAATAATAGAAGACATAAAGTAGAACCAAAAGGTAATTTTAGACCTAGGAAGAATGAAATTTTCAGGGTCAAACTTCAAGTCTGTCTTTCAAATATTTTCAGACTTTTAAGTTGCAGGAAAATAATTAGTATTTTGTACTACTTAATTAGAAATCTGTGAAATTTGATTGATTTGTAAAATCTCAGCTATTTTATTCTAGAAGCAGCCATCTTAGGCTGCTAGGAAATATAATATCAGAAAAAAGAAAACAAAAACCTCAGTGAATTGGCTCCATAGCAGACTGGAGGGGACAGAAAAAATAATCAGTGAATTTGAAGATAAAACAATAGAAATCTTAGTGAAAGATAGACCAAAAGAAGAAAAAAAAGAGTAGAACCTCAGGGACTTTTGAGAGTACAACAAATAAATTAATGGTCATGTTATTAAAGACTCAGAAGAGAAGCTAAAAAAGTCACAACAGTGGGGCTGAAAAAACTATCTGAAGAAATAATGGCTGAAATTTTCCCAAATTTGTTAAAAGATACATGCCTACAAATTCAAGAACTGAATGAACCCCAAACAGAATAAACTCAAAAAGATTGTACTCCAAAATAAATTATGATCAATCTTCTGGAAAATGAAAACAAAGAAAACATCTTAAAAGCCACAGGAGATAAGCAACACCTTGCCTATAAAAGAAAACCATTTCAAATCACAGGTGATTTCTCATCAAAAATCATTTATGCCAGAAGGAAGTAGCACAATTTCCATGTGCTGAAAAAAAGAAAGGAAATGTCAACTGTAATTACTATCTGGCAAAACTATCTAGAATAAGGGAATAAAGGGGCAAACAAATGTATTCTTAGATCAAGAAAATAAGGAAATTTGTAGCATTTAGATCTACTCTAAAAAAATCTATGAAGGAAGCAATTATGAAAATTGCTTGAACCAAAAAAGGAGAGAGAGAGAAAAAGACAATAAAAACAAAGAAATAAAGAAAATAAATGTCAAGAAAGAAGGAAAAAAGGATAACAAAAGAAGCTCCGAATATTAAAAGAAAAAAAGAACAATGGAAAGAGCAAAACATAGGTAAATAAAGTAGACTCATTTCCTCTTGAGATTACTAAACTATATTTAATGGTTGAAGGCAAAAGAATAACATTGTTTCAAATAGGCAGATAGAATATTTTGACAATTATGCATGGAGAAAGGTAAAAAGAGAAGTAATAGTTCTACATGTCACTCAAGCTGGTAAAATGTCAACATTAGTAGACTGTGATAAGTTATGTATGTCCCAAGTAAAATCTATAGCAACAACTTTAAAATCTATATAAAAAGAGAATTTTATATAGATAACTAAAAGTAGAATTTTAAGAAATTCTACTTTTATATAGATAGCTAAAAGTAGAATTTTAAGAAATTTAACCCAAAGAAACGCAGAAAAAAATAAGAGTTAACAAAAAGATTTAAAAAAAAAAAACATGGAACAACCAGAAAGCAAAAAGTAAAATGACAGATAAGCCCTGACATATCAATATTTATTAATGAAATGTAAATTATCTAAATATACCAATTAACAGACAGAAATGGCAGAGATTTTATAAAATGACCTAACTATAAGCCATCAACAAGAAACTCCCTTTAAATATTATCATAGATTGACAGTAAAAGGAGAAAATATGTATATATATATATATATATATATATATATATATATATGCCATGCAAATATTCATTAATAGAAAGCAGAGACAGTTACATTAATATCTGATCATCCACAGCTAACACATTACTGAATAGGGGAAAGCTGAAAGCTTTTCCTGTAAGAACTGAAACAACACAAGGATGCCTACTTTCATCACTCTTATTCAACATAGTGTTAGAAGTCCTAGCCACAGCAATTGGTCAAGAGAAAAATAAAATGCATCCAAAGTGGAAAGAAGGAAGTCAAATTGTTCCCGTTGCCTGATAACATAATCTTATATAGAGAAAAAGTTAAAGACTCTACCAAAAAACTCTTAGAAGTGATAAACAAATTCAGTAAGGTTACAAGATACAAATTAATAAACAAAAATCAGTGGTGTTTTCATGCATGAACAACGAGCTAGCTAAAAGTAAAATCCAGAAGGAAATCCCATTTATAATAGCTATGAAATATAATAAAATACCTAGGAATACATTTAATCAACGAGTTAAAAGATCTTTATAAGGACAATGACATATATTGATTTTTAAAAGGGAAGAAGAAACAAAGAAGTGGAAAGATATCTCATGCTCATAAATTAGAATAATTCATATTGTCAAAATGAAAATACTACCAAAGCAGTCTACAGAGTCAGCATGATTCTTTTCAAAATACCAATGGCATTTTTCACAGAAAACAAAAATATCTAAAATTTATATGGAACCACAAAAAACCTCGAATATCTAAAGCAATCCTGAGCAAAAATAACAAAGCTAGAGGTATCACACTATCAGACCTCAAAATACACTATGAACCTGTAGTAACCAAGTAGCATGGCACTGACATAAAAACAGATGCATAAAACAATGGAACAGAATAGAGGCCCCAGAAATTAATCCACATAACTGCAACCCACTGATTTTTTAGAAAGGTCTCAAGAACACTCCCTGGGGAAAAGATAGTCTCTTCAAAATATGCTTCTGGGAAAACTAGATATTCAAATGCAGAAGAATAAAACTAGACTCCTGCCTCTCACCCTATACAAAAAAAGTTTGACAACTTTGAGTTGTCAAACTGTCAGCGGTGGAGGGTGTCCAGGTTCTTGGTGTGGTGAACAAAAAATTGGACAAAACGCACAAAGGAAGGATGGAAAGAAGAGATTTATTGAAAATGAAAGTACACTCCACAGTGTGAGAGTAGGCCGAAGCATAGGGGCTCAAAGGCCCTGTTACCGAATTTTTGGGAGTTTAAATACCCTCTACTTGGGATACGCCCTATGTAAATGAAGAAGATGAAGTAAAGTTACAAAGTTATTTACTTGGCCTATGCCCTATGGAGAGGATATTTCCTGTCATAGCTGAAGTGTGAATTGGCCTTATGTTCCCTGCCTCCAGACACTATTTTCCTGTCTTATCTTCCGCCTGAGAGATGTGATCCCCATAAATCTTTATGGGAGGCAGAGGGATCAACGGTCTTTTTTCTATAACTGCATCATGGTGGCTTGGGGCATAGTCCCTACCTACTGGGGATCATGGAACTCTCCTTGTTCTATCTAGTGGAGGCAGGGTAGCTTCTTGATGGCCATGGGTGGTGTCATCACCTGGAACTGGCTGGAGCCTCTGTTGCGTGATCATCTGAAGCTTCATGGTCTCTAGGCCAGAGGAAATGAATTTGGTTAAAAGATTTAATGGGAACTTTAGTGGGTGGATACCTATACGGTTAGGAATGTTTGTTACAGTGATTTGCAGAAGAAAAAAACAAAACCTGTTCTGTTCTACAAATCTCTGTGTTTCCTTAAAGCCTTAACAGAAATGACTGCATTTTGGTTTGGTTTTGTTTGTCGGGACATAGTGCATGAGCTTAGTCCAAAACAATGGCCTCCCAGAATCTTGTTTAAAAAATTCCCCCTTTTTGGTCAGGTTCTCACTTAGGTGAGAGTGTAACCAAAACTTAGGGCCTTAGCGACACTCTTAGTTATGATCATTTTGGATTTCTGGTCTTAGCACATTATTTATAGGGTTACGGTGTCCTCCTTGTTGCACATTTCTTTCAATTCTTATCATTCCAGTTGAAGAGAGACCATATGACATTCTAGAGATGGCTACAAGAAAGCATGTAAAATCTTTGAGAGAATACAGCATGCCAGGGAGACTATTATTATAATTTTGGGAGGATAATACCAAGAGTTCAGAGTATGCTCCTTACTCAGGGTCCCCATAAACCAAGCCACCTAAAATTAAATAGATTCAAGAATGAGCTAGATGAAGAGTCTACTCACTTGACTAAGTGGTCTTTTCATTAATCCCCTAAAACTGAATTTTTAAAATCTGCATTTAATCTATTTCTCCATAGGCCACAAGTGTCAGCAGCTGCACAGGTACTTTTCTGTTTAGCCAATTCTATTATTTAGCATAACTTTCACAAGAAAATTTAAAGTCTGTTATGTAATGATAGGCTTTAAGATAGAATTTGCTATAGAGCCTATCATGAGGGATACATTTCTAATCATTGCTTCTTTTACTTTAAACCATGGAAAAGGGACCTAACAAATGATGCCCTTCTAGAAGACTGAAGGCCTCCTGGCAATGTTCTTTTTAACCCGTGATGTGGGTTAAGACGAATGAAACAATGTTTCATTTTTTGACTGATTATGAGGCAACATATGTACCATTTAAATTTCTTACCTACATTGGGCCTTCATCTTTTATCTATCAAAGTATAAGGTTATCCATGTATAAAGCTGGCTGCAAACTCCTTCACAAATAAAAGTGTACCCCATAAGTGTGCATAACAGACCCTTCTATTCTATTCCACTTCTATTGTTTGTAGAGGCCTAAGCAAGAAAAAAAAATCAAAGATAAGAGTTTCATGATAGCAGAAGTCTTAATTTGTGAACATGGGAAAGCTGTTCACATCAAGGATGCCATCTTCTTGGGAGAAATTTTCATGGTTAGCTTTACCTCAAGTGTTCTAATGGTTGCACAATTGCAAAAGTGTGGAGGGACCCTTCTTAGTTGCGAGGCCATGAACTCAAAGCCCCAAGGTCTTGAAGTCTTGTTGTAGTGTGGATGGCAAGGACGGTCTTTCTCTGAAGTTCTCAGAAGATCGAAACAATAAAAAGCTTTATTTACCTAGTGAAAATACACTGTAGTATAATAATCTGCTGTTTTAACATCTTGCATGGGAAAGCTTATATACAACCAGAAAATATAATTGAAAATAACAATGGAATGAAATCCCTTTATAAAATGTTTAAATGGTCCACCAGGTGACCAAATGTATGTGAAGCTTTGTCTTCCCAGGAATATAGGACCAAGCATTGGTTATAAACTATTTTAAACAAGTTCAGTGTCAGCTGGTTTAACATGAAAATCTGACAAAATATTTTCTTGGTATTTAATTAATTTTTGTTTTACTTGGGTTAGTAGCTTCATAAAAGGAAATTTGGTTAGTTTCTGTGGTTTATAATAACATAATAACCATAGTTATAATTGATAGCATATACTATTTTATGAATCCTATACAATTTAAAAACATATATTATTCACAAAAATATAACCCAAAGAAAATTGAACATCATTTTGGCAATCCCACGCACCTATACATGTGAAATAATCCTGTTTGTCTCTTTTCTGGATGTTTTCAGGGGCCCTCTGACCCATCCAGAAAGCAATGCCTTAGGAAAGACAATTTTGAAACTGAAGTTTGATTTTGGAATTCCAGATTACTATAAATTATTTATTTTGCCAAAATGATGCTCAGAAACAAAAGCCTTTTATAACCTTTAACAAAAACAAACAAACAAAACATATTCTACTGTTTTACACACCTTGCATGTAAAACTGTTCCTAGTAGTTTTAACTGCATGTTACAATGGCGACTCTTAGAATTTTAACTATAGTTTAAAACCTGGTAAGTCTGTTCTGACAAGTTTGACTATTTTCAGCATAGCTAGGGCGTGGCCAGCTCCACATATCCCAAGGCCTTCACTAGCTGGAAAGCAGGCAAGTTAAACAATTTTCAAAAGCCAAAGAAGCAGTTTATGACCTTAGAGCATTTAGCAAACCTAGTATTTGAACATAATTTAGACCACATGTTTACATTTTTAAGACATTTGTATTTTACCAGTAATCTTTAAAACTGTCTTTATTTCTCAAAGATTATTGAAGTCATATGAACTAAATAAAAGGCATTACGTTTTTCACTTTTCTGACAAAATATTTGATTTAAGCTCTTATTATTATTAAATCAATTAATTAAAAACTTTACAGAATATATACAGTGACTTTTACTTTATATTTTACCAATTTGAACAGAGAGAAAGAGGACAGAGACTGATTGGTACGAAATTTTAACCGTGTTGCTGGCATGCTAGGTTTCTGGATTCCCTCTCCCTGAGTGGCTTTAGAGACCCTGCTTGACTGGAAGCAAACAAACACATGGCCATTACTTAAGAATATTCACAAATAGTTTACAAGTTTTGGAGATATTAGGTGGGAATCTGCCTCAAATTCTATTTATGAAAGTATATTCAACACACTTAAAGTGTTAGGAAGCCTAAAATGCAAAAAGTTAGTTTATGAGGATAAAAAGCTGGTGTGCTCCCATTCCTGTGGCCCAACAAATGTAGCTTAGGAATTCTGGATAAATGGAACAAATGATGACTTGCTAGAAATGCATACAAAACAAAATAACTATTCACAGAACCAAGTAAAAGCCTTCCATTAGAAACTAAAAAGTATCATGGTTTTGTATATATGGATACACAAGTGAAGCCAGAGGAGAAGAAACAACAAACAAATGAAAACTAGAAGCAAAAATAAACAGGAAACCAACCCTAAATTTTCCAACTTAATTTACCCTGGAGGTTACAGTGTTACCTAGGGCCACCCCCCACGCCCGCCCCCCAAAAAACCCCACATAATGAATAGTTTATCCCTGATACACAAATTTAATATCTTTAAGTTCACCAATATTATTATTTATTCTGTGCAATCAAGAAATTTCACTTTAGGTAGTTGACCAATAAGTACTCTAGCACTATCCATGCAAAACAGCAAACACAGTGTGAAGCAATGCAAGCATGTATGTGAAATTTGGCTTTACGCTAAATTTCAGCTTTATGCTTAACTCTATCTATCTATCTATCTATCTATCTATCTATCTATCTATCTATCTAAAAGAATCGCCAAACTGCGGATGCATTTCTTTACAATACTTCTTATTTTACTTTAATCAGGGCTACACATCTAAACATGCATACACACATAAACGAAGATCCAATAGTTTGGAACCTTAGCCATAAGATAGAAATACAAGCTTGCTGGTTTTACTTTGCCCCAGTAGATAATCCAATGAAAGTTGTGAACCAAAATTTTGAGTAAAGCAGTCTCCATGGAAGTTTGATATTTAAAGGCCAGACCTCCCCAGACTCCAAAGAGCCCTGGGGCCAAACAGTACCAAAGGAGGGTGTCACATGTTAACCAGGCCCCCTGCTTAGAAACCGCAGAACAAAAGCCTGGATACATGCAATGCCATTCCTCTTTCCCATTCAACAGTAAACTCCAGATTCCAAGCAATGTTGGGGCCAGACATCATTGCAACTGAGAGAAAATTCCAAGGAGGGTTGACTCCTAGACCTCAGAACCTCTACCGAGAGCGTCTCCCTTGGGCAGGTTGAGGTCTGCAGGATCCACAGAGCGTCCTCCTGTGGGGTCCAATCTTAGAGTGTCAGACGTCTCTGTCCTTAGGTGGGCACCACACGCAGGTGTTCCCCTCCAGAGCATACTATGAGCTTTATAAGAATAGCCATGAACTGTAATGAGAACTAGATGCCAGCTGGGTGTTTTTCATCCCTAGCCTGTTGAGTCTGATAAGGGAAGAAGTTAGCATACGAAGACAAGGTTTAAGTCCCCCGAAACATGTGTGATTTGCCCTGAGCTGCTCCGCATGTAAGGATCAGGGACCATGTGCAGAAAAGATTAAACAAAAAGAAGTCCTTGCCCCTTTGGGGCAGAGCAACTATAAACAGCTGCTGAAAGACTGAAAAAGAAAGAAACGAAAAAAATGAAAAAAACCCAGTTTCCTTCAGTGAGCCAGGTGGTGGCGGTCAGGTTTCTCCACGTGGTGTTGTACCCAAGCAAGTTAGTGAGAACACCACACTTTGAGATGAATTAAGAGTCCTTTATTAAGCAGGCGGCCAAAGAGACAGCTAATGCTCAAAAATCTCTCGGCCCAGAGGAAGGGGCTTGATTAACTTTTATACCTAGGTTTAGGAAGGGGAGGGGGACTCAAATGCAATAATTCTACAGAAGTAAAAACATGCAAGAATCAAAAGAAGCAAAATGGTTACAGAGAGATAAACAATTTAAAAGACAAATGGTTACAAAAAGAGCAACGGTACCAGGCGCAAAGCTCTAAATCTTTCATTATAATTAGATATAGGGAGTATGCGGGACCCGAACTCAAGGCTTTATGTTGTTATCTCTTTAAGAAAAATCCTGGGAACTTCATACATTGTTGGTGCTAGTACCTTATCAGTTAACTGGGCTCCTTTGAAATACTGAGGATCTGCTTACACAGGTCAACTCCTCGCGGAAGGGGGTTGGGTAAGGAGCCCTTAGTGTCTTGTAAATTAAGGGGTCAACTGGAGTTTGTCCGGCTTTCCCAGCTAGAGAGAGTCTTATTTACACGGGAAGCAAGGCTAGGTGATTAAAGAGACAAGCAGGATAAAATTCCAAGTAGCGAGTTAGAGTAAAAACAAGGTTAGGCATTTCAGTGGAAACCCCTAAGTTTCATTGGCCATGGCCAGAAACCTGCAGTTGTCTCCATGTTTAGGTGCTACCCACCAAGGGTCCCAACTTGGAAAAGAAAAGAGAGAGAGAGTCCCTGTATGGAGCAGAAAGGAAAGGGAGAAAAATGAATCTCAAACTTTGGGCTTACCTCTTCCTCCTGGCTGGTTCGTCAAAATATGTTAATGGTGGAGGGTGTCCAGGTTCTTCACATCTTGAACAAATAATTGGACAAAATGCACAAACAAAGCAAGGAAGGAATGAAAAGATTTATTGAAAATAAAAGTACATTCCGCAGAGTGGGAGTGGGCCCGAGCTTAGGGGCTCAAAAGTCCCATTACAGAATTTTTGTGAGTTTAAATATTCTCTACTTGGGGTACACCCTATGTAAATGAAGAGGATGAAGTAAAGTTACAAAGTCATTTACTTGGCCTATGCCCTATGGAGAGGAAATTTCCTGTCACAGCTGAAGTGTGAATTGGCCTTATGTTCCCTGCCTGCAGATCCTGTTTTCCTGCCTCAAAAGTGCATCAAATACCTAAATTAGACCTAAAATGAGAAAAACTACTAGAAAAAAACATAGAGGAAATGCTTCAGAACATTGGTTTGAGAAAGAATTTTATGAATAAGACCTCAAAAGCACAGGCAACAAAAGAAACAAAACAAATGGCATTGTATCAAACTAAAAAACAGCACAGCAAAATAATCAATCAACAGAGTGAAAAAAACCTAAAGACTGAAAAAAAATGTGCAAACTACTTATCCAACAGGAGGCTTATATCTAGAATACACAAGGAACTAAAAAGTCTCAACAGCAAAAGAAGTCATTAAAAAATGTGAAAATTATCTGAACAGACATTTCTCAAAAGAAGACATACAAATAACCAAGAAATACATGAAAAAATGCTCACCATCACTAATTATCAGGAAAATGCAAATCAAAAATACAGCAAAGTATTATCTTACCACAGTTAAGGTGGCTATTATCAAAAACACAGTAAATAATAAATGCTGATGAGGACATAGAGAAAAGAGAACTTTTATATACTGTTGGTGGAAATGTAAACTAGTATAATACAACCACTGTGGAGAACAGCATGGAGTCTCCTCAAAAAATTACAAGTGGAACTACTATAGGATCTGGCAATCCCACTACTGGGCACTTATTCAAAGGAAAGGAAATCAGTATATCAAAAAGACCCCTGCACCTCCATGGTTATTTCAGCACTATACCCAATAGCCAAGATATGGAATCAACTTTGGTGTCCAACAACAGATGAGTGAATAAAGAAAACATAGCATATATATATGATAGAATATTATTCAGCCTTAAAAAAGAGTGAAATTCTTCATTCATGACAACATGGATAGAACTGGATGATATCATGTGAAGTGAAATAAGCTAGGAAATAAGTTAAATGCCACATGTTCTCATTTATATGTGGAAGCTAAAACAGGTTGATCTCATAGAAGTAAAAAGTAGAACAGAAGAAACTAGAGGTTGGGAAGGATTGGGGAAGAAAGGAATAAGGTTTGTTAGAAGATACAAAATTACAACTAGATGGGAGGAATAAGTTTTAGTGTCTTATACAATTGTAGTATTAAACTGTAGTTAACAATAATATAATATAAAATTTTGAATAGCTAGAAGGAAGTTACCGAATGTTCCCCACACAAAGAAATAATAAATGGGATGATGGATTACTAATTACTGTGATCTGGTCACTATACTTATATATATTGAAACATCACTATGTACCCCATGAATACATATAATTATTTTTTTCAATAAGAAAGAATATAATTTAAAAAATATTACATGATACAGTGATCAGAGCAAAGAATATCAAGAGGCAAACAGATGTTCTACTAATGATTAAAGCTTCAATTTAACAAGAACATACAGTAGTCCTAAACATATCTACCAAGTAATAGAACTGTCAGTTATATGAAGGATAACTGTTAGAACTGAAAAAAATGCAAAAATTCATACATATTTTTGAAAATTTAAACATCTCTCTCACCTATTGATGGAACTAAACAGAAAATTAGCAAGGATGCAGAACTCAATCCTATAATCAACCATGGGATCTACTCTACATTTATAAAATACTCCACCCAACTACAATGCTATACATATTCTTTCCAAGTGCCATAGAACATTCACCAATATACACTATATCAAAGACCATAAAATAGATTTCAACAAATTTAAAAGAATTGAAATTAAACAGTGTATTATTTTACCAAAAGCTAGAAACAATCAAAGCATCCTTCAATAGGGGAATGTTTAAACCAACTATGATACATCCATATCATATAATAATAATCAGCAATGGAATGGAAAAAACTGTTGGTAATTTAACAACT
Source organism: Homo sapiens (assembly GCF_000001405.40). NCBI lineage: Eukaryota > Metazoa > Chordata > Mammalia > Primates > Hominidae > Homo > Homo sapiens. The sequence continues at coordinate 43,685,463 of NC_000018.10, forward strand.
TGTATGGACATAAAGAACATTCTTTTGAGTAAAAATAGTACTAATCTCAAAAATTTTCATGTTATATGCTTCTATTTATGTCACATTCTCAAAATAGCAAAATTATGAAAATTAGGAACAGGTTAGTGATAGCCAGGATAGAGGATGATGAAAAAGAAGAGAGTGAGTGTCACTATAAAGTGACAGCATGAGGAAGATTTTTGTGAGGTAGACTAGTTCTTTACTTTTATTGTCATTATGGTTACATCATTCTACACATACAATAAAATGACGCAGAACTAGACAATGTCCTGATTTTGATATTGTGCTGTAATTAATGTAAGATGTAACTAATAAGGAGAACTTAGTGAAGGTCATATGGAAGCTCTCTGAATTTCTTTGCAAGTTTCTATGAATCTAGAATTATTTTAAAATAAAATGTGTTCAACAAAGTAAATATTAGATAAATGTGTTGAGATATGTTTTATGTAAATGTCAGTATTCACAGGATAGTTTGGGATAAACGCTATTGCTTAAAAGATGAGCACATATTTATAGGCACAGGCTGTTAATAGATATCTGTGTCCTCTGCACATGCATTTGTATGAAAACTCTGCAGCAGACAGAAAACTAGATAACAACTAGTTTATCTCCCTGTGTATTGTCCATGAGAACGGTTGAGTCTCTGTTCACTTAGCTTTGGCTCTTGATATGCTGCAGAACATATGAAACTGAATAAAATCTTTAGGTAAAAGTTTAGGTTAGAATTAAGATTATTTTTGACAATGAAATATATAGTCTGCATTAAATGGTTTGAGGTTCTTTTAATTACTAGAAATATTGTTTTATTATATTGCATTAATCCAAGGGCCTTTGGGTGCCAAATGCCAGTCTATACACATCTACAAATGAGCACTAATTAAAATGTCAGAAAAAAAATTATATTGAGAGAAAAAAGACAAGCTAAACACTGGGAGAAAATATTTGCAAAACATAAAGGACTGGTATCAAAAATATACAAACAACTCTTATATCTCAACAATAGAAAAGCATATAAGTCAATTAAAAAATGGGTGAAGGATCTGGGCAGATATCACACCAAAGAAGACACCCAGACGGCATATAAGCATATAAAAATATGCTAAACATCACGCCATCTGATAATTTCAAATAATACTAAAAGATATCCCTACATATCTATAAGAATAGCAAAAATATTAAAAAATAACGACATAAAATTCTGGCAAGGTTGCCAAACAACAAGAACTCTCATTCATTCTTGGTGGAAATGTAGGAATGACACAGCCACTTTGGAAGAGAGTTTGGGAGTTTTTCACAAAACTAAATATACACCTACCATATGATCCAGCAATTGTGCTCCTGGATATTTATCCAAATGAGTTGAAAACTTATGTCCACACAGAAACTTGCAAATGAATATTTATAGCATCTTTATTCATAAATGTCAAAACTTGGAAGCATGTGAGGTATCTATTCTGGACTGAATTGTGTTCCCGCCAGATTTGTATGTTGAAGCCCTTAGGCCCAGAACATTAGAATGTGACTGTATTTGCACATAGACCTTTTGAGAGGTGATTAAGTTAAAAGGAGATCCTTAGGGTAGGCCCTAATCTATTATAGTTGATGTCCTTAAAAGAAGAAATTTGGACACACTAAGAGACATTAGGGATGTGCACACACACACACACACACACACACACACACACACCATGGAGGTCACAGCAAGAATGCACCCTCCTACAAACCAAGAAGAGAGGAAAGAAACCAAACCTCCAGAACTGTGGGAAAATACATTTCTACTGTTTGAGCCACCCAATCTAGTATTTTGTTATGGCAGCCTTAATAAACTAATAGAATGTCTTTCAGTAGATGATGGACAAATGTGATACATTTATACAATGGAATATTCCTCAGTGCTAAAAACAAATGAGCCAGCAAACCATCAAAAGATATAGAGGAAAGTTAAATGTACATTGGTAAGTAAAAAATGTCAATCTGAAAAGACTATATTCTGTATGATTTCAACCACATGACATTCTCAAAAAGGTAAAACTATGGAGACAGTAAAAAGATCAGTGGTCATCAGGAGAGCAGAGAAGAGAGGGAGAAAAGGATAAGGGGAGTTTTAGGGCAAATAAATAAGGGAGTTTTAAGGAATGAATAAGAGAGTAAATAAGGGATGAATAGAGGAGTTTTAGGGATAAGGGATAAATAAGGGATGAGTAAGAGAGTTTTAGGGCATGCCTATTATGTGTAATACTGTAATGGTTGACATATATCATTACACATTTAAAACCTATAGAACATTCAACATAAAGAATAAATTCTGACACGTGGACTAGTTAATAATAAAAAGTAAACTAGGACTTAGTGAATATTAATATATTAATATTAGCTCACTAATTATAACAAATATACCATACTGATGCAAAATGTTAATAATGGGGGGAATGAGAAAAAAATAAAATGAGGGGGCATATAGGAACTTTGTACTTTCTGCTCAATTATTTTTGTAAACCAAAGACAGTTTAGAAAACAAAGTCTCTTCATGAAAATATAAATTTAGACACCTTATCTTCTGCAAAATGCATTACATAGCACTTAGCTGCCACATTTATTTTATATTGATTGAATGGATTCAGAATATATAAAGAATAAATACATGATTTATAATTGCTTAAAATTCCTATTATTTCCATGTCTTATACTGTCATAGTCCATTTGGGCTACCATAACAAGGTACCATAGGCTGGCTTATAAACAACAGAAGTTTATTTCATACTGTTCTGAAAACTGGAAAGTCTAAGATCATGGTGCTGACAGATCCAATGTCCACTAAGGGTTCATTACTTGTTCATAGATGGTACTTCCTCACTATTTCTTCATGTGGTGGAAGGGGCTAACTAGTCATCTGTGGTCTCTTTTATAAGAACAACAATTCTATTCATGAGGGCTCTGCCAAAGTCCCCAAAGTCCCATTTCTTAATACCACTACCTCCTGGGTGAGAATTTAAGCATATTAATTTTGGGAGGACAAAAACAATCAGACCATAGCATATACTAATTAAGTAAACAAATCACAAGTTTCTACAATCATTTTGAAGAAATCTCTTTCAAATATATTCATTTTTTCCACTTTTTCTTTTTTTATGAACAGAAGACAATATTTATCCTTCTACAGGAAATTGTCACCTCATTGAATATAATTTTGCTTCCTGGATCAAAATTCCAAGTGCTGCTTTGATACTTCTGGTTTCTTTCCTTCCAGGTCTTCCCTACCAAGCTTCATGAGATAGTCTCCTTTCTTTTGTTCTTTCCTTTTTTTCCTCTATCCTCCTCATCTCACTCTTTTTCCTCTTTCATCTTTTATGCTTCTTCTCATCTCTAAAACACTTCTCAACAAAAGCAATAATATTTCTTTGCCAGGATATGATTTTCATTTAATGAACAAGAATGAAAGTGAAAGTTAGAATTTCCTGGAGAAAAGAATCCTGTAAATGACTATCACTCTGATGGTTATCAGAATATTTCCAGAAAACAAAAAAGAAAGTAAGTTTTTGGTAAAGTCTGAGGAAAGTCCTAGAGTTAAATGTGCCTTATTCACAATTTTACCCACAGTTAGCACTGTTCAAAAGAACGGAATGCACGCATACAAACACAGAGACCCACATAAAAACAAACAAGCAATGTTTAAACACAGTATCACCTTTAAAATTATGAGACAATATTAGAGTTTTAATTTCATTAATAATCTTAGCATCATTTAAGATGCTTTATCCATATGATATTTTAGAAATATATTTACTATTTATTATATTGGACGTACCACATATCAAAGCATTTTTTCCTGGGTCAAAAAAACTTAAATTTAATAAATTAGTTAATGTTGAAGGAAGTGCCCTTCTAATCAAATAGAAATTTTCAGCTTAATTTAATTAGCAAGTAAAGAGAACACAGATTATTAATTTCTTCTTAAAAATTTGACAGAAAATGTATGTATTAATGCAACATATGACGAATGTTAAAAATTATACAGTGACTCTCACATTATTAAATTTGATGATAAATAGGATAACATAGGAGGGATGGCCACAATATGTTCATGTTATTATTGGTAGAAATTAAGAGTGCAATGTATTAGTCTGGTATGTCTTTGAATAATGTTTCCAGTAGTGGTAATAATTGTTTAAACCTAACAAATCTTTCCAAATCTTCTTTGTCATCACTGCTCACATTTGCCAGATAAGAGGATCAAGCAAGAAAAAATAATATTTTAATTACCTAGATTTGGGAATTGATAAATAGGATCATTAATACTGATACCAGTCTTACTATATTGAAGGGTTTAATGAGTTGATTGAAGAACCTGGTTCACTCGTGAGGGTACAACGAGATTATCTGGAATTTAAAGCCACCTAAAATAGATTTGGCAGCATATTTATTCATTAAAGGTGGAAGAAAAGGGGAGTAGCTTCTAAAGTTTGAATGTGTATTGGAAACTTAATGCCCAATGAACAGTTTTAAGAAATAAGACTGTTAAAAAGTGACTAGGTCATTAGGGCTCTGCCCTCATGAATGGATTAACACCATTATTAAAAGATTGGGTTAGTTATCACAGGAGTGGGTTTCTGGTAAAAGGTAAGTTCTTCCTTCTTTCTCTCACTCTCACTGTTGCTCTCTTGCTTTTCTACCTTCTGCTTTGGTATGATGCAGCATGAAGGCCCTCACCAGATGCTGTTGCCATGCTCTTGGACTTCCCAGCCTCCAGAACCATGAGCTAAATGAATTTCTTCATTTTTAATAAATTACCCAGTCTCAGTTATTCTGTTGTATCAGCAGAAAACAAACTGAAATGGTAATTAATGCCTTATTGGGCTCTAAAATAAATTTTTTGAAACAATAATTCTAATAAAAAGAATATTTAAAGAAATCAAAATATTCTAGTTTAGCATCAATATCAGAGCAAAGTTATGAAAGTATGGTAGAAGACCTGACCCACTGAAGGAGAGTAAGGAATCTAGATCAAATATAAATAGTCTGATGTAAACTTAAATAATTCCTAATGAATATCAGTTAGCATTCATTTTATCAATACTGCTGGTGCCTTTTCCCTCAAAATAATTTTCCTGTGCATGAACTACTCTACTTCACCCTGCTTGATAATTGTTTTTCAGTAGTCTAAATCTTAAGCCAATGTTCAAAAATGGCTCTTCAATCATTCAAGAAGATCTTCACAATGATTTCGTCCTTCGGAGAAAATTATTTTAGATTAACTCAAAAAATATTACCCTTTCTTTTAAAACTATTTTTCTTTTAAAAATCTTAACTGATAGGTAAACTATGAAATCTGCATACTAGCTAGTTCTATGACTCTCTTAATTCATGAGCTATATTATAAAACTAAACTCATTTAGACCATAATATCTTTTCATAGATTTCTAAATCTAGGATTTTCTTCTGTTCCTTTCAGAAAAAAAGTTAGCTTGAAGTAATATATTTATAACTTAAATATTTTTAGAAATATTATTTTCTATGATCTTTTATTATGTGGGTAGGTAACAAAAAACTTTTATATTTCACTACAGAAAAATAGGTAACATTTATTATTTCATTTTCACCACATAATATTTTAAAAGTATCACTAAAAACATGAAACTTTTATATTTATCATATATAACTTTTTTCTTCACCCACATACATAAACTGAAACAAAAAAAAATGGTGGTAAATACGTACACACTAAAACACTTCAATCACAATGGTTGGCTCTAATTGGGGCATTTGATTTTTGCCTTTAAAAGGGTCTATATTAATAATAGAAGGGATTAGAAAACAAATAAAGGAAAGCTAATGAATGTGACACTGGGAATTAATAGTTTAGCAAAAGAAATGATTACAGAAGTTTAGAGTCTTTATAGAAAAATAATAAAATGTAATATTTAAAATGTAACATGAGAAATGTGTGGTAGTGAGAACCAAGAAAGAGTTCAGAATTTTCCTCCAGCATCTGCAGTTGATTATTCATGTAGCCTTGGTCAATTGATTCATAATCTTTTAGTCTCAAAGACATCTGTAATATAACAATGAAAATGGAATGTATATATTTCAGTGATTATCAAAGAAATGTATCAGATCAAGTTGTGAATGTCAGAGTTATCTTAACCAAATAATTAAGATTTGAGTGTCACTGTAAAGAAAAAGTGGGAGCTTACTATATCGATAAAAGGGGAAAAAAAATTTAGGGGATGGGGCAACGTACAGAAATCCAAATGATCATAAAACACATTAGTTCTTATAAAACAAACTTTTTACTAGCCTCAAGATTATAAAACTCATCTGGGTCTCATCAAAAGTCAGTACATACTTTTACTTCTTCCCAGGCAGACACAGACACACAAAAATTAAAATACTTTGGATTAATTTACTACCCTTCCAAATTATATTCACTTATTGTCATGGAGTTTATACCCACACATACATACACACACACAACACATATGTGTATAAACCCACATTTCACTATTATTGACTTATACAATTAATAGGCATTTTGCTTTTCCCATTTCTCATTTTTATTGCAGATCCAAACTTATCTTAGAAATTATTTTCAATCTGCCTAAAGTATGTCATCGTTTTGCTTCCAAGTTTAGGATTATCTTAATCACTTCTTATAGGGCTGCTCTAGTGGTGATAAATTCCCTTAGCATTTGCTTACTTGTTGAGAACTAGAATCAAGAATGGAATCTTACTGTAGTCACTTAGATCTCATAAAGTGTGTGGGACCCAGGATGTGTTCCTTCTCTGAGCAGTTTCTTCTCACAGCCTCCTCGCCACTCTCTTAGTTAGATTCAGGGATTTGGGGGGGATCAAGATGCCCTCATGTGGCCTAAATTATATAATTCCCCAGTAACTCACTCACTCTGCCATGTTTGGGAGTCACTCCTGGTTTCCAGCCAGTTCTGGCCAAACACGATCCCTGTTTTCCTTCTCCTTTCTAGAATGTGGTGTTTCTTGTCTATTTTCTGTTGAGCTTCTATGTTCCCTCTTGGATAATGTATTCAAAGTGTGAGGTCGTCTACGTACTATTTGGTTCTTCTAAGTGGATGTGTCATGCTTGAAATGCTTCTAGTCAGACATCATTCCTGCATATGTCCATTTATTCCTTGGACTGCTTGTGGGTTTTTTTTTTTTTTTGTTTTTTGAGATGTTTGAGGGTTTGGGTGAAGGTTAAGATGTTCATTAAAGAATATAGTAACTTTTTACAGTTAGGGTGACAAAACAGAGCCCAAATGCCTGCTAAGTAGGACAGGGCTGGGTAAAAATACCCTATTTTGTATTTTAAATGGCTCATATAAGGAAGAGAAGGAAACAAATGGCATCATTACAGAATTTCACCAAACCAAAATGACAAATGAAGAAAAAGAAAGAATTTTAAAACTAGAAAATAACTAATAATATGACAGGAACAAACTTTACATGTCAATATTAACATCGAACACAAATGGATTAAATGCTCCACATAAAACTATAAATTTGTTGAATTGATTTAAAAAAAAAACATGATTTAACTACATATTACCTACAAGAAACTCCTTACCTGAAAAGACACATAGAGACTGGAAGTAAGGGGGTAGAAAAAATATTTCATGCAAACAGAAAACAAAAGTGAGCAGGATTGGCTATACTTAGATAAAATAGAATTTAGGCCAAAAATAGTAAAACAAACAAACAAAAACAAATAGGGACATTCTAGAATGACAAAGGGATCACTTCAGCAAGAGGATATAACAATTCTAAATACATATGCACCCAATGCTGGAATTGGGTTCGCATTCATAAAAAAAAAAAAAAAAAAAAAAAAAAAAAAAAAATATTGCTAGACCTGAAGAGAAAGAAAGAGATAGCCAGCAAGACAATAACAGTGAGGTACTGCAATACCTCACACTCAGTAAACATATCTTCTAGAGAGAAAAGCAACTAAAAACACTGGACTGAAATTAAACTTCAGACCAATTGGACCTAATAGGCATTTACAGAAATTTCTGCCCAACAAGTACAGAATATACATTTTTTTTTTTATCAGCACATGAAACATTCTCTAAGATTGACCACATGTTAGGACACAAAACAAGTTTCCAAAAATGTTTAAAAGCTCAAGAGTGTCAAGCGTCTTATCTGACCACAGTGGAATAAAACCAGAAATCAATACCAAGAAATTCAGAAAATGTATGAATACATGGAAATTAAACAACATGCACCAGACCAATCATTGAGTCAACAGAGGATTAAAATGGAAATTAAACTTTTTGAAACTAATAGCATGGAAAAAGTTTGTATGAATGTAAATTAGTACAGCCAATATAGAAAACAGTGTGGAAATATTTCAAAAAACTGAAAATAGAACTAACATTTGATTTGGCCATGCGTGGTAGCTCACACCTGTGATCCCAGCACTTTGATAGGCCAAGGTGGGCAGATCTCTTGAGATCAGGAGTTTGAGACCAGCCTGGCCAACATGGGGAAACCACGTCTCTACTAATAATAAAAAAATTAGCCAGATGTGGTGGCACATGCCTGTAGTTCCAGCTACTTGGGAGGCTGAGGCAGGAGAATCACCAGAACCTGGGAGACGGAGGCTGCAGTGAGCCAAAATTGTGCCACTGCACTCCAGCCTAGGGACAGAGCAAGACTCTATCTTAAAACAAAAACAAAAACAACTACCATTTGATTCAACAACCACACCAGTGGGAGTAAGAAAAATAACTCAATGTATATAAAAGAAATGTGCACTCATATGTTAATCACAGCACTATTCACAATAGCAAAAATATGAAATCAACCTAAGTTGATTCCAATGGGTAACTGGAAAAAGAAGATGTGGTGGTATATATTAATAATGGAATACTATCCAGCCATAAAAAATGATAACATTTTGTCATTTGCAACAACATAGATGGAACTGGAGGTCATTAAGTGAAACAAGTAAGACACAGAAAGTCAATATCACATGATCTTGCTTATAAGTGGGTGAGAAAAATGGTATACACTTGGACTTAGAGATTGGAATGATCACAATGAAGATTTAGCAGAATGAGTGGGTGAATGCTGATAAAGTACTTAGTAGGTACGGTGTATCTTATCTGGGTGATAGATACTCTAGAAGTCCTGACTTGAGCACTGATATGGTTTGACTCTCTGTCCCCACCCAAATCTTATCTTGAATTGTAAATGTTGAGGGAGGAAAGCGATTGGATTATGTGGGTAGTTTCCTCCATGCTGTTCTCATGATAATGAGTGAATTCTCACAAGATCTAATGGTTTTATAAATGGCAGTTTTTTCTGCACTCTCTCATGCTCTCTCTCTTGCCTACCGCCATGTAAGACATGTCTGCTTCACCTTCTGCCATTATTATAAGTTTCCTGAGGCCTCCCTAGCCATGCAGAACTGTAAGTCAATTAAACCTCTTTCTTTTATAAATTACCCAGTCTCAGGAAGTTCTTTATAGCAGTGTAAAAACAAAATAATACCACCACTGCATAATATTGCACTTCTATGCCATAAATTTATACAATTTTTTAAAATTAAATTAGAAAATGATTTGAACATACATTTGTCAAAGAGAGACATACAAATGGACCAAAAACATATGAACAAAATGGTCAACATCACTAATCATCAGAAAATGCAAATCAAAACCACAATGAGGTATCACTTCACCCCAGTTAGGATGACTATTATCAAAATGTCAAAAAAATAACAAATGCTGACGAAGATGAAAATAAAGGAAACGCTTATATACTGTTGGTAGGAATGTAAGCTAGTAAAGTCACTGTAAATAAAAGTATGGAAGTCCTCAAAAGCTATAAATGAAACTACCATATGATCTAGCAATCCCATTACTGAGGATTTATCCAAAGAAAGAGAAATCAGTACATAAAAGAGATATCTGAACCTCCATGATTATTTTAACACTATTCACAATAGCCAAGCTATGAAATCAACCTAGGTATCCAACAGGAGATAAATGAATAAAGAAAATGTGGTATACATACACCATAGAATACTATTAAGTCATAGAAAATAATTAAATCTTGCCATTCATGACTACATTTATGGAACTGGAGGACAGTATGTTAGGTGAAATAATGCAGGAAGAGAAAGTTAAACACTGTTAGTTCTCACTCATATATACAAGGTAAAAAAAAAAAAAAGTTAATCTCATAGAAGTAAAAAGTAAAACAAAAGATACTAGAGGGTGGAAATACTAGAAAGGGATATATTTGTTAAGGCAGTCAAAATTATAGCTAGATGGTAGAAATAAGTTCTAGTGATCTATACCACTGCAGTTTAACTATAGGTAATAATATCTTATATAATATTAAATAGCTAGATGGAAGATATTAACTGTTCTCCACTAAGAAATGATAAATGTTTGAAATGATGGATATGCTAATTACCCTGATCTGATTACTATATATTATATGTATCAAAATATCATTATGTACCCCGTAAACACATACAATTATCATATGTCGATTTTAAAAATTAATAGCTTTCTTCTAGAGAGAAATTGATTCCAAGTGCCAGACTGCCTTCTGTATTTCTCCTTCTTATGAATTTTGACCTCTATTCTTCATTGTATTGTCTTTATTTGATAACATTGATGATATATATTTAATATTTTGAATGGGTTTTGTACTTAATATGAATGAGTTTTGGTTTGAATAACCTCATTTTTTTGCTATCAGGTATATGCATTCTGGATGTTGCATATTATTTTCCATCATTTATTTTTATATTTTTTACCAATGTAAAACTGATTTTATTACATGGCTCTACTAATATTCAGCTGAGTAAAACTTCTTTTGAAATTCTTATTTTTAATATACCTGTCATGGGTATTATTTGACATTTTTTATGTAAACTTTAGGGCAATATAATCCAATTTAAAAATCCTATTTGTATTCATAGTGTAGGTGCAATAAGATAACAAAAAAAATTAATAGTACAAATATGCTTATATATTTTGGCTCGCACTTATAATTATATCCTGTAAAGACTGATAATTTAAAGTACATTAGAATTTCTGAGAGTTCAAGGTAATTAGACATAATATGAATGTAAAAAATTATACTTTATTGCCATTATAATATGAATTAGTCACCCAGAAATTAAAATGCAAAAAAAATTTAGAAATTGCTCCACAAGTTATAAAATTCCTAAAGAATATGTTGAAAAAATGATAAAACCCATGTGAAAAGAATATAAGGCCTTATTGAAAGACATAAAATAATCTGAAAAAATAAAATTAATTAAAAAATATAACATGTTCTTGAATAAGTGGTGTCAGTAGTGAGAACATTAACTCTTTGCCAGTTATATTGATAATAAATATATTTAGGTTGTTTGATTCTTTTATTCAGTTATCCCCTTTGCATCTTTGTATCACTTATTATTATTCAATTCAAAATTATTTTAATAATTTCAATTCAGCATTTATTTTTATTCAAAATTTTGATGTAGTTTTACCAGTCTTACAGCGCCAAATTTTTAGATACTCCTACTTACAATTTTGTCTTGAACCACAGGCTTTTGGCACACACTTTCTCTGAGTTGACTGTTTTTTTCATCCTTAGTTTGACTAGTTAACTTCTACTTACCCTTCAGATACTATCTTACTGTATACTGTTTCAGAGAATTTGTTTTCTAGGAAAGAGAGAGAGCTAGAGTGAACAAAAGCAAAAAAAAAAAAAAAAAAAAAAAAAAAAAAAACCAGATTAATTCAAAATAAAGGTCTGAGACAAGGAAAGTGAATGGACCTTTGATTCCTAAGATAATACAGTAGAACTGGTGCTGAAATGTGTATTATTGTCATGAGTGATCACCGCTTAGTTATTTAGCTTCTCAAAGGAACTAAATATGCTCAGATAAAATTCACAAAGGATATTAGTAACTTTAGTTTCAAGATGAAAGCCATAAGGGCTTACCCTGCCCTATTGTCTAATCTTTGAAAATTTAATAGCAGCCAAGGCAGCAGCAAAAAATAGTAGCTGGCATTTATTGAGAACACTGCCAACGTATAAATTCATTAATTCTTACTATAGCCCTATTAATTTCACACTATTATCACCATAGCACAAGTAGGAAAACTAAAATTCCAAAAGGTAAAACATATAGTCCAAGTTCATGTGGCTAGTAAGTTCCAAAGTCAAAGATCAAAGCCAAGGTCTTTTATATTAGGCAGCCCACTACTCTAACTTAATCTTCTCATTCCAGCCTTATTTTCTCTCATTTAAATTTGGTACATAAGACACCAAATATTTTAATTATTGGTATTCCTTTTTTTTTTTTTTTTGAGATGGAGTCTTGCTCTGTTGTCCAGGCTGGAGTGCAGTGGCATAATCTCAGCTCACTGCAACTCCACCTCCTGGATTCAAGTGATTCTCCTGCCTCAGCCTCCTGAGCAGCTGGGATTACAGGCACATGCAACCACACCCAGCTAATTTTTGTATTTTTATTAGAGACAAGGTTTCACCATGTTGGCCAGCCTAGTCTCGAACTCTTACCTCAGGTGAACCGCCTCGGCCTTCCAAAATGCTGGGATGACAGGCATGAGCCACCGCACTTGGCCATAATTACTGGTATTCTTAAATATAAAGTAAATCTAACCAATTAAGATTTTTTAATATCTAGAACATTTTTCATGTACAAATTTTTGAAGAATCTAGAAATATGAGATTGAACTTGTTTCTCATGGAACTTTAAAGTCTCAGATGTTATAAGGATTATATGCATGCAAGTAAAATCAAATAGTAATTTAATTGGGGTACATCATAAAAGTATCCAATTGAAAAATTGTCTATCTCTGAAAAAGAAGTAGTAGCAAACACATAAATATTTGTAACATATATAATTATTTATATATTATATATAATATTTTACATATGAATATTAAATTTACATATATTCATATATAAGTACATTTAAATCTTACAACTCTATCGGGTAGTGTATTAGGCCATTCCTCCATTGCTATAAAGAAATACCTGAGACTAGGTAATTTACAAAGAAAAGAGGTTTAGTTGGCTCACAGTTTTGAAGCTTTACAGGAAATATGATGCTGGTGAGATGGGAGAATTCCCTTGACCCTTTCATGGGACTTGTGACAGTGGTGTGGCTCCTTTACTGGGCTGCTGAGCTCACACCCCTGGCTGGAAGGGGAGCCACAGGTGAGTGGGTGCAGGATCTGGGGCGAGTGCCTTTGGGCACCAGCAGGAACGAACGCTGTACCTGCCTGCAGCAGTGTTTAAGGGTTGCTCAGGACCTCTGGAGCCTCAGATGTGCTCTTTTAGCTTTGCTGTCCATAGATCGCTTAAGTGTTAAACAGCTCAGTGAAGAGTCAGCGTGACAGTCTTTTTGGATTCCCACACCCAGTGTATCCCCAATTCTTTTCCAGCATCCAGGAAGAATCAGGTCACATGAATGGATTGAAGGGTGGTGTATGCAGAAAATTTTATTGCCAGTGAAAGTGGCTCTCAGCAAGACGGGGAGCTAGAAAGGCGATGGATAGTATTCCATGGTGTATATGTGCCACATTTTCTTAATCCAGTCTATCATTGTTGGATATTTGGGTTGGTTCCAAGTCTTTGCTATTGTGACCAATGTGGCACATGTATACACATGTAACAAACCCACACGTTGTGCACATGTACCCTAGAACTTAAAGTATAATAAAAGTATATATATATATGTATATATATATGTATATATATATGTGTATATATATATGTATATATATATGTGTATATATATATGTATATATATATGTGTATATATATATGTATATATATATGTGTATATATATATATGTGTATATATATATGTGTATATATATATGTATATATATATGTGTGTATATATATATATGTGTATATATATGTGTGTATATATATATATGTATATATATATATGTGTATATATATATGTATATATATATATGTGTATATATATATGAAAGGAGATGGAGCGGGAAGATAATCTTCCCCTGGAATTTGGCTTTTCCTGGTGGAACTCCTCTCTGACCATAGTCTCTAAGGTCCAGCTGCCTTTTCTCCTCTCATTGTTCAGATACTTCTTCTCTTCTCTCCTTCTTTGCCACCCCACTCAGCTCCTCTGCCAGTGGAGGTTGGGCTGTTTATGGGTACTGGATGGGGGGCATGGCAGGCCAGGATGGTTTTGGAAAAGGTAACATTTGGGCGGGAAAACAGAAATGGATTTTTCTCATTTAGAGTCGCAGGTCCAGGCTTGAGGTTGGAGAACTTGCCAAGGATCCCATCGTCTTCACCCCAGTATTTTGCTGCCTCCTGTCCATATCACTGTCATCTGCTCAGGTTCTGGGGAGGCCGCAGGAACTATGGCATAAGGTGAAGGGGGAGCAGGCACATCACATGGCCAGAGCAGGAGCAAGAAAGAGGGAGAGCATCTGAAGGAGGTGCCACACACTTTTAAATGACCAGATCTCGGGAAAACTCAGAGAGAGCTTACTTATCACCAAGAGGATGGGCTAAGCCATTCATGAGAGATCTGCCCCCATGATCCAGACACCTCACACAAGGCCCCACCTCCAATATCGGGGATTACTTTTCAGGATGAGATTTGGGTGGGACAAATATCCAAACTATATCAGGTGGTTATCAATATTTTCCCATTTTACAGCAGAGGAGACTGAGGCATCAAGAGACATAGTAAATTTCCCCAAGTTACAAAGCTAGGATGCAGTAGAGCTGGATTTTACATATATGAAGTCTAGCTCCACAGTCTGTGCTGTTAAAATCATACTTTGCCTGTCAGCATTGAGAGACCAAAGTGCTGAGGTACAGTTAGCAAACTAGAATCACTCTTAAACTTAATGGTCACCTCTCAGTGCAGACTAAATCCTAGCAATGTGCCCTTTACTCTTTTAAAAGGTGTTTTTGGAGGAGAGAATAAACAAGTGGTTAAGAGCACAAGCTCTAGAATCAGTTATATCAAGATGAAATGCTTGCTTAATTACTTACAACTTTTAAGACTGTGTGTGATATATAACCTTTGTTTGCCTCAAATTTCATGTTTGTACGATAAGAATAAAAACAATATCTCCTTGAATTATTTTAAAGCTTAAATAAGAGAAGAGGCACAGAATACAATTTTAATTTATCTTACCAGTCACCTATGACCCCTTGCAGATATAGAACTTACACAAAGTAAATGCTTAGAATGAAGGAAAGTTTCCATGAGTGGAAGAGGAGATGTATTCAGGTTCTTGAAGGAGGTAAAGGTCTTAGATCTGTATGTGAATCAGCTCTTAGTGATCTCATCTAATTCCTGGTACAAAATGGAAATGATCATTCAGTTTTGAGAAGAGAAAAATGTAAAAGGAGCCTCGTTTAAAAAAAAAAAAAGTTTTCTCAATTTATAAAGATCTCTTCCCCCAGCCTGCATTGCACTTAAATGGCCCAGAAAAATAACTATTATCCCACCAGCACTTACCACTTTATTTGCTTTCTGCCACTTTATTGATTTACCTTTAATGCATAATTATCTAGTGTGCTTACCATTGCTAATTCAGGCCCATCTTAACTTCCCATCAAATGAAGACTCTCTCATTATTCTCAACCAAGCTATTTCTCTCCTTCCTTTTCCTATTTCCTTAGCCCTGGCTACACTAAATTAGAACTTTGGAGACCGTAAATGTAAATGAACTGTTTCTGTTCAAATTTCTCAGGCATCAAGCACCCATTTATTACTGTGGCCACTATTTCAATTGCTGATTTGTTTTGTCTGTGAATAATGAAACCATCATTTTCTATTTGCCAACTTTAATGGGACATTTGAAGAATGCCAGGACCCGAAATGACTAAGAAAGACACCGAGACATCTGGAGAAGGATGATGAGAGACAGGCTGAAATAAAATAAAATGGCAACAACAGCACAACAAAATAAAACAACACAAAAAGGCTAGATATGCCTGAGAAAGAGAAAATGCCCACTGAATGGTGTTCCATGGGTGGTCCCAGACTCCAAAGAATTTACTGGCCAGAAGTTAACATTTAAAATTTCACTAAAGTCTAAAAACATGAGAAAGGTCAAAAAACTCAAACATCCCATTCCAGCCCCCTTTTTGCCAATTTGACCACTTCTCCCTATTCAGGGAAAACTTCAAACTGGTATATGATGTATCTGAATCTGCTAACACTTAATAAGCTTCTGTCATGGGCTTCAACCCTAATTATGTTTGATTCTTTACAGAGGTATTTTTATTTTAATTGGTATATAACCAAAAACTCTGTCAAACTGAAAGAAATAGTGCAGCAATGATGGAGATTTAGGCAGTTGTGTGTGTTGCTTCAGATTACATAACCAAAAAAATTTTTTTTAAAGTGAGAACGGGATATTTTAAAGGCAACTTAGAATATGACAAGGCTGCTGACAGTTTTTCACATCAAAATTAATAAGTAGCTATGTATATTATCTTCAACATTTTTTTGTACAGATGACATTGAAGAACTAAAATGAATGCCATACTTGGTAATAAGAAAAAGTAGAAATTTTTTGGAGAGTTTTTCTTTTCAGTTCTGTCTATTTTAGACAAGACTTTAAAAATCTGTGGAATTGTATTATATACAATTACCTAATAATTTCTCTTCATGTCTAAATATTCAGAATTTTTATTTTTAAACATTAGAATCTGAAAGAATAGTGAATAACAAACCTAAATAATTGCTTTTAAAATATACTGTCATTTCACGTAGTTAACAGGTAATGGTTTTAATTTTGTCAGTGATTTTACAGACTTAAAAATATGAAAGGATAATTTTTTAAAAAAAGCTAAAATTATGACTTAATACAGATGTAAGCTGAACACCTGGTAAGTACTTTTTAAGCTCAATATTACTGATAAAAACAGGGCACATCTTTCTACTAGTTTAAAGGTGAAGTCAAAGAAGCACAATTTTATACGTGTTAGAGTTAAAAATAGCAATGCCTTTTCAATGGGCGGCAGTCAATTGAACCTTCACAAGACTGAATTCATTTGCATGTCCATGTATGAGAATTATTTTGCATTGCTACAATAATCTATTTACAAAGTTGTAAAATAGCCCAAAGCCAATGAAAGGTGAAAATTAACACCCAGAAGGATGTGCTCAAAACAGTCCAGTTTTCCATTGGATATGCCTAAGACATGTTTTGATATTTCTAAATTCTCTTACAAAACAGCTCATTTTTGTTGTTTTAAAATGTCCTGTGACAGCAGTATCCTATATGTATTTAAGGTAAAGAAAAATGTTCCAGTAAATCCCATCTTGAGAAACTAAAAAAATACATTATAGCAATTGAGTGTTCAGGGTGCTGAAAAACCTGGTTTGAGAATTTCCCAATCCTGACAGGGAAGAAAGAGATGTCAATACAAAGCTGTTAAAACTGAGTAGCCTTCTAATTCATTCCACATGAATCTTACTACCTTCTAATGTGGGAAGCACTTTGAGAAGAAAATTTCAAATCAGATAAAAACTTGTATGTAAAAAATATGATTTGGAAGATCACCCAAATGAGAACAAACAAAAGGTAGGTATTCAGTGCCGCCTGTTGCAAAGGAATAAATCTTTATTACTTGCATTCATCATTTGGCATATGGCAACACAGGTAGGGGAGTGAGGGAACTTCATTGTGAAAAAAAAAAAGGAAGACTTCAGGAACTCTCTTAGTGGAGATTGTTGGTATGGTGATGCTAGAGGCAGGCCAAATAAAAGCAGGACATACCATAAACGGGTGGAGCATACCTAATCTGAAAATCTGATATTTGAAACACTCCAGAACTCAAAATTTTTTGAGTGCTGACATCATGCCACAAGTAGAAAATTCAATGCAGTCAAAACTTTGTTTCATGAATAAAATTATTTAAAATAATGCATTAAATTACCTTCAGGGTATGTGTACAGGGTGTATATGAATCATAAATAAGTTTTATGTTTAGACTTGGGTCCCATCCCCAAGAGAGTTTATTATGTACATGATGGTATTCCAAATTCAAAAAAATCTAAAACCCGAAAGGCTTCTGGTCCTAAGCATTTCAGATAAAGAATATTTGGGAACACATTTGACTTTCTCTGGTTATTCTGGAGCTCAAAGCAGGGATAAAAGATTCAGAAACAATATCCCAAAGTATGGACCCATGACACACTGAATACTTTCAACTGAAGGAAACTGGAAAGGTTTAAGAGGCAAGGTCTTTCTGACCTTTTTCTCTCCTCTTTCTCCTACTCCTCATTCTCCTGAAGCAAGTCATAGAAAGCAGAATTCCTCTTCCCCAAGGCAGGTCATAGAAACTAGAACCCCTCTCCCCTAAAGCAACCCGTAAAATCTATAAATGTCCCTCCCTCCTTTCTCCCTTCTCCCTTGAAGACCCTCATTCCAAATGGGTCCAGTCTCATATCCAGAAAGAAGACATGCTACACAAAGAGGCAGTAAGAATCTGAACAAATAGGCCTTCCCAGGTTTTCCCCTTTAGTCTTTCACTATTAGATCATACCCTTTTGTCCAATTATATTTCCACATGGCTGCCAATTCCTTATTGAAGCTAAGCATAAAAATAGACAGTTTTCCCTGAGTCTTTGAGTCTTCATTTCTGAAGGCCTCCATGTCATGTAAACTTTGATTAAATAAATCCTTTATGCTTCCTCTTGCTGTCTTTTGTTATAGGACTGTCAGCTGTGTCCCTTATGATGGGTGAGGAAAGATATCACGTCTTAGTGATTGAAGAAGTGATTACTGTTCTGAAACAATTGCTATAGAGGTTGTAGTTTCATTCCCTGGACTATTTGCTGGAGAAGCTGTGGTTCAGCTCCCTGGGATGGTTGCTGCAGAAGTTTTTGTTCAGAGTTCTATTTTCATATATGGACTGGCCATTGTCTGTTCGTATATTCAATCTCTCCTTTCCTCTTTTTGGTCATTTTCTCACTTCTAACAGGTTGACCAAATGAGGGAAGATTAGAAATCCAGATCTTCACCACTCACAGATAATCCTATTGTCTCCATAGTCAACTATATTGCAAAGTCTTCTTGACCTTTTCTTGTATCTTCATGGCACTCATCTTATGAGACAGTCACTAGGCAGAAGCACTTAAAACACTGAATAGAATGCAACAGACCAGCATTATGCCCACTGTGATAAAAATAAAACAATTAATTGTCCTCATAAGATGCTTTAGAACAAGGAACTATAATTTCTAAAGACAGATCAAGAGAACAAATGCCATAGGCTGTGAAGATTAATTTTAGAAAGCCAAATAGCTTTTTTCTTAAGGTGATATATTAAGGTTCTACTTTACCTGTTTAATTGATATAACTGCAAAGGAAAATATTAGCAATGGCACAGATACACAAGATCAGTCAACAAGAATTCCAGAGCAATGCAATTGTATATCACTACTCATGCCAAAGTGTTGAGAATGATCTGTCTTCCTTCTAGGGCAGAAGTGATATCATTAATTATTGCTGCCAGAATTCGTATGTTTCTTATAGCCTTTTTTTTTGGATGATTTTTACCATTGGGAACATTGTTCTGATTGTTGTATAAACAATGAATCAGTAATTCCTTCAGTTAGAGTGCCTAAATAACCAAAGTTAACTTCATTTTGGACCTTGTGTCTAAGTTAAGATTTTTAGCTTTGGGGATTTATATAATTAGAGTCTTGGTGTATAGCCAAGTCTTGAAATATTATTCCTAAATTTCATGAGGTTTTAGTACAAGCAAAAAATAACAGGTACCCTGGCCACAAAGGAAATAGTATCCAATAGAGAAACATGGAGATCTAGGAAACAAAGGAATCATTCATGATGTGAAGTTACACCCAAGGTCTTACATTATCTGAGTTACAGTTTTGAATTTCAGTTAGTCTCTTTCAGGTGTCAAGTATTTGGCTTGTAATTCTAGGATGGTTGTTGATTACAAATTAAGAATTTTCTAGAAAATTAAAAATATTTTTTTTTTTGAAAGAAAGGACCACTAGGAAAGTCATAATTTGAGTGTTTTTTAAAATTCATTTGTTCATGTAGGTACCTGAAAGCACCATTGACTGTAATTTTCTAAGACCTCATTTGATGAGACTAAAATTGTCCAGAGGTTTTTTTATCATGAGGACTCAGAGCCGCATGGCATATCTAGGAATCAGCAAGATTGAGGACAGTGGTTTCTATTTTGAAATAATCTAAAAATGGCACTAGAATGAGTATGTTCTGACCTAACAATTATAAAAAGGAGAGAAATGAGGAAAAGGGATACTATTTGTAGATTACAACCAGGTATTTATAGAAAATGAGAATTACAATAAACAAATGAAAAACAAAATAGGAATTAGACAGGGGTCTTGACGCAGCTCAGATACTGGTGTAGAAACTGTCCTGTACCTGAGATAATCTGCTTGTTCAAAGGTCTTGGTCAGGGTTTACTTCTGATTGATTACTTCTAGAAAATATCTGAGCATCATAGTTTGAGGTCTATTAATGGTTTCTTGCATTCTGCATTGCTTTCTCAGGTTGTGAAATCGGAACCTAGCAATTAACCCCCTGGAGTTTCACAGTTGTATTTGCTGTCAGCAGTACCTAATTAGGTTCTTTTTAACACGGTTTAAGAGCAGTTTTTCTCTGGTGTCTCTTCCAATAGATGAAATCTGGTTGAAGATCATGATGAGGCTATTTAAAAAGATGTGAGAAATGGCCTTAATATATCAGCGGTGGAGTGGTGGGTCTGAGTGTAGCACATGGGTCATTGCAATATTTATCATATCTGCATTATACAGGATAGAGACTAGTACCACAGACAACATTCTTAAACGTGTGAGCCTCCCAGATACCAGTTATAGGAAGATCCTGATTTCTGGAACCAGTAATTTTGTTACTTTACACAGCACAAGGTTTGCAGATGTGATTAAGGTAAGAATCATGAAATGGGGAGGCTATCCTGGATTATCCAGGTTAACTGCACCAAATCACATGAGTTCTTAAAAGTGGAAAACTTTTCTGGACTGTGGTCAGAGGGAGAGATGTCATTATAGAAGAAAAGAACCAGAGAAATGACAGCATGAGAAAGACTGGACCAACCTTGGCTGGCTTTGAAGATGGAGAAAGGGGCCATGAGTCAAAGAATATAGGTGGCCTCTAGATTTTAGAAAAGATAAATAAATGAATTCTTCCTTACAGTCTCCAGAAAAGAACACAGCTCTGCCAATACCTTGGTTTTAGGCCTGATTAGGGTTCTAACCTACAGGAGGTTAAGTTAATAAATTTTTATTGATTAAAACCACTGTATCCATGGTAAGTTGTTCCAGCTGCAATAAAAAAACTAATACATCAGGTAACTCTGTTGTATGAACCTAAAAGAATTATAAATTATTTTATAAATAGTTGCTGGCCTTGCCCAACTTTATGGAAATATAAATTTTTACTTTTCTGAAATACAGCATTTTAAGTTGACATTTTATTATGGAAATATTTAATAATGACTCTTAATTTAACTCAGATCTGAGGTTTAAATTCTACAGTTGCCTGAGTACCTGATTCATGAATGGGATGGATTTTTGTGGGCAACTGACTTGAGGAAGAGAGAGAATTGAATATAGGAAGGCAACTTGAAAACAAGGAATGGGGGCATTAACTAAAATGTAAGTCTGTTTTCTGGTGCTTAAGTTTGTCAAATTGCTCATTAGCTTTGACCAAACAATCATTTAGAGAAGCGATTTTTGAATCAGAATTTCATTCTGGGTTTTCTGCATACCAACTAAAAAATGCTTTCCATTGAGGTTGAGTGATCTTGTTCTCTGTTTGTTTGTTTCTATTATGTCTCTTAAAAGAACAACATTTTAGAGTCAAATGTGCACACAGGATCCACTGAAGGTCCAAATGATCCTTGGTAAAGTTATGACATTTGGAAAGATAATATAATAGTTAACATTATATTCAGAATACATACAGAGGCAGGATTTTTTTTTTTCCACGAAGGAGGATAATATTTAGCCTTAAAATGCTTATAAGAGCTGGAAATGGCTGGTTGAAGTGATATATGTGCACTTCAGATCTTGGGCACCCCAATCTGATAGTTTGTTGCCTCCAAATGCAGACCTGACAATCTATGCCACCAGGCAAGCAAATGATCAAAGAAAATACTTTTTATTCATTAAAGCAAAGATCTCAGGACAAAACAAAAGAGATAGAGGGAGAAAGATTTTAACTGTGACCCACAGCAAAGTTCGTCTGAGGCTGTACCTATATGTTATATAAACTCAGTGGTTTGCGAGGCCTCCTTAAACCACAAGCTTACAGTGTCCATGCTTGTGTTCTATCCTGTGGCTCTCTTTCCTATGACAAGCAACACTACCACAATTTTAGATAGCATAACACAAAACAGAAGCACAAAAGAGAGCAAAAATGAATGAAAATGAATGTCCTGATCTCACCAAGAATGGCAAACAATGAGGAATTATAACAAAACTCAGGTAATATACTTAAGAATAAATAGCAGAGATACGTAAAGGATGGTTGAGTTCTGATGTAATGTTGACTTACCACGTTAGCATGGACTCAAGAAGCCCTCAGCAGCAAGGCACAAGGAGCCATTGTGAGTACCTCACTTGGCAGAAGGCTGGGGTCCACAGTGGCAGGCAGTGCAACTGTGTCTCAATGGAGCCTCTAGAAAACTGTGGAAATAAATGAAGACCACCCAAATAAGAACAAACACTATTTATTCAGAGCTTATGATATCATGGGTACCAGCTACCATCACTTGCATTTGGTGGAGACTCACAGTCACGCAAGGGAATGAACAAACTTAAAAGCAAGGGAAGGATTCGGAAATGCTCTAATTGGAGATGATTGATATGGGGAAGTTGAAGAGAATCCTATGTGAGTTGTTTGGGAAGTATTTTTGGTTTTCTTTGGCTTATCCTGCATTGAGATCAGAAGTAAACAGGAAAGCTGGATATTGTTGACTAAGTTCTCACCATTACGGCCCAGTTGCTACAGAGGTTGTGATTTGGCTTCCTGGCTGGTTGCTTTAGATGTTGCAGATCAGAGTTTTGTTGTCATCTGTATTTATTATCATCATTTATATATTCATTCAGTCACTCAGACTTATCAGATAATCCCTTTATTAATGCAGATTTTTTTGACAATATTAAACTCAATTACCTTTGCATCAACCTAATACTTAAGCTTCTCTTCTTCTCCCAGGCCCCTGAATTTTACCCACATTAATCTTCAACCAGCATACAGCTGAACATAGTCTAACTTCAGGGAATAATCTTTCCTAATTAACTCTGGTTTGGCCCCACTTCTCCGTGCTCAGTTCTTTCTAGACTTGTTCATTTCTCCCTACTAAAGAAAAGCTCTTTTCTGCCTTACCTTTGAGATGCTTGCAGATCTTATGACCTAAGTAGTCTTCCTGGTGCAATAGTCCCTCTCTCTTTATTGAAAATCTTTTTTTTTCCTTTTGCAATCATCTTTTCATTTGACAATTTTGCAGTTTAAAAATTCTCAGAATAGCTTAACTCCATCACAGGGAAATCTGCATTGC
This sequence comes from Homo sapiens, assembly GCF_000001405.40. Lineage (NCBI taxonomy): Eukaryota > Metazoa > Chordata > Mammalia > Primates > Hominidae > Homo > Homo sapiens. Next base: position 43,709,070 of record NC_000018.10, read on the forward strand.
TTCTTATCTTTAGAATAAAACAAAAAGCTTTTGATATGACAACCAGGCAGTCTATCCAGTTTATTATCTGACAGCCAATTCCCATTAGCTCAGGACAGGTGGCTCCATTGAAATATAAGTATCAATACATTACTTAAATGAAATGCAAGTAGTAATTATCTGTCCCATGAACTATTCTACTGATTTTTCCTGAATGCATGTTCTTATTGCTTACTATATCTTTTGAGTGGGCATGGGGATGCAGTTATTCCCAAAATTTTCATTGGAAAATAACTTCTCAATTTTGCTATATAATCAGATTATTTTATCAGTCAGTAGAAGAGGGGGGAAAATGGAAAAGACAAGAAGAGGGATGAGAGAGAAGGAGATTTTTGAGTCACAAATGCACAAATGTGGCTATGCTAGCTCCCATTTTGAAGTATTACTGAAAATCATTTAGCATGAGTTGTATTTGCCAGAGCCAAAGATCCTTGACAGTAAATCGTAAAGTAGCAAAATAGATAGAAAGCGATCACAGACTGTGGTGATGAGAAAAGGGCTCAAAGAAATACCGAATGGCAACAACAGAATCAGTTTAAGTGATGGGGCCAAAGGTCCACTCCTTATCTGGAAAAATCATCAGAAAATCTCTGGCCTATGGGCGAAATCATTGCCTTATCTCTGACTTTTAGTACACTTCTCTATCTCTTATTTCCCATCTTTAAATTACTGTAACATATTATCCTTGACATATCACAAAAGTATTAGTGCTCTTCCAAAAGTAAACTCTTTATCAGTCACTTTATAACCTGTGTGTGGGAAACAATCAAGATAAGGCTATGGGGAGCTACTAATCTGGTGGTTAGAGAATGACACACATACACTGAGTGGACATAATTAAATATTGATTTTTAAATATACTCTGAGATTGGTCTATGATATAATTTTTTATTTTTTATTTTTTATTTTTTATTTTTTTTTTTTACTGTGGCTTGATTATTGTTGAAGAATATCTTACAAAAGAAGATAGATTTAATGAGTCTTTGAAGGATGATACAATGCTCAGAAATAGAGTGGTGGACATTCTGGATAATTCCACGAAGTGTTGCTGGAAAATTGAGAGGAGCCCGTATAAGAGACTAGAATATGCCACCTGAAGTATGCCTTTTTGGCACAGGAATTATATTGGGGTGATTATTTTTAAGAAACCACAGACATAGGCAAACCTCTGTAAACAGATGAAGAGTTACCCTTTTGTAAGACAAATTTACATTATAAAGGGAATGTCCGTTTGTAATGTAAAGGTGTCTCACATTCTCTAAGCTTCGTTAAGTTTAAGACACTTTTGTAAGGGATGATACCAGCTATTTAGCCTATCCCTAAAAAACTGAGGGTCCTGGAAATGTAACCATTTCAATGTCATCTTTTTATATTATTAACTTAAGAAAAATAGGTGCTCTTAAAATATTTTTTTAAGATTTGAAAACAAAAAGAAGTCAGAAGCCTAATCAGGTGAATGGCAAATGCCTAATAGGAGCTACATTAGGTGTAACGTGAATGCCTACTAATTTCCTATTGAAACTCTTGCAGCATTGCCCTTGTTTAACAAGAGGAATGAGCAAAATCATTGTCACAGTGGAAAAGGTCTACCTGGCGACAATTTCTTGGGCGTTTTTCTGCTAAAGTGCTTGCTAAGTTTCTGAAACCACACCCATAACCAGATGTTATGGTTCTTTTTTTTTTTTTTTTTTTTTTTTTTGAGATGAAGTCTCACTCTTGTCCCTCAAGCTGGAGTGTAATGGTGTAATCTAGGCTCACTGCAACATCCACCTCCTGGATTCAAGCAATTCTCCTGCCTCAGCCCCCTGAGTAGTTGGGATTACAGGTGCCTGACACCACACCTGGCTAGTTTTTGTATTTTTAGTAGAGATGGGGTTTCACCATGTTGGCCAGGCTGGTCTTGAACTCCTGACCTCAGGTGATCCACCTGCCTTGGCCTCCCAAAGTCCTGGGATTACAGGCATGAGCCACTGCACCTGGCCTGTTATGGTTCTTTGACCCTCCAGAAAGTCAACAAGCAAAATGCCTTGAGCATCCCAAAAAATTGTTACCATGACCTTTGCTCTAAACTGGTTCTGTTTTGCTTTGACTGGACCACATTTACATCTTAGTAGCCATTGGTTTGATTGTGCTTGTCTTCAGGATTGTACTAGTTAAGCTATGTTACATGCCCTGTTACAATTCTAAAAAAAAAAAAAAAAAAAAAAAAACAACAGAAAACCTTCAGCATCCATTGAAAGATCTGCTCTTGATTGGCCATTATGGCTCCAGCCTGTATTCCCAGCACTTTGGGAGGCCAAAGCAGGCAGATCACTTGAGACCAGGAGTTTGAGACCAGCCTGGCCAACATAGCAAAAGCCTGTATCTACTAAAAATACAAAAATCTAGCTGGGCATGGTGGCACATGCCTGTAATCCCATACTCAGGAGGCTGAGGCATGAGAATCACTGGAACCCGGGAGGTAGAGGCTGCAGTGAGCCAAGATTGGACAACCACACTCCAGCCTCATTGACTGAGGGACACTCTGTCTCAGAAAAAAAAAAAAAAAAAAAAAAAAAACAGAAAGAAAAAGAAACCTCTGCTCTTGACCTGGGCATAATGGTTTTTACACTCATTCAGTGGAAATTTGCTCAACTTTAATTTGTTAGTCAGAATTGTGTAAGCTGAACCAGTTGAGATGGCTATGCTGTTCTCTATTGATTCTGCTATTAATCATTGTTCATCTTCAATTAGGGCACCATAAAATTAATTTTTTCCTTGCACATTGATGTGGATGGTCTACTGCTGCGAGCTTCATCTTTAATATTGTCTCATCTCTACTTAATAGGAGTTATCCATTTGTAAACTACTGATTTATTTGGGTCATATTCCCTATAAACTTTTGTTAAGCATCAATAATAATTTCACCATTCTTCTACTCAAGCTTCAGCATAAGTTTGATGTTTGTTCTTGCTTTAGTTTTAGCAGAATTTATGTTCTTCTGATAGAGACCCTATTCAAACTAATGTCTTATCATTCTTAATGTTTCAAACTAGATGCTGTTCAGATATGTTTTAAAAAGTTAGTATACCTTTATTTTAGCATAAAGATTTTGAAATCCATGCATAGCTTTTTTATAACATGCATTTTCCATGAACATTTTGAAGACCTCTCATGCATGTTGATAAACTTCTATTTGTTTTTTCTTGTCTAATCTGTCTTCTGTTACAGAGTCCCCAGCTACGAACTTAGAAGAGTAGAGGGAAAAGAATATTTTCTTTTTGTGTATCAGCATGTCTAGAGTAAAACATAAAATAAGAAGTAGAGTTAAAAAAAAGATAGCAGGAGCCCATTTTCAGGAGCCCTTTAACCTTACTTTCCTTTTCATTATTATTATTTTTTTATAGAGATGGGGTCTTGCTATATGTTGCCCAGGGTGGTCTCAAACTCTTGGCCTCAAATGATCCTTCTGCCTCAGACTCCCTAAGTGCTGAAATTACAAGTGTGAGCCCCCATGCCTGGACTGCTTTCCTTAACTGTGACATAGTGCTCTTCTTCTAATGTATTATGTATGATACTTAAGTCATTTATTTTCATGCTTAAGACTTGTAGGGATGGAAAGGTTTTGATACCTTTTCTCACCCCTCCTGAGGGTCATGGCTAACACTCTTATAGCAAAAGACAGGTTGACACAAAATATACATAATAAATTTATTTAGTTTTATTAAACACGAAAACCTTCAGAAATGAGGCCCAAAGACCCAGAGAAAACTCCATTTTTATGCTTAGGTTTGATGAAGAATGAATAGCCACATACAAATGTAATTGGGCAAACAGGTATGATCTAAAGATAATAGACTAAGTGGAGAAACCCAGCAAGGTCTATCTACTCATATTTTTCTTAGACTTCCTATGTAGCATTCCTTCCTTATGGGTATGGGGCTAGACCCCTCTAGAAAGAAGGTCTTCAAGGAAGAAGGAAGAAGGGAGAGAGTGACTCTTGTAGGTTTTATGGCTTACTTTGAGGGAGAGGGGTTTTAGTTTCTATTGCCTGTCTTGGGGAAGAGGAATTTTTATTTCTATGACTCACTTCAGGGGAGAAAGAGGAATAGGAAACAGGAAGATAGGAGAAGGTCAGAAAGAACTTGCTTCTGAGATTTTCCAGTCTCTTTTAGTTCAAATACTCAATGTGTCTAAACATCACACTTCAGGTATTATTTTCTGGAACCTAACAGACTAAATTTTCTTCCTGGTACCATTTAGAACTTGTCCCATCTTTTATGATACATAATGCCTCACTTAATTGCAGTCCTAAATATTTTTTTGATTTAAAACTTATGTCATTATACTCCTAAATGTTTCAGAAATTTTTGTCATTGTTATTATTGTTGTTTCTGTTTGCTCTTAATTAATATGTCTACACACTGGATCAAGAGATTGAACTTTATGCTACCTCTGATTTTTGGAATTTATTACATTTTTGTGATCAAATTACGTGCTTGTGTCTGTCTTTTAAAGTATGTCACAGTTATTTGATAAGAGAGTATATTTTTTATTTGCTGATTAAATAAATATGTAATTCTTTATGTTATTTATTTCTTCTTTGTTCCTACTACTGTTTAAATGCTTGATCTTTTTTGATCAGATGAAAATATGTTTAGCTACTGCTATTAGTATTTTCTGTCATTTTTTCTTTATTTTCAAGTATTTAGTGCTTTATAGGTTTGATGTAAAAATCTGATGAAAGTTCAAGACATAGTTTTACTATTTTGAATGATATGCTTTATTTTTATATGAATGATTAACCTTTTGAGTTAAAATCTACAATTTATTTTCATATGAGGATATGTATATACATTACGCAATTCAAATAATTTTAAAAATGTCATTTTAGCAATTATTTGAAATAATTTTATGTTTTTTTTCCCCACATAATGTCTTATATATACTAGTAAAATTTCTGGACTCTCTTTTCTGTTTTATTGCTATAATTGGCTATTCTATAACATTGCCATACTATTTAGATTATTATGACTTTAAAATGCATTTTAATATTTGATAAGGCATGTATCCTTTTAATTATTTTTTCATATTTTTCTGCTTCTTTTATGTCTATATAAAGGTAAAATTAGAATAATTCTATGAAGTTCCAAATTTAGCCAAATTAATTTTTGCAATAGATTGTAGTAAATTGATCTTTTCATCAAGGAGAAAGATTTTTCTCAGAGTCTGGATTCAGATATTCTGAATTTGAATTCTGTGTGAAAACAAATAAGACCACCCAAATGAGAATAAGCAATGGCTATTTATTCAATGCTTGCTACAGCAAGGCAATCAGCTGTCATCACTTGCATTTGACAAAGACTCAAAGGCGAAGAGAAAAGTGTAAAAGCTTCACAATGAATTGAAGACTTCATTATGCCCTCATTGTAGGCTGTTGGCATGGGGAAGCTGAAACTAGGCTAACTAGAAGCAGACTACTTTATGTTATTGGTTAAGGATGCCTGTGTAGCGTTCGCAGATTGGCCTTACATTACAGGAGTGAAAATTAGGAAAGCTGTCAGATATTAATCAATTCCTAGTCATTTGGGGCTAATTGTTATAGGGGTTTAGTTTGACTTCTCAGAATTGTTATTAGAATTAGTAGTCTGGCTTCTGGGAACAATTTACTATAAATAATGAATGGGTTGGCTAGCTGGGCTGGTTGCTGGAGTTTGAGGGTCAGAGTTCTATTTTTATTTATGGTCTGGTTATTGTCCATTTGTATGTTCAGTCTTCCACTTGGCTCTGCTATTTACTACCTGCTTGATTTTAGGTAAATGATTTAAGCCCTTCCTTTCCTAAGTTTTATCCAATGTAAAATAATGTTAATAATAACATCTATTAAAAAGATTTTTGGTGATGATTAAAGGGTAGAGAACTTAGACCAGTGTCTGGCAAACAGTAAGTGATATTTACATGCTTCTTATATATTTTCTATTTCCTTGAATAGAGTTTGATAATTTTATAGTTTTATTAATATAATTTCTGTACATTTGTCTTTCCTATTCATACTTTTAACTAAAGATGTTTTAAAATATGTCTTGAAACTTGTATTTTAATATATCATAAATATATTGTACTTTGCATGTTTATTTTATAATTTATCATTTTCCCAAGCTCTCATATTATTTTAATAATTTTTAAATATTGTTTTTCAATTTTCTTTTCAGTTTTACACTATATTATTTACAAATCACATTGTGGTTTCCTTTCAAATGTTCATACTTTTTTTTTAATTGTCTAATGGCAGTGGTTAGAGCATACAATGTTTTTTAGATTTAATAATAATGCTTTTTATATTTTACTCATAAGGATGATGCTGGCCATTTGTTTGTAAAATTTATATTTAAATATATTAAGAATTATTATTCTATTTATTCTTTGCTAAGGAGTTTTATGAAAAAAGGATACTGAGTTCTATCAAATGCTGTTTCCCACATAAATCAAAGTTAATATTTTCTTTTAACCTATTAATATGATAGATTATAATTCTCCTAATACTAATACATATTGTTATTCCTGAAATGAATGTCAAAAACTCAGTTATTGGTATTTCTGTCTCATTTCCCACCTACTCTTTCCATGATTCACCTTAATTAATAGTAATTCCATTCTTTCAGTGCTTGGACCAATGTCATCTGGGAAGTCTTGTTGGTTCTGCCTACAAAACTGAGCACCTTTCATCACTGCCAAGATCACTGTCTTTAAGTCACCATTACCTCTTGATTGGATATTTGCAGTAGGTTCCAAATACCTGCTTCTGCTTTTATCTACTCTTATTCAGACAAATCTTGGCAGCTATGAGTAGACAGCTTTATCATATTACAAATGCCAAAATCTTTCTCAATGGAGAAATGCTAGAAAGATGGTCATGAAAGTAAGAAGCAATTCAAGGATACCCAATATTGCATTATGAAACATTTTGTGGAAGGGGTAAAAAATACTATTAGATAAGAAAAATGACTGAAAATTACAGATATTAGAATAAAGATGTATTACAGACTATGAGTTTGAAAATATAATAGAAAAAATCAAATACTTAATTTACCATGGCAACAAAAAAGAATAAAATATATAGTTATAAATTTAATGAGAAAGGTGCATGATTTAAATAAAAAGTTTTTAAAATTATATTAAGACACACGAACACATATACAAATAATAGAACAAGTGAAAAAGTATGCCATCTTCTTGGATAGAAATACTAAACATCACAAAGATGTCATTTTTCTACAACAGAAGAGTAAAAAGAATACTATTTCCCAAGAAATAAAACCATTATTTTATATATACCTGAGCTATAAGACACAAATAATAATAGAAAATTTTAGAAAAAAAGCAACTTACAGTAAAAGCAAATTGTAAAACTACAATGTGTAATACAGAACATTACTAGGCTACATTTTGGCATAATGAGGAAGTAAAGAGATTAGAAAGACTAGAAATAGAGGAACATATCTTTTGAATCTAGAACATGATAATCTATTGGGTGAAATAATTCTTTCAGAAATGATATGGAGGCAATTGGATAGACTTTTGGAAAAAATGTGATTCTGTATTTAATAGCTACACCAAAGTGAATTACAAATGCGACATATTTAAGTATGAAGAATAAAAGTATAAAAAAATGGACTGGAACAATACATGTCAGAATAGATGTTATCAAAAAAGCTTGTTAAAGAAAGTCTTCATAAGTATTCCACATAACTAAGAAGCCTTATGGGAAATACTAAACAAATTTGAGTACATGAAAATTTTTTTAAATTAAATATAATGAACAAATTTCAAATACAGTATCAAACTGATCATCATAATTCAGAAAATAGAATAATTTATTTCATGTACACGACATTCAGAGATGTACATTGACAACCACCAACAGTCAAATAAAAAGTGGGCAAAATATGTAAAGAGAGATTTTACAAAAAGGAAAATGCATGTTTTCTTAAGTATTAGTTGTGTTCAATCTTTCACATATGAGAGATATCCTAATTAAGGGTTTATTGATATACCAATGTTCAAGTATCAAATTAGTAAATAATGAAAAGTTTGATAACACATTATGGTGGAAAATGGTGAGGAAATACGTACACTTATTTTTGATCTGTTGATGGGAACAATGTCCATGAATAAATTTTGATGGTAAAAACAAAATTTGAATAATGTAGGTTTTATTCCTGAAATTCTATTTTTAGGAACATATTCTACTAATATATGCAGTTTTGCAAAATAGATATGCTAAAAAGTATTCAACACAGAATTAAATGTACAAAATTGGTAAATAATATAAATGTCTACTACTAGTAAACCAATTAAATAATATACTATGCATCTTTTATTGGAATAATAACGATATTGTCCAAAACAAACAAAACTTAAATATCTCCTAGATATATTTAAGTGAAAAAGAAAGATGTTTCAAGTATAAAAGTTAGAGTTTTGTGAAAAAATATATACCCGTAAAAAAGAGGAACAAGTCTTTAGAGATTATTCTTGCAAAAGACTAGCAAAACAACTAAGTTCTACCAAAATTGATAAAATTTTAAAGAGAAGGCACAAACTAACAATATTAGAAATAAGGAAGGTAAAGGCATAATGTCAAAAAAAGATGCTTTTGAAAAAAATCATAAAAAATATGTACGATTTTATGTCAACATACTTGAATATTGAAATGGCGAACTTTTTTGGAAAAATTATAAACTAGCTAAATTTACTAAAAGGATAAAAAAGGGCAGGGCACGGTGGCTCACGCCTGTAATCCCAGCACCTTGGGAGGCCAAGTTAGGTGGATTATGAGGTCAGGAGTTCAAGACCAGCCTGGCCAACAAGGTGAAACCCTGTCTCTACTAAAAAAAAAAAAAAATTAGCTAGGCATGGTGGTGTGTGCCTGTATTCCCAGCTACTTGGGAGGCTGAGGCAGGAGAATTGATTGAACTGGGACCCAGGAGGCGGAGGTTGCAGTGAGCTGAGATTGTACCACTGAACTCCAGCCTGGGGTAGCAAGACTCTGTCTAAAAAAACAAAACAAAACATGTACTTTAAGTGAATTGAATTGTTATTCAAAAATCTATTTACAATCTCTAGGCATGTTTTACCCTCCTTGAAGGAACAGGTGCCTATTTCTGTTAAGCTAGAATCATAGTATCTAAACAAAACAATAGCAAAATAAAAAGAAAAATATAGATAAATCTCATTTGTATTGGCCTGTTTTCTGTTGCTTATAACAGACTATTTGAAGATATCTTAAATTCCTTTTAAAAAGTAATTTATTTCTTACAGTTATGAAGGCTGAGAAGTCCAAGTTCCAGGGTCCACATTTGTTGAAAACTTTCTTGCTGGTGAAGACTCTTTGCAAAGTTTCTAAGCAACACAGGGTCACACATGGCGAGGGGGCCAAGTGTGTTTCTCAGGTCTCTTCCTCTTCTTTATGAAGCAGTTAGTCTCATTTCCATGATAACTGATTAATCAATTCATCTATTAATCCATAAATAAATTAATCTGTTCATGAGGTCTCTGCCCTCATGACACAATCACCTAAGGCTCTAGCTTTCAATGCTGCCACATTGGGGATTCTCAAACCATAACATCACTTGAGAACATATATGCAAAAACACAAAAATGCATAACTTTTATGTATATACATACAAGTCAGCCTAACAATATGTTTTTTAAAGCCATGAACATGTAATGTTTATCATAAAATGCAGAGGTTTAAAAATAGGAAATTTATTTGTTATAGCATGAACAAATAAGACAAAACAGTATAAATTCGATCAATGAACAAAAGTTGATAATATTAAGCATACAGAAAATATTTTAACAAACCAGTATTATAGAGTAACTTACTTCACTTAAAAAAATTATCTTCCACAAATCTATAGCAAACATCATACTGGATTATGAAACATGATTTTCTGTAAAATCAGAATTAAATATAAGAATGCCTGCTACAATCACTCTATATTCTGTTCTTCAGGTCCTAGGAAATTGATTGAAGCAAGCATAAACAGATAAGCACAATTTTTATTAATTGAAGATGGCATAGTTTTCTAAATAAGAAATTCAACAGAAACTAAAGACAAACTGAATTCATTAGAGAGCTTAGCCAAATTGCTGGATTCATGGTGGATACTTTAAAAATCCATGAATGAATTGAAAAGTTTGAATTCAAAAGTTTAATGAATTCAAAAGTTTAATTTTAAGAATAATGCTGCTGTTCAATACATTACTACAGTTCCAGTCTGTCATTTTCCCCTTCCAGCACTGGGGAGACTGAGCAGTTTGGACTCAGGAAGAATTCCACATAGCACAGCACAGTGGGTGTGGCAGATAGTCACCACACTGCCTCTTTAGACCTAGTGGAACCCATCCCTCCTCATGGGGCAGGGCCTCCCTGTGGGAATTTCAGCAACTCGCCCCAGAAGGTTAGGGACAGAATTCTTATCTCCCTGGGACAAAGCCCCTGGGGTGAGGAGTGGCTGTGGTTTCCATGGGTCAACAGAATTAGTCTTTTCCCCTGCTGGCTCTGAGGAATCCAGGCAGTCCAGATAAGTGAGATTCTCACCAGCACAGCACACCCACTCTGCCAATGGGCAGCCAGAGTGCTTCCTTAAGTGGGTCCCTGATCTCATGCCTCCTGATGGGGTGAGATTCCCCCAACAGGAGTCGCCAGACACCTTACATGGGAGCATTCTGGCTGGCATCAGGTCAGTGCCCCTCTGGGATGGAGCTCCCACAGGAAGGAGGAGGCAGACATCTTTGATTTTCTGCAGCCCCCATACCTCCAGGAGCAGGAGAAACCCAGGAGAAGAGGGTCTGGAGTGGACCCCTGGCAAACCACAACAACCCTACAGAAGAGGGTCTTAACTGTAAAAACAAAACCAAAAAAACAGAAAGCAACAACTACAACAACATCAATGAAAAAGTCCCCACAAAAACCCCATCCAAAGGTCAGCAGCCTCAGTGATCAAAGACAGATAAACTCAGGAAGATGAGAAAGAATCAATGAAGAAATTATGAAAACTCAAAAAGCCAGAGTGCTTCTCATCTCCTCCAAGTGATTGCAACATCTCTCCAGCAAGGGCACAGAACTGGGCTGAGGTTGAGATGGATTAACTGACAGAAGTAGGCATCGGAATGTGTGTAATAACAAACTTTGCTGAGCTAAAGGAACATGTTCTATCCCAAGGCAAAGAAGCTGAGAACCATGTTAAAAACATTACAGAAGCTGTTAATCAGAACAACCAGTTTAGACAGGAAAATAATGATCGAGCTGAAAAATAACATGAGAACTTCACAATGAAACCACAAGTATCAATAGCCAAATAGACCAAGTGGAGGAAAGAATTTTAGAGCTTGAAGACTATCTTGCTGAAATAACACAAGCAGACAATATTAGAGAAAAAAGAATGAAAAGGAATGAACAAAATCTCCAAGAACTATGAGGTTACGTAAAAAGACCAAACCTACAACTGATTGGGGTACCTAAAAGAGCTATGGAGAATGGAACCAAGTTGGAAAACACACTTCAGGATATCATCCAGAAGAACTTCCCCAACCTAGCAAGCCAAGCCAACATTCAAATTCAGGAAATCCAGAGAACCCCAATAAGACACTCCATGAGAAGATCAACCCCAAGACACATAATCCTCAGATTCTCCAAGTTTGAAATGAAGCAAAAAATGTTAAGGGCAGTCAGAGAGAAAAGCTAGGTCACCTACAAAGAAACCCATTAAAATAACAGTGGACCTCTCAGCAGAAATTCTACAAGCCAGAAGAGATTGGGGGCCAATATTCAACATTCTTAAACAAAAAAATTTCCAATCCAGAATTTCATATTTGCCCAAACTAAGCTACATAAGCAAAGGAGAAATAAAATCCTTTTCAGACAAGCAAATGATGAGAGAATTCATCACCACCAGGACTGCCTGGCAAGAGCTCCTGAAGGAAGCACTAAATATGGAAGGGAAAAACTATTACCAGCCACTACAAAAACACACTGAAGTACACAGATCAATGACACTATGAAGCAACTACATCAAGAGGTCTGTGCAATAATCAGGTAGCATCATGATGACAGGAACAAATTCACATAATAATATTAACCTTAAAAGTAAATGGGCTAAATGTGCCAATAAAAAGACACAGAATGGCAAGCTGGATAGAGACAAGACCCATGCATGTCCTGTATTCAAGAGACCTATCTCACGTGCAAAGATACACATAGGCTCAAAATAAAGGGATGGAGGAAAATCTACCAAGCAAATGGAAATCAGGAAAAAGCAGGAGTTGCAATCTTAGTTTCTGACAAAACAGGCTTTAAACCAACAAGATAAAAAAGACAAAGGCATTACATAATGATAAAGTGTTCAACAAGAAGAGCTAACTACCCTAAATATATATGAACCCAATAAAGGAGCCCCCAGATTCTTAAAACAGGTTCTTAGAAACCTATGAAAAGACCTACTCTCCCACACAATAATGTTGGGAGATTTTAATACCACATTTTCAATATTAGATCATTGAGACAGAAAATTGACAAAGTTAATCAGGACTTGAATTCAGCTCTGGATCAAGTGGACCTAATAGATATCTACCAAATTCTCAACCCCCCTCCCAAAAGAGAATATACATTCCTCTCGGTGCCACATGGCACTTACTCTAAAATTGATCACATAATTAAAAGTCCCAGCAAATGCAAAAGAACTGAAATAATAACAAACAGTCTCTCAGACCACAACGTAATCAAATTAGAACTCAAGATTAAGAAACTCACTCAAAACCAAACAACTACATGGAAATTGAACAACTTGTTTCTGATTGACTCCTGGATAAATAATGAAATAAGGCAGAAATCAAGAAGTTATTTGAAACAATTGAGAACAAAGAGGCAAGGTACTAGAATCTCTGGGATACAGCTAAAGCAGTGTTAAGAGGGAAATTTATAGCATGAAATGTCCACTTCAAAAATCTAGAAAGATCTCAAATAGACACCCTAACATCACAACCAAAAGAACTAGAGAACCAAGAGCAAACAAGCCCCAAAGCTAGCAGAAGGCAAGAAATAACCAAGATCAGATAGGAACTGAAGGAGATAGAGACATGAAAAACCCTTCAAAAAATCAATGAAACCAGGAGCTTGTTTTTTGAAAAATTTAATAAATTAGATAGACCGGTAGCTAGACCAATAAAGAAGAAAAGAGAGAAGAATCAAATTGGTACAATTAAAAAAATAAAGGTGATATCACAACTGACCTAACAGAAATACAAACAACCATCAGAAAATACTATAAAAACCTCTATGCAAATAAACAAGAAAATCTAGAAGAAACAGATAAATCCCTGGACACATACACCCTCCCAACACTAAACCAGGAAGAAGTCAAATCCATGAATAGATCAACAACAATCTCTGAAATTGAGGCAGTAATAAACAGCATATCAACCAAAAAAAGCCCAGGACCACATTTGTTTACAGCCAAGTTCTATCACAGATACAAAGAGGAGATGGTACCATTCCTTCTGAAATTATTCCAAACAATTGAAAGGGAGGGATTTTCTCTAACTCACATTATGAGGCCAGCATCAATCTGATACCAAAACCTGGCAGAGATACAACAAAAAAAAAAAATTTCAGGCCAATATCCCTGATGAACATCTATGTGAAAATCCTCAATAAAATATTGGCAAACATAATTCAGCAGCACATTAAAAGCAGCACAATCAAGTCAACTTGATCCCTGGAATGCAAGGCTGGTTCAACATACACAAATCAATAAACATAATCACATAAACAGAACTAACGACAAAAACCATATGATTATCTCGATAGATGCAGAAAAGGCACTCAATAAAATTCAGAATCCCTTCATGTTAAAAACTCTCAATAAACTAGGTATCGATGGAACATATCTCAAAATCATAAGAGCCATATATGACAAACTCACAACCAATATCATACTGAATGGGCAAAAGCTGGAAGCATTCCCTTTGAAAACCAGCACAAGACAAGGATGTGCTCTCTCACCACTCCTATTCAATATAGTATTGGAACTTCTGGCCAGGGAAATCAGGCAAAAGAAGGAAATAAAGGATATTTAAATAGGAAGAGTGGAAGTCAAGTTGTCTCTGTTTGCAGATGACATGATCCTATATCCAGAAAACCCCATTGTCTCAGCCCAAAAGCTTCTTAAGCTGATAAGCAACTTCAGCAAAGTCTCAGGATACAAAATCTATGTGCAAAAATCACAAATATTTCTATACACCAAAATAGACAAGGAGAGCCAAATCATGAATGAACTTCCATTCACAATTGCTATAAAGAGAGCTAAATACCTAGGAATGCAGCTAACAAGGAATGTGAAGGACCTCTTCAATTAGAACTACAAACCACTGCTCAAGAAAATCAGAGATAACATAAACAAATGGAAAAGCATTTCATGCCAATGAATAGGAAGAAGCAATATCATGAAAATTGCCATACTGCCCAAAGTAATTTATAGATTAGATGCTATTCCCATTAAACTACCATTGACATTCTTCACAGAACTAAAAAAAGTACTTTAAAATTCATATGGAATGAAAAAGGAGCTCACATAGCCAAGATAATCCTAAGCAAAAAGAACAAAGCTGGAGACATCACACAACTCGACTTCAAACTACACTACCAGGCTACAGTAACCAAAACAGCATGATACTGGTACCAAAACAGACACAGACTAATGGAACAGTATAGAGATCTCAGAAATAGGACCACACATCTACAACCATCTGATCTTTGACAAACCTGACAAAAACAAGCAATGGGGAAAGGATTCCCTGTTTAATAAATGGTGCTGGGAAAACTGGCTAGTCATATGTAGAAAATTCAACCTAGACCCATTCCTTACACCTTTTACAAAAATTAACTCAAGATGGATTAAAGACTTAAATGTAAAACTCAAAACCATAAAAATCCTGGAAGAAAATATAGGCAATACTATTCAGGACATAGGTATGGGAAAAGATGTTATAACAAAAACATCGAAAGCAATTGCAACAAAAGCAAAAATTGACAAATGAGACCTAATTAAGGAGCTTCTGCACAGCACAAGAAACTGTCATCAGAGTGAACAGGCAACCTACAGAATGGGAGGAAATTTTTGCAATCTACCCATCTGACAAGGTCTAATATCCAGAATCTACAAGGAACTTAAACAAATTTACAAGAAAAGTGGGCAAAAAATATGAACAGACACTTTTCAAAAGAAGCAATTTGTGCAGCCAGCAAACATATGAAAAAGAGCTCAACATCATTGATCATTAGAGAAATGCAAATTAAAGCCACAATGAGATACCATCTCACACCTGTAAGAATGGTGCTTTTTAAAAAGTTAAAAAACAACAGATGCTGATGAGGCTGTGGAGAAATAAGAATGATTTCACACTGTTGGTGGGACTATATATTAGTTCAACCATTATGAAGACAGTGTGGTGATTCCTGAAGGGCCTAGAACCAGAAATACCATTTGACCTAACAATCCCATTACTAGGTATATACCCAAATGATTATAAATTATTCTACTATGAAGATATATACACCCATATGTTCATTGCAGCACTATTCACAAAAGTGAAGACATGGAGTCAACCCACATGCCCAACAGTGATAGACTGGATAAAGGAAGTGTGGTACATATCCACCGTGGAATACTATGCAGCCATAAAAAGGAATAAGATCACGTCATTTGCAGGGATCTGGATGGAGCTGGAAGCCATTATTCTCAGCAAACTAATGCAGGAACAGAAAACCAAACACCACATGTTCTTCCTTATAAGTGGGAGTTGAATGATGAGAACACACAGATACAAGGAGGGGAACAACTTACACTGGGGCCTGTCAGCAGTGAGTGCAGCGTGATGAAGAGCATCAGGAAAAATAGCTAATGCATACTGGGCTTAATACCTAGGTGATGGGTTGACAGGTGCAGCAAACCACCATGGCACACGTTTACCTATGTAACAAAGCTGCATATCCTGCACATGTATCCCAGAAAATAAAAAACAAAAAAATGCTATTACAATAACAAAAGCCATCTGTGATTCCTATAAATAAATGTATAATAAGCTGCAAGAATTTTATACAGAAATTATAAGCAGTACAATGAATTCAGAAGTTTAATTTTAAGATAATTGTTATTACAATAATAAAAACTACTATGATAGCTATAAATAAATTTATAATAATTATATAGGAATTTTATACAGAAATTATAAGCAGTACTAAGGGATGTAATGGAATCTTTAAATAAATGTAGTATATCCATGAATGGAATACTCTATATCAGTATTGTTCTTAAAAATGTAAGGAGATATTCATGTGTAATTTTGAATTTTCAATGGCCATTTTTAAAGACCAAAAATAATAGGTGAAGATAATTTTAATATTTCATTAAAATTATGTTCACAATATTATGATTTCAATATATAATCAGCATGAAATATAGTAGTGACATATTTTAGAAAAAAATTTTTAGGCCAGGCGCGGTGGCTCATGCCTGTAATCCCGGCACTTTGGGAGGCCGAGGCGGGTGGATCATGAGGTCAGGAGTTCAAGACTAGCCTGGCCAAGATGGTGAAACCCTGTCTCTACCAAAAATACAAAAATTGGCGGGCATGGTGGCAGGCACCTGTAATCCCAGCTACCTGGGAGGCTGAGGCAGGAGAATCGCTTGAACCTGGGGGACGGAGGTTGCAGTGAGCCGAGATCGCGCCACTGTACTCCAGCCTGGGCAACAGAGTGAGACATCGTCACCAAAAAAAAAAAAAAAAAATTAGCAATGATATTGAAATCCAAATCAGATTTTTATTTTATATTAAGCCATATTTCTAGTGGCTTAATGTTCTCAATAGCCACATGTGCCTCATGGCACTCTGTTGGACAAATGTCTCTCCATATCATGAAGATGGCAGGCAATGCTGTACAAATCAATTTGTAAATATGATATGAATCTGCATTGCCTGGATTTATAGTTCAGCTTCCCTAGTACCAGGTTAACAATCTCTGTGGCCTTGGGGATATGAGATATTACTATTATTGCTATAAAGATTTTGTAAGTTAATATTGGAAAATATTTTGGACCTAGAACAATACTTGAGATAGAGTAGTAACAATACAGTGTTTTAGTTAGGCACTGTGGCTCGTGCCTGTAATCCCAGCACTTTGGGAGGCCCAGGTGGGTGGATCACCTGAGGTCAGGAGTTCAAGACCATCCTGGCCAACATGATGAAACCCCATCTCTACTAAAAATACAAAAATTAGCCGTCCATGGTGGCACACACCTGTAATTCCAGCTGCTCAGGAGGCTGAGGCAGGAGAATTGCTTGAATCTAGGAGGCAGAGGTTGCAGTGAGTTGAGATTGCACCACTGCACACCAGCCTGGGTGACAGAGTGAAACTCCATCTCAAAAATATATATATATAGTGTTTAAAAAGTAAATACTTTTACATAATAATTTTTTCAATAATTTACATAATTGAAAAAGCAATACTAAAATTATTATGAAAATTTGGTGGGCACCAAGCAGCAAAGCCAGTTTGAAAACAAAAGAATAAGTGAGTTATAGAAAGATTTGCTTTAAAAGATTCAAAATTTTACAGAATTCGGCAACAAACTGTTGTGCTACTTAAATAGGAACACATTACATAAGCCAATGGGCCAGACTAGAGACTCAGAGCAGTCCTATACACACAAGAGAATGTTAAATGGCATGTGGCATTATTAATCACGAGGTAAGAAAGAATTAAACAAAAAATGGTGCTGGGACTTTTGGCCATATGTATGAAAAATATTGGAGCCTTACTTCAAAATATGTGAAAAAAAAGCAAATTCTAGGAAATAATAATTGATAAGTTTAAAAGCAGGAACATTTAAATTAAAATATTTAAATAATATAATTATGTCTTTGTGATAAAACAATATTTTATATATAAAAGACAAGAAAGGATGGAGAAATCCAACCTTGAAGGAAAAGAGGGACATGTTTGAAAGATTTGAAGTTAATTTTGTTGTTGTTGATATTATTATTGTTCAGGAAATAACAACAAACATAGTGAAGAGGCCAGCCACAAACTGGGAGGATTATTTTGGCATTTTCAACTAGGCTATAAATTTTTTAAATGTCACAATAGAAAAAATAAATCAGATATAGGAATAGGCAATTTAATGATTAGAAAACCAAATGATCCATTATCATTGGGAAACGTGACTTACGCATTCTCAAGAATGGAAATGCAAATAACAGATATAATGCGATTCCATTTCAGACCCCTTCCATTGGCAAGAATGAAAATATCTGTCACTATCAGTGTTAGAAAACACAGGGATAAATGCTTTCTTTTACTATGTGTAGGAATATAGGTTGGGAAGCTGTCTGGAGAAGGAATTTGGCAACATTTAGTAACATGAGAAGTTCTACCCTTCACTGCAGCCTTGTTTCTATGGCATAAGGATTGGGAAAAAAATATTATTAGGAGATTTAGTATTAGTAAATAAGTTATTGTGTGCTGATTTCTTGGAGTGCTTTAAAACAGTTAAAATATCATGTATTATTATGTATTAATATAAATATACATTTAAAAGCTGAGTAAAATATTGCAGGTACTGTGGTTATGTTTAAAAGTCATCTTTTAGAAATCATACTAAAATATTTAGAGATGATATGATGTTGGAAATTTGCTTCAAGATAATCCATTTGGAGATGGGAGGTGAATAGGTGTCAAGATGAAAGAAAGGGATGAGTTCTACATCTGGATTTAGCTACCTGGGGGTCTATTTTCTTAACCTTTATATATGTTTGAAATTTTCCATAATAAAACCCTAGAAAAGTGAACAATGATTTGTACAGAACATATCAAATGTACACAAAATTTAAAATAAAAGTATTTTTATTCTGCAAAGATTCAGAGCACTGGAATTATGAGTTAATTCACAGTCTTCTTCTTCTTCTTCTTTTTTTTTTTTTTTTGAGTTGGAATCTCGCTCTGTTGCCCAGGCTGGAGCGCAGTGGCAGATCTCCGCTCACTGCAACCTCCACCTCCCATGTTCAAGTGATTCTCATGCCTCAGCCTCCCAAGTAGCTGGGATTACAGGCACGGGCCACCACGCCTGGCTAATTTTTGTATTTTTGGTAGAGATGGGGTTTCACCATGTTGGCCAGGCTGGTCTCAAACGTGACCTCCAGTGATCTGCCCGCCTTGGCCTCCCAAAGTGCATGAGCCACCACACCTGGACAAGTAAATTCATACTTGATCAATTATTTATAGATTTCTAAAACTAATTATCCATACTATAAGTGAAAATTGCATATGACATATTGTACAAATTTTTTTACAGCTATGGAACACACATGCATATATACACTCAAAACAGAGACAGACGACCAGACTTCTCACATTGATGGTGTCACTCAAGTAAGAAAAAGGGTAATTTTTTTTCATGCTTCCAGATTTTTTGTGATTTTTTTCATTTTTAAGTTAATATAAATAACATGCTATTGCATCCTTTCATAATCATTAAAAGATGATAGTCCCAAAAATACTTCAGAAAGCATATTTTTGAATTAGTTTTATAACCAATATCCTTCCTTTAGTATCTTTATAGCTGCCTTTCCAAATGCCTTTGTAACTGCCATTTCAGAGCGTGCAAATCTTTTTTTAAATACTTCTTAAATAGTATTACTTCAGGTCGAAATACTTCTCATCAAATAATTTATTTACTCACTTAAAACCCAGGATTTAATGAGCAGAACAGATTATGGAATTACAGGATACCTCTTTTGTGGTTTAAGTTCTGATAAAGAAGTGATTCTGTTAGTGTCATTGATTGATGGTTGTGTTGATGAGTATGTGGTGGGAGGAGAAGAACACGAGAGGTGAGAGAGAGGAAAAAAAGAGAGAAATCTTGGTCAATATTATATATATCTTAGACATTTTAGTGCTATTCATCCTAGACTTGTTATTTCTGTGATCATGCAAATATACCTGTAAATTATCCTGTGAGAGCCTGGAAGAAGTTGACTTGGCCCAGAAAAGGTGCGTAAAGAAGGACACTGCTGGCATTAGCCTCTGAGTCATTACCATTTTTAGGGGCATCACTTCTCTCAGCTTAGTAACATAGAAGGAAATTAAGTCCTTCAAGATTTTTTTTCACAGTTATTTTTTCTCAGTTGATAGGAACAATGGAGGATGATTGAAGAGCTAAGACCCAAAGACTTTAATTTTCCAAATTGCCTTAATTTGATCTAGAAGGAATGCTACATTTTGTTAAATTGTATTACGACAAAGAGAAGCTGGTCACTTCTCAGCATGAATCTGAAAGCAAATAATTTCCACAAAAAAGGACTGTATTTAACTAGACAAGTAATTACATTGTGGTGCTACTACCTCCCCTGCCTCAGATTAGAAAAGTATTCAATTATCACTCCATTAGATCAAAAAATATTTTTAGTGATACATTTCAAGTGAAGTAATTTATTCCTAAATAGATTCCAATGAATTTTTGGATTAACCTTCATGAATTTTGCTGATTAAACTCAATGCTTTTCCTCAAAAATAAAATTTAAACCTGTTTTATATTTGATTAATATTTTCTTCACTATTAATATTTTTCTTAAATTATGCAGTAAATCATATTCAATTTACAGCATAGGATAATTGAGTTAATTGTACAGTTTAACCAACCTACTATACTAGTGTATTTCTAGACAATTCCATGGTTTAATTTTCATTATTTTACAATGAGCAATATATACAAATATATAGTAAAGGTATATGTATACATAACTTAGAATAAAACCATATGGTAGGGTGAACAGAGAGAAAGAGAAAAGCATATATAATTAAGAAATTAAATGGCTATAAGTTCTTTTTACTACTTCTTTTTCAATTTAGATGACTTCTATATTCATTGCTTGCCTTATTGCCTTGGCTTGAACCTCCAGTAAAATGCTGAGTAAAAAAAGGAGGAGAGCAGGCATCCTGGACTTTGTACTGATCTCAGAGAAAAAGCATGTAGTCCTTTATCATTAACTACAATGTTAGCTTTAATTTTTGATACATGCCCTTTATCAGATTGAGAAAGTTTGTTTTTATTCCTAGCGTGCTAGTTTTTATTAGAAATAAGTATTAAATTTTATAAAATGCCTTTTCTGCATCTAATGAGAAATTACTTCTTTAAAAGTTTTATTTTTAATGAAGAATAACATTTATTGATTTTCAAATGTTAAACAATAACCTTGCACTTCTAACATATATCCTACTTATCCATGATGTATTGGCATTTTCAGACACTTGTGCTTAGCATTTTTGCATTGAAGTTGATAAGGAATATTGTTCTGTTGTTGTTTTTTAAATTGTAATGTCTTTGTGCAGTTTTGGTATCAGGTTAATGCTGGCCTCCAGGTAAATCGGAATATATCAGAATATATTTTCACCCCTTCAAATGTATGTTTGAAAATGTTTTTCTTTCTTAATGTTTCATATGATTCATCTCAGCCTGAAGTTTCTTTGTGGGAGGGTTTTAAAAATTATGAATTCAATTTCAGAAGTAGATTTTAGGACCATTCAGGTTATTAGGTTTTTTTTAAATAAGCTTCTTTAGTTTGCATCTTTCATGGAATCTATTTTATCTAAATAGTCACATTTATTGACCAATCACTTGCTAATTCCAGTATCCACCCCTTAAACCTTTTCTAAGGGTTGAAGGCAGCACAGGGAGACAGATTTGAGTTTGGTTTCTCTCTCCTTGAAAGTAAAATTTCAATATAAAGCTTTTCTTAAAAATTCCAGCGCCATAGTATTGGATTCTAGCGCATCGGGCAGCTAGCACTTTTTGCTCAATAACAACTTTAAATTTCTTTAAATTATCCTGCATTATTGAAACGAAAAGAAGAGTAGAAGTGAGAAGCAAAGGAGAAGAATAAAGATATGGCCCTCCTACAACCAAACTAAAGGACAAGAATAAAGAATAGTAGAATCTATTAGCCAAACAATTGAATTTTGGGCACTTGACTTAGATACATAAAGATTCCATAACCATATTTTTTGTTTGCTAGGTAACAACATTTTCTAATCCTGGATAGATATCAAAAACACTCAAGGAGACATTTAAAGATACAGTTTGTTATTTTATTTGCAGATTCTAACTTATAGGGGATATTATTAGATTGGTGCATAAACAATTACGGTTTTTGCCGTTACTTTAATGTTTTTGCACCAACCTAATATAACGGACCCCTATATATCTATCACCCACCTTCAACAATGAATAACATTTTGCTAATCTTATTATATCTGCCCTAAATGTTTCTTTTAAAATAATTCTGGAGCATATTAAAGCTAATTGCAGATATCATCATCTCATTTTTCTGTAGATAGGTTATGTATCTTTATTATTAAGCATATTCTATAAGAGTATTTTTAAAAATAACCACCAAGTTAATATCACTGTCAAACAGAAACTTTTTAACTATGTAGAATAGCCTGTCTGTACTAAAGTTTTCTCAACAGACCTTAATGATATACATTTTTAGAATTGGTTTATTCAGATCAGGATTTGAACATCTCTTGTGTCTTTTATTTAATAACAATTCTTTTTTGCCCTGATATCATTGGATGAGTCCGAAAAGCCACATCATTTATCCTGTAGATGATGGAACACAGATTTGATTTCACCTAAACTTTTCTGACTGTTGTTGGTTATCTTGTTCCTCTACCCCTTTTAGTTCATATACACTTCTGCTACATTGTTCAAAGTTTAAGATTTTTTTTCTGTCATTAAAATAATTTCTGTCAAGGATACTCAGTCAAAATATAATGTTTAAAGTCACAGGACCCAGTTAACTTCTATTGGAGGTTATAGTACTTCCTTGATATAGGGTTTAGCGTATCAATTTTAGTTCGCTTTCTATTTATATGGCTTGTGTCTTTTTAACTGAATATTCTTGGTTTCAAAATCAAAACTATACAAGTAAATGTATTGTTAGAAGTCTCACCTCTGTTTCTATATTCTCTCCCAGTTCCCTCTTTCCTCATATAAGGTAATTATGTTTGGTTCAGTCTGGCTTTATTCTTTAATAGTTTCATCTTGAAAATATAAGCATGAGTGTATATAATGCTTATATTGCCAACATCCCTTTTCTAGAAAAAGTAATTTATTATAAAGATGTTTCTATATCTACTTTTTTTTTTTAGCTTGACAATATTCTCCTTTGGCTTAGTTTTTAAAAAACCTTACCGTGTATCCAAGAGATACTTAATCTTCTTTATTTTTGTTATCAGATAGATCTACCATATTTTATTCAACTAGTGTCCTAGAGTGGACAAAAGGCCTATTTCTAGTTTCTCATTATTACTAATATGCCACAATAAAAATAATCTTGTGCATATGTCACTTTAATATTTTGTGGTTTTGCCACAGAATCTTAGGAATAGAACCCTAGAATTTATATTTCTGAGACTAACAGTAAATTCTTATCATATATTTAGGATAGAGATTTTTTTTCCAAATTCCCTTTCACAGAAGTTGTATCATTTTGTATTTCCACTAGCTATGATGTCAGAATGCCTATTTATTTTACAGATTTACCAATAGAGACTGCAGTTAATTTTTGTATTTTTTATTAATTCAATATATGAGAAATAGTACTACAGTGTAGTTTAGTCAGCATTTATGTTATTTTGAGCCAGATTGAGTAGTTTTTCATAAGATTAAGAATCATTTGATATTATGTTTCTGTGTACTATGTTTTCAGGCTTCTATATAGTAAATAAATTTTAAAACTATTTTTATGTCCAAACTGAATTGATTCCCAAATATATTCATACAATAATATAGAACATATTAGAGCAATTAGAAGCTATCATATTCTATGAAAGTAATTTTTAGTTTCTATCCCAAACATATTTAGTCATGGTTAAGATTTTAGTTGTAAGAAGAATCTACAAGTCCCAGTGGTATTTATTGAGAAACATGGAGAGTAAATGAAAACAGTCAACAGAAATACTTCAAAGACTTTCAATAATTTAAAACGTTTGTTCTTCTAGCTAAAAGAGTAAGGGAAAAGGCTGAATAACATTTACAAATCAATGAATATAAAGGCACAAGGAAAGATAAGTTATTGCATATGTGTGAACTGCATAATCAAAAACAAGGATAACTAGACTACCTTAGGCATGAAGCAAAACATTGGCAGGAAATGCAGCAGGAAATATGTATCTTTTCTGAAAGGATGTATTCTGTCCGAAAATCAATAGAGATATGCCACGGGCTTTTTTTCTGGGGTGGGGCTTCGTTATGTTTTGAAGTTTGGCTTATTGGTCACTTTTGCTGATTGGCTGATGCTCAGCTGATAAAATTGCTGATGTTCATTGACCTTTATTGTATTCCATGAGGCTCCCTGAATCTAATTCACCTCCCTTTCTGAGGTTGTCATAGGAGTCAGTATTATAGTATTATAGTACCACTGAAAAAGAGGGCTATATAAACAGCTAGGAAGAAGTACACCCTCACAATTCTTCCTAACATTAATAAGTCTAGGTGTCCTATATTCATTCAATCTGTGTTTATATATTGAGCCGCTATTATACACCACAACTGGGATAATTATTGAGAAGAAAATAATTTCAACAATTTTGCTTTATGGATATATAAGATTAGATATGCTTTTTAATAAAATATACGTTATGACTTAGCAACACTGAAAGGCAGGTAACATGAAAATATTCTGCCTGAATACATCCAAGTATAATGAATACATACAAAAAAATTTAAATTCATATCGACCTCAAAGAAAAGTGAGAGATTCAAACCACCATGGCATGTGTTTGCCTATGTAACAAACTTGCATGTCCTGTACATGTATCCCAGAACTTAAATTAAATTTAAAAAAACATAGATAGGAAAGATAGTTCCAAACTATATTAGGGCCATTAAATAAATGCCAGTTTTCTTAGTTAAAACAAATGGAGGAGAAATACAATATCAGAGGTGTTATGTGGTACTGATGCTTTTACTTACCTGGTTGAGCTGGGGAGAAGGAGACGAGAGAGGAACCAAGAAGGATAAGGTAGCCTTGAGAACTTTCTAATACCAGCAGTGAGCCTAATAGAAAACAAGTACAAACAGAAACAGATTTTGCATCCCAATTGTCCACCAATGAGTTATTTTACCTAGGACAAGTTAATTAACTGTAATGAGTTACAGTTTTCTTGTTCATAAAGTAGAATGATGATGATCTCCACCTCCTAGGGCTCATCTCTTTTAAATACAATTAAATATTTTAGTTTTAAGAAATAGAAGGATTTACACAAAGTAAGCTGTAAAGAAATGTTAAATATTGGGCCGGGTGCGTTGGCTCTAGCCTGTAATCCCAGCACTTTTGGAGGTCGAGGTGGGTGGATCACCTGAGATCAGGTGTTCGAGACCAGCCTGGCGAACATGCCTCATCTCTACTAAAAATGCAAAAATTAGCCAGGCGTGATGGTGCGCGCTTGTAATCCCAGCTACTCGGGAGGCTGAGGCAGGAGAATCACTTGAACCGGAGAGGTGGACGTTGCAGTGAGCTGAGATTGCGCCATTGTACTCTAACCTGGGCAACAAGAAACTCTGTCTCAAAAAAAGAAAAAAGTTAAATATTATCATTAATATTAAAGTTACCCTTCCTACATGTATATAAATACTATAGTTATGTTACTGCAGTTATTGTTTACCTTTCAATTATTAGGCACTGAACACTTATTTTCCTTCATTACAGCATTCATAGTGTTTGGCAAAGCAATAGAGTCACCTTCAGATTGTTTTATAAAGTCTTTCAATGCCACCCACGCTAGAAGTCTTGGGTGATTTTTTCATTAATATGGTGCAGGGGAACATGGACAGAAGAGGAATAATGTACCCACAAATGAAACAGAATTGATCATCTGAACCATGGACAGCTGTAGATATGTGCCATCCCCACATTGTATTCACATAAAATGCATTACTTCTTGGTTTTCTTCATTAAATTCATCGAAAAATTCTTTTTATTTTATGCCACAATATATTTAACAGTGATATATTCAGAGTCTGCAATGTTACACATGCCATGTTTGAAGTTGTTGGCATAGGGTTAAAAAACAGATAGATTGGTCTATGGAAGGTATTGCCTATATCAGATACAGAAAGTATAAATTATTATAACATCGTTTGATAAAAAATTAAAATAAAAAATATACTGGGATGAAGCCATGGATAGGCTGGGGATAAAAATGCCCATTCAGGATGAGGGTTATGTTTCAAGTAAGTAATAGCTATATCCCTTAGCTCAGTCTTGAAAGCTGCATAGAAAATAGTTGATGTAACTACCTTCTAGTACTGCCATAATAAAGTACCGCAGACTGGGTGGCTTAAATATTAGTAATTTATACTTTCACCCTTCTGGAAGCTAAGAACTCCAAGATCAAGATGTCAGCAGGTTTAGTTTCTCCTGATGTCACTCTGTTTGGCTTGTAGACTGCTGCCTTCTTACATGTTCTTATATGGCCTATCTTCTGTGCTTGTGTATATGTGGTGTCTCTGTGTGTTCAAATTTCCTCTCCTTATAAGGACATTAGCCATATTGAATTAGGGTCCATGCTAATGACGTAATTTTCACTTAATCACCTCTTTAAATCCTCTCTCTCCCAATGCAGTCACATGCTGAGGTACTAGGGGTGAGGGCTTCAACATAGGAATTTTGAGAGAATGCTATTCAGCCGCAGATGATAATTGGGTGAGTTTCAGCCTTTCTTTAATTCATTCAAGTACAGTTGGTTCTGCTATAATGAGAAATGTGTATTCTGAAGCCTCACTATTCTCTGAAAACTTGGCACAATAAAAGCTACAGGGCTTATGAGGAAAGTAGGGTTGAGACACAACACTCAAATACTTTATCAGTAACACATATAAAAAGAGATAGGAACCTAGCAAAAATGGCAAAACAGTTCTACACATTATATATGTTTGAAAATATGTAAATACTACAATAAATATGACAATTTATTTTGAGAAAGACCTGAAAGCATTTGTGGAAATGGGTATTGGAAAGGCTGCAGCTTGGGAATTATTGTGAAGTGGTAAAAGATTTATCTGAAACAAGATTTATATGAAAGGGAAAGTTATGACACCAAATTTGGTAGGGGCTGGCTTGTAATCCACACAGAGAATTAAGATAGCTGGTGGGAGTGTGAGATGTATGCATTTTGCATATTCCAATATCACTTGCTTCTTTTAAATATGGTTTTCTATGTTCACCTAGTGTTTCTCAAGGACAAAATTGCCCATACACAAGCGTGAAATTTATGTGATACTTAAATTGTCAGTTACAGCAGAACTGACTCTACATGAACATAATTCAATCAAACATCCATAATATGTAAAGTGCTCTGCTGAGGTTGGATGAGAGAAGGAAGTGTAAAACAGCCTCTGCCCTCAGGGGGCTCACAGTCTGCTAAAAAATAGCAATCTGACTATTACACCACATAACACAATGCTTTAGGAACTCTTAGTATTCCTGTATAGTTGAAACAAAGTTTGATTGTGGTTGGGCAATGTGAACTGAGGTAAAGCATCCAGGAAATAATTAATATGTAATCTACAACATGCATGTGTATTTCAGCTCTGCTACTTTCTTGCCTTGTAATTTTGGATATGCTACTTTGGTGCTCTGTTCCTCACTCTCCTTGTCTATAAAATCAGGTGATAACATTATCACCCACTTTTTAGAATTACGTGAGGAGTAAAAGGAACTACACCATTTAAAATGCATAAAACAATGCCTGACACATAATAAGCATTCTACTTAGTGCTCATTGTAACTACTATCAGTATCATTACTACTATCAGTGCTAGATTTATTATTATTTCCATGGATGAGCTGGAATATCACGTAAAGGAGATTGACATTCTACCTAGAAGCAGTAGGAAACCAGCATAAGAATTTAAGCAGGGAAGACAAAGCATAATTTTTTTAATAATAAAGCTTTGACAGCACGTTGAAATATGGTTTGAGGACAGGTAAAAGAGGAAGCAATTGTACCTCCTTGCTCAATTAAAGTGAAGATTGAGAATGGACAGTTACAGGAAGATGAAGATAAAGAAACATATTAAGACACGAGATCAAAGCTGTAAGTGTTTTTGATTGATTCATTATATGCTAAGTGAGAGAGAGAAGAAATAATCTGCAGAGTTCTAGATTTCTGTTTCAACTAATTGAATAGTTATTCACAAGACTTAGGAATACAGCTAAAAATAGACTTGAATAAAAAATAATGTCTGGTTCTGGATTTATGAAAATGGAAGTGGCTGTATGGTAGCACAATGCATAATTAAAAATAATCATTTTCTTAAAAAGAGACAGGGTCTCACTATATTATCCAGGCTGGACATTGGCTATTCACAATAGTGATTATGTTACACTATAGCCTTGAACTTCTGGGCTCAAGAAATACTCTTGCCTCAGCCTCCTGAGTAGATGGGACTACAGGTGCACACCATTGCACCCAGCCAAAAGTAACAGTCTTAGTTAATGAGAAATGTCTGAATCAGTGATCTGGATTTGGATTGTGCACACTATCAATAGCATACAAATGTGTAGTTCCAAAATTATTATCAGTCCGTTTCACTTTCATTGGCACAGTGCTCTTTACTTGGTGTCTTCATCACAACCCTCTAGTTTCTCAATCTCATCCTAAAATAATTTTGAAATGCTTCCTTTTAACCCATGGATCTATATATGTATACACACATACACACATATATATACATATATATTCATACATATTTATACATACACACACATCTCTGAGTGATTCTGAGTTACTAATTATAACATGTAAAATATTTTCTGTAAAATATTTTCTCCCATTCTCTTCCGTGCTTCTTCTTGTTACCAGCAAAACTATATCACTTGCTACTCTGCAATGTGCCAACTAATTGCCACCCTCATGAGGAACTTTTGCCATTACCACAACTTTAATGGCCTATTGTCAACTGGTTAAAATACTTCCAAGACCCAGATCATGTGCTATCTCCTCTGTTAAGTTTTTCATGAGTGACACCATTAATATGTCTCCATTCTTAAAACTACCTCATTTATCTCCTGATGCTCTGTTTTGGAAATTTTTATATATCTGTCTTATCCAGCAAATATACAATATTTAATTGATTAGCTTATGAAAATTTATATTATTTTCCCACGTGAGATACTGTTAAAGGGATGTTAGGTATAGCAGTGGAGGAAACAAGCCAATATTTGGAATCCTTAACTTGGCGAAACATGTTGTAAAAATAGGTAGTTTTGGCAAGTGATTTTTCAAAGAACAAGATAGTAACTACATAAAACTGTCAAAAATACAAATAGCACAGATTGCTCAAAATGTGATAGAATAATTGCTAAGGAGTGAAAGTTTTTTTAAAAAAATGATCAAAATCTTTTCATAGATATTTTATTGATTTGTTTAAAAATTTTACTGAGCTTAAGATATATCAGAAGGAAAAAAATAAACAAAATAAAACAAACACGCAAAGATCTCTGCCATTCAGATAAGGCATATTCCTTCAGTAGAGGAATAACAGAATTTCCTACTCAATTCAATGAGGGTTGTGGGAAAAACAGAAGTGCCCCAGATGACTGCAGTTTTTTTACCTCAGTTGGCTGCCTTTCAGTGGAAATGAAAAAGTTTAAAAACAGAGCAAATTTAAGGGAAACAAGTTTTAGGCATGTTGTGATTAATTTTCAGTAAATATGCATATGGAGAGGTCTGGTAGGTAGCTGGCTATAAACCATAGCACATCAATTGCTGGGTGATGGGAGCATCCATCAAATGTGCAAACTACTCTTTGGATCTCAGATCTGGAGACATGTTTAACAATGGCCTATGCTAGAATTGCCATGGTGATCATAAAAAGCAGACCCACTTTTAATCAGACTTAATATATTCTCTGCAAATTATGACACCACCCGACACGACTTTTCCTTCACTCTTGGCATGGCATTGAATATATGGGTATGATATGTAGGGGCAGACTGGACTATGGATACATTTTGGAATTAAGAGCATATTATATAGTATTTAAAGCTCTGAGTCTTTATGAGACCAAGCATAGTGTTTGAAGATAGAGAAGGAAAGCACCAAGAACTGATTTTACTTAAAAAGATCAATAAAAAAGGAGGAAAGAATAAAGTGACTGGAGAGGTAAGAAAAGCACTAAGTTACTATGGAGTTATAAAATCCAAGTGAAGAAAGTGAAAAGGAAAAAATCTGAGGTGACAAAAAGAGAAATCAGTGGTCACTTTATGAGTTCAATGAGGGCTGAGAACTGACCCGGAATTTAGCGATATGGTCATAACTTACAACTATGAAAAGAACAATTTTATTGCTGAGGTACAGATGAGAGATTGATTAGAAGAAAATTAAGAGACAATTGGAAAAAATAATTTGGAGAAAGTGCGATAAACTTTTCCAAGAAGATTTGCAGTCAAGAATAACAAAGAATAAAGTAATAAGACAGTTAGTATAGAGTCAAAAATGTTGTTTTTATGATTGTTTGTGAGATTGAGAGAAATAACAGAATCTTGTTTGTTTTTTGTATATTTAAGATGAAGGCATTTGATAGAAAAAGGTTACAGTCTCTCAGAATGAGGCATTTCTTTACTTCTATAAACTATTACTAAGATAGTACCTGAAATATAAGTAAGCTCTGCAGTCCAAAGACTTATATTCCATAATTTTATAATGCAATTGCATAATGGCTAAGCAGATTAACACTGCTGTTATTCAGTCTGAATATAAATTTCTGCTCTACTGAGAGGATTCTTAGAAACTTGGAAAAACAAATAAGCCATTCTTTGTTCCAGGTTCCATCAGTAAAATAGTCTTTTTTTAGCCATCTCATAATGTTGTTATGAAATTTGTATGACAATGAGTCCAAAGTTATCACAATGCCTAATACTTCATAAGCAGCTAAAACATCATACAATCATTTATATTTTCATATTATCAACACTCACGAGAATGTATAGCTGCAAGACTTTACATATGCAATGTGTTGATTTACTTTATATTATTGTTAAGTGTGTGTGTGTGTGTGTGTGTTTAAATACACTATCAAAGAATACTTTTTTGCTACTAAACTTCTTTGTATGGATTTCATGTGAAAAACACCTGTAATTAGAAATATAAAATAACAAACTTAAATTGTAAAGATTATCTATCAAGATACAATAGCTAATTTTATTTCTAACTCTGGAATATTTAAAACATTTTCTTCAAAATCAGAAAAACTCAAGGATGCTTACAAGCATCTTTATTGATTATATTCAATAAGCAGTATTTTAGCCAATGTAATATGACAAGAAAATAGATAAAAGTTATAAGAACATTAAAAAAAACTGCCTTTCTTATCAAATGACATGATGTTCACACAGAATATTCAAAAGAACCACAGGCAAATTATTGGTTATTAAAATTAATAAGAAGGCTGAGGTCAGGAGTTTGAGACCAGACAGGCCAACCTGGTAAAACCGCATCTCTACTAAAAATACAAAAATTAGCCAGGTTTGGTCGCTCACACCTGTAATCCCAGCTACTTGGGAGACTGATGCAGGAGAATTGCTTGAACCCAGGAGGCAGAGGTTGCGGTGAGTTGAGATTGCACCACTGCACTCCAGCCTGGGGGACAGAGTGAGGCTCTGTCTCTAAATAAATAAATAAATAAAGGTTTTGATTATTAATAGTGAACACCTTCATCCTATAAACATAATTGTCATTGATCTCTGTTAAATAGTTAGAGTTTTGTGGATTGATTTCTAATGGCTGTCTCTGTTTTTCCCAATTGTCATTACTGCATCACCCTGTGCAGGTATTATCTTGAGCATTTCTATCTAACATGAAAACATGCCAAAGCAGAAGAATCTAGGTCTTATGTGCCATTCCTCCTTCTTCAGACTATAAAGTTTCCAGCCCTATGACACCATTTCTTAATATTCTGTTGCTCTTCTTTGTACTTTAATCTCCTGATTAATCAAAAAAAGTGACAAATGAGGAATAATAGGTTAATGCAGCAGGATATGCTTTCAGATGTATGCCACTCTATCTGGTAGACTTCTCTTAGTTTTGAATGTAGAAAATATCCAACTCAAAATTGTTTAAGCAATGATTTACTTATTTTGCTCAAAAGCAGGAAACCTATAGGTAGGCAGTCTTCAGTGTTAGGTAATTCAATATTCCAATTATACAATAAAAATGCATGTTTATTTATTTTCACTTTTATCTCAGCAAATATGTCCCTCCAGAGTTGGTTTCATTCCAAGGCTTGTTCTCACATTTGTAAGATGATCTCCAGTAGCAGTTCATATATGTATTCTTAAAATCTATCAGGAGAGACAATTTGTAGCTCCATGTGACTTTTTATAAGAACAGGAAGAATCTTACCAGAAATTCCCAAGAAACAACTTCTTAAATGTTACTAGTGAGTTTTGAGTCATAATAACATTCCTAAACCAAATCTTGACAGAAATAAAGGAAATATTCTTTCTCTAAACTCAGCTTTCACTTGGGTATGTAAGCCACTTGAAGAAGGGGAAAAATAACTAACCATAATAAAGTCTTGTGGGAACGAGGACAGAATAAAAAAAAGGATCTTGGATAGGCAACCAACAGAGTAAAGAACAATTCTTATACATGGCCAATAGAACACAGCAGGTTAGCTGTTAAGCTTACATAATGGGTCTTTGATATGTAAATAATTGGTTCAATAAATATGAAACATGAAAAATATGAAATCTTCTGTCTGCTGGTATGCAAGGCACATAAAATCTCTTGGGTTTTTTAAGCATCTGGAATTTTTTAGAGATAATTGTTCAAATATCCGTGAGCAATATACAGGTGCTTATTAGATATTGTCACTGTGTTTTCCAGGGTTGCTAATCTCATTTTCACTCTCAATCAAAATTTTTTTATTTTGACATATGGCTTTCCTGGTTTACCTTTGATGCAGAAGAATATTTTTAATTAGTGCATTTTCTACCAACATTTTAAAAAATGCTCAGTACCTATAGAAAAACAGATGTAATTGAAAGCTATGGAAAATTAAAAAAAAATGCAACCTTTAGAATCCCACAATGCAACCAGTGGTCACTGACATTCAAGTTGATAGCAGAAATCATCGCAACGAGTGCTTTGATTCTCTTGAATTTATCTCTCTCTCTGAAATAAAAACTCAAATCTCACTGAAATTACCTTAAGGCAATTCTACCTCAAAGTGTAATCCATAGAACTATATATAAAGTAATTTTTACTGGCCTGTGATGTACAGGAATTAAGTAAATAATAAGTACAGAAATTAAGGATAAGTATGTAGAAAATATAACAATTTGATACAGTGATTTTGTGACTATAAAATATAAAGTTCTAAATATGGTTCGTATTTCACGTAGCTCTTTTTCATTTACTTTTCTAATGATTTACAATCTTTTTTTTTTCACAAAAGTATTATTCCACTAATATTGGGAAAATAATCTATCACCTTGATGCAATGAGTTTGAAAAGCACTTATCTAAATCTTCCATACTTTTCATACCTTCCTAAATTTTGTAGGTTTTCTGAAAATTACATCATCAAAGGATATATAAGGTAGACTAACAATTGGAGCAGAAAGATAAATTATGCTACTCTAATTGCTATAATAGAAAGCAAACTGGACTTGAGATCAAGACCCAGTTTTTATTTTAAACTTAACCTTTTTTAAAAGTTTTGTTTTGGTTAAACATCTGGAAAGTTGGTGTGGTGGCTATTTAAATCCAAATATTTGCACGATATTTTCCCAAATTTATAGAAAATTTATATTTTCTATAAATTACACAAATCAAGAAGGAAATAACCTACAATATAAATTCCACATCTTCAGCTTAACTAGAAAGCAAAGAACACCCAAACAATTTTAGCAAGGTTATCTACTAGACTTTTGGCATAGGCTTTATTGGTGTGCTACTGGGGCAGGGAGTAAGTGGGTGGATAACTTTGCAGAAAAGAGAATAGGTGGAAAGTAACAACGTAAAAGAGTTTAAAAACATCCACTTAAAATGTTGCCCATGGATAAAGAAAATATGGTACATATACACCATGGCATACTATGCAGTCATAAAAAAGAATGAAATTATGTTTTTTTGCAGCAATGTGGATAGAGCTGGAGGCTAATATCATAAATGAATTTAGACAGGAACAGAAAATCAAATACCACATGTTCTCACTTATAATTGAGAGCTAAACATAGAGCTAATGTGGACAAAAAGAGGGAAATAATCAACACTGGGATTTACTTGAGGGTGAGTCATGGGAGGAGGATGAAGATGGAAAGACTACATATTGAGTAGTAGCTCATTACCTGGGTGACAAAATCATTTTTACACCAAACCCCAGCAACACACAATTTACCCATGTAACAAACATGCATATGTATCCCCAAACCTAAAACACAAATTGAAAGAAAAAATAAATTAATAAATAAAAGGTCAGATGCTGTGGCTGATGCCTGTAATCCCAACAGTTTGGGAAGATGAGGTAGGTGGACTGCTTGGGACCAGGAGTTCAAGACCAGCCTGGGCAACATAGTGAGACCCCATCTCTAAAACAGTACAAAAATTAGCCAGGCATAATGGCGTGTACTTATAGTCACATCTACTCAGGAGACTGAGGTGGGAGAACCACCTTAGCCCTGGAGGTCAAGGCTGCAGTGATCTGTGATCACTCCATTGCACTCCAGCCTGGGTGATGTAAGTGAGGCCTTGCCTCAAAATAATTAATTGATTAATTAATTAAAAAATAAATGAAAGAAAAAGTCCAACCTATGTGAAGACACATTAACAAGGAATCCTAATAAATCAGAACATTGACAGGGAGGGAACATAAATGTTCCTGAGAGTCAAAATGACATCTAATAAAGACATTATTTTTGTGGGACAGGGAAGAGATTTTAAAAAAAATGAGTGAATGACCATGGCCTGTGACACAGTT
Source organism: Homo sapiens (assembly GCF_000001405.40). Classification (NCBI taxonomy): domain Eukaryota; kingdom Metazoa; phylum Chordata; class Mammalia; order Primates; family Hominidae; genus Homo; species Homo sapiens. Next base: position 43,744,198 of record NC_000018.10, read on the forward strand.
CCCGAAAATCCTGAGAACATGTGCCCATGGTAGACAGGCTATAGCTTGGTTTTATACATTTTAGGGAGACATAAGACATCAATTAATACATGTAAGATGTACATTAGTTTGGTCCGGGAAGGTGGCACAACTTGAAGTGGGGGCTTCCTGGTCATAGGCAGATTCAAAGACTTTGTGATTTGTGATTGGTTTAAAAAGTTATCCTCTAAAGAGCTGGAATCAATAGAAAAGAATGCCTGGGTTAAGATAAGGGGTTGTGGAGACCAAGGTTTTATCATGCATATGAAGTCTCCAGGCTTCAGAGCTCTTACCAGATTTAAAAATGTTCTAGACTCGGCTGGGCGCGGTGGCTCATGCCTGTAATCCCAGCACTTTGGGAGGCTGAGGCAGGCAGATTACAAGGTCAGGAGATCAAGACCACCCTGGCTAATATGGTGAAACCCCATCTCTACTAAAAATACAAAAAAGTTAGCTGGGCGTGGTAGCAGGCACCTATAATCCCAGCTACTCAGGAGGCTGAGGGAGGAGAATGGCGTGAACCCAGGAGTTGGAGGTTGCAGTGAGCCCAGATTGCGCCACTGCACTCCAGTCTGGGCAACAGAGCAAGACTCCATCTCAAAACAACAAAAACAAAAACAAAACAACAAAGAAAGCTCTAGACTCAGTTAATTCTCTCCTGGATCAGGGAAAAGACCTGGAAAGGTATGGAGATTCTCTATAGAATGTAGATTTTCCCCATAAGAGACAGCTTTACAGGGCTATTTCAAAATATGTCAAAGAAATATATTTTGGGGTAAAATACTTCTGTTTCTTTCAGGGCCTGCTATCTGTCATCTGATGCTATATTAAAGTCAAGGTAGAATTTGGTGTTTTATTGTTACAAAATGTCTGTTATCTGTCTTAATCTCTGTTTTAATGATAATACTGGTCAGCATTCTCCGAATTCCAAAGGGAGGAGGGTAAAATAAGGCATGTTCATGTCTGACCACCCATTCCCATCATGGCCTGAAGAGTGTTTCAGGTTTGCTTTAGAGTGCCCTGGATGAGAAGAGGGGCCCATTCAGTTAGTCAGAGGACTTAGAATTTCATTTTTGGTTTTCAGTGGTGATGGCTGTAATTCAGTGTGAATGTAATAAATATCACAGAACTGTATACTCAAGAATGCTTAAAAGGGTAAATGTTGTTATGTATATTTTACCACAATTAAAAAAACAACAGTGATCAAAGGTGAGATGATTAGTTTTACATGTTGACTTGACTGGGCTGCAGCATGTCTAGCTATTTAGTTAAACATTATCCATAATAAGTCTGTGAGAGTGTTTCTGAATGAGATTAATATTTCAGTCAGTAGATTGAGTAAAGCACATTTCTGTGGATGACACATCCAATTTGTTAAAAGACTGACCAGAAAAGAAGTCTGAGTAAGAGAGATTTCACTCTGCCTTTAAGCTGGGACATCCATCTTTGTCTGCCTTCAGGTGAAGTCAAGAAATACACGCATGGTTCTTTTGGGTATCTAGCCTGCCAAGAGTGGATCTTGAGATTTCTCAGCCTCCATAATCACATGAGCCAACTCCCTATATCTATCTAATCTATCTATCTATCTATCTATCTATCTATCTATCTATCTATCTACTATATATTACTGGTCTGTTTCTCTGGAGAACCCTAAAACAAAATAAAAATCTATTGAAATAATTTTGTGGTATTTGTCTTTAGTTCTGTTTACGTAATGAATCACATTTATTTATTTGTGTATGTTGAACCAATCTTGCATCCTGGAGATGAAGCCAACTTGGTCATTGTGGATTAGCTTTTTGATGTGCTGCTGGATTCAGTTTGCAAGTATTTTGTTGGGGAATTAAAAATGCATACAGAACTCAAAAAAGAGCCTGACTAGCCAAGGCAATCCTAAGCAAAAAGAACAAAGCTGGAGGCATCACGTTACGTGACTTCAAACTATACCACAAGGCTACGGTAACCAAAACAGCAAGGTATTGGGGAAAAAAAAAGAAAAAAAAGAAAAACGCACATTGACCAATGGAACAGAATAGAGAGCTCAGAAATAAGGTCACATATCTATAACCATCTGATTTATGACCATCTGATAACTGGCTAGTTATATGCAGAAGATTAAAGCTGGACTGCTTTCTTATACCATATACAAAAATCAACTCAAGATAGATTAAAGACAAAGGTAAAACCCAAAACTATAAAAACCCTGGAAAACAGTCTAGGCAATATTATACTAGACATAGGAACTGGCAAAGATTTCATGACAAAGACCCCAGAAGCAACTTCAACGAAAGCAAAAATTGACAAAAGGGATCTAATTAAAGAACTTCTGCACGGCAAAAGAAACTATCAACAGAGTAGGCAGAGAACCTACAGAATGGGAGAAAGTATTTGCAAACAATTCATCTAACAAAAGTCTAATATCCAACATCTATAAGAAACTTAAACAAATTTACAAGAGAAAAACAACACCATTTAAAAGTGGGCAAAGGACATCAACAGACACTTCTCAAAAGAAGACATACATGTGGCCAACAAGCACATGAAAAAAAGCTCAGTATTACTGATCATTAGAGAAATGCAAATCAAAACCACAATGAGATATCACCTCACCGGTCAGAATGGCTATCATTAAAAAGTCAAAAAATAACACATGTTCATGAGGCTGTGAAAATAATGGAAGACATACACTTAGTGGGAGTGCAAATTAGTTCAATGATTGTGGAAAGCCATATGGTGATTCCTCAAAGAGCCAAAAGCAGAACCACAATTCGGCCCAGCAATCCCATTACTGGGTATATACCCAGAGGTATATAAATCACTCTACTATAAAGACACATGTACACGAATATTCATTGCAGCACTACTGACAATAGCAAAGACATAGAATCAACCTAAATGCCCAACAATGACAGATTAAAGAAAATATGGTATATATACCCCATGGAACACTATGCAGCATAAAAAAGAATAAGATCATGCCTTTTGCAGGAACATGGATGGAGCTGGAGGCTATTATCTTTAGCAAACTAACTCGGAAACAGAAACCCAAATACAGCAGGTTTTTACTTATAAGTGGGAGCTAAATAATAATAACTTATGAAAATAAATAAGAAAACTTCAGACACCAAAGTCTACTTGACAGGGGAAGGTGGGAGGAGGAAAAGGAGAAGAAATGATAACTAATAGTACTGGGCTTAATGCCTGGGTGATGATATAATATATGCAACAAATCCTCATGACACATGTTTACCTATGTAACAAACTTTCACATGTACGTCCAGACCTTTAATAAAAGTAAACAAAAAATTAAAGGGTAGTCATAAAGATAAAACATAGGAACTCACAAAGAAAAAATAACCATTGAAATAGAAGGAATATAACAATTGAAGATAATATTTTGCAAGCCTCTATAAAAATGAATTTGAAATTTTTGAAGAACTGGAAAAAGTCCTAGGGGGCTTGGATTTGTAAAAATTGACCCAATTAAATAGAGAAAGCTTAAAGAGAATAAATTAGATAAAAATATAGAAAGTTTTCAAGAAACAATTCTAGCAAAAGTTCTAGGCTCAGATGTTTAACTTACAAAGGCCAGATAATCCTGAAAATGCATACATTATTTACAGATCATAAAAATTAAAGGAAAATATATAAATTATTTAATTATTTTATGGGACAAGGATAATATTATTTACTAAACCTGATACAGTACTAAATAAGTAAATAAAACCACTGTAATATCATATCAATTATGGATATCAATGCAAAAATACTAAATAAAATATCAGTAAACAGAATTTAATACCACTTTTAAAATTGCCAACAATAAATAAGTGGGATTTATTTTATAATACTAATACCAAATCAATGTTTAAAACTCCATTAAAATAATGAACCCTAGTAATAGATATAAACAGAAAACTTTTATGATTATCTCAATGCTGAAAAAGCTTTTTTCCAAAATCCAATATACATTTCTGATATAAATAGTCAAGAAGGTTGCCTGTAGTCCCAGCTACTCGGGAGGCTGAGGCAGGAGAATGGCATGAACCGAGGGAGGCGAGGCTTGCAGTGAGCTGAGATCAAGCCACTGCACTCCAGCCTGGGTGACTGAGCAAGACTCCATCTCAGAAAAAAAAATATATATATATAGAATGTATAAATATCTTCTCAAAATTGTATATGTGTGTTTTTGTATTTGTGCATAGGTGAATGTGTGTGTGTATGTCTTTGCTTGAATATAACTTAATCCTAAAAGAAGCATTACATCTATTAGGAAAATACTTACTCTAGGTTTTCCAGTTCAGGAAACCATTACAGATGCTCACTATTTCCACTACTACATGAAATTAAACTAGTGACATCAATCAATGTGAGAAGTCATGGAAAATGTGTTAGAAAAATAATAATTGAAACAACAAAGTGAAATTAGCTTTATTAGCTGATGATAAAATAGTGTACTTGCAAAATCATGAAATCAATACATAAAACTGTCTCACACAATAAGATAAATCAGTAAGGCATCAGGATATACAATTACTCCCCAGAATTAGTAGACTTTGTATGCACAAATAGCCAGTTTGAAAAAATAATGGTTGTTACAAACTAATGTATAGTAACAACCATGAAGACAAAAATGCATAAAATGAACTTAAATAATTGGGAAAGCTATATAAGAAAAAATTGTAAACACCCTGAAAGATACAAAAACAGATATAGTTAAATGGAAATATATTTCTTTTTACTTGGATAAATGATTCATAGACATCATAAGCAGGTCAGTTGCTTTTTAAAGTTTAAAACTTCTCAAAAGGAATACAAATAATATTTTTATGAAGCTAGACAAATTAATAGTAAATTTGACATAAAATAATTATAAACAAATATGTAGAAAAACATAAAAAAGCTACAATGGTATATTAGCCCTATCAGGTATTAAATATACCATACAGTCTTTACATAATTTAAATAGCCAGAAAGAGTTAAGAGTAGACTAGAAGGTCCAGAAATAAATTCTAATATATATGAAAATTAGCGCATTACATCTATCTCAAATCTTTAGGGCAAATATGCACTTTTTAATAAGTAATGATGGAACAACCATGTAACTATATAGAACAAGAAAATATATCCATACTCTATAACATACACAATAAAAAGCTCCAAATGACTTCAATATCTAAATGTAAAAATGAATGAATGAATAAAACCATAGGAATATTAGAAGAAATTCCACTTCAGCATTGGTGTAGAAAAAGCTTTTATATTTATAATTTAAAACTCAAATGCAATAAAATAGTAGTTCTCAATTAGATATGATTTTGTTGTACAGGTAACATCTAGAAACGTCTGTGGATAGTTTGGTTGCAACTGAAAAGAAAATGAGGTGTGTGTTACTGGTATCATGTAGGTAGAGGTCAAGAATGAGACTGTACATCCTACATTGCACAGGTCAATTCCCAGAACAAAACATTTCATTGTTCAAACTAGCCATCATGCTGCAGCTGAGAACTCTTAAAACAAGGGAAATGGTAAATACATTTTACTACATTAAAATGCATCTTTTGCTTGTCAACAATATTCAAAGTCAAAAAAACTGTGAGAAAATTTTTGCAAGATATATAAAAAATAAAAAGGTAGTAACCCTAACATATTTTTTAAAATCTACAAAGTTAAGATAAAAGGACCAAGAATTAGATAGAAAAATGGGCAAAGGCCATGAAAAGACTCTTTACATTCCCTCACATTCACACACAAGAGTTTTAAAAAGTGATCCTTAAAATATTGAAATGCTGACCCTGCCATAATAGAAAGACCTTATTGAGCATCCCAGGCATTTATAAGTAGCACATTAAAGGCTGTGAGTGAAGAGTAAGGACCATGCTCCAGAATAAAGGTTAGAAAACTTTTACTTTCCTTGTCCATGTGTTCTCATTGTTCAATTCCCACCTATGAGTGAGAACATGTGGTGTTTGGTTTTTTGTCCTTGCGATAGTTTGCTGAGAATGATGGTTTCCAGTTTCATCCATGTCCCTACAAAGGACATGAACTCATCATTTTTTATGGCTGCATGGTATTCCATGGTGTATATGTGCCACATTTTCTTAATCCAGTCTATTGTTGTTGGACATTTGGGTTGGTTCCAAGTCTTTGCTATTGTGAATAGTGCTGCAATAAACATACATGTGCATGTGTCTTTATAGCAGCATGATTTATAATCCTTTGGGTATATACCCAGTAAGGGGATGGCTGGATCAAATGTATTTCTAGTTCTAGATCCCTGAGGAATCGCCACACTGACTTCCACAATGGTTGAACTAGTTTACAGTCCCACCAACAGTGTAAAAGTGTTCCCATTTCTCCACATCCTCTCCAGCACCTGTTGTTTCCTGACTTTTTAATGATCGCCATTCTAACTGGTGTGAGATGGTATCTCACTGTGGTTTTGATTTGCATTTCTCTGATGGCCAGTGATCGTGGGGTGGGGGAGGGGGAAAGGATAGCATTATGAGATATACCTAATGCTAAATGACAAGTTAATGGGTGCAGCACACTAACATGACACATGTATACATATGTAACAAACCTGCACGTTGTGCACATGTACCCTAAAACTTATAATAATAATAAAATTAAAAAAAAGAATTCTGACAGATTAAAAAATAAACAAATAAATAAATAAAAAATAAAAAATACACACACACAAAAGAAAACTTTTACTGTAGAAGGCTAAATAGTAAATATTTTAAGCTTTGTGAGACATACAATTTCTGTCACAACTGCTCAAATCTACCATCATAATGTGAAAGCGGCCATAGACTAGACATAAATGAATAAGCATGACTGTGTTCCAATAATATCTTTTCATGAAAACAAGCAACAGGCCAGATTTGGGCTATGGGTCATAATTTGCTTAACCCTGACTTAAAGTCAAAGGCATGATTTAGGACAAGGTTCTAGACTAAAATGGGCCTGTTTTAATAAGGAATAAAAGTATACCTAACAGGGACAAGATAATTTTCCAATAATTTAGCTTACAATTGAACAAAACTCAAAACCATTTTTAAAAAAATGGTGACATAATCTCATGAATCATCATCAATGTCAAACATGCCATCAGAAATTTTTAAAATACACAAAGAAGCAGAAAATGTGACTCATAGTCTCAGGAGAAATCAGTCAAGGAAAAAAAGTGAAATGACCCAGATATTTGTATTAAGTAAGGACTTAAAAGTAGTTATTGTAAATATGTTTAAGAATTTGAAGTATGGATTATGACTGCACAGACAGGAAATAGTAGAAGATAAAGACAGACTATATAAAAAGAACTGAAATGAAATTGTAGAGCTGAAAATGACCAGATCTGAAATAAAAACTTTACTCAATTGACTTAACATTTTATTAGATACTGCACAAGAAAATCAAGTCAATAGGAATTATCTATTCTGAAGGAAAAAATAGAGAAAACTGTTTAAATTATATAGAGACTTGTAAACCATAGGACAATAGTAACTGGAGTTGCAGAGAGAGGAGAAACTTAATAGAGCTGAAAAACATATTTGGCAATATATGAGTTCAAATTTTCCAAAATGTTGAAAATAAACAATATGTACAGTTCCAAGTGGCTCAGTAAACCTCAAGCAGGATAAATGCAAAAAAAGAACCATGCTTAGGCACATAATTAAACTGACAAAAGCTAAAGATGTCTTAAAAAAAATTCCGAATTAAAAAAATACCTTATTGAAACAGCAATATGTATAACTTACTATTTATAACTAACTCTGAAAATCAAGAAAAAATGAGATTACATGAAGAAAGAGACATAAATTCCGTCAACCCAGAATACTATAACCAGCAAAAATGTCCTTCAAAAATGAGTGTCAAGTAAAAATATTTTCAGTAAACAAAAACTGAGGTAATTAATTGCTCATAGAATTGCATTATAATAAATGCTAAAGGAAATTGTTTAAGCTGAGAGAGACATACACATATATGCACATATTTAATATATATGAAGAAGAAAGAGAAAGTAAGGCAAATGGAGCAAAATATAGACAATTAGTGAAAATGGATAAAGGACATATTGGAATTTCTTGGTGGTTTTAAATAAATTAAAATCACACAAAAATAAACTGCTCCAAAATAATGTTTTATTCACCAAGATGACCTTGGTGAATATCTTTTCTATGCACATGATTTGTATAGATGTACATGTGTATGTGTGTTGTATGTTTATAAATGAAACAAAATGGTATATTTTTCTTTTAATCTTAGTAATGTCGCTAACTAGACAAGTGACTCTATGTTTAACCTTTATGAAAATAACTTTCTGTAACTGGAGAATGAACATAGTTATATTAATTTTACATTCCTCAAAAAATGAGTATATATGTGAAATTCTTCAATCTTTAGAAATACAAAATCTTATGAGATTCCCATTGTAACTGGTGTGAGTAATGAGCCCTTTTTCTTATTACTATAAACATTCAGTCAAGATAAGTTTAACTTTACGGCCACTGAGGCCATTTAAAATTATGGAATTCTATAATTTGATCATTTAGAAATACTTTATGTCAATGAACACCAGCAAATGTGTACTATGCTTACTACCTGAGTGGTGATATAATCTGTGCACCAAACCCCCAGGACATGGAATTTACCTGTATAACAAACCTGCACAAGAACCCTCAAACCTAAAATTAAATTTGAAAAAAAAAACTGCTAATATAGTTAGGTACCAATGTGATCTAAACCTAGAATCATGCAATAAAGTTATTAAAATTGTAGATCTTGAATGGCAATCCTAGAAATTCTTAGTAAACCTGAGCTTTCTCAGGCATAGTTCATATCATGTATTTTGTTTTCTGCCTATTGCCATACTTTTTGTTTCTGTAAACTGGACACTTGACTATTACAATGCACCAACTTTAGAAATCAGATTCTATCTCCTTCCCAGGGATTTGTCAAGATTTGTTGTTCATTCTATTATACTTATTGTTGGCTTCTTTGGTACTATCGTGAACTTAGTCCATAAAGTCTGTATTATTTCTTATAAATGTCTCCTGCAGTTTCTGTTATGTTTTCTTCATGATCAGCTAATGGTCATTTTTTCTTTAAGTGACTAGAACCAAAAAATCTCCTAGTCTCTGCTGAGGGATTCTGTGTCTATTTGGGGCACATTTTCCACATTTATCAAGGCAGTTAACAACTTTGCCTTAGCCTTCACTTCCTGCTTTCATTAAGCTTCAGGGTCAGCAGGAGATGAGATCTTAGTAAAGTCTTCTTATATCTTTCCTGAACACACATACAGCCCTGAACATGTAGGTGGGATTTTAGATTCCAGGAATATCTTGGGGTTTTTCAAAACCCTTAACAACATTTCGTTCCTGAGCCTTTCTTCTCAAGCTTTTTGGTTAGCTTTTTATCTGTTCCAATTGCTATCTAGTACCTCAGGCAGTGGCAACCTAAGATATTAGTTTATAAATATTTTCGCCATACCACCAGGGAAGCAGCTTTAGTACTAAACTAGCTTAAAGTTTGTTCAAATAAGCACAAGCCTTTTAAACTGTTCTTTCAGCAAGCAACTGGGAACAGGTCAAATCAAATAACTAATTACAGTTTTTTACAAGTAATTCCTCTTTTATACATTTTGGTACTGGAATATAGCCTGTTTTCTCCTCCTCCTCCTTCTGCTCCTCCTCCAGGCTCTCACTCTGTTGCCCAGGTGGGAGTGTGGTGGTTTGATCATGGCTCACAGTAGCCTCTATCTCCCAGGCTCAAGCAATCCTCCCACTTTAGCCTCCCACATAGCCAAAGCTACAAGTGTGTGTCACCACACCCAGCCAATTTTCTAATTTTTGGAAGAGACAAGGTCTCTCTCTGTTGCCTTGGCTGGTCTCAAACTCCTTGGTTCAAGCAATCCTCCCACCTCAGCCTTGCAAAGTGCTGGAAGTACAGGCATAAGCTACCATGCCCATCCTCAGCCTGTTATTTTCATGGGTACCAAGCTTGGGAGTAAACAATGGCTAGGGGCAATTTAAAATGCCACAGAGTTTGCTATTATTACCAAGAATCAGCTATTTTTTTCCTTCAATAAATGGTCCCTAGTTTTTCTTGAATAAGAGTTCCCAACAAAGCTTTCACAAGCCTTTGGGTAATACCTAGAATTTCAACAACAACAAAGAAAATTGATTCCAACAGTTTTTATCTGCTTTTTAATATTTTTTTAATGGAAGGGAAGAATTTGAAGTTCTTTACTTTACTTTTTTGGTTGACATTGCTTCATTTTTTTTTTGTTTTTGCTAAATTACAAAAAAAGTAAATTATTATTTCTATATTTTATTTGTATAAATAAATTGTACCTATATGTATGTATACATACATAATTATATGTGTGTGTGGATTTTTTAAAAACTGCACTTTATATTTCATGATAAATTGTACTGTGCTTCACTCATTATTTAAACCTATTTTGATCATGTACCCTTTCGCCCATTAGTATAGTATTTGAACATTTTTGCCTACCTTTTGGAAAAGATAAGATAAAAATATTGGTGGTTAGCAATCGCATATTTGGACTCCATGCTTATGATTTGACCTCATAGTCCCTTGAGCACTATTGACATTTTTGCTTATGAGTATGTTGAAAATAAGTCCTGATTTGCCTGATTCCATTCTGATTTACACCTATATCTGGTTGTGGCTGTCAAAAAGCACATTAAAAAAAGGAAAAGAGAGAGAGTCCTGGTTTAGACTCTACATTATATGATGACCCTACTTACAACATTTCCAAAAAAAAAAAAAAAAGAGTATGTCAGTGAATTTCAATGATACTCAATTTAAAAAACCCTTCCAGTATTTCCACTAAAAATCAAAAGCTCTGAGAAATGGTTATGTGAAGTACAGAAGCCTGGTTTAAATGTTGAGTCTACCTACAACAGAACTTAGCAAGTAATTTCTCTTAACAGTGTTTCAATTTTCTTTTTGTAGCACGAGGTTTGTAAACTAGTAATTCCTTAGGCTGACTTAGATATAACAAGCTTTTTAATCTCTTATGTGTGTTTATCAAATATTGAAAGGTTTTGATAGAGTAAATTTAAATATATTTTGAATCAAGACCAATATTGTTAACTATATGTGAGATATTTTTTAGTAAGTTCTATGATGTTATAAAGGAGTCCCTTGGAGCCAGCACCCCTGTGAGGTTCACTCTTTAATAAAATTTTAAATAAAAAGCAAGACTATTCTCTAAATAGATAGAATACTTTAGCAATTTATTATCCCAAGAGACTATGAGATAACATATATAGGTGTCTACATTAAGAAATAATTTAATGGCATTAAAAATTATATTTATAAAATATTTAAAGTTATAAATACTCATGATAATTGTATATAAAAAGAACTCTACAATATATGCAACATAATCCAAAGTTTTCATATATTTTAAAAGAAAGGAAGAAAATGAGACCATGTATTAATATTATGAGCTGAATTGTGTCCCTCTAAATTCACATGTTAAACTCCTAACCCCTAGTATTTTAAAATATGACTGTATTTGGAGTTAGAAACTTTAAGAAAGTAGATAAGACAAAGTGAACTCATGTAAAAAATTGTTCTTAAAATACAGAGGGGATTAAATACTAGCTCTGCCACTTACTAGGTTTGTGAACTTTCTCAGTTGCAGATTCCTAATCTGTGAAATAAGGATTAAAAACTCTATCTTACTACATTATTGCATATAACTTGTTTATTTATGTCACTGATACTCTATAAGTATCAATAAATGATGGTGGTAGCATTAATATCTGTAAAAGTAGTACCAGTGTGGATAATGGCATGGCTAAAAAAGATGTTTTTTAAAAATGTAATTATGTGTTTTCCAAATTTCCTACAGTGGTCAAACTGTACTAATTTGGAAAAAATTAATGAATTCAATTTAAAAATATTTTTAGAATATATAGATAAAGTCCTTATAGTTAATCATCTGTAAAAAGTGCTGTCTTATTCCACTTAGGCTGCTATAACAAAATATCATAAACTGGATGGCTTATAAACAATCCAATATATTCCTCACAGTCAGTTCTGGAGGCTGAGGAGTCCAAGATCAGGGGGCAAGTAGATTTAACGTCTGGCATTGATATAGTTTGTATATTTGTCCCCACCCAAATCTCATGTTGAAATGTAATCCCCAATGTCGGAAGTGTGGCCTGGTGGGAGGTGTAGAGATCATGGGAGTGGATTTCTCGTGAATGGCTTGGGCCATACCCTTGGTGATAAGTGAGCTCTCCCTCTGAGTCTACATGAGATCTGTCAATTTAAAAGTATATGGCACCTTCCACAGCCCCTCTTTGCTCCTGCTTTTGGCATGTGAAGTGCCTGTTCCCACTTCACCTTCTGACATGAGTCAAAGTTCCTTAAGGGTCCCCAGGAGCTGGGCAGATGCCAGTGCCATGCTTGCTGCATAGCCTGAAAAAACATGAGCCAATTAAACCTCTTCTTTAAAAAATAAATTACACAGTCTCAGGTATTTCTTTATAGCAATGCAAGAATGGCCTAATACTCTCCTGGTTCTTAGATGCTTGTCTCCTACTGGTGTCCTCAAATGGCAGAGAGAGAAAGCAAGCTCTCCTGGGATTGCTGTAAGGACAAAAATTCCATTCATGAGGGCTCAATTCTCATGACCTCATCTAATCCTTATTACCTCCCAAAGACCCCACCTTCTAACACTGTTACAGTAGAGGGTATAGTTTCAGCATATGAATTATTGGAAGTACAAAAGTATTCAGTTTATAACAAGTGTTAACATTTTTAAACACATCTGCCAATGACCTCTAGATGCAGGCCTGCACTCAAACAAAGTTGGGTTTATTTAGCTTCCAGCAGCAAAGAAGAATATACATAAGAGGAAACAAACAGCATCTTGGTAAAAGAGAGTTATGAATAGGTTATTATGGAACTCGAATATGTACAAGATGATTCTAAGGAGGTTGTACAGAAAGCAGTGGCCATTTCGGAATTGCAGGCTGTCAGGAAGCAGGGGTAATGTTGTGATAGGGTATCTTTGTAACTTTTAGCTAGAGGTGAGAGGATTAATGTGAAATTAGAGCTGTTACTGGTGAACAAATAGTGATCATTCATGTTGGCTGGAAGAGGAGATACATATTTTTGTGGGTCCATGGTGTCTTTTCCAGCTAGTTTCATCATAGAGTCTCTGGGTCACTGTTATGTTCCTCCAAGGTCACACAGTGGGTTTGTCTGTGAAAGTTTCGTTTTGTGTTTTTGGTTCATGTTCAGTTGCTAACAGCCCAGCCTGGCTTCTTTGGCTCTCAGCTTCTAGCTGCTAACTGCCAGACTTTCTCTTCTTCTTCTTCTTCCTCTTTTTTTTTTAATTTTCTTAACTTTCTTGCAGTTTAAAGACTGCTGATGTGGATGTCCCAGGAGAAATTATGGCATCACATTCTAAATTTCTTAGTTATTGTTTGTAGCCATTTGTCAGTACTAAATAGACCACCCTGCTGGACAAATTGCAAACTGGTGCTCAAACTTAGTTTATAAGTAAATAAGATTGACTCAATATAATATTAATATTACAAGGTTTTTTTTTTTTTGCAAAAATAAGGTTGTCTCACTGCAATTCCATTAATTTTTCGATGAAGAATTAACTCCCAGTCATTTGGAGCCTAAAACACACCCCCTCCCAAAGTAGGAGTTTATAGGTAAAGTGTCTATTAAGTGTTATGTATTGAACAACATAGGGAGAAAGATTCGGTATGTTGGCAGGCCTGAATTCTAACTGGTGAATTACTTTAAATGTGATACATTGAAATGATTTGCTTGCTGGGAGAGGTTCTGTGAGCTTGGTGGATTCTCTACTGCTTCCTGCTTACCCCGAAGGCTGCATAAGCTGCGGGGAACATGGAGGAGAAGGTGAAGAGAATCTTATAACCTTGTCTAATTGCTTCTGCATGAAGCACTTGGCTGTCCTGCTGAGATTTCCTGGTGCCTGTGTGTTGGGGTGCAGGTGGGAAATGAGAGGCAGAAGGACATTTGGAGAGAGATTGCTTTAAGCTACTTCCTTATAGCAAGGAACAAAAATGTTCTCATTTCCTTCTATCCTGATGGTGAACTGGAATCCAGCAAAGCTTCAAAAATTAGAGGACTCTCACAGGGCCTCACTGAAAGAAGGCAGGTAATCAACAGAGGCAATTTTTAAAAGTAATAATCAGAGGGGCGCGATGTAGAACTTGCAATTACATGCTGGAGAAAGTTGAACTGTGAAGGGCCTGAATTCACAGGGGGCAAGAATCCAGCTAAGGACCCTGCTAATGAATTCAAAAAGGCTGTTCTTGCTTCGAAAATGTCAAAGAATAAGAATCAGTTAAATCGTAGAAGGGGGAACACAAAAAACCTTAGTGACCGATCATGGTAAAAGAATGTATGAGTCATTTAGATATTGATTTAGGGGAGTTTTTTATTAGATGAAGAAAAAAAATAAATGCTTACTTCTAGGGTTAATAAATTTGAGTTAAAAATTCCTGTGAAGGTTTAGTAAATCAAAAAAGTGCTGAACTCTAAGGTAAAACACACACACACACACACAAATATATATACATATTAAAAAAACCTTTGATAGATTGAACAAGAAAGACCTCAGTGAAGGGCAGCCAATCTACAAAGAATGATTAAGTGGAGGATAAGAGTACCAGGTCTAAGTTAGTTATTTGTGGAGAGCAACACAGAACTAAGACAATGACATTTTGTGTCTTTTGGAAAGCACTGGCTGCTTAAAATACCAACTGCCTAGAGTATGCTTCCTCAGGTAGGATAATCAGTAGGAAACTCTAGCATTCTTAAGAATTGCATGGTAATTTCCAAAAACCTTTTCCATTATTATAAATAATTTACTTAGAGTAAATTAACCTTTTTGATCGTAGACATTGCTATTGTTTCCATACAGGTCCAAGATAGGGAGATTAAGCAACATGAAAATGCAAGGCAATTCTTCCTGAAAACCTTAAGTTTTATTTTCCAGAGTTCCCTGCTATTCCTTTCTGCTCTACTTATCTCATCTCTGGGGAATCCTCCCCAGATACCTCAGGTATGCAGCTACCTGTGAGAAATAGTCCCTCTCCACTATTAAAATGTGCTTTGGGGAAATACTGTGCTAAAGACATTCACATTGAGATGTAGCTGATCAAAATTTGTGTAAACAGTATTTTACTAGGTGGAAAAGCTTTGTAAGGCTGAGGAGTAAAACTTTAATGGAGGGATTCAGATGGAAACCATTAGGTAGAACTTGTCTATGGCACCTATATATGAAATTTCACTAACATCTCCATGTCCTCTTTTCCTCCATGTCATGCTTGCTCTGCTCCCATTTCTGTTTCTAAGAGATTCATTTTAGATTTGACTGGGCTAAGTGAATTCAATGACCACAGCCCCTCAAGGCCTCTTCCCAGATTTAAAGACTTTTCTTTGCTGAAAATAGGGTCCCATGAACTAAAGAGTGACTGAATGCAAAGCATGTCTAGGCACAATTAGGGAAGAGAAAATTGGGGAATTAAGCAAAGTGGTAATAGGACTCAGTAAGACATTACTGAGTACTGACATAGTTAAATGAAACAGGAGGAAAAGAGTTGAAAAGCAAGACTGCTGGGAAGTGATATGGCTGCTGGTTTTGACAAAGAAGGCTCAATCCAACAACACATCTCTTATTTTATTGTTTTGGAATCTTCATTCTCAGCCCAGAGAGTGGCTTGGCAAAGTGAAACATACCTAATTGGACTTGCAGGGTGAGTGTGGCACAAAAAAAAAAGGATGGGTAATAAGGTCAGTTTGTGTTCAGGCATTCTAAAAGTCAGATGAAAGTCAAGGGCCAAGTTGAGAACATGTTCTAAACCCAAGAGGGAACTGAGGCTCTGAACCAGTTAACATCATGATCATTTAAATGACAAGGGTCTTTTCTTCTTTCCCTTTTAGATTAGAGATGACTTCCTCTTGAGCCAAATAGTTTTTTTTTTCCTGTAGTGTTGCTCTTGTTGGTCCTGTGATCTTTGAGTGGGGCTGTAGTTGAAGATGCTAATGACTGCCACTTGTGTTTAGTGGAAAACAAGAAAGAGACAAAAGACCCTGAACACCACTGGCAGTAATTAACAATGCAAACAGCACAGTCAATAAAATTCAATAAATATTTTTGAATATCTACTTAAAACCTGCCACCATGCTAGAGATATAAAGATGGGTAAGTATAAAATCAGAAAAAAACACCACATGGATAATTCACTGTGTTTCAATCTAATACATGTTTTTAGAGGAGCTTTAAATAAAACATTATAGGAGAACAAAATAATAGGTTGCTTCAGAGGAATGGGAATGAATAAAAGAGAGTTTTAGGAAAGGTATCAAAAAATTATGACATCTAGTATAAGCCTCATCATACTCTCATTTCCTTAGAAGAGTTTCATTATTGCTTACGTTTCTCACTTTCTTCCTTCTCTTATTCAAAGAAGGTATAAGCTGACATCTTACATTAAAATGAGGGTGAGCATTATAAAAAATAATAGACTATGGAATCTTTTAACTGGTATAAAGTTCTTCATTTTTTATCAAACAGAAGTCATAATAAATTTAATATTTGCCTTTTTATTTTTTAATCTAAAGAAGGAATTTATACCAAGAGTACTTCAGTGCAAAGACTTCAATTCTGCAAAGGCAGTGCCTTTGGGTAAAGCAACTGTGCTTTTGAGAGGATCTGAATAATTATCACTAGCCTGGACTTCAGAGACTGTGTTTTCTGAAAACAAAAACAAATAAAAATAAATAAAAAGGAAACATAGCAGAGTGCCTCCAAACTGCTGCTCAGCACATTTAGCCTGCTTACCTAGTAAAGCATTTCTTGGAACAAGCCCCCTATTGGTTTCATTTTAGAGAAGTACTTCTATTCACACTGGCATACCTTTGGTGATTGTTGGTTTAAGGGAAATTCAACAGAACAAGCAGGAAAAACTGCTCACAGTTCTGATTCCATATTTCTAAAGATAAGGGTGAATATTGAAGTTACAACATCTTTAGAAAGTCTATGATGTTCCTATAAAAATTGACATCTCTATCTTTCTTAAAATATTTCATTTAAGAAAATGCTTATTGATGTATTAAAATTGTTATAAAAATGTTATTTATATTCAAATTTTATAATAAAAGCATGCAATTTATAGAAAATAGTATTTTTTCCTCAGTTGTGCCAGTTTTTTAATTTAGTTTTCAAATTAATTCTATTATTGCCTAAAGGACTAGATACTTTTTTGTTTTTATGCAGTTTCTCTATAGTTCTTCTTTAATATTCTCCTTTCTTGTTCCTGCTTCATTCCCCTTCCTTTTAGATACTCCATATTATTCTGATTACCTCCTACTTACCCACTGGGAAAAGAGGGATATCTCACCCTAAATAGTGTGAGATAGCTAAATATGTGACACCCAAAACTGGACAGATAAGATTTGCAGCCGTTTATTAGTCACAGATCCTCACAGACTTGGGGAGGGGAACACTACACTCCATACAGGGTCACATTGGCAGGGTTATTTATTTAGAAATACAGTGAACCAGCAGGGGCTATGGTAGGCAGGCTTTGTAGTAACCAGAGGAATGGGGCAGCTAGTCCACCTGATAGTTGAGTGGATAACTTTTCCCAATGTTTGGGAATGATCTGGCAAGAGCAGGGAAACTCATGACTAGATGTCTATAGCTCCATGAAACCCAAAGCTGTCAAGGTAACACATGGAATGTTTAGGTCTGGTAATAAACATATCTATCTAAATGTGTTCTTCAGCAGCCCATGGTCCCAAAGCACTGTACTTTCTAAAAGGAAGCCTTCCAAAGAATGCCTTATGCTCTGTTAAATAAAACTTACTGGAAGCCTTTGTTTTGGACTGACTTTATGCACTTAATCCCAACAGACCAGACCAAGTCAGAATGGTGTCACTTGTGCTAGGTGTCATGTAATTAAACTGAACTTTAAGATGGACTAATTTTCTAAGAAACAGAAAATTTACAGAAGCCGATAGAAAGAAGCCCAGTGTACTCAAGCTGGCATGATAAGGAAGTTCCCTCTGTTGTAACTTTAAAAGGAAAGAAAGTTTGAAATACCAATTCGGTTTTTGTTCGTTGTTTCTGCTTTGCTCAGCCTTTTCTGTCTATAGGACTCAGCTCTTCTGCTCAGCTCATGAGAGTACCTGTTCTATTTCATAGATGTGGTGCTGCCCAGTTCATGAATCACTAATAAAAGTCAATTAATCTTAAACTAAATTTGTTGAAATTTTGGTGTTTGACAGGTCTGATATAAAAATTTCACCACTTATAAAACTAAATTCATTTTCACTTTTGGGAGAAAATGTATCAAATTAATTCTCATGGAGGTAGTCCTTGACTACTCTAACTGCACTATCCACAAGAAAACCACTCATGGTGCTTTAAAAATACACATATCCTGGCCGGGTGCGGTGGCTCACACCTGTAATCTCAGCATTTTGGGAGGCCAAGGTGAGTGGATCACGAGATCAGGAGTTTGAGACCAGCCTGGCCAATATGGTGAAACCCCATCTCTACTAAAAATACAAAAATTAGCTGGGCATGGTGGCACAGGCTTGTAATCCCAGCTACTCGGGAGGCTGAGGGAGGAGAATTGCTTGAACCAGAACCTGGGAGGTGGAGGCTGTTGTGAGCCGCGATCGCACCACTGCATTCCAGCCTGGGCTACAGAGCAAGACTCCGTTTCCAAAAAAAAAAAAAAAAAAAAAAAAAAGAAGAAGGAAAAATACATATATCCTGGCATTACAATTCCAGAAATTCTACCTAGTAGTCTTGAATTACTGCCTACAGACCTGTGTCCAAAAAACAAACAAACAAATAAAACAAAAACCACAAAACTTCCTGCACCTCTTTGTTAAGTTACTGATAGACATAGCAGGCAAATAATCAGTAATGATATACCACCATTAATTAATTGGATCTAACTGAAATTTGCAGACTACTTTATCCAACAACAGCAAAATACACATTTTTCTGAAGCTCACATGTAAGATTCATCAGTATAGACTATATTCTGGGGGAGGAAATCCTTACACCTAAACACATTTAAAGGAATATAAGTTACACAAGCTGTGTTCTCAGACTGCAATGGAATTGAACTAGAAATCAATAACATAAAGAAAGGTGGAAAGTTCAAAATATTTAGGGATTAAACAACATATTTCCAAATAACACAAAAATAAAATGGCTCGAAATTAATTTAAATGTATTTTGAAGTAAACAAAAATGAAAGTACAGCTTATCAATTTGTGGAATGGTGTAAAAGCAGTGCTTAGAGAGAAATTTATGGCATAGAATTAGAATAGAAGAAAGCTGTAAAATCAATAATCTGTTTCTGCCCTAGGAAACTATAGAAATAGAAGTAATTTAATCCTAAAGGAAGCAGAAAATCAGCAATAATAAAAAATAGAAAAGAAATCAATGAAAATAGAACAAGATATCCATAGAGAAAATAATGAAACAAAAGCTTTTTATTTTGAAAAATGATCATAATATCAATAAAATAAAAGATCAACGAAATTGATAAATGAAAGTGGTGTCATGGCTATTGATCTCACAGGCATTAAAAGTATAATTAAAGAATACTGAGAACAGCTGAGCCTTACACCTACAAATGTGATAACCTAGATGAAATGGACCAATTACTTGAAAGACATAAACTACCAAAACTTAAAAAACTGAATAAGTATATATTAATTTAATTGAGTAAGTATATATTAATTTAAAAAATCATAATTAATAGCCTTCCAAACGAGACATCAAGCTCATATTGTTTCACTGGTGAAATCTAACAAATATTTTAGGGAAGTGATATCAATTATCTATATTCTCTTCTATTGCAGAGAATAAAAGCAGATAAAACATGTTTTAACTCATTCCATGAGGTCACCCTTACGAAAACTTGATATCAAAACCCAATAAATACCTTTCAAGAAAGAAAATCTACAAAGCAATATTTCTCCTGAACAGAGATGAATAAATTATCAACACAATATTAACAAATTATACCAACAATGTACAAAAAGAATTATACACAATGACCAAGTAAAATTTGCTCCAAGCAAGACTAGTTCAACATTTTAAAGGCACTTAATTTAATAAATCAGAATGCTATAAAAGAAAAATTATATGAGCATTTCAATTGATGCAGAAAAATAATTTGACCAAATTCAGCATCATTCATAATAAAAACTCTTGGCAAACTAGGATTAGAAGAAACTTTCTCAACTTGGTAAAGAATATCTGCAAAAAATCTACTGCTAGCATTATATTTGATGGCAAAAACTACATATACCTTAAGTTTATGAGTTAGGTAAGAATGTTTACTTTTACTGCTTCTATTCAACATTGTACTGGAAGTCCTAGCTAGTGCAATAAGACAAGAAAAGTTAGTTAAAAGTATATATGTTAAAAAGAATAAATATATTTGTTTCCATGAGGCATGATTATCTATGCAGTAAAATTTCATTGAATTAATAAAAATCTCCTAGAACGAATAAGTGATTTTTAACAAAGTTCACAAGATTAGATTAATATACAAGAGAATTGCTTTCCCATATAACAGCAATGAACCATTTGGGAGGAAATATTTGCAAAACATATATCTGATGAAGTGCTTGTATCTAAAATATTTTAAAAATTCTAAAACTCAGCCTTAAGAAAATAATGCAATTTTCTAAATGGGCAAAAGATTTGAACAGATACCTCACCATATAAAATATATGGACATTCTCTGTCCAAAGTTAGTGACAATAAACGAAGATATACTGATGAGAAATAAGCATATAAAAATATTCACCATTATATGTCCTTAAGGAATTTCAAGTAATAGAAAAACAAGATGCAACTACACAACTATCAGAATGGGTAAAATTCCAAAAAAACAATACCAAATCCTGGCAAAGTTGCTGACCAAGAGCAATTCTCATTCTTTTCACTGCTGGTGAAAATGAAAAATGATGCAGCCACTTTGGAAAAATATTTGGCAATTTCTTATAAATCTAAATATAATTTTACCATGTGATTCAGTTGTTGTGCTCTTAGATATTTATTCAGTTTAGTTGAAAAGTATGTCCACAAAAAAAAAACTTATACATGAATGGTTATGGCAGCTTTATTCATAATTGAATAAAACTGAAAACATCCAAGATGTCACTTAATAGATGATTAGTAAACAAATTACGTTACATTCATACAATGAACTGTTATCTAGCAAAAAAAAAAAAAAAGAAAAAATAGATAAAGATAAATTTGTACTATAAAGATTTATATGTGTCGGGGGTTCAGGAGGAGAAGAAGCTACAGATATAGAATCACAGGGAAATTTTAGAGCAGTGAATCTATTCTGTGTGATATTGTAATCATGGATACATAATATTTTGTATTTGTCAAAACCTATAGTACTGCACAACACAGTTAATCTTTTTTTTTTCTTCAACTTCTATCTTAAGCTCAGGGGTACATGTGTAGGATATGCAGGTTTGTTACATATGTAAACATGTTCCACGGTGGTTTTCTGCACAGATCATCGCATAATCTATGTAATAAGCCCAGCATACGTTAGCTATTATTCTTGATGTTCTTCCTCACCCACCCCCACCCCTCTGACAGGCCCCAGTGTGTGTTATTCCCTGCTTATGTCCATGTGTTCTCATCATTCATCTCCCACTTACAAGTGAGAATATGTGGTGTTAGGTTGTCTGTTCCTGCATTTGTTTGCTGAGAATAATGACTTCCACATGGACTCCATCCATTGTCTCTGCAAACGACATGATCTTATTCCTTTTTGTGGCTGCATAGTATTTCATGGTAGATATATACCGCATTTTCTTTATGCACTTTATTGCTGATGGACATTTAGATTGATTCCATGTCTTTGCTATTATGAATAGTGCTGCAATGAACATACATATGCATGTGTCTTTATAATACAATGATTTATATTCTTCTGGGTATATACCCAGGAATGAGATTTCTGGGACAAATGGTATTTCTGCCTCTAGGTCTTTGATGAATTGTCACACTGTCTTCCACAATAGTTGAACTAATTTACACTCCCACCAACAATGTAAAAGCCTTCGTTTTTCACTGCAACCTCACCAGCATCTGTGTTTTTTTGACTTTTTTTTTTTTTTTTTTTTTGATGAAGTCTTGCTCTCTCCCCAGACTGGAGTGCAGTGGCACTATCCCGGCTCACTGCAACCTCCACCTCCTGGGTTCAAGCGATTCTCCTGCCTCAGCCTCCTGAGTAGGTGGGACTTCAGGCACGCACCACCATGCCCAGCTAATTTTTTTATTTTTAGTAGAGACAGGGTTTCACCATATTAGCCAGGATGGTCTCGAGCTCCTGACCTCATGATCCACTTGCCTCAACCTCCCATAGCGCTGGGATTACAGCATTAGCCACCACACCTGGCCTACTTTTTAATAATAGCCATTATAACTGGACTGAGATGGTATCTCATTGTGGTTTTAATTTGCATTTTTCTAATAATCAGTGATGTTGAGCTTTTCTTCCTATGTCTGTTGGCCACATATATCTTTTCTTTTGAGAAGTGACTGTTCATGTTCTCTGCCCACTTTTTAATGGGATCATTTGTTTCTTTCTTATTTTTGTTTAAATTCCTTGTAGATTTTGTTTAAGTTCCCTTATCAGATGGGTAGATTTCAAAAATTTTCTCCCATTCTATAGGTTGTCTGTTGACTCTGATGATAGTTTCTTTGGCTGTGTAGAAGCTCTTTAGTTTAGTTAGATCTCATTGGTCATTTTTTGCTTTTGTTGCAATTGCTTTTGGCATTTTCATTTTGAAATTTTCCCTTGTGCCTATGTCCTAAATGGTATTGCGTAGATTTTCTTCTAGGGTTTTTATAGTTTTGGGTTTCACATTGAAGTGTTTAATCCATATTGAGCTAATTTTTGTATATGGTAGAAGGAAGGGGTCCAATTTTAATTTTCTGCATATGGATAGCCAGTTCTAGCATCATTTGTTAAATAGGGAATCCTTTTTCCATTGCTTGTTTTTGTCGGGTTTGTTAAAGATGTGATGGTTGTAGATGTGCAGTCTTATTTCTGAGTTCTTGATTGTGTTCCATTAGTCTATATGTCTGTTCTTGTAATGGTACCATGCTGTTTTTGTTACTGTAGGCTTGTAGTATAGTTTGAAGTTGGGTTGCGTGATGTCTCCGGCTTGTTCATTTTGCTTAGTATTGTCTTGGCTATATGAGCATTCTTTGGTTTCATATAAATTTTAAAATAGTTTTTTTTTCTGATTCTGTGAAGGATGTCAATGTTAGTTTAATGGGAATAGCATTGAACATATAAATTACTTCGGGCAGTATGGCCACTTTCACGATATTAATTTTTTCTGTCTATGAGCGTAGAATGTTTTTCCATTTGTTTGTGTTCTCTCTGATTTCCTTGAGCAGTGGTTGGTAGTTCTCCTTTAAGTGTTCCTTCATATCCCTTGTTACCTGTATTCCTAGGTATTTTGTTCTCCTTGTAGCAATTGTGAATGGGAGTTCATTCATGGTTTGGCTCTCAGCTTGCCTGTTGTTTGTATTTAGGAATGCTAGCAATTTTTGCACATTCATTTTGTATCCTGAGACTTTGCTGCAGTTGCTTATCAGATTAAGAAACTGAAGCTGAGACAATGGGATTTTCTTGATATAGGACCATGTCACCTGCAAACAAAAATAATTTGACTTCCTCTCTGCCCATTTGAATACCCCTTATTTCTTTCTCTTTCCTAATTGCCCTGGCAAGATCTTCCAATACTCTGTTAAATAGGAGTAATGAGAAAGGGCATCCTTTCCTTGTGCTGGTTTTCACGGAGAATGTTTCCAAGCTTTTGTCTATTTAGTATGGTATTGGCTGTGGGTTTGTCATAGATGGCTCATATTATTTTGAGGTAAGTTCCTTCAATACCTAGTTTATTGAGAGTTTTTAACATGAAGAAATGTTGAATTATATTGAAGGCCTTTTCTGCATCTATTGATATAATCATGTGTTTTTTTGACTTTAGTTATGTTTATGTGATGAATCACATTTTTATGTTGAACCACCTTTGCATCCTGGCACTTACTCTAAAATCGATCAGATAATTGGAAATAAAATACCCCTCAGTGAATCCAAAAGAAGTGAAATCATGACAAACAGTATCTCAGACCACAGCATAATCAAATTAGAACTAAAGATTAAGAAATTCACTCAAAACCACATGACTATGTGGAAATTAAACAACCTCCTCCTGAATGACTCTTGGGTAAATAATGAAATTAAGGCAGAAATCAATAAATTATTTGAAACTAATGAGAACAAGGAGATAATGTACCAGAATCTCTGAGATGCAACTAAAGCTGTGTAAGAGGGAAATTTATTGCACTAAATGTTTACATCAAAAAACTAGAAATATCTCAAGTTAACAACCTAACAATCTAACATGATCTAAAAGAACTAGAGAAACAAGAGAAAACAAAGCCCAAACCTAGCAGAAGAGAAGAAATAACCAAAATCAGAGATGAACTGACAGAGATAGAGACACACAAAACCCTTCAAAATATCAACAAATCCAGGAGCTGGATTTTTTTTTTTTGAAAAAATTAGTAAAATAGATAGAATGCTAGTTAGACTAACAGAGAAAAGAGAGAATCAAATAAACACAATCAGAAATGATAAGGGGGATATCACCACTGATCCCACAGAAATACAAACAACCATGAGAGAATAGTATAAACACCTCTATGCACATAAACTAGAAAATGTAGAAAAAATGGATAAATTCCTGAACATATACACCCTCCCAAGACTGAACCAGTGAGAAATTGAATTCTTGCATAGACCAATAATGAGTTCTGATATTAAGGTAGTAATAAATAGCCTAACAACCAAAAAAAGCCCAGGATCAGACAATTAACAGCTGAATTCTACCAGAGGTAGAAAGAAGAGCTGGTACCATTTCTACTGAAACTATTCCAAAAAATTGAAAAAGAAGGACTCCTCTCTAACTCATTCTATTAAGCCAGCATCATCCTGATAGCAAAACCTGGCAGAGATATTACAAAGAAAGAAAACTTCAGGCCAACATCCTTGATGAACATTGATGTAAAAATCCTCAATAAAATACTGGCAAACTGAATCCAGAAGCACGTGAAAAAGCTTATCCACTATGATCAAGTTGGCTTCATCCCTAGGAAAATAGTTAATCTTAATATTTACAAATTAAAAAGAAAAAACTTAGAAGGTCAAGGACCCTGGGAAAGAATGCCGTTTGTGACAAGATAAGCTGACCAATGTACACCAACGTATAAAACAATCTCACTGAAAGGGATATGAGAAGAGGTACCAGTCTAAGTGATTTTGGAGATAAATGGAATCTGCAACATTAAAGGCAAAATGAATGCCACAATAAGCAATAGTTGGCAAAATTGTTTCTCATGAGGATAAAGGTCAAAAAATGTGCTACAATACATGTATACTATAACTGAACAATTAAGTAAATGGATGGCATATGATGGGAACTATATTCTTAATGTTTGAGTAGAAATTTGTAAATAAACAACAAAGAAAATGACTAACATGATCTATGTGGTATCAGATTAGAATGGGAGACATCAGTAAGAAACCATGTTTAACTTAATATGCGTCCCTAATATATATGTGGGTTAGTATTGCTTTTTACTATTAGATGGCAGCAACTAAAAAATGTCACCCCAATAGCAATGAGCACACCTAATACCTAGATCTTGGTTTCTATCTCATCTCCAGTTAAAGAAAATAGAGTTTCCTAAAGAAACATCTGATTTGGGGACTGGAAGAGGAAATACTTAAGATGAACCTAGGGAATCTTGTAGTACCATAAAATAAGGAAGCAATACAATAGTAACAATAATCCACAATAATAAGGGTACATCAAAGTGACACAGGAGTCAACTAAAAGCTTTTGATGTCCAAAGACGGAACAGTTTGAGTATCAAAATAAAGTAGTGTTGGATTTTAACCTAAAGTATAAAATAAATCTTTATGATTTCATATTAACAAATGAATTAACAAATTAATAAATGGGGGAGAAGAGATAAATCTCTCATGTTGAATTCCAAATAAATTATGTAGATGTTTCACCCTAAGAAAGGGGGAGCATAACATCCCACTCCTTAAGTGTGAGCTAACATAGTGACTTCCTGCCAATGACTGCAGTATGAAAAGTGTGTGGGGGGCAGCATAATTTTACAGTGGAGACATCTGACAAAAATTACTTCAGTCAGGACCATGGTCAATATCAATAGTCATAAGTGATATTGTTTGTACCCTTGATATGTGATAAAAATGGCACTTTACTCTGTGATCTTCGTTTCCCAACTATAACCCCAGTTTAATAATGATAAAAAGCATTAGAAAATTTTTAATATAGAGGCGTGCTAAAAGAAACTTAGTCAAAACTCAAAACTTCCAATGTTAGAAAAAACAAGAAACATGTTAGTGGAAGAAGTAGCTGCAGATGTGGAAAAATAGGAAGAGAATTAGGAGGGAAGCCTGAAGATGTTATTAAATTGCTGCAACCTCATGATTTAACTTGAATAGATGAAGAGTTGCTTCTTAAGAATGAGCAAAGAAAGTGGTTTCTTGAAATGAAATCTACCTGGTGAAGATGCTATGGACATTGTTGAAATGACAAACAAAGGGTTTAGAATATTACGTAAACTTAGTCAATAAAGCAGTAGCAGAGCTTGAGAAAATTGACTCCAATTTTGAAAGAAGTTTTTTTGTGGGTCAAATGCTATCAAAGAGCATTGCATGCTACAGAGAAATTTTTTGTGAAAGGAAGAGTTAATAAATGTGACAAACTTCATTGTCTTATGTTAAGAAATTGCCAGTCACCTCCAGCAAACACCACCCTAATCAATCAGCATCCCTCAAAATGGAGGCAAAACTCTGCCACCAGATGTTCTGTAGCATTTTTTAGCAATAAAGTATTTTTTCATTAAAGTAGGTAGATTTTTTTAAGACATAGTGCTATTGCACACTTAATGGACTATAGTATAATGTAAACAACTTTTATATGCACTTGGAAATCAAAAACTTTGTGAGACTCACTTCATTGTGATGTTTACTTTATTGCATTAGTCTAGAATCAAACACATAATATCTCTGAGGTTTGCCTGTAATGAGGGTTCGGAGCACCCTACCAAGCTAAGCTATCTAGACTAGAAGAGATGTTAGACAAGATTAGGGGAATCTAGAATGGGTAGTAGGGTGGGAGATCAAGAGTATTTATTAGAAGCTCATGACCATTTGTAGTGACAGGGACTATATGGTTCCCTACTAGCCCTCCCAGAAACAAAATCAACAGGAATCCTAGAGCAGCTGTTTCCAAAAGAAATAAATTTAAATGATCAAGTAAGGAATTAGAGTGTAAGGAGTAGACTGTAGTCAATGACTGTGGTAAGCCTCCCTGGGCTGACCAGATATGCTCTCAGGACTGACATGCTCATTTCTTAGCTACTGAGAGAGGTGGCTTCTAAAGGCACATGGAGCATCCCTTTCTGGAAATTGCCCTCATCCAAATGGAATTGCTTCTCCTAAGATTGCATATTCTCCTTTAAGACAGGCTTTACCCTACCATTGGTTAATACTTGGTACGTAGGCCTAGACTCTCATCTCAGTTCAGGCTGTCTCTGCAGTGCTATTCTTATGGGATTGACTAATGCTGCTGATGTGACTTCATCACAATTCACCTTCTTCTGATGAGCAGCCCTTTTTCTCTAACACAATCCCAAAAGTCACTGCTATCGTTTGATTGTATGTGTTCCTCCCAAATTCAGATTTTGACACATAATCCCAAATGTGATAGTATTAAGAGATGAAGCCTTTGGGTGGTGATTAAGAGAGGTTTCCACCTTCATGAATGGCTTTAACAACCTTATAGAAGGGCTGGAGGGAACTAGCTAGGTCCCATGTGACGGCACAGCATTCTTTTTTTTCTGGAGGATGGATGCAGCAACACGATGCCATCTTGGAAGCAGAGACCAAGCCCTCACCAGAGAGTGACCTTACCAATGCCGTGATATTGAACTGCTCATTCTCCAGAACTGTGAGAAACAAATTTCTGTTCTTTGTAAATTACCCAGTCTCAGGTATTTCATTATGGAAGCAGAAACAAATGAAGACAGTCAACTACACACAAATCTTAGTCTTAAATTTTCTAGGTAATCTGACATATGTCAGTGAATTATACTTCAATAAGAACTCAAGTTTCAAAAGGAAAATATAATGAGATGATTTGATTATAAAAGAGTAGCTCATATCACACTAATCATTTACCAAGAACAATCACTTTATTTCAGGCACATAGAAGACCAATCTTACCATCCTACTTGCAGGCACCAAGGAGCATGACTTAATAAAATGAACTAAGGACTCTTCATTGATAGATGCATTAAATATTTATTAGAACATGCTATGTGTATAAAGAAATACTGTTGAAATCACTGATATGGGTTTATCAGCAAAGGTGGGTAATTTTCTCCAGGACAATCTGATACAATTCTGTTACTTGTTCTGGACAAGCTTCCAGTCTCTGTGTTCACGTATAGCTGCTGCTTATATAAATTCCTCCAAACAATGACTATTGTCTAAAAGCTGCTCCCAATTTGCAGGTAAATTTTCTGTTTCCCAGAATACCTAATGTAAGGCTTGTTGTCACCTAGAGCCTGGAATGTGTACTGTTGGTCACTTCACGGAACATTCCACACCAGTGGACAAAATTACTCTGGCCCCTGTTAGAACTGACAGCTGTGGGGATTCTGGGCCAAATGTCACTTTGCTTGTGGGCCAAGAGCTGGAAACTTGGAACAGAAAGAAGAAGCTGGTTTGTATCAGGCTGATGTTTAGAACACCCTTCACTCCTCCTGTCATCACAGGGACTTTTCTGGGTCTGAAGTGTACTCCCTGAATATACTGCATTCAGTCAGCCAGCAGCAAACTTGGACAATTAGCAATTTTTTCCTTGATTACTTTTCATTTTTTGTTTTTGCTAATTTGCCCCATTTTGCAACTACTTTTTTTCCCTGGTATCCTTTCATTTTCTTCCTTTTTCCCATAGGCCACATAACTTATTAAAATTATTTGCACCTGTTAAAACAGAAGCACTGTGCTTGGGATCTGAAGGTAGAAATATAACCCATAAATGATTGTTAAACCATATGTTGCATGAATGGGACAAATCAGTAACCCCTCTCTTCGTCATCTTTGTTCAGAGGGAGATTAAAAAAAAAAGAGACCTGGCAGTATTAATTCTGAGCAGCAAAGAGCAACCATTTCCAGTATGAATGGTTTCTCTTGTAATTGCAGGCAGGCCTTAAGTGGGCAGGAGAAAGCCAAGAGCATTTAAGCACCATAATGTGGAAAAGAGTAGAGGGAGGTACAGGAATAAGAGGCCTATTTTTCCTAAAGGATAAGCAAGTAACCTTGTAAGCCATACTGATATTAGTTCTTCCATAGAGAATTGTCCTACGTTGTCTCCAAAGGAAATTCATGTTTGTTTTGGGTTTTGTTTGTTTGTTTTTTATGTAGGGAGCAAAGTTCTCTCTAAGGAATTCAATAATGAGTTATCTGAGCTGGAATGAAAACATTCATATCCAAATTTATTCATGGGTGTAGAGCAATCTCCCTCAGAATCCTGTGGTCAATTGCTCAAGGGTTAATATAAGGCACATTTTGTGTTTAAACGGAAAGGTGCCATGGGACCAAATCGTTTTTGTGATTCTGGGCTTAGTGAAGTACTGGAGAATCTCAACATTGGGCAAAAATCTATCCATGTGCTTTCCATACACTGTCACTGTAACACCCTCAGAGACTTGCCTATCTTTCCAACAAAGCTTACCATACATCACCTTGGCCTGAGGGGCTTAATTTATCACAATATACCACATTTTCTTGCCAACTTCAGAAAATAAAAAGTACCCATCCTTCAGGTGAATTACATTAAGATATAAATTCGCATTATTTATCAGAGGCCAAGTGTCCTATCGCTTTGAGACCTGCTGGAGAAGAAGCATATTATAAGAAGCAGCAGCATGTAGAGTTTCTCAAAGATCTTCCTTACTCACCTGGGTCCAAAGAAAGAAGAATGTTATAAAACAATGATGCAGGATTTTTTGTTCCCTAGCTCAGTTAGGTTCAGGTTCTTTTCTCACCACCAAAGAAATAGGCATGCAGACATTGAAGAGTCAGTGGAGTAGAACTCATTACGTGAAAAGGAAAAGCTCTCAGCAGAAAAAAGTTTCTTGAAAGCAGGTTGTCAGTTGCCCCCTTCACAGTTGAATACAAGGGCTTTTACATAAAAGCTGTTAAGGCTGGGTTCCCTGTTTGTATAGAGCGCAAATTCCTGGTGGCTCCACCCCATTCTCCCAGTGTTCTTGAAGGCCCTTTGTCCCCTGCGGGCATGTTTAGGCAAGCCCCCTATGCAGGTTCCCTTATCGGAGGTTCTACAGGGACCCTTCCCTTACTGTCTGCCTAAAGCAAGCTGGCTACCTCCTTTCAGTGACATGTAGAGTATGATTACAGATGTATACATAATATTATATATGCGGAGAAAAACACACTAGCGGATTCATGAACATGCCAGTTATCTGAAACTTAAAGTGTTCAAATTTGAGTTTTCAAAACCTTTCTCATATATATATACACACACAAATATAAGCATAGTTAAATCAACAAATTATATAAATGATATCATTATTAAATAATACCATCTTTTATGGTATAATATGTTATATGAATTATCTAAAAATGGAATCTATTTTCCCACAGTCTTCTCCCTAAGTTAATTACAGCTCTGTCCTTCAGGTTTTTAGGCCCAACACTTGAAGTCACCTTTCCTTTGCCCTATCTTTAATTCTCTTCATTCAAACCATGAAAGAATATCATTGTCACTGCATTTAAAATATTGCTGGGATCTGATCTCACTTTAATATCTCCACTACTACTGTCCTTTCCTGTCTCCTACATGAGCCTCAAAACTGCTTTTCCGCTTAGATCCTTGTCTTTTCTGTCTATTCTTAATTAAAGCAGTCAGAGGAAACATTTTTCTGAAGCCTGAAAACTTACAGGACTATACAGAGAGCCTAGGTTAATCTAACTTAGACAATGGGCCTCAGTAACCATTGCTCTAATAAAACCTCTTCATTTCCTACATTAGGAGGGCACGGTTAGAGACACATCTCACTCAGCAAATTAATGGCCCTGTGTGTCCTGGGAAAGTTTCTTCTGACCTGGCCTAGGTGGTTTTTCAAAAGATGTCTTATCCACCTGAGCTTGGAGTAAAGAGCTACAAGACTCATGCCTTGATCACGCTCATCAGATTGTTCTGCTCTTAGAGTCAGGGTAACTCCTGACTAAGATATCTTGGGAATCAGCCTCTTTCTCTGGCATGAACCAGTAAGTATTTTTACAAAACTCATTTTTAAGGCTATCTATGTCTATGTGTGGAGTCCAGTGTAGTGACCCAAATAAGATGCAGCTGGCCTTGGAATTCTTACAAAATAAGAATAGTCCACACTCTTGTAAACTATAATAATAATAAAAATGCAAGGTCTTTTACGAATATGTAGCATTTCTGAGTGGGGCTACCTGTTACCCAAGAGAAACAGGGAGCCACACCCAAAATGTCAATAAAATAGCTAAAGGAGGATTCTACTTTGATCTGACTCCCTTGACGCATTTAAGTAGATTTGATGCTGAGAAGAAAAGACTTCTCTAACTTAGATCTAAAAGGAAACTTTCACACCATTTAGTCCAGTATTCTCACCCAAATGATGACGATATGAGGCCCAGAGAGCAAATTAACTTTTCCAAGTTTTCTGCACAAGTTAAAATTGAACAGAGCCTAGAATTAAGCTCTCAGGTTTCAGTGATTATTCCACCTCCCAATATAGTGAGAACTGGAAAGAATTTAGTTATAAGTGGAATTTTACAGAAAATCTCTACAAATTCCTTTGGTTTCCAATTATAACTTTAGCTTTTTAGTCCCTTCTTATGAATCTATGACCTCTTATATAACAGTATTCAAATAAAGTACATAATTGAATCAATTCTTTCAGAAATTTATTTTTCATTCAATAGCTTCTAGATATCCATATTTTATACATATTTATCTCCCACATAGGTAGACATATAATAAAACTGTACTAAAACTAAAAAATTAAATAATTCTTTCCTCTTGGTATTTCTGATGTCTTTCCAATGGCCTCAAACTGAGTTTTTAAGTCAATTTGGTTAGTCATTTTTTTTAATATGAATGCCATGTTTCAGGTATTTTTTCATGCCAGTCTCACTTCATTCCTTTTCCTAATCTATCTCAGAAAGACCCTTTTGTAACATCATAGGCTTGAGGTGCTATACATAAGCTGAGATTCTGGATGAGTTTTGGGGTGAGTTCAAGGGTGATGTGGTGTTGGCCTGTGTGCTGCATGTAGTTATGCTTCCAAAGGAAGCATCTAGGGATTAAACCAGACCAATACAGACAGAGAGATTGCTAAACATATGCCATATATTCAAATCGTAGTGGAAACTCTTCTAGAAGGGAAGACAGAAGCAAGGACAGAGAAAAAAGGCTAAGCCCAATGGTTTAGACCAGGATCTTGAAGTGGTCTATATAGTCTCTTCTACGGGTGGTGGTAATTCAGTAATATACTTGTAGCCTATCATACTTTTTAACTTCTTCTATTAAAATTGTAAGACATTATAAGAAATAAACATGCATAATATATAGAAAACTCAAATTGCCCTAAAAATGTCAACTTTTAAATATAACAGGGAATTTTCTCATTCATTACTCCTGCCAAAATGTCACTTAGGAAGGAAACAAGTGAAAAGTCAATGTTGACTTTCTCAGCCACCACCTCATAAAGCTATTTCTTCTCCACTGAAATTCCTCTAAACATTGGCTGACTTGTTATAGAAGTATGAATTAATGGGAATTAAACATCCACTCTTTCAATAAAGACTAATAGGTAGGTGTATTGCCTAACAAATTGTAACTTAACGTTACATAAAGGCATTTAAGATCTCGAGTTTAAATGTACTCATTATTTACAAATTGTTTTCAAGATAACCAGATAACAGATTAGGACATCTATTTTGACTCAGATCACTTGGTGATTATGGGCCTCCAGGACAAATTATTTAACATCCTAGTACCCACACTTTCCATTTTTAAAATCATAGAAAAGGGTTTTCCTAGCTTCCAATGTTTAACCTCATATATTTTAAAAAGTTTGCATGCACGATTGGTGTAGTCTTATTTTTATTCAGTGTTACAAGTAAATAGCTTAGGAAGTGATTGAACAAAAGGTCTAAAAACAAGTAAGTAGGTAATGAGGTTAAACTAGTTAATTCAAGTGGACACAAAGACAACTTATTTCTTATAATGGGATAGTACTAACAATGGGCCATTCTAAATACAGAGTACGAACAGTGTCTGTCTGTCATTTGGCTTTACAATCTTCTTTTCAAATTGCTAACAAATGGCTAGGTTTGGACCAGCAGAAGAAAGAGCTTGAGACGGAACCTGGCATCTGCTCTGTAGATAAGTCTATAGAAGATGGGGATAATTGTTTTTTCTTCTTTCCCATAGCCCTTCTGCAGGGTGAGTTCTTGTTTGTTTTGGGAAAACAGGACTATTAAGTAATTTCAGACTGGAGATGACCTTTATCCCTGTGTTTCTTTAATGTGCATATTCCTCTTGCCAAGAACTTGCAATTTGCTAGAGGAAAAGATGAGTTTTCTTGTTTCTTTTTAGGGTTATTGTTGTACTCCAGGAAAGGGAATATAAATTCTAAGCTTTTCATAAATTACTATGTACTTTACTCTTCACAATTTCATGCATTACCATGTCACCAGGTTGGCTTAGAAAATATCCATTTGAGTTAGGCCCAAATGTTTTATGCAGGAAAGGGAAACATTGGCCCCACTTTTAAATGAAAGCACATGCTAACTAATATAGTGTATGAAACATCTGCATAATGTATTATATAGGATCATAGACTCTGTGATGAGAAATTCAGATGACAGGACAATATGAACCTGTCTAAAGACTTATCATCACTGCATAGCAATTCTAAGAAGTTATAGGGCAAAACGCTTATATTTATGATATGAGTTAATAAAAACACATTATTATCTTCTGATTATAGTACCTTCATGGAAAATCAGTATAATATAAAGTGTGCTTTTGTTCATTCTCTCAGCAGTAAAAGACACTTGGTGGGCACCTTCTTCCAATCTGACCACCCTGGTGTGTGCTGCAGATAATTGATCTTTTCTTCACCCCTGTAGGAATCACCATTTTCTCCTCCTTCACCAGAGACAGGTAGGATACCCAGGACATCTTGCCATGCTGTCAATTGTCATTTCCACCACATAAGGAAAGAGAAAAGCCAAGACTGGGCTTTAAATTCATTTACAGGCTTATATATGGCTTAGTTTTATTTTTTTTCCAATAACTATAACTACTTTATTGGTCTGATAGAGGTCAAAACATGATAAAATCACCACCATAGCTTTTTGCCCTGAATCTCACCTCCAGAGAAAACACACAGGCCAGGGTGATTTCTCTCTTCAATAGAAAATGTAACCAGAGATGAAACTAGGTCTTCTCTGCATGGTTTTTATGTGCATGTGGTTTCCAGGGAAACCTCACCCTGATATTTCTAAATGTTAGGATAGTAACTGGTGCCCCTCAGATTCTGGCTTTGAGCATATTAAGAATGTTCACAGAATCAAGAAAAGAGAAAAAGGAGCTATTGAAAAAAGTTTCTCATAAAACTGAATTCCATAATTTTAAAAGAGATATGTTTCAAACTACATTTAAAAGGGTCCACAGAAAATGGAAGACTAAGACTAAAATTTGAGTGAGTGGAAAAGGAAGAGAATCGTTTGTTCAGGTGAGCAAACAAATACATCATTATTTTAGGGTGGCTTTTCAGACTTCAGAGTAAGGAGAAGACAGTAAGCTGAAAGTTTGGTATTTCAATTACCTGATTTTCTCTATTCCAGATGAAGAAGGGTCACAGGAAGACAGAAAAATGGCAGGTATACAACCCTGTTAAAAATAAATTTAGTAAGAGAGACCAAAAAGTAACCTAATAAAGATAATTTGCCTACTCTTCAATTTACATTAATGTAGATGTGTATTAATGATGATTATGAAATAATAATGACAAAAACCATTACCCCAAAGCAGTGTAGCTATTTAATAAAGAATACAATTTACTGGGAGCCGCCGTGGCTCAGGCCAGTTGCCCTGGCACTCGGGGAGGGAAGGCTACATGTTCGGCGCCAACCTGGTCAACATTGATTAAAAAAAAAAAAAAAGAGAATACAATTTACTATCTCCTGAATTTATAACTTTTATTATTCTTGTCCAGAATTTATTTTCTTTCTACCTATTCAAAATCTAACTTTTGATTTTTAATTCCCCTTTTCTCTTTCATATCTGCTAAGTGATGCTTGCTTCATCTGTCTTCTCAAATTCACTTAAAACTACTGAGAGACTTGGGATTAATTTTATATCTGAAAAAGATAGCTTTCTAAACTACTTGCTACTAAACTATGCACTAAACTGCTACAGCTTCTTTGGAAGTAAAATGTTGTTACTGGATAGTATTTCTCTCTGTAGAAAAAGGAATGTAGTAAAAATGTTCTATACATTTTAACCTTCTACTGGAAGAATGTTCATTTAAAACTCAACTCTAAAACAGACAGGGATGGAATCATGCTTCCAATAACAGGAAGGAAAAGAAAAGGAAGGAGAGAGAAAGAGAGAAATTGAAAGAGTACACATATGCAGAAGTCAAGCACAGGCTGTGTTAAATGACACCTTGATTGACTCTGATCAAGAATTATACAGCATGGTAGGCTCCTATATTATTAATGACTTCCCGTGACTTTCAGGAAGTAAAGAATAAACAGGAGGAAAACACTTCCTCTTCTGGTATGGCTGTAAGAGGAAAGGGGTAATGGTAAAAGTCTTCAATGTGTGAACTCATGGAGGAATTCAGGGATTAACAAAATGTTTATTTTACAACCATTTTGACATGGGTTTATTATTTATTCATTTATTGGATATTATTTTTGTGCCTTTCTGGAAAACATGGGCATGTTTTACTTTAAGTTTGGGTTCTCATTATCTAGCATATTCCTTGGCAAAAAATATATGTCTATCACATGTTTCTTTGATGAGTAAGGGGATGAGAAGGTAATAGGATTATAGGCTGTCTTGGTCCTAGCTCAGGTTGCACTGGAGGAAGTAGGTTTTAACCCAGATCTAAAAGCATAGTGTAGAAATTAGGTGGGAGACCATGAAGTGAGAAGTGAATCTAGGCAATGTAAGTATACAAAGAGATGAAAACACTGAAACCTCATGGATACAGCACTTCAATATTTTTAAAGTTGATCTTTTCTAATTCTAGAAACCAATTTATATAATTCATTATTTGAAGAAAATATTAGACCTGAGTTTTCTGGTTTAGTCATATCCTTTATAAACTAACTGAATAATTATGATCTTTTATCTCATGCTGTGAAAATGCCAACCTTTCAATTCCTCAAGGCATCCCAGTACAGATGGTCTCTCATTGCAGAGCCAACAACCATCACTTTATTTTACCAATATCTAAGAGACAGACTGATTACATTTACATCAATCATCCTGAATAATAGAGACAAAAATCACTGTATTATTGCAAAATACATGTCTTTCACTTTCTAGAGAACTGTCTGTGATTTGCAACATTTATTTGTGAAATGTAGGAAAAAAGTC
The DNA here is from genome assembly GCF_000001405.40 of Homo sapiens. NCBI lineage: Eukaryota > Metazoa > Chordata > Mammalia > Primates > Hominidae > Homo > Homo sapiens. The sequence continues at coordinate 43,781,116 of NC_000018.10, forward strand.
ACGTGACAACATTCTATTTGGTTAAGTCAGAGGGGAAGAATGTATAATTTTCGAGAGGACAAGCAATAAAGGTGATTCATGACTTCAGAAATCTTCAGTCTTCTCTTGAAGACAAGACAGTGTTCCAACAGAATCCAGCAGAATTATTCAATTGTCTGGCACTATGGCAGTTCTCCATATACCAAATGGCTTAAATGTGTTGATTGAGGGTTCAAGAAAGCAAGACATTTACTCAAGCATCGTCTTCTCTCTGGGTGTTTTAACAAACTTTGGTACCTATACAGCCTTATGCTTTCAACTGAGATCATAGCTACGGGCTGATATAATATAATTTTGCTGTCTTTACAATTATGTCTTTCTAATTGGCAAGACTGAAATTGGCTATTCTGTTAGAAAATTGAAAAATAAACTTACAGAAAAGAGGAAAATGATTTATTAACTTGTGTCTTTCTCAACAGCCATAAGGGTTATGCAAGTTCACAACTACTGGTTCTAGTTTTTAAGGCCACTTAGTAAACAACAAGAAATTGCATTAGTGAATATTTTATTGGCTCCTACCTTCTAGCATACATAGGCAATGGCTATATATGAGACAATGTTTTTAAAAATGTTACAGCTGTTGGATGTTTTACTTTTTTGATTTAAAATATCTTACTCAAATATATAATTATACTAATTAGCAGGCTGAGTTGAGTGTCCTCTTAAGGCATGGGCAATATTTTCCCACGTTGTTTCCTAAATAGCACCAAATACTGACCAGATATTTTGTTGACACTCAGTAAATCATTTAGGGTTGATTGAGAGACAGTGGTCTCTGTGTTTTGTCCAACATTTATGTCACTTTTCCAAATACATAATTTATTTATCAAATTACTCAAACAATAATCATGCTGTATTTTGCTTTTGCCTTTTCTTTCTTTCTTTTTTTTCATGTAGTCCACCCATTTAATTGTTTTGGAGTTATAGGCCAATGGAAAAAAAAACAATTCTCCATCTTATTAAAATTAAGAACTCTTTGGGCAGTAAGTTAAAAACAGCTGAACAAAAACCCTTCGAACTTGGCAGGTGGCTAGGACTCCTGAGGAATCATGTCACAGCTATGTCTCCAAAAAATATTTGAAATTAAGGTTTAGAGATTTCAAAGGTCTCTTCTGAGTCCAAACTTTTGGCAGATGTCAAAATTTTAGGAAATCATTTTGGAAGAGAGGAAACTAGCCCAAACTTTTTTTTGTCCCCCCTTCCACAGACAGATTGAAGCAAGGACTAAATCATCAATGGAGTTTGAAAGAGAGGAATCCTACCATAATAACATAGAAAGATCTTCATTTCTGTGGCCTGATAATTGAGGTGTAAGAGGTGACCTGGTGCAATTGGAATCATGTTGGCAAGAATTCTAGTCTTAACTATTTGAATCACTATTTGTATACCTTTAGCAAACTCCCTTATCTTCTTTGGGCTTCAGTTTCTCCATGTGTCTGATATAGATCACAGCAATAAAAATTGGGTTTTACCTGGAATATTTTTGACGATACTTACAAAAGATAAAGGAAGTTAAAATTATTTTGCGTATCCCCCATCACCCCCAGGCTACCATACATAATTAAAGGATTGTTTCAAATTGCTTACTTGGTTTTGTTTGTAGAGACATGTCTTAAGTGAGAAAAGAGGCTGAGCTCACATCAGTTCCCAAATCCAGCAGTTGTGATTATGTTTATTTAGTGCTGTGAAAGTCAGCACTGCAGTTCGAAGACTGATGTTATCAAGATGGTGAAATTAGCCATGTAGTGAATCTGATTTGGGTAATCAAATGACCAAAATATCTGACCCAAACTAGATTCTAATCATTTCCATTCTCAACTTTGTTAGTAATTTGGGTTTTCATTAAAATTATTCAGTCCGGGCTGGGTGTGGAGGCTCATGCCTGTAATCTCAGCACTTTGGGAGGCCGAGGCTGGCAGATCACAAGGTCAAGAGATTGAGACCATCCTGGCCAATATGGTGAAACCCTGTCTCTACTAAAAATACAAAAATTAGCTGGGCGTGGTGGCGTGTGCCTGTAGTCCCAGCTACTCAGGAGGCTGAGGCAGGAGAATTGCTTGAACCCAGGAGTCGGAGGTTGCAGTGAGCTGAGATTGCACCACTGCACTCCAGCCTGGGTGACAGAGCAAGAATCTGTCTCAAAAAAAAAAAAAAAAAAAAAAGAAAGAAAGAAAAAGATTATTCAATCCAAACCACGTTGGTTTGAAGGGAAGAATGGAAAAGAAATGAAGCAACAGACAAGAAATATAACAACTACGATAAAACATTTAAAAGGAGAGGCAGAATTAAGTTCTTAAGAGAAAAATACAATGTTCAACATCAACATATTTGCTACACATAAATTGAGCAAGGTATTGCAGAGCATAATGTGGTACAGAAAGAATTATGAAGTATAGTACTTGCACTTTAGAAGCCTATAACACCGAGGTCATGGACTTCTGCAAGCACTTAATAATCACAAATGGAATATTTGTTATGTCTCAAGTGAATGGTATAGATGGATGGTAAAGGAGTTCAGAGAAGGGAAATAATCATTAAGAGCCGGGAAGTCAGAGAAGGTCTCAGAGCAGAGCCTGGCTGTGAGCAAACAAGTATAAAATCACCCAGCAAAGATAATGAAGTTTACATTATTTCCTATGTATACTTCATACCGAAAGATACTGGCACCAAAAGAGGGAGTTGTCTGGGAAGTGGGGGTAAGTTGAAAAAATGATTTAAGGTTAGAGTTACTCTCCGGGTGCAGTGGCTCACACCTGTAGTCCTAACACTTTGGGAGGCTGACGCTGGTGAATTGCTTGAGCTCAGGAGTTTGAGACCAGCCTGGACAACATGGCGAAACCCCATCTTAACAAAAAATACAAAAAAATTAGCTGCTTGCACTTGTATTCCCAGCTACTTGGGAGGCTGAGATGGGAGGATCGCTTCAACCTAGTAGGTGGAAGTTGCAGTGAGTTGCGAGCGTGTCATTGCACTCCATCCTGGGCAACAGAGCAAGACCTTGTCTCGGAAAAAAATAAAAAAATATATAAACAATGTGAGTAACTTACGCAATTGGTCTGAGATCACGAAAATGAGGAATAGCTACACTTACTTGCAATGTTGGCGTCAGTACCCAAATTAACTAACCTTAAATGCAAGACTTAGCAGCAGGTATTATCCATGTTGAACCACAGAGTTGTGGTTATAGGATGATCTATCCAGGTTGAAAAAGAATTCTGGCCAGCAGTTTGAAGAAGTGAAAAACAAGATTAGGCACAGAGGCAGAGGGTGGTGGGGCCACAGGGCGGGGAAGGATTCCAATCCATGAGACTGCAGAAGGGGAAGTGAGCAGCCTCTACCCATACAGACTAGGGTCTCATGGATGCCACTGGAGAGCATTCCAGTCTCACTGGATATTGGTAGTTCACTAACTTGTGTCAGTCATGATTGTGACCTCTGATATATTGCTATATTTGGTTTTCATTTATACAAAAGCTGCGTCTCTCCTTGATCCCAGTGTTTTGTTGGTCTTTTGTGCATCCAGGAAAGTAAGGCTTGAGGAAAAGAAGAGCTGAATTTACAAGTGTTGTCCACTTGCAGTTATAGCTGCTTAATTAGGAATTGTCACTGAAATCCTCAGCCAGCATTAACCATCAGGTAGGAGATGCAGAGGGGCTATTTGAAAGTTTTCTCCTTCACTGCTGGAAGTGACTCTCTGGTTCCTAGTCAAAATAGACCTAAGGTTAGTTCAAAGCAGCAGTTAGTATAAACCTCTAAATTTGATCCTCAAAATCATATTGATTCTGCAGAATAGATGCAGATGTTAATTCTAGAGATCAATCCCACTGTAGACCCAATACTATTAGCACCTTATAGAAGATTGTCCGAATTAAACACACACACCATATACATATACACACACATACACACACATATATATGTATATACATATACATAAAAAATGAGTCATAGCATCTCTTATATTGGGCAAATGGGCAAAATGACATTTCTAAGCCATCCTCAAAGTAATTAACTTTGTTATTTTCCAAGCCTTTTCCACTCAGCCTATCTATGAAGATCTTTGCTGCAAACATTTTTTACTAGATGCATGCTAGACAACTGATAGGATACAATAGAAGAGCAATTCTTAGCCCACAGAGCTCAAGAGCGTCTTAATCAGTGGATAGTACACTGGCAGTGCTACAGACTGAGATTCCTTTAAAATAGCTGTGCCACAACCTAGACCAGCTGCTGAGTGACAAGGTAGCATGCATACTCCAGAAAGAGAACAAAAGCCAGTTATTCTTGCTATCCAACAAAGTGTGCTTTTACAGTGATTAATCCTTTTTGTTAGTACAAAACTTACAATACCATTTATCTTATATCCCATTTATTCTTCACCACCCATGAGATTTTATGGACATATATAACATTATATCTTTATTTTACAGGTGAGAAAACTATGGTCAGGAGATTAAGAGGTATGCTTTACATTTCACTTTGTAAATCTAAGAATAGAAAATACAACCCACATCCCTTACCTCCTAGATATACTGTCTTCCTATTGAAAGACACTGCTTGCCACGTTGTCTCAATGATGTTGGGATCTAAATTCATTCCTTAGTTACTATGTCAGTTTTTGACCTTTTCTTATCTACCAAATCAATAGCACATAGGAACACATTTTTAAATATTATAATCCTTACATGACAAACCCCTTTTTATAACCCAAAACATTCAACTATTTACCTAAATGTGGTTCATCAGGCTGAATATGGCTTAGAATTCATAGCTTTGTGATCTGTTCTTTCACTCATAAAACATTCTCAGTCTTTTGGACTTAAATATTAATCAACACAGGAAACTCTCCAACAGCAATGCTATGAGCTAGTATATTGGGTTCTAGGTAGGAATGAATAGTGGATGGAAATTTCAATGAGACTTGATTCCTTTACTCGAGGAACTTGCAACCAAGTTAGACTGATATTCATGAACCAACTACGAAACATTTTACAATAAATGTAAAAATGTAAATATAAATAGATAATCTAAGCACTGATAAAATATGAAGTATCAGAATAGTCAAAATGGTATGAGATGAATTAGTACAGGTAATTTCTAAAAACAAATATTTGAGCTGTATTTCAAAGGGCGTTCAAGATTTCGATTTAGAGTATTACATGTATATGCATTTCACACCAATGGAAGAAAAGAAGAAACCATGATTAGCAAATTCTGTGCCCAAATCAATAGAAACTATTTAATAATTATCACCCTAACAGCAAACCAAACAACTCAACTTATACTGAATGACTTTAGTGATTCTTTATATTATTATATAAAATCTTTAAAGTTTACGGAGTAGAATCACATAGGCCTAAGTTCGAATCATGGCTATTCTAACATTTAATGTGTTAAGTAGCTAAAACTATTTGACCTCCTTTATAGTATGTGAATAATTTTACCTACCTATCAAAATAATTTGGTGATAGAAAGATAAAATTGTCTAAGGTATAAGTAAATATTTAAGTATAAAAAAATGTGAGCTTGCTGTCTATAGACACAACCATGTGTAAATCTGTGTGCCTGTGTCTTTATATGCATGTGTGTGCACACAAAGACATTAAATCACATAAATATTTATTACTGGACTGTAGTGTATGTGAAATACTGAGCATAGGGCCTGTCATTATGGCTCTATGCTATCATCTGAATATATGTAATACTATTGTCTGTTGGAAATAGGGATAAGACTTTTTGTTCCTTTTATATAAAGTGCTTACAATGCCAGACTGAAATTTAATTGAATTTTGCAAACTTCCAACTTTTTGAACATGTGCCATCATTAGATAATACTAGACACATGGTATATTAACTAATGTTCTAATTTGCCTCATGGCAAGTGCCTTCTCTGAGCTCAAAGTCTATATTTTTATTTTAAAATATTTTATATCACGTGACATATACCCTAGTTGCTCTCATTTTCCACTGACTTATTTCCCGTGAGTTTTCTTCTTAACAAAATTAAAATGTCTATGTCATTTAACTAAGCGCTTTGTAGGGCAAACGACTTGTTTATGTATGCCCTGCTTACAGACATATAGAAGACTTTATAAAAGTGACATTTCTATAAGATTGAATGGATTAATGACTATAACATAAAAGTGAGGGTGCTTGGTCTTGGTTCAAAAGAAGATCTTGTGCAGATTTCAGTCACCTCCCTTTTGTCATATCACCACAGACTTCTAGGAGTCTAAGATATCTTGCTAAAAATTGGTGGAATTTGAAAGTTTTGTGCCATTGAAAGAGAGGTGGAGTACACTGGGTGAATTGGATGGGGCTGTACATGTCTAGGTGTATTAGGGTTCTCAAAAGGGATAGAACTAATAGGATATAAGTATAAATGACAGGGAGAGTTGACTTAAGTTTATTAGGAGAATTGACTCACCTATCACGAGGTGAAGTCCCACAGTAGGTCATCCACAAGCTGAGGAACTAGGAAGCCAGCCCCCAAACTTCAAAAGTAGGGAAGCCAACAGTGCAGCCTTCAGTCTGTGGTAGTAGGCCCGAGAGTCCCTGGCAAATCACTGGTGTAAGTCCAAGAAACCAAAAGCTGGAGAACTTGGAGTCTGAAGTTTGAGGGCAGGAAGCATCCTGCACAGGAGAAAGATGAAGGCCAGAAGACTCAGCAAGTCTGCTCTTTCCAACTTCTTCTGCCTGCTTTATTCTAGCTGCACTGGCAGCTGATTAGACAGTGCCCACACAGACTGAGGGTGAACCTGCCCCTCCCAGTCCACTGACTCAGATGGAAATCTCCTTTGGCAGCACCCTCACAGACACACCCAGGAACAATATTTTGCATTCTTCAATCCAATCAAGTTGACACTCAATATTAACCATCACACTAGGGTTACAGACTGCCATCACTTCTCCAGGATAGCCAATTGGACTTGACCAATTCAAATAAGAAATACAAACCCTGTCTCAAATAGCTTATTAACTTTAGAAGTATATTCATTGATATTTATAAAGATGAGAAATTATTTCAGATGTGAGATTGAGACTCAGTGCTAAAGGTGATCAGAGATGAGGAGGATTAATTCAGACTCAGTACCAACACAATTGAATTAGACATAAAAAAGTGATTAGAATTCTGAGGCATAGGCCGGGCGCGGTGGCTCACGCCTGTAATCCCAGCACTTTGGGAGGCCGAGGCGGGCGGATCACGAGGTCAGGAGATCGAGACCATCCTGGCTAACACAGTGAAACCCCGTCTCTACTAAAAAACACAAAAAAATTAGCTGGGCGTGGTGGCGGGCGCCTGTAGTCCCAGCTACGCGGGAGGCTGAGGCAGGAGAATGGCGTGAACCCGGGAGGCGGAGCTTGTAGTGAGCCGAGATCGCGCCACTGCACTCCAGCCTGGGCGACAGAGCGAGACTCCGTCTCAAAAAAAAAAAAAAAAAAAAAGAATTCTGAGGCATATTTCCAAGGATATTTACTGGTAAAGTTAGGGCTGTAGAATATAGTATATAAAAGAAATGACATTTTAAAAAGTCAGTGATATAAGAAAACATAATTTTTTGTTGATTTTTCAATATTAGTTGGAGTAGAAACTTTATTTGGTCAGGGGAGTACAAAATGTATGGTTGGAAAGGTGCTGTGCTGGAGGAATACTTTGATGCATTTTGAATGACACACTGAGTTTTATTACCTAATTTTACATTCATTCAATATATAGATTTTAAGTGTTTACTCTGTGCCAGGCAATCTACTCAGGACATTTTGGTAAATAATTTGGGTTCATTTATATACACAAATTACTTGCTTAAAAATAACAAAGAAAGTTTTTGTTTGATTGTGCATTTATTTTTTAATTAATCCATGTTTAGTTGAGAAGCTAAGTAGAGGTTTCCTCATAATACAAAATTGAGCAGAATAATTTGGGGCACTCATAAAAGGCAGTAGGTGGCCATCCATGTCTGTTCATTCCCTGCTTCAAAGCCTGAATAAACAGCAGAGTCATAGTCTACAGGTCTTTCCTGTTCTTCATGTGACATATTTCTCCTTTGCTATAAAGGTTAAAAGGGCTGTATCAAGGCAAGATTCTCTGAAACATTTTAAAAGGCATTTGGTGTCTACTGAGAACTTGTCAAAAAATTGAAAAAGAAATCATATCTAAGTATCAGAGCTCTGGAAAACCCATGCACTACCATATCTACACTGAAACTACCTCTAGAAACTGCCATTGTAACTCCACACTTGATGGCAGTATTCTGCAGCAAATCTGGGGGAAATGCTCAGACAACCGCTCAGCCTGGATTCAGATTTATTGGGAAGCCTGGATCCATTTGTGCACATTATTCTTATTGAGAGTCGTCAATGCTTTATCAAACTCTAGGCATGTCTTTTAAATGACCATGAAAGTAAAAAGACAGTGAAAAGTGGGAGCCAAGCCTTAATGCAGTTGTAATAATTTTCATCCCTAAATCTGAGATCCCAAATTATCAAACCACAGAAAGAACACAGTTAGCATGCAGGATACAAAGAAATGATGGTGATGGCAGAATCTCCCTTTGGCTCTTGGGTCACTGTTCTTGTTTATGTTCCTTAGCTAAACTGGCAGAAGGAGGGCAAGGAATGAGAGATTACGGATTACTTTGGATTATCTTTCCATCTTTGTAAATATGTCATTGTAGAAATACAAATCTTTTAGGATACCAGGGTTTGCAAGGAGAAAAATATAATTTGATGATAGAAAGATAAAATTGTATAAGGTATATTCAAATATTTAAGTATAAATAAATGTGAGCTTGCTGTCTATAGACATAGCCATGTGTAAATCTGTGTGTCTGTGTCTGTGTATGCATGTGTACATGCACAAAGACATTAATTTAACTCACCCGGATATTTATTTCTGGATATAATTGCTGGAACTATATCACACAAGCTTCTAAATTTCTATCCCAAATGCTGTTCAGGAATTTAGATAATTAAATATATGTAGTATATTCTGCATCAGAGAAGCAGAATCAATGGCACACTTTCTAGTTTAAAACTTGTACCTATTCATAGTTTTGGCATTTGTTAGTTTCAGAAGAAATTGTCGCTTATCAAATTGATTCAGTGTTTCACTCGGATGTATAAAGTCTTTAAATTTGGCTGCTATTATTAGACAAACCATAGTCTCAGCTAGGCACTGTTTCTGAGGTACAAAAAAGACTACAAAGAAGTCCATGCAAGACAAAGTAACATGCTGACTTCCCAAAGAAGTTGTATGTATCAAATTAACTTGATACATATAACTCTCAGTCTTTTTAGGAACTATAGTCATGTAGCAATAATGGGATTGGCCCCTTTACACCAGCCATCTTTGATTTCTTCTGGAGATGCTCTCAATCGTCAGCTAATCATCTGGTTCTTGTAGTCCACTGTTCTCACAGGAAACCAGATGAAAGCATATGGAGCAAAAGGATAACTACTCCTGAGCCTAGAATTTAAAAAATAGTAACACTGATGGCTAACATCTGGGTAAGAACTTGTATGTTCCAAAGCATATTTACTAGTCTCTGTCTCTCTCTCTTTTTCTTGCAATAGCTTTGTAGAAAAAAAAAAATAGCTGTCTTTATTATAATTGTTGATGGGTAAATGAAAATATAAGGAACTAATTACTTTGCCTTGTTGATGGGAAATGAAAATATAAATAAATAATTAATTTGCTTAAACAAAGATTGAGAAACTAGTAAAAGCGAAGGTCAGAATTTTAATGTCAGTGTCCTGATATTTTGAGCAGTATTCTTTAAACATCACAGTCATGATCTGGCCGAATGCGTAGAAATTCAACATATCCACCAAACGCAGAAACACATCATAAAATGTATGAATCTATATCTACAAAAAAAGTGTCCCCTTATAATGGCAGTGTATGGGCCAAGGGAAAGATTCCCTCTGCCCTCTGAAGAGTCCCTGAAAATGAACTGACAATAGACAAATTAATTAGAGAAGAGGCATACAGATTTATTTAATCTGCACAGCATGGGGGAATTACAAGATTACCTATTAACTCAATGGACTACAGATGCATATATACCCTTATTCATGGTGGAGGAGATGGAAAATTTAGACAATCCTTTTGAGGGGGTGGTAGATGATTATGAGGGAGAATGAATGAACTTGGAGATCAAAATTATATGGTTATGGAATTTAAATGATCCCAAGAGGCAGACATTATCTTGTGAAAAACTTCATCCAGATGTGGTTTCATTCTTTAGTCTTCTTTTCCATGATAGATAATGAAATATCAGGAAGGAGAGGGAAGGTAATTTTGTTCTCTTTGGTGGGTCCAGTCTTAAGGTAGATAAGGGAATAGCAGAGAAGAGCCTTTTCCAAAATCTGCTGACTTTCAAGAGCCTGTAATTTAAAATAATTAGCATACCAGGGTGCCATATTTTGGGATAAAATTCTCTGGAATTCTTCAGCAGTATTCCTAGGGCTGGTTTGACTTAATTTCACTTACATCTAGCTTGATTTCAGAGCCTAGTGTCTATTAAAAAAATGGATCCACAAGTCATAAAACTGCCTGCAAAGTTTGTATGGTCCTATTTTAAATACATCAAATCAGACAAAATTAAAGAAAATTTATAGTTCTTATTTATATCTGTGATGTTCCACATGACAATATCATTCCAGGATATACTTTTATCTGAAATATCCTATTCAACTGTAGACACGGAGAAGCAGAAGACTTTACTTGTGCACTAAATATAACTAAATTACTATCTAGCAGTTTATAGCACTGAATTGTTTCAAGACATTGTTTTCTATTTATTTTATCTAAGTACACTGATGAATTATTATAGTTCTGATTTTCTAACTAAGGAATGTGAAATCTAATGATTTACCAAGATCTTAGACCTAATTTGTGGCAGAGCCAGGGCTAGAATCCCTAATCTCATTCTGAGTCCCAGCCTAACTCCAAAGTCCTTGAGAGGTTCTCTCACTATACCTACCAAACTAAGGGGTCTTACTGTTACTTTTCCAGTCAGAATAGTCTGACCGAATACTAACATAGGGACTTCACCATCAGCTGGTGCTGTGAAAGCTAAGCTTTTATTCTGATGGTGGGTGTGGAAGGTAGAATGGTGAGGAAAACCAAGAAATTTTGTTTTAGGAGTTTCTTTCTCATCCATTCATTATCAAAAGATGAGCAATGTTTATTGGCCATAAACTGTGTGCCACTCTGTGCTTGTCTTATACAATTCAAAGAAAATAAGACAAGTCATTTGCTTTTATTCTCCATATGTTCCAAAAATCTTCATGGTTTCTGCCTTCATGTTCAGAGCCCTCTGATTCTTTCTACCATAGGTCTTTCTCAAAATCATACATAAACATACAGAAATTAATTTATAATAAGTTGTTTCAGACATAAATATGGAGATCTTTTGGGACAAAGACTGCTTCCAGAAACTAAACATGGAAGCAATTCAAGGTTTTATCTGTTTCAACAGCAGTCCCACATATACCAAACAAAATCAAAGCAATCAAAAACATTGAAAATTTCCACACAGATCCAGGCCTGGCTCTAACATTTGCAAGGCCCGGGGCAAAAGTGCAAGTGGAAGACCGTAGCCCACTCACAATGTTTTCCTTTCCCACTAATTCCCATTTTGTCCTACAGTGCAAGGTGTTTCAGCTGTGTGGATATACCAAGCACCTTCCCCCCCATTGTTAATCCCTCCAGCTTCTAGACAATCTACTCCTGGCTGTTTCACATGGGTGGCATGGTTTGTTCCGGGAAGAACATTCTGAGAGTGAAGCCCATATAGTTCCTAGAGGTGGATGCAGGACATTTGGAAAGAGAAGAATGCATGTGATACAGAAGAGAGAGTTTTGGGCTTCAGAAAGCACATCTTCTTTGCCCTAAAGTTATCTTACACCACGGGAAGAGTCACAGCCACAGAAGGGCCAGATCTGAGTCTTTTAAACTATAGCTCCCAGGACATAAGTCCCATTTCCCCAGATCTAAATATGGTACAATTCAGGCTCGTTCCAGAAAAAAATTAAAATTAGACAAAACGTATACCCAGATTTTTCAGCCCTGTTTGTTTTTAGCTGTCTTTAAAAAGAGACAAAAAACTGTTCTTCAGGATTTTAGGATCCCGCAGACTGACCCCTGACAGCCCCCATCCAGGAGTACTCTCCTGAGGAATTTCCTTATATATGGTGCTTAATTTTCCACATTTCTTGGGTTTCATCAGGGTACATATAGATATGTTGAAACATATAGAAAACAAACTACTTAAGAAATGCAGAATCTTAGCTCCCATCCCCAGACTTACTGAATCAAAGTATGGGTTTTAGAAAGATTCCCAGATAATTTGTATACACATTAATGTTTGAGAGGCACTGATCTAATAGGCTTATTTTATGAAAAGATATAAATGACTTATAGTTTCCTTGAGATTAGTGCAAGATATAAGTATCAAACTTTAAAAAGTAAGAATATATTATAAAGGAACATAAAAAAGTACAACTAACAGATAAAAATAATGGTAGAAAAGGTTCAGATAAATTAAAAATTCTAATAAGTATAAATGGACTAAACTTACCCATTAAAAGAAAAGAATGTTGGCTTAGATTACAAAATTCCAGATACTTTCTGTTTGGCATACTGATAGTAAGTAAAATACTTATAATAACTTAGTATGACCTCTTTTCTTGAGATAAATGCCAGATAGTATTTTATAGTTTAAGAATGAGGTCAGTCTCAGCTACTGTGGCATTCATGCCTCACCTTGCCTTGCACATAATATATATTTAAAAAATACTTAGTGAATGAATGGATATATTATTTCAGAAGACTTTGGTGAATCACACCATGTTGGCCATTTTCTAGTTTGGTTCTGCAGCCAGTTACAATACTGCTACTACAATGGCCCCCACGTTGTTATCACTCTTCATTGTCATATTTCTTATGCCAGAAGGTCTTCAGAGCTATTTATATTTCTGCCAGTGACTGAGTACTAAATAGTAAATGGAACCTATTTATAAATAGTAAGTGGAGTTTATTTATGTAATAATAAGTAGACTTGTAGAGTTATAACAGTCAAACTAATTTGAGAAAGAAAAATTAGCAAAACTAGTTTCCACAGGTGCTACTTGGTGTAAACATTTGTGTATTTTTCTAACAGTGGTAGTTATTTTACTAGCAAAATATACCAGGTAGGACACACAAGCACTGTCCTTAAGCTTTTTTGGGTTTCCTTTCTTCCATAAAAGTCCAGTCCAGATAATATTTATAATTTTTAACACTCTTTGGTTTCTACTTAGATGCTGATAAGAGTACAAAGGACAAAATTCTCACTACCCTATTTTTAACTTATCAGTTTGAACAATAAAAACCCTCAAGTGGCTCTTAGTTCGTCTAGTTATTTTTACTCGTCATCTTCACTGCCTCTCTTAACTCACAATTTTCCACTCTCTCAGGCATCAGCCTCTGAGCTTTGGCAGCTGATAGTTATGTTTCTTTTTAACCAGATTGGTGTTAATTAGTCTTTAAAGTTGTATGAGTGGGTGTTAATTGAACATAACTTTACTGTATCTACCTCAGCTCTTCTTATATTTTGCTCACTGGACACTTTTTATGCTCATATGTTCTAGATGATTCTTAAAAATCTATATTATAGCATTATCTGCAATTTTTCTGGTTAAGTCTTCCCTTATTTTAACACTTTATGTGTGTGTAAGTATATATATGTGTGTGTGTATGTTTATATTATATATTATATATATATATATACAAAGTGAAGGCAGTCAAATACTTTCTAAACTTTGTGGTTGTTGAAACACAGCCAAGGCAAAAGAAGAAGTAGAAAACTATGCTCACATTGACCTGAATTATCAAAGTCTAGATAAGAACAGGGAGTGGAATTTGGGGAACATCAAGGGATTTGAGTATCCCAAAGTTTCTGTTAGAGTAGTCTAAGATACAAGTGTTAAACTTTAAATTATAAGGACAGACTATAGGGGAACATAAAACAAATTCAACTAACCGAAATAAATAGCAATGGTAGAAAATGGTCCCATAAATTAAAAATCACAATAAGTATAAATGGACTAACATTACCCATTAAAAGACAAAAAAATGATTGATTAGATTACAAAAATTCTAGGTACTTTCTGTTTAAAATACTGAAAGACTAAAGGTAAAAGGATTTGTTTTAAAAGCAACATCAAGCAAATACTATCCAAAATAAAACTGGTATACATATGTCAGCACACAAAATATTATGTTAATATTGGACAATGAGGATAATTACCTAATAATATTTTCAACTAAAATATATAAACATTTATTTTTATTTCAATAATTTTGGGGGTCCAGTGGTTTTTAGGTTACATGGATAAGTTCTTTAGTGGTGATTTCTGAGATTTTGTGTGTCCATCACCCGAGCAGCATACACTATTCCCAATATGTAGTCTTTTATCTCTCATCCCTGTTGAACCCTTACCCTCTAAGTTCCCAAAATCTATTATCATTCTTATGCTTTTGCATTCTCATAGCTTAGCTCCCACTTATAAGTGAGAACATACAAGATATAAACATTTAAATACATGTACTCCTAACAAAATAGTCTTATAATATATGAAGCAAAAATGTTATCACTAAAGAAGGAAAATCCAATATTAGTGGGAGGTTTCAGGTGAATTGAAGAGTAAAGAAGAGAGAACGCCTGAAAATATAGAAGAATGAAAAAACAAAATGAACAGACCTTTCCTAAAAACATGTATACAAATTTTCTTCTGACATTAGAGGATACATATTTTTAACACACATTAAATTTTTACAAAAATTATATTAAATAAATGCTCAATATATTTCTAAAAACAAGATCTTATAGACAATGATGTATCAATCACAGTGCAACTAAGTTAGAAGTTAATAATTAAAAGATAAGTTCAAAATTACCATGTTTCTAAATTAAAATATATACAGATTAAGCATCTCTAATCAGGAAATATGAAATTCAAAGTGCTCCAAAACCTGAAACTTTTTGGCCACCAACATGATCACAAGTAGAAAACTCCACAGTTGACAATTTGAATTTCAGATTTTTGGATAAGGCTTGCTCACCCTGCACAGGTACTCTTGTGATGTTACTGTGTTGTTTAGTTACCCTGAAGACTTTGTTTTTTCACTGTATTAATGATATGCCATATTTTGTACTGTTAATTACTTATATGTGAATAAGTGTAAGAATATAATTGCTTACCAGCAGCATATAAATGCAGAGTCAGAAATGGTGGTGACAAAAACAACCACAGATTGTTCACATGGGTAGCCGAGATAGTGACACCTTTGCTTCCTGATGGTTCAGTGTACTCAAACTTTGTTTCATGCAGAAAATTATTTAAATATTACATAAAATTACCTTCAGGCTATGTGTATAAGGTATATATGAAACATAAATGAATTTGATATATAGATTTGGGTCTCATCCCCACAATTTCTCTCTCTCTCTGTCTCTCTCTCTAAATATATATATAGACACACATGCGCACGCACACACACACACACACACACACACAAACACACATATCCTCCATTCCAAAAAAGTCTGAAATCTGAAACACTTCTTGTTCCAAGCATTTTTGGGTAAAATATTTTCAGCTTATACTGCTAAATAGCTTATGGGTTAAAGAAAAACTATAATAAAATTTAAATTATTCCTAGAAATAAAAGATAATGTAAATGCTCTATATCAAAACAGAAGTTAAAAAAGGGAAAAATATTTAAAAACAAGTAGAAGAAAAATAATAAGAAAATAAGAGCAAAAGGCCGGGTGTCGTGCCTCATGCCTGCAATCCCAGCACTTTGGGAGGCCAAGGCAGATGGATCACCTGATGTCAGGAGTTTGAGACCAGCCTGGTCAACGTGGTGAAACCCCATCTCTACTAAAAGTACAAAAATTAGCTGGGAGTGGTGGCGAGCACCTGTAATCCCAGCTACTCAGGAGGCTGAGGCAGGAGAACTGCTTGAACCCACAAGAAGGAGGCTGCAGTGAGCCGAGATTGCGCCACTGTGCTCCAGCCTAGGCAACAGAGCAAGACCCCGTCTCAAAAAAAAAAAAGCAAAAATTAGTGACATTTAAAAAACAAAAGAAAGATGTAATGGAGAAGATCTAGAATGCCAAAATATGCTTCTTTGATAAAATTAATTTCTTAGGGTGATTAAGGAAAGAAGAAAGTCACAGCTAAATCACAGCATAACTGAAAGGAGGAACATGCTGCAGATCAAGGAGATATTTAAAAAGTAATAATAAAATTAACATCTCTATGCTAACAACTTTGAAAACTTAAGTCAAATAAATTTCTGTCATAAACCTGTTTACCTAGAATGAGTCAAGAAGAAATAAAAAGACTTGTGTAAACTTGTAGCTATTAAAGAGATTGAAGCATTGGTTACCGGAAAGTGTCATTGAACTTTTAAGAGATCTATCATTCCAATTTTATACAAACTCTTACAGTAAGCAAAAAAGAATAAATACTTCCCAACACATTCTAGAAGTCATCAAAACCCTGATATCAAACCAGAAAAATACATTATAAGAACTTAAATAAAAAATTAATTTCATTCATGATGAAGAAAAAAGCATCCTAAACGTAGCTCTCACAAACTGAATCTAGATTGTATAAAAAGGTAATACATGACAAAGTCAGATGTAACCAAGACGTGAAGATTGCTTAATATTAGATATTTATATGTAAAATTAATCATATTAACAGAAAAACAGAGAAAAATTATATGATTATCTCAATTGATATAGTCTTGAACAACTTTAATACTCACTTATAGGAAAAGCTCTTAGTAAGTTAGTAGGAGAAGGTGTCTTCCATAATATGGTGAAGACTATTCATGTAATTTTAGAGTAAAGATTACTGTAAATAATGAAACTCTAGAAAGGTTACCTTCATATTATATTAAAGGTACTATCCTGTGAATTAAAACAAGAAAAAAAAATACAGAGGCAGGAGGATGGGAAAGAAAGAAATGCAACTATTATTCTTTGCAGAGAATGTGATTGTTTCCATAGAAAGTACAAAAATTTTTTAGATGTATTGGCAAAATAATAAATGAGAAATAGACCAATTTAAAAATATGTTGATATTTTTGATATATTTGGAAACATTAATAAATAAGATTGTAATAAACAATAACAGGCTAGACCTTATTTTTAAATCTACATGGAACAGCTGTCAATTTGATAATATGTATGGCTAAAATACAAGTCTCCACATTAAAAAAATTAAAATCATTCGAAACATATTCCTTCACAGCAATGAAATTAAGCCGATAAGGAAAATGTAAATAACTACTAGTTCCTCCAGTGTTTGTAAATTAATCATTATATTTCTAAAAATTCATTAGTCAAAGACAAAGTCATAATACAAATTGGAAAGCAAATTTTTTAAATAAAACCTGGCATATAAATATTTATAGGATGCCGCTTATGATAGTAACTAATTTATTGCCTTTCAGCTCCAGGTCTGCCATCCTTGGTTCTCTGGACCTCATAGCATTTCTCTTTTGTCAACTGGCACTGGATCAAGCTTATTTAGTAGGAGGATCTGGAGATACACTGCAGAAATCGAGACCTGTTTCTGGTTCTAGACTGTTTCTGTTCCTGAGATAGGTGGAAGTTACCTCTGCACAGGATACCAGTGGTGCTCATTTCCAGTGAGTGTCACAGTGTGATTGGTACCTCTTTGTCAACAGCTTCCTCAGGCTTCCTAGCAAGTTATTTCCAGACACATCCCTGTGCAGGGTGTGTTAGCATATACCTTGTATGAGCAGCTTCCCCAGCATCTCAGAAGGCAGCTCCCCAGTCAGTTCCACAAATCTAACACTTCCTATTCAATGGGCCATGGCTACGCCCTCTCTGATGAAGTCTGGATCACAGCTGTAGAGGAGGGAGACTGCTCTTCCAGATTTTCTTCTTTCTCGAGAGCCCTACCTTAGCCCCAGACATAGTAGTTGCTCCCTTTATCTGCTATTTATTCTTTAGAACTCTCTTTATATCTTGGTAGGTAATTCTTTGCTATAAGTAATAGTTCTTTAGTAAAATTATGTGCAAATTGCAATGGGGGTTTTGTCTCTTGATGAAATCCTGATGATATACAAATAAAACTGCATGAAGGGAAATGTAAAGCCTGCAATGCATATATTTGAAAAGAAGAAAACTTCGAAATCAAGTATCTAAGTATGTACCTCAAATAAGACACAGAAATACATGAAAAGCGCAAAGTATTGACACTCAAGTTTATTAAAAGGTTTAGTTCACATTGTAAAATCAATACAGTTCATATATTATCAGAAAAATTAAGAGAAAAAATACAATCATATTAATAGATGCATAGAAAGCATTAGAAAAATATTCAACACCCATTTATAATCAAACACTCTTAGCAAAGTAGGAATACAGGGGACTCTTAATGCAATAAATAGTATTTATAAAAACCTATGCAAATAATACGTAGTGGTAAATTTTTTGGAAACGTTTAACTTGAGAATCAGAATGAGGCAAAGAAGACAACACTGATTAACACTGACAAAACAGTACACAATATACATGCGCCTTAAAGAAAACACTGATAAATTGAGCAACATTCTCATTTAAAGCTTTTATTTATCAAAATACATCACTAAAGGAATGAAAATGAAAGTGTATGCCACATAATGGGATAAAACATTTGCTGTATTTGTGTATTTGCTATATATTATATATTATAATTATGTAGATATATTTATATAAATATTTTCAAATATAAAAATACATATTTATATTTGCTATTACATATAAATAAATTATATATAAGTAAATATAATAGAAAATATAAATATGTATTTTTATATTTATAAAAATTATATATAACTATATATACACAATGTATACACACATGCATAATTGACAACCAGAACATAAAAATGACTTAAAAATTGTTAAAAAACAGACAATTCAATTGAAAAGTAAACAAAAGCGTTAAACTTATGCTTCATTATCCAAAGACTAATAAACATATGCAAAATGTTCGATATCATGAGTAATGCAACTTAAAACCTCAATGACATAGCACTTCATATCTACCAAAATGACTAAAATAAAAAATGGAGATCATATCAAATGCTCCAAGGATGTGGATCAACTGGAACTCTCACTGCTGTTGGGAGTGTAAATTCATTTAACCAGCTTGAAGTACTCTTTGCCATGTCTACTTAAGCTAAACATCTGCATTTCCTATCATCCAGAAATTTTACTGATAGAGATACATCTAGCAGATAGGTGTACCTACGGGTAATGAAATATATGCATAAGAATGGTCAAAGCAACATAATTCATGGTAGCCCAAAACTAAATCATCAACATTTATCAGCAGTAGAATGGAAGAATCATTTGTGTTAGAATTAGCAAAAACTATTACACACATAAGCATAGAAGAGTCTCAAAAATCTAACACTGCAAAAGAGCCAGACACAAAAGACTACCTACTGAATGAGCCAGTCTATATAAAGGCAAAACTACTCTGTACTGTTACGGGATAGTGTATTTCTATTTGCATAGTAGTGGTTTTTCGAGTTAGGACTGGGTATTGCCTGAACAGGTGCATGATAAAGACTTCCGGTTTGTGGTCATGTTACAATCCATCACCTGAGTGGTGATTAAATGAGTGTGCTCACTCTGAAAGTCTATCAAGTCGTACAGTTATGTACTGTTATGTTTGTGGATGTTTGCTATCTATCAGTAATATATTCACTAAAAAATACAAAAGTAGTAATATTTTTCTAAAGAGAGCTTATTGAGAAAAGCACAGGGTAGAAGACATGGCTTAATGGAAGAAGATTTCCTAGAGGATACAATATCAAACTCTGAGTTAAAATAAGACGTGTGAGGAAAAGGAGGAGTTTTATAATTTAAGAGAAGAGAGAAACTTGAGGAATAAGTAGCCAATAATGTCACATGCACCACAGTTCCGAGTAAATAAGAAATTGCCTACTTGGGCATTTAGGAAGATATTGGCAACTTTAGTGAGAATAGTTTCTCTAGAGCAGTAGAGAATGAAATCAGATTCTAAAGCTAAGGAGGTAAGAAGAGAATAGTAGTTGAGGAATTACAAATAAGAAATGTTGGCTGGGCACGGTGACTCTCGCCTGTAATCTCAGCATTTTGGGAGGCCGAGGCAGGAGATCACAAGGTCAGGAGATCGAAACCATCCTGACCTACATGGTGAAACTGCGTCACTACTGAAAAAATACAAAAATTAGCTGGGCATGGTGGTACGTATCTGCAATCCCAGCTACTTGGGAGGCTGAGGCAGGAGAATCACTTGAACTAGGCAGTTGGAGGTTGCAGTGAGCCGAGATCGCGCCACTGCACTCCAGCCTGGTGACAGACCGAGGCTCCAGCTCAAAAAAAAAAAAAAAAAAAAAGAAAGAAAGAAATAGGAAAGGTTAGTTAATCTTTCAGGAAGTACAGCTGCAAAGAAAAGAAGAAAGAAGAGATGGGAAGGTGACTAGCAGGACTCTAGAACTGGAAATTAATTTTCAGGAGTGGAGCAGTCTAAACTGTAAAAAGCACCAACTAAATGGGAATGGGAATTACTGATGGAGTAAAGTATCAGAAAATATGTAAGAGTCTGATTTAAGAGCAAAGGTGAAGTGTTGGCCATGAATAAGAGAAGCTGCACCTAAATTTCTGATACTGGAGGAAATGATCTGTGTGTGTTTGTGTGTGTGTGTGTGTGTGTGTGTGTGGAGAGAGGGAGAGAGTTGTTTGCAGATTTATTACTGGTAGTTACTGAAAAGTTGAGGCAGATCACACCTAACAATGTCAATTTTCTGGAATAAATAAAACTTTTCTGATTACACAGAGAAGAAAATTGATTTGGGGCTTATTGAGTTATCAAAGATGCTATACTACACTTCTGCTGAAGTTCTCTTGATTAAATGAAATGGAATTTACTGTCTTTGCTTCTAGATTTTTCAATTTATTTGCATATGGTTGCTCACAGCAGCCACTAATGATCCTTTGAATTCATGCAGTATCAGTTGTAATGTCTCCTTTTTCGTCTCTAATTTTATTTATTTTGGTCTCTTTTTTTTCCTTAGTCTGGCTAAAGGTTTGTCAATGTTGTTTAGCTTTTCAAAAAAAAAACAAGTTTTTGTTTTGTTAATTTTTTGTATTATTTTATTCTTTTTAATTTCATGTAATTCTGTTTTGATCTTTGTTACTTATTTTCTTTTAGTAATTTTAGGCTTGGTTTACTCTTACTTTTCTAGTTATTTAAAGATGCATCATTAAGTTTTTTATTTGAAGTTTTTTCTTTCTTTTTTTGATGTAGATATTTATAGCTATAAATTTCCCTCTTATTACTGCTTTTGCTGTATCCCCTAGGTTTTGGAATGTTGGGTTTCCATTATCACTTGTTTCAAGAAAATTTTAAATTTCCTTCTTAATTTCTTCATTGACCAACCAGTCATTCAGAAGCAATTAATTTCCATGATTTGTATAGTTTGCAAAATTCCTCTTATTTATTTGTAGTTTTATTCCACTGTGGTCAGAAAAGTTGCTTGATATTATTTCAATTTTGTGTATGTTGTACACACAACATACAAGAGACTTGTTTTGTGACCTAACACAGCTTATCTTTGAGAATGATCTATGTGCTGGGGAAAAGCATCTATATTCTGCAGCTGTTGGGTGAAATGTTCTGTAAATATCTCTTAGGTTCATTTGCTCTATAGTGCAGATTATGTTCAACATTTCTTTGTTGATTTCCTGTCAGAAAGATCTGTCTAATGCTCAAAGTGGGGTGTTGAAGTCTCCAGCTATTATTCTATTGAGGTATCTCTCTCTGTCTCTGATAATATTGTTTTATATATCTGGGTACTCCAGTGTTGGGAGCAAATATGTTTACAATTTCTATATACTCTTGCAGAATTGACTCCTTTATCATTGTATAATGACCTTCTTTGTTTCTTCTTTATAGTTTTATCTGATAGCCACTCTTGCTTTTTTTTTTTTTTGGTTTCCATTGGCATGAAAGATCTATTTTTATCCTCTTATTTTTAGTCTATATGTATCTTTGTAAGTGAAGTGTATTTATTGTAGGCAACAGATCATTGTGTCTTTTTTTTAAATTTTTTCAGCCATTCTGTAATTTTCTGGAAGAATTCAGTTTATTTGCATTCAATATTATTATTCATACTTAAGGATTTACTCTTGCCATTGTTATTTGTTTTCTGGTTGTTTTGTAGTCTTCTCTTTCTTCTTTCCTTTCTTCCTGTCTTCCTTTTAGTGAAGATGATTTTCTGATGGTGTGATTTGATTTCTTGCTTTTTATTTTTTTGGTGTATCTGTTGTATGTTTTTTGATTTGAGGTTACTATGAAGCTGCAAATATTATCTTATAACCCACTATTTTAAGCTATAACAACTTAGCACTGCTTGCATAAATAAACTAACAAGCAAAAAGAAAATTAGTAAAAACTCTACACTTTAATTTTGTCACCCTGCTTTTTAACTTTGTGTTGCTTCCATTTATAGCTTATTTTACTGTTTATGTCTTGAAAAGCTGTTGTAGTTATTCTTTTTGATTGGTTCATCTTTTAGTTTTTGTACTTGAGTACACAACCATTACAGCATTATAATATTCTGTGCTTTTCTGTGTACTTACTATTGCCAGTGAGTTTTGTACCTTCAGATGATTTCTTATCACTCTTTAACATCCTTTTTTTCTGATTATATAGTCTCTCTTTAGCATTATTTTTTTAGGACAGGTCTGATGTTGATAAAATCCCTCTGCTTTTGTTTGTTTGGTAAGGTCTTTATTTCTCGTTCATGTTTGAAAGACATTTCCACCGGATATGATATTCTAGGGTAAAAGGCTTTTTTGTTTGTGTTTGTTTGTTTTTCCTTCTGTACTTTAAACATGACATGCCACTCTCTCCTGTCCTGTAAAGTTTCTATTGAAAAGTCTGCTATCAGACATATTGGAGCTCCATTGTATATCATTCTTTACTTCCTTTTCTTTTCCCTTGTGTTTTTAGAATCCTGTCTTTATCCTTGACCTTTGAAAGTTTGATTATTATATGCCTTGAGGTAGTTTTCTTTGGGTTAAATTTGCTTGGTGTTCTATAAGTTTCTTCTATATGGGTATTGATATCTTTCTCTAGATTTGGAGAGTTCTTGGTTATCACATCTTCGAATTAGTTTACTACTTCTATCACTTTCTCCATCTCCCCTTTAAGGCCAATAACTCTTAGATTTGCCCTTTTAAGGCTATTTTCTATAATGTAAACACATCTCACTGTTTTTTATTCTTTTTACTTTAGTCTCTTCTGACTCTGTATTTTCAAATAGGCTGCCTTCAAGCTCATTCATTCCTTCTTCTGCTTAATTAATTCTGCAATTAAGAGTCTTTGGTGCATTATTCAGTACGTCAATTGCATTTTTCAACTCCAGAATTTCTGCTTGATTTTTTAAAATTATTTCCATGTCTTTGTTAAATTTATCTGATATTATTTTGAATTGCTTCTCTTTGTTATCTTGAATTTCTTTGAGTTTCCTCAAAACAGCTATTTTAAATTCTCTGTCTGAAAGGTCACATATCTCTGTTTCTCCAGGATTGGTCCTTGAAGCTTTATTTAGTTTGTTTGATGAGATCCTATTTTCCTAGATGGTACTGATGCTCATGAGTGTTTGTTGGCGTCTGGGCATCAGAGAGTTAAGTATTTATTTGGTCTTCACATTCTGGGAGTCAAAAACTTCAGAAATATACTTGATTTTTGATTCTACTGTGGCTGAATTGCACTCACACCATGAGACACAGTACTTTTTACTCTTTCCTTCCTTTTCCACAGGCAGAGGAGCCTCACCCCATGGCCACCACCACAACAGACACATGGGGAGAACTGCTGGGCTACCATTGATTTTTATTTAAAGCCCAAATGTTCTTCGGTCAGCTTGTGGTGAATGCTGCCAAGCCTGAGACTCATCATTCATGGCAGTTGGATCTTTTCTGACCCAGGGCAAAAATGGAAATACTGTCCAAGATTCAAAGCCTAAAATTGTGTACCCCATGAACCCATTTGGTGCTGTACCCCATTGTAGATGAACTGGTACTTAAGGTACAAGACAAAGTCCCCCTTTTTTCCCTCTGCTTTTCTCAAGCAGATGGAGTCTCTCACTGTAGCCACCACACTTGTGATGTTCTGGGACTCACCTGAAACCAGCACATTTCAGAGTCTCACCCAAGGCTTATGGAGTACCTGAGTATCACTAGTGATTATTCAGGGACCAAAGGCTCTTTAGTCAGCAGGTAGTGGATCCTTCCAGGACTGTGTCCTTCCCTTCAAGGTAGTGGGTTCCCTTCTGAAGCAACTTGTATCTAGAAATGTTTTCCGAGAGCTAGGATCTAGAACGTGGGACTCACAACTCTAACAGCGCCCTATCCTACTCTTTTTGAACTGGTATCCAAACTGCAAGACAAAGTTCTCCTTACTCTTTCCTCTCCTCTCCTCAAGTGGATGGAAGGGATCTCTTTTTGAGCCTCGAACTGTGCAAACTAGGGTTGGGGGAGGGGTGGCATAAGTGCTCCTTTAGCAACCGTAGCTGGTGTCAAATTCACTGGCTCTGAGCCCAGCTCAGCACTAGTACTTGCTAATAGTTGCAGTTCTTGTGGCCTAGACAGCCTTTTAAGTTTATTTATGACCCCAGAGCCCTTTGGCCCGCAGTGGCGAGGCTTGCTGGAACTCAAGCTCTGACTACTATGATGGGTGATTCCTCTCTGGCTAGGTCTGGTCTAAATGCTCCCTCTGTGGGCGGGCATCAGCTGAGTTCAACCAGGTTTTGCTTTCTGCTGTGCCAGGGCAGCACTGAGTTCAATGCAATGTCTTTCAATCACTGTGCTGTCCCTCTCCCAAGTACCCAGATTCTCTCTCTGCACCATATAGCCTACTACTGGGCAATGGAGGAGAAGTGGCATTGGTAATTCAAGACTGTGTTTTTGACTGTCTTCAGTGCCTTATTCAGTGATATAAAGTTAAAACCAGGTACTATGAGTGCTCACCCGATTTTTAGTTCTTATGATGATGCTTTTTTGTGTAGATAGTTGTTAAATTTGGTGTCCCTGTTGGGCGGACAATTACTGCAGCCTTTTATTTGGCCATCTCACTCCATCTCTTCTCCTGATGCCACTTTATATGAGATATTTGAGCATCCATGGATTTTGGTATCTGCATGGGCCTTGAAATCATTTCCCCATGGACAACAAGGGATTTCTACCTATATATGTGTGCATATTTTTAAAATTGTTCTTTATATTTTCTTAAAATCAAAATCTAGATAAGGAGTTTAGTCATTTAAGAAATACATTTAAAATAATTATTTAAATAATTTATGCAATTCAAATATTGAGAGATTAAGCAGACAGGAAGATGATATTATAAGTCGTATTTATTAATGACATTATTTTATGAGACAGTAAGTTAAAAAAAGTTACTTAGCATTAAAATTTATATCTTTAATACCATATATTATTTATGCTTGAAATTTTTTGTAAGGGTATTTATTTACCCAAATGTCAATAAAAATTATCTCTGAATTATGGTGTTGTGGTAGTTTGTTTTTCTTTCTTATTCTGTTTTCTTCTCTGAGTTTTGTAAATTACGTCACTTCAGAAAGTACACTTTTTTAGAAAAGTAACATAAAGGTTGCCTGTAGCTGTCTTTATTTAGTAGGGTCTATAGGAACAAAACACAGGGAATCAAGGAAGAGCCCTTTACGTTCTGTACTGTCCCTCAGCACCTTCCACTGACAAAGCTCACCTTTTTACCATCTGGCAAAGGAGATCAACTGTAATGGAAAATATAATACTATCTGGAGTCATCAGAGGAGAGAATGGAAAGTGAATGAGGGGAGACTGCTATTGTACCCAGTACTTTGATAGATTTTTTATAACTGAGGTATCAATTAAGGAAGATATAAGATCAAGAGGATTTTTTAAATAATGAAAGTAATCCAGTAGAGAAGGACAAATTAGCAATGTAGAAGAAAGAATAAATGTGAAAGCAAGTCATTAAGTAAGAGAAGCCTTAGGAGCAAGTGCCCTAGTTGAATGACAGGCTGAGCTTAGGAAGGAAGACGTCACAGTAACCAGAGGACAGGTGAAATACCTGAGTTCAGATGCAGGTTGGTTGCCCACTTGTGGGATAAGGAAAGGGGAAAATTATATATACCTCCGGTAATTGCTTCTAAGATTTCTGTTAACTCACCTGAAATCCCTCCCTAGAGATGATCTTGAAGAAAGCCAGGGAATTCTCCAAATAGATTTTTCAAAAGATCAGTTAAGATTGACAATAAAATGCAGAATGTGCAGTTATATTTGAATATGACATAAACAATACATTTTTAGCAATGTCCCAAATATTGCATGAACAAAATTGTTTGATATACGTAAATTTGATATGATGCAATATAAAATTCAAATTTGACTGGGCATCTTGTATTTTTATTTTCTTAACCTGGTAACGTCTCCACAGTTTAAGTAGAAAGCATATAAGCAAACCCTGGTAAGCAGAAATATGTGCTTTTTAGAAGATCCTCAATTATTATTATGATGCATACAATCTTTTTGCGAAAGTGGAAAAATGTTAGAGTTTAAACCCACTCATGTGTAAGAAAGGTGATATGCAAAGGCAGAATAAGAGGTTGCCTATGAAATGTTATTTTATGCTTAATATCTCTGTGGTGTACTATTCTGGTGCAAGCAAGCATCTAATACTAATTTAGTAATGATAATATAAGCATTTAGTACCTTAGGTTAAAAATATTTACCATGCATTTTTATGAGTAACATGAAGGAACTTAAGTCAATTCAGTACATTTTATAACTGCTTTACATTTTCCAGATGAAGAAACTGAGCCTCCACATCATACATAACTTTCTCACAAAGTGAATGTGGTCTGCCCAACCAGTTCTCCATCAGAGTTTGGAGAAATCCTTCCCCTCAGCAGACAGTGATGTTTGTTACAAGACATCAGTCCCTAAATGGAACAAGGGGCCTTGCTAAAGGGTTCAGGTGAGAAGAGTGACTTTTCATGAGTATTGTTTATCTGGCAGGCAGGGTGAGAGAGTGAAGAATGGAGAGAGGAGAAGGAAGTACACACACACAAATTATTGTACCAGTTTCATCGATTGCCAAGTCTATCTCTTTATTTTCAGCTTCTCATTTATCTTCTCTAGACAATTAACAAAGCTCTATTGAAGCTTTCTAGGTAGGAAATTGTGCTACATGGACTATATGATGAATAAGATACTAAAGAAAACTGTACTTTATTAGATACACTACTAAATAATACTTGGAAATGAAGGATATGCCAAAGGTAGTAAAAAATTTGAAGGTGACAAATTAATTGGGGGGGAATTTATAGAGAGATGGAAGATATTGGCTTACAGAAGAATTTAAGGTTTCATGGATGATATGGTATGGCTGTGTCCCCACCCAAATCGCATCTTGAATTGTAGCTCCCATAATCCTCACATGTCCTGGGAGGGATTTGGTGGAAGGTAATTGAATCATGAGGGTGGGTTTTTCTTGTGCTGTTCTCATGATACTGAATAAAGCTCACAAGATCTTATGTTTTTATAAAGAGCCATTCCCCTGCACACGCTCTCTCACCTGCCACCATGTAAGACATGCCTTTGCTCATCCTTCACCTCTGCCATGATTGTGAGGCTTCCCAGCCATGTAGAACTGTGAGGCCATTAAACCTTCCTTTCTTTTTTCTTTTCTTTCTTTCTTTCTTTCTTTTTTTTTTTTTTGTTTTTGAGACAGAGTTTCACTCTTGTTGCCCAGGCTGGAGTGCAATGGCATGATGTTGGCTCACTGCAGCCTCTGCCTCCCAGGTTCAAGCAAGTCTCCTGCTTCAGCCTCCCGAGCAGCTGGGATTACAGGCATGCACCACCACACCCGGCTAATTTTGTATTTTTAGTGGAGATGGGGTTTCTCCACCTTGGTCAGGCTGGTCTCGAATTGCCGACCTCAGGTGATCTGCCCACCTCGGCTACCCAAAATGTTGGGATTACAGGTGTGAGCCACCGTGCCCAACCTTTTTTTTTTTTTTTTTTACTTTTTTGGTGGACAGGGTATCGCTCTGTCACCCAGGCTGGAGTGCAGTGGTATGATCTTGGCTCACTGCCACCTCCATCTCCCAGGTTCAAGCATTTCTCCTGCCTCAGCCTCCCAAGTAGCTGAGACTACAGGGATGCACAACCACACCCAGCTAGTTTTTGTATTTTTAGTGGAGACAGGGTTTTGCCATATTGGCCAGGCTGGTCTTGAACACCTAACCTCAGGTGATCCACCTACCTCGGCCTCCCAAAGTGCTGGGATTACAGGTATGAGCCACTGCACCCGGCCAAACCTCTTTTTCTTTATAAATTACCCAGTCTCAAGTATTTCTTTATAGCAGTATGAAAAT
Organism: Homo sapiens; assembly: GCF_000001405.40. NCBI lineage: Eukaryota > Metazoa > Chordata > Mammalia > Primates > Hominidae > Homo > Homo sapiens. Next base: position 43,809,668 of record NC_000018.10, read on the forward strand.
GGACTAATACAATGGAGATTAGACATTCAGTTATACTAGGAGTGAAAATCTAAAAATGAGTAGTCACAATTCCCGGCAAATTCAGATGTACCCCAAGTAAAAAGATATAGAAACAGAAAAAACAAGCCATTTACACTATCTTCAAGAAAACGTTGAAATATTGAATATCTCTCAAAAATGTACAATATTTCTTCAAAGGAAACTACAAATTATTGAAAATATTAAGATGGTCTAAATAAATGGAGTGGAATGTACATTGTAAACATCATGGAATAGAAGATTCAATGTAAAGATATTTCTCCATGAAGTGACCTATATATCCATTGTAAATCCAATAAAAATCTCAGTCATTTTTCAAAAGAAATTGACAAGCTCAATAAAAATAAGTTTATGGAAATGCAAGGGCCAAGTACAATCTAGGCATTCTTAAGAAGAAACAAAAGCTAAAATATTTGGATAACTTAGATTATAATTATCACCCTATTCTAATTAAAATTTTCTGGACTTGTTACAAGGTTAATCAGATATGCAACTAAAACAAAATAGAAAGGTCAGAAACTCACGTATATATGAGACCTAATGCATAATTTATAAACACTCTAATACAGTGGGAAAAAGATGGCTTTTTAAATAAGTCTGTGTCAATTTAATATTCATAAAGGAAAAATGAATCTTAAATTCATAAGCACACATAAGTCAATTTTAGAGAGATGGTAAATATAAATATATAATAAAAGGTAAGATAAAAAAGCAAAACTTCTACATGTCCATCAGATGATGAATGGATGGAGAAAAGGAGGTACACAGTTGATTCTTGAACTTGGGGATTATAGGGTCTGACCCCCCCAGGCAGTCAAAAATTCACATGTAAATTTTGACTCCCCAAAATCCTAACTTCTAGTAGTGTACTGCCAACCTTACTGATAACATAAACAGTTGATTAACATATTTTTTCATGTTATATGTATTATACACTATATTCTTACAGCAAATTAGAGAAAATAAAATGTTAAAAATCATAAGGAGGAGAAAATATATTTATTATTTTTTAAGTGGAAGTGGATCATCATTAAAGTCTTCACCCTTGTTGTCATCTTCACATTGAGTAACCTAAAGACAAGAAAGAAGAGGAAGGGTTGGTCTTGTTATATCAAGAGTGGCAGAGGCAGAAGAAAATTCATGCATAAATAGACCTGTGCAGTTCAAATCTATCTTTTTTAAATGGCCAAGTGTATTTATAATATTGAATATTATTCATCCATATAAAGAAATGAAATCTTGTTACATGCTATAAAACATAGATGAATTTTGACAATATTATGTTGAGTGAGAGAAACAAGGAATTACATGTTATATAGGCCCATTTGTAATAAATGTCTCGAATATGCAAACGTATAGAAGCAGACAGTAACTTAGTGGTTACTTAGGGCTTGGAGGTGCAGAGAGTTAGGAGAATGATAGCTAAAGGCTATGGGGTTTCTTTTGGAGATGATGAAAATGTTCTAAAATTGACTGTGATAATGATTTTTTCTATCTGTAAATACACTAAAAACTAGCAAGTTGTACCTTTAACTGTAAGTAAAAAAAAAAAAAATTAACTGTACCTCAAACTATTAAATGGGTAGATTTTATGGTATGTGAATTATATTTCAGTAAAGCCGCCATTTTTTTTTAAAAAGTGGAAACTTCTAAAGAGCAATAAACAAAGAGAAAAAATATGGCCTTCAGGCTATATGCAAATATTTTATAAACTGGAAAGAAAACACACTAATCATAAGAAAGATGATAAGTCGGACTACTTTAAACCCTTCATTAAATCAATATACGTTGTTAAGATTTAGAAATTCAAACCACAAAGTGAGAAAAGATATTTGTAATACACATACCCATAAAAGAATCATAATATACAAAGAACTCTCCAAACTGTAACCAAAATGCCAACAGGTGAACAGTAAAATGAGCAAAGAGTAAAACTTTACAAAAAATGGTTTTCCAAATAGTCAACAAAACTATGAAAAAACATTCATCATCTTTGGTCATTAAAAATGGCAAATTAATAATATATTGCAGTAACACTACACACTAGAATGGATAAAATAAAAAAAATCAAATGTTTATGGGTGAATGGAACATTCAGAACTCTTATTTATTGCACCTGTGTGGTCATATCTGCTAGAACATATTATATTATACACATACATATTACTCAACAAGTTCTCTCCTGGTTATATATCCAACAAAAATACATGCATATTTACCAAATAGCGTTTAATAATATTCATAGCAGTGAGGCTATCCTCACTGGGTTCGCAAGAGTTCTGGACATAAATAGTTTTAATTAAGCATTAATCAAGGTTGCACTTTGACCCATTTCCTTGTAACTGAAAACCATACAACACTAGATACTGACCATTTGCATCCCCATTGTCCTTTTAGACAATGAAATTAGGATTATAAGATTTTCATTTAAGAATTGCTTAAGCACATTCTGCATTTCAGTGGAAATGCTAATGCCAACTAGTTTAAAGATCCCCACCAAGGAATTGAATAAGCATGAGAAAATTTCCTTGTCCCATGACTTCACCCTGCATTCTTTAATTAATCAAGGATCTCCACACTTCAGTCCACTCCAATATCCTTAAAAACTTTAGCCCCAAACTCCTCAGAGAGATGGATTTGAGGTGTCCTTCTGTTTCTTTGTTCAGCAGTCCTAAAGGTAAACCTCTTTCTCTGTTGCAACCCAGTGTCTCGGTGTATTAACTCACCATGTACACTGGGCAATGGACCTGTTTTGATTACAGTAGCACCATTTCTGTTATTCCCAAACTGGAAACCATCTAATATTTATTAAGTGTAGATTTGATAAACAGGTTGTGGCATTTTTATAAAATAAACCACTATAAAGTCATGAAAATATATAATCTACAACTATTAACCTGGATGAACATCACAGACAATATAATGCAACATTCGGAGAATATTGCAAGCACAAAAGCATATATATTTTATTTTTTCATTTAATATATATTTCAAAGGGAGTTTAAAAAAAAACAATGGTGATAGATGTCAAGCTAATGATTGCCCATTAGTGGGAGGCAGCTGGGTTGGTTCTAGTAAGTGGAAAGTGGGAAATGGGATCAGAATATGCCAAGTTAGCAGAAAACTTATTTTCAGCTTAAGGTAATTGAAAAACAGCAAACACAGGAAGAACACTCTGACCTCTTCTTTTCTGCCTAAAATCAGGGCATAAATTTCCCTTTTTACATTCATAGAGGTGTTTCCTTCTCCTGTATAAAAAAGAGAACAACTAATTGGCATAAAAATTGTACTAAATAAACCATATTTTCCATGCATCCCCAAGTCACTTTCCTACAATTTATCATCCCTAGAAGCCAAACCACTTTTTTCTTTGTTTCGCCACTTTTTAATAATTTATTACCCTATGTTAAGATATTTAAGCTCCAAAGTCTAATTATCTTATGAGTTACTCCTTGTGTTAATATATTCAAGCTGCAATAACAAAATACCCTAGATTTATAAACAATAAAAATGCATTTATTGCTTACAGTTCTGGAGGCTGTGAAATTTAAGATCAAGGAGCCAGCAGATTCGGTGTCTGGTGAGGGTCTATTTCTTACAGATGGCACCGTTTGTGTGTCTTCTCATTACAGAAGAGGCAAGGAAGCTCCCTTCAACCTCTTTTTTAAGGGCACTAATCCTACTCATGAGGGCGGAGTTCTAATGACTTAATCACTTCTCAAAAAGCCCCAACTATTAATGCTATCATTTTGGGTATTAAGATCCAACACATAAATTTTTGGGGAACACCAACATTCAGACCACAGCACTCATCACTCAGTTTCCTCATGTGTATGCAAATTACACATGTAAATAAACTTAAAAAGAAATTCTGTTAATGTCTTTTGTCAGTTTAATTTGCATTACCCAGACACAGAAGAGAAGTGTTCTACAAGGGCACCAGAGAGGTTTCTAGGGTACTTTAATGATCTGTTTATTGATCCAGAAGGTGGTTGCAAAAGTGTGCTTATTTAGTAAAAATGTTTGGAGATGTATACATATGACATTTTGTATGGTTTACTTCACTAAAAGTATATTTGAATCATGAAAGACAGAAAAAAAGCATTGAGGGCTATTCATGTAGAAAATAGCATTAGTAAAGATAAGAGGGCAGAAAAGCACCAGCCCTATCCAGAAATAGTGAGGATAGTTTGAAGCCAAAGATTTAACTTCCATTATTACCTCAGATGAAAAAATGGAAAAGGCTATTTAGAAAAAATATTTCATTTCCCTGCTAAAAATTTCCCAGAGGAAGCTCTTTTGAGGAGGTTCTTAAACAAGTTGGGGTTTATTTTCTAAGTATCAAGTACAGTATGGAAACAGGGAAGTAGAAATGTACCAAAAATTTGCATTTTTATATGCTTTATTCACAAACCTCAGTTGTGTGAGTTCTTTCTTTGGGGCTTGAAATATAAATAAGGGGCAACATTTCTGTTTTCTCCTACTAGAAACATTTATATAACAGAGGTGAAAATGTGTTATTGAATTTAAGCTAAAGCAATAATTTTCTAAGGGTGAAATTTCAGGCTTCACTAAGCTAAAAAAGGCAGACACGAAGGATGGGGTTTGGGAGAGAAGGTGGTAAAAGAACCTTCTTTGCCTAGAATGTGCCTAGAATCAGCAAACATTTTAATCACAGAACCAGATCTAGAAAGAGACTAACTCACCTTTGGGGCAGAATGCAATGGGGAGATGCTGCACCATGTTTGACTTATAAAGGCAAGGGCAGGGGTATGCATCCCAAGGACTCAAAGCCTGTGGTTGGCCTTCAGATTGTACCTTTAAACATTTCTGGGTGAATAGTTTGTAAATATGCATATGGATGGTATGGTTTTCTATTTTTTTTCTAATATATCTCAGGTCTATGAAGTTATTTATAAGTCATTGACATAATTCCCAAACTATTTTTCAGTATTATATAAAGACTCATGAGAAATAGCCTCAGCATAGAACAAGAGCATTATAATGGTTAATTTTGTGTGTGAACTTGACTGGGTCATGATGCCCAGAGAGCTGATTAAACATCACTTTTAGGTATATTCATGTAGATGTTTCTGGAAAAGATTAGCAATGGAATTGGTGGGATGAGTAAAGTAGATAAACCTTCCCAATGTGAGTGGGCATTATACAATCTATTGAGGGCCTAAATAAAGCAAAAATAAAGAGGAGAGTTTATTAATTCTGACTCACTATGCCAAATGGGATGTCAAATTTTTGCCCTCAGTGCTCCTGGTTCTCAGGCCTTTGAACACAGAATGAAACCTACACCATTGGTCCTCTAGTTCTCAGGCCTTTGAACTACACCATTGACTTTCCTGGGTATCCAGTTTGTAGATGAAAGATCTTGGGATTTTTCAGCCTCCATTATCACATGTGGCAATACCTTATAAAAATATTTTACTACATGTATCTATATATCTACATCTATATCTACATATTTATATCTCCATGCCTATACCTATATATTTATATATAGATGTCTATATAAACTATAAATTTATATATCGTGTTGGTTCTGTTTCTCTGCAGAACCCTGACTAATAAAAACATTCAGGAGATTTTTATCTGGAGATTATGTTTAGGAGCCCTTGACATATGCTATTTAGTGTCTTATATAAAAACCTGTCTTGGCCCGGCGTGGTGGCTCACACCTGTAATCCCCAAACTTTGGGAGGCGAGGCAGGCAGATCATGAGATCAGGAGATCAAGACCAACTTGGCTAACACGGTGAAACCCCGTCTCTACTAAAAATACCAAAAATTAGCCGGGCATGGTGGCAGGCACCTGTAGTCCCAGCTACTCGGGAGGCTGAGGCAGGAGAATGGCGTGAACCTGGGAGGCAGAGTTTGCAGTGAGCTGAGATCAGACCACTGCACTCCAGCCTGGACGACAGAGAGAGACTCCATCTCACAAAAAACAAAACAAAACAAAACAAAACAAATCAACAACAACAACAACAACAAAAACCTGTCTACCCAGGCTGGGAGCAGTGGCTCACGCCTGTAATCCCAGCACTTTGGGAGGCCAAGGTGGGCAGACCACCTGAGGTTAGGAGTTCAAGACTATCCTAGCCAAAATAGTGAATCCCTGTCTCTACTAAAAATACAAAAAATTAGCCAGGTATGGTGGTGCGCACCTGTAGTCCCAGCTACTTGGGAGGCTGAGGCACGAGAATTGCTTGAACCCAAGAGGCAGAGGTTGCAGTGAGCCAAGATCCCACCACTGTACTCCAGCCTGGGCAACAGTCAGACTCTGTCTCAAACAGACAAACAACAACAAAAAACCTGTCTCCCCAAAAGAACTCCCTTCGAAAGTAAACACTCATTCCACCTTCTCAAATCTAAATATTTATGTGCAATGATTTTCTGTGCAGTAATTCCATTTCTTTCTATGCCTAAGGTTTAGGAACCTCAAGTACATCTAACTTTCCTCATAAGGTGTTTCTGGAATTGCCTGTAAATTTAATGTCTTTAAACTGAATTCTAGTTTAGGTGCATCAGGGAAGTTCACTATTTACAGAAAACATGAGGTGAACCCTTTGTAATTTGAACAAACATTTGGTAAGGAAGTAATCATCTTTCATTACCTTGGCTTGTTATTACTCTATCCTTAAAGTGTGAGTATCACCGAATTGATTCTTTATGTTTACCTGGTTAAAACTTCTCTCCCGATTTTTTTATGCTTCTTTCCAACAGAGTTGTCCATATTATGTGCACCAGTTTCTACCAGGAGTATTATTTTTTGAAGTACTTTGTCTACTGTTTGGCCTAGATATCTACCCAATTGAAGCATTCTTATGATGGTAATGATGAATGTCTCTGACCTATTCTAACTATTGTGCTCCTTGGACTCATTTTCTCCAGGTGCTTCATTCAAGGCTGTGGTACTCCAGGAATTTAACTGATGTCTTTAAAGATTTTTTAAACTTTACTTTTTTTTCTTTTCTAGTGAATCCCTCTAGTAGAAACTGTCAGTCCCCAGGATGTATTTTCCACTACCTACTTAGTAATAGAACCCCCAATTTTTAACTGGATACTAGCTTCCCAAGGGAAAAGTACTGCATTTCCCAGCCTCCCTTGCAGCTAGGCCTGTCCTATAACTAAGTATTGACAATGGGATGTCAACAGAATCATGGTGTTCAAATACTAGGAAATATACTTAAAATAAAGTATATTTTAAGTATACTTTAATACTAGGCATACTCTAGTTCCTTTTTTCATCTTTTCTGATAGTTGAAATACAGACATTATGGATTCTGAGAAGAAAACCACATGCTAAATATTTCAGAAAAAGAAATTAGAGTGAACTTGGGTCCCTCTAGACTTATTTGAAACAAAAAGGAAATAAATTACCTTTATTTAATTTACTAGTATGTTGAATGATCTGTCCCTCACAGGAACCTAATAGTAATTGATGCATTTCCATTTTCTACTCATTATCTATGTGACTTCTATAGTTTGAATGTCCCCACCAAAATTCATGTTGAAGCTTAATCCTATGTGGCAGTATTAAAAGGTGGGGCCTTTAAGAGGTGATTGAGTCATGAGGGCTTTTTCTAAAGACTAATGGGTAAATGGATTAGTGAGTTATCACGGGACGGAAATTGGTAGCTTTATAAGAAGAGAAAAAATGACCTGAGGACAGCATGTTAGCACACTCAGCTCTCTTGCCATGTGATGCCCTGCACCACCTCAGGACTCTTCAGAGTCCCCATCAGCAAGAAGGCTCTCACCAGATGCAACTCCTCAACCTTGGGCTTCTTAGCCTTCATAGTTGTAAGAAATAAAGTTATTATCTTTACAATTTACCCAGTTTCAGGTATTTGGTTATAAGCAACAGAAAATGGACTAAGACAGTGACTTTGGGCAATTACTTAAGCTTTTAAAAACATTTCCCTAATATGTGGAATGGGAACCATATAGTACCTGTCTCAGGGGTTGTTTTGTGTAACTTGTGGGATTATTCATACAAATATATCAGTAAATGTCTTGGCCTATAGTAATCACCAGTAAATTTTGATTTTATTATTTCAAACATTTTATGGATTAAGTATACTTAAATTCAGGATTGCTATTTCTATTATTTCCAAGTGCATGTTGAATAAGAATTCGACTCTTGAGATCTGTTTAGAGCTACCTGCTATGAGAGCCCGTAAGTGCCTCAATGTCATCGTATCTAAAAACCAACTTACTATATTGTTTTCAACTTGCTGTTTTCCTGAATTTCTTATGTCAGTGAATATCCTCGCTGTCTACCTAGTTATGCAAGCAAAATATACCATTGTCTTATGCTATTTGTTACGCAATCTATTATCTCCAAATACTCTAAGTTATGTCTTTATAATATTCTCTATTCACACTCCTCCTTCACTTCCCCTGTCTCTAGTTCAAGTACTCATCTCATTTGCATTACTGCAGGACTCTCATAATTGTTCTTCCTATGTACATATAACCATCAAGGAATCTTATTATAGATGGATGTTTAATCAGGCCAGTATCCTGCTTAAGATCTTCTTCATGGCATACTTTTGGATAAAAATAACATTGAAACTTCATATCATGGTCTACAAAGTTTATGCTCTTTTTCTGCCTAACTTATATTTTCATTCCCTGTCTCTTTTCCAATCAAACCCTTAACATTAGCCATAAAAATAACTAGCATGTATGGAGTCATGTACTTTTCTAAACACTTGACCTGAGCAGTCTTCATTAATCTGTTGTACAATCTTTTGAGGAAGATACCATTATTATTACCAGACAGTATTGCCAGATGAGGAAAGTGAAGCATCGAGAGGTCAGAGGCTTCTTCAAGTTCTCATAGCAAGCGACAGAACCAGAGTTCTAGCTTGCATGGAGCCTGCAATTGTTTTTTCAATAGCAACTCCTCTGAGAAGACTTCCTGAGTTTTCCAGAAAGATAAGGCACCCGCCCACCAAGTGCTCCAGTAGCATATGACCCATGCTTCTCTTACAGCCCTTACCCTCCATTGTTTGTATTTATTTGCCTCTCTGATCAGGTTGTAAGGACAGATGAGATTTATGTCATTCAATTTGATATCCCAGAGTGTAAAATAGTGCATGGAACATAGTACTCTACAAACTTTTCTTGAACATATGAATAAAAATAAAAAGTAAATGTATAAGTGAAAGAAAAACATCATAATGGCCCAGACATACATATGCACAGTAACACACACACATATGCACAGTAACACACGTACCCACACATGTGCACATGGGCACATACCAAACAAAAATTAAAATGTGCAGTGGGAAAAACAGTTCATTGGCAGTCAGGCAATCTAATGTCTAGATTTAGTATTGGAGCTACTGACCTGGATTGATTTTATAAATTTATCTTCTGTTTTGTGGGTTCTATTTTTGTTTTTGAAGCAGCTTATTTATAAAAAAAAAAAAAATCAGGTCCCATGAAGACATTAGGAACTCAGATCTGGCAAATTATGCCAAGATAGAAACACCCCATGTGCCCTCTCAGCTGCATGGAGCAGATGCTCTTCTTGTTGGACACAGACCCTGAATGATGTTGGGTGTGGAAAAAAAAAGTAGGTTTTTTTTTTTTTTTTTTGAATCAGCTTTTTAAAAAAAGGACAACCTTTTTTGTGAGGACATGAGCATAGGTCCATATCTTCACCACAGCAATGAGACAGCAGGGGGCTATCAATTCTGCTGCTGTTAAAGGGTTCAGCTGGAACCTGCCTGCCCTCCTGAACTGTCTTTATTCCAGGCTTGGTCTATCACCAGAGCCCTCCCTCTAGATCTTTGATCGTCACTGCCCATCTGCACTTTGAATCATCATGCCTAAATAAAGCTCTATTCAGGAATTCTAATCCTCTAGACCACTCCACAGTAGACTTTCCAAACAGCATATACACAAGTAGAGCATTTCTAAAGGCCCTTACATATCTAAATGATATGATTTATTTTGCCACCTTGGGATCTGGTGTCCAGGAATGCTTTGAATTCCATTAATAGATGAGTTCCAGAAAGATTCATTATTGCTCCTCATGGGACATATTTTTGCCTTTATTTTAACAAGAAAGGTAGCATTAGAATTACAGTATAATCTTCTCCAAAATAATGTATAGGAATGGGAGTTTAGGAAGCTGAAAAATGAAACACATGTGCTTTTGACCTCAGCTTACTGGTACTGCTAATGTTTGTGCTACTAACTGAATTGCTGCTGACTTTTAATCAAAGAAGAAAAAGATCAAATACATATAAATTGAACTAAACAAGGGAAATTATCAGACATGTTTAGAAGGCATCTGGGAGATGAGAAAACAGATAACAATCTGCAAGTAGCCACATCAAAACAAAAGGAGGATGGGAAGGAAATAGAAGAAGAACAACTTCACGGCTAATAACCACAGACCCAAGTATAATAGCAACTGCCTGCTATATTTCACATGTTCCTAATTTGATTTTTTATGGCACACCTGAAGAATATTTGACAGAAATTTAGGAGATGAAGATAAAAATAGAGTAGCTCACTAGATCATTCCCTGGCTCAGTGGATCTCCTTTTGGTCAATACTGTATTAATTTTTTATTGTCTTCATAAAAAATGATCACCAGTAGTTGAAGAATGAAAGATGGAAGTGGAATTCTCAGCCCCTTTGTTTAGTTTCAAATGTTCTGCCTGTTATCTTCTAGAATTTTTACAATTTCAGGTCTTAGATTTGAGTCCTTGATCCATCTTGAGTTGATTTTTGTATAAGGTGAGAGATAAGGATCCAGTTTCATTCTGCTACACTGTGGCTTGCCAATTATCCCAGCACCATTTGTTGAAAAGGGTGTCTGTTCCCTACATTATGTTCGTGTTTGCTTTGTTGAAGATTAGTTGGCTGTAAGTATTTGGATTTATTTCTAGGTTCTCTCCAAAAGCAAATACAACAAAAACAAAGGTAAATATGTGGGACTTAATTAAACTGAAGAGCTTCTGGACAGCAAAAGGAACAGTCAGCAGAGTAAACAGACAACCCACAGAGTGGGAGAAAACCTTCAAAATCTGTACATCTGACAAAGGACTAATATCCAGAATCTACAAAAAAACTCAAACAAATTAGCAACATAAAAACAATGCCATAAAAAAGCAGGCTAAGGACATGAATAGACAACTCTCAAAAAAGATACACTAATGGCCAACAAACATATGAAAAAATGCTCAACATCACTAATGATCAGGGAAATGCAAATGAAAACCACAATGCAATACCACCTTAGTCCTGCAACAATGCATATTCAAAAAATCAAAAATAATAGATGTTGGTGTGGATGCAATGAAAAAGGAACACTTATACACTGCTGGTGGGAATGTAAACTAGTACAACCATTGTGGAAAACACTGTGGAGATTCCTTAAAAAATTAAAAGTAGAACTACCATTTGATCCAGCAATCTAACTAATGGGTATCTACCCAGAGGAAAAGAAGTCATTATACAAAAAAGATAATTGCGCACGCATGTTTACAGCAGCGCAATTTGCAATTGTAAAAATATAGAACCAGCCCAAGTGCCCATCCGTCAACGAGTGGATAAAGAAATTTTGGTGTGTGTATATAGGTAGTATTCCATCGTGTGTGTCTATATATATATATATATATATATATATATATATGGACAACCAGATATATATATATATATCCCGTTATATATATGGACAACTAGATGTGTGTGTATGTGTGTGTGTGTATATATATATATACACACACACAATGAGATGTATATATAATATATACAGTTACATATATATATATATATATATATATATATATATATATATATACACGCACATACAATGGAATACTACTCAACCATGAAAAGGAACAAATTAATGGCATTCACAGCAACCTGGATGGAACTGGAGACTATTATTCTAAGTGAAGTATCTAAGGAATGGGAAACCAAACACCGTATGTTCTTACTCAAAAGTGGGAGCTAAGTGTTGAAGATGCAAAGGCATAAGAATGATATAATGGACTTTGGGCACTAAGGGGAAAGGGTGGGATGGGGGTGAGAGGCAAAAGACTACAAATTGAGTTCAGTGTATACTGCTCAGATGATGGGTGCACCAAAATCTCACAGATCATCATTAAAGAACCTACCCATGTAACCAAATACCACCTGTTCCCCAAAAACCTACGGAAATAAAAAAATTTTTTAAATGCTCTGCCTGTTATTCTGTATCTCCTTATAGGACTTCATGACTAGTCAGGTGGAATTAGAGAAGGAAGAGCTCATAGAAGCTGCAGTTAGGCTTTGAAGATCTCCAGCCTGATTCTGTAGTGTATTGATTCAAAAGAACAAAACCAAAGATCTCATGAAGCAGGTAAGCCTTTATTGTTCTAAAGAATTAGACATGATTGTCCTTGCTAGAGTGAAGACTCAAGGTCTCATCAAGGGGAAAGCATGTCTAGTGTGTCTTCATAAATGCTATATCCTGGTGTATTAATATCCTAACATTTCTTCTGCTTAGTTTTTAGCTGTTGGGAACCGTTTAGATGGCATTAAGCTTTATCTTCTTTCATTGCATTAGGATTCTGGTTAACTATTTCTGTGTACCAAGCCACCCCAAAAGTTAATAGCTTAAAATAACAATTTATTATATGGTTGGTGCAAAAGTAATTGTTGTTTCTGCCATTACTTTTAACGGTGCAGTTGAAACTGCAATGAATTTTGCACCAACCAATAATAACCTCATGGTTCTGAGGGCTGACTGAGCTTACCTAGACAGTTCTTGCTGAAAGCCTCTCATGTGGTTGCAGTCAGACAATAGCTGGAGCTGGTATCATCAGAAGGATGGAGTGGTCTAGATATCCAAGATAGCTCTCTAACAGGGCTAGGAGTTGATGCTCGCTATCAGCTGGGATCTGAGGCTATCTACAGGAACACCTATACATGGCTACTACATGAATGTTGGGCTCTCAGTGTTGGCATTAGATTCACAGTGTCACTTCTGCCATATTATATTGGACAACATAGTCACTGGCCCTGGATCACCCAGATTCAAAGGGGTAAAGAAATAGACTTGATGGAGGAGCAGCAACATCACACTATAAAAGAGTGTGAAACAGGAAACATTGCTTTGCTCACGTTTTGAAAATGTATTCTTCCACAATTATTGGCATATAATCTTTGGGTTGCTAAACTTTTAGATAACATATGCCAAGAACTAGCCAAGTCCTCCATATTTTACAGCCTCTCTACTTGTCTTTTAGAGCTCTTTCTGATTATATGCTCTGCTCCTTAAATATTCTGGGCTCTCATGTTCCCTTAATTCTCATTTTTCAGCCTTTTCCCCTATCAAAACTCTCCTATTTTGTGCTCCACTTTTTCAGGATCAGTTTCTCTGCTGGGTAATTATGGGTAATGTGAGATGTTTAACTTTCATTTTCTGTATTGGCATCTCTGTGCAGGTGTCTGCTGATAAAATTAGGTTCCCAGGATATGTGGTACAACATGAACACATAATTTTCATTACTGGCTAATATTTTGGCTATGGATGGCTATAAAGAACTTAGTTTTATAGTGTGAAAATGTCAAGAAAATGCCCTTAGTCATTCAGTTTTAATGCCTGGAACAAGGCCAGGCATAAGAAGCCAGGTTATTTTATTTCTCTTGATCTAGGTTGTGGCTTTGCTGGCCTTACATAGCCTTTCAGAGGTGTAGCTGCCCTTCCCAGGCAACTCCTATCCCCGGAGGGGACACACATGTATACAACGAAAGATATTCACTATAGATACATCAGATCTACTTATATTTCCTTAATGTCTCCCAAAAAGTTACCATCATTAGTCTTGGAGAATGAAGTAGGTAACCATTTCAAAGGACAAGACAGTTTGTATAATGGTTAAGGACCAGACTTGGAGGCAGAGGTCCTGAGTTTAAATCCAAGACCTGTAACTTAATATATGAAGGTTAGGCAGCTCACTCTACTTCAGTTTCCTCAACTGTAAAATGAGGGCAGTGATAGCACCTACCTCAAAAAACTGCTGTGAGAATTGTACATACCTGGCATGCAGCAAGTACTATAAGTATTTGCTATTATTCCTATTTTGTCATTGGCTACTTTTGAAGGATCTCCATACTATTAGAGAAGAGTAATAGACTGTGTGATCAATAAGAGATGAAATGATAGACATCCTTTTGGTGTGTTCACTGGTTAATGTGTTGCCCCTTCCAGGGAATATAATGCTGTAAAAACCATCATTGTATCAATATTCTCCTGCTGGGTCCATGGCTCCTTAAGGAGGAGAGCATATGGTAGAATTTCAGGCACCATAGGAGGTCAATGAGGGGAATATTTTTGTTGAAGGAGAAAACTCTTTTAAAGTTGCCAATTACGTCTACCCATTGAGTCAGCTATACTCCTTAAGTATAAAAATAAAATTATTTGTATGTTTCTATTTTTCATTGTAAAGTTTTATGTTTTTTTAATTGTTAAAAATTCCTCAATGTCAAACCATTCCAAAAGGTTATAACTCCCAAAATGTTAAAAATCACTGACTAGAGATAAATTGTAATTCAAAGCCCATGATCCCATAATCAGGGAAAATTTGTAGGCTCCAAAAACTAGTAAGATGATAAGACTAGGTTCAAAAATATGTATTATTCTAAGGCATATTCTGACCTGGATAATTACTAAGAAGCTCAGAAGAAAAACAATTACATATCAACACAATTGCTATCCAAAAACAAACAAAAACCATAACTAATACCAAAAAAGAATAGCAAAATATATTTTTAGCACCTACTCCATTAAAAGACCTAGTCTCTTTTCATAAGAGACCTATAAGATTTTACTAATTCAATTTTATATTGGAAGAAGTGAAGGCTTGAAGAAATCAAGCAACTTGCCCAAGTCCTGCAGGTGGTAGCTTTATATGCCAAGAGTCAAATTCAGATATCTCTAGCTCCGTGCTCAAACTCTGAAACTCCAACCTCTGTTCACACATTCAGTGCTCACAACACAAGTCCTGGCTTTTCATGTTGGCAGGAGAGGAGCTCCATAGTTAATCCTAAAATGCTTTTCTGCCTCATCTTTGTTCGTCACCCTAGACCAATTCTCTATTCCAGCTGGGGCAGTCTTCTCACTGACCTTGTTATCTGTTGTGCCTTACTGTGTCCTCTGGACCTTCAGGTTTCACACCTGTAATACTCTCCTGTTCTCCGCTCTGCTGATTTAAACCTTGATATTCCTCAGAACATTCTTAATGTAATCAGCTTCACACATCTTCCCCTGGGCTCCCAAATTCAGTGCAATTACCTGTCTGCTGGACTTCCTGTGTCATTGCTGGAGTTTCGTATGCCCGACATCATAGTTTCCTTTTGTTTCTGTGCAGTATACAGCTTGCCTCCCTGAATAGGGCAGGGTCTTATGCCTCCTCTTACAACTTTTATCTAACACATGGTAAGCCCTCAATAAATGCTAGGTAATTGACTAATGATCTGTTTTGTGACAAAAAAAAAAAAGCCTTTGGTTGAGTAGTCTGTCGTTTGTTACAGAATTTCACAAGAGAGAATAAGTCCTTGAAAATAAAAGTGATTGAGAAGAGTTAATAGAAAAGTCTTCCTCATTTGAGACCAGGATGCTCAACATGGTGAAACCCTGTCTCTACTAAAAATAAAAAATTAGCTGGATGTGGTGGCACACGCCTATAGTCCTAGCTACTCGGGAGGTTGAGGCAGGAGAATCACTTGAACCTGGGAAGAGGAGATTGCAGTGAGCTGAGATCACACCACTGCACTCCAACCTGGGCAACAGGATGAGACTCCATCTCAAAACAAAAACAAATAAAGATCTTCCTCAGAAGAGAAAATTTCTCCTTCTCCTTTGCAGAAAATGCCACTGTAGTGCAAAAACTTTAAAAATGCAAACATTTTTAAAGAAAACAAAAACTTTATAAATGCAAAGTTCAGCATAAATACATGTGACCTACACATGTTGTTGCTGTTATATAGTGCTCAGATTAGGCAAAGAAATTGAATCAATACTGGGGAGAAAAGAAGTACATTGACAGGTCTTTTCCAGATAGCCTGCAAGATTCCCATGATGAGAATAAAAACTATGGCCAAGGAAATCAATAAAGAAAAAAAGTTACCCAAAGTCAGGTCTAATAATTTGAAGAATTTTACATGCTTCAGCTAGATTCTCAGAGACATCAAACAACTTGTCCAAGTTCTGCAGGTGGTGGCTTTATATGCCAAGAGTCACCCAGATGAGTGTGTTACTCTTCATGCAGTGAGACATGGGCTTGCATTTACTCTGTGACAAAAGTTCATTATCTAGGAAACAAAGAAACTGAACTGAACTGAACAATCGCAAACGTTAGTTTGAGCCATTTTAAATTCTTTGGCTTCAAACAGGGTAATCCTAAAGGACTAAAGTAGGGAAACTTTGTAACTGGTGACCTCTTATTTTTCTAGAATTCACCTTCCCCACCCTGCCCCTCTTCTAACCTTCCCAAGGCAGAAAATATTGTCATGTTCCCCTCTGGTTTATCACTAACAAATCTATATCTTTATATTACAGCTTGCAACCTCTTTCTTGGGTATTATCTTATATGGCCTTCACAAGTTCATGTTATACAGAAACAAAGTCCTTTTGCAGATGTTCAGTTTCAGGGAGGTTAAGAAACTTACCACAGGCTTTGATGTGTTGGGGCAGGTAGTTGTACCTCCGGTACTTTTTTCTTTCCCTGGGCCATGCTCTCTCTCAGGGGCTAACAATGTAGGTGATTCTCCAAACTGATCTGATATTACTGAGCCTATGTCCCACAGCTTTGCTATCTGTTCTTCTTCATTACTTAAAGAAGAACTCTACTCAAGTTCCTCATTTAAACAGGATGCCTAGCTCTACTAAAATCTCGGCATGAAACAATAACGTCTGTCTTAATCGATGACTGAAAGAAATTTCCTCCCATAAATATCAAATAGAATGTCAAAGTCAACCCACTAGGCCTAGGGAGGGTAACAGTGAAAATTTTAAGTTTCAGGGCCTGATTAAGAAGAAAAATAGGTAGGACTGAAAGACATATAGGTTTATATTTTCTTTAAAAACCTCCAAATATTGCTGTCTTCAATGAACACACAGTGGCAGGAGTTGAGGATGGTTAGCAGTGGAAATTCAACAGATGTAAAAGGAAAAAGTTGTATCTTTAAGATTAGATAGACATATAGATACAGTGGTAGATATATATGTACATGTAGATTTCTTTCAAGTTAGGCAAGTTATAAATTGAATGTACAATTTATAATTCAGCAGCATGTAGTCAAGTTCTAAACTGCAGGGATGAAGTGCTGAGTGAGGAGCTGAAAGAAGGAGTAAAGATCACTAATAGAATGCAGGTTTAGGAAGGGGATTTGAGCCCAGCTCTGAAGGATGTCTAGGCTTTATACGTGGGAAAGTGGAGACAACACTAGTGCTGGAGCTGACAGTTAAAGTGCACGCAAAATTTCTGTCGAAAACTACACATATGATCTTCACCTAATTTTCTTCCTCTTACCCGAAGATGGAAGAGTGAATCAAGGTGTAGAAAAAGGAAGAGAATAATATGACCCTGATATCACGAAGACTTTGTCTGAAAGCAATAAGGAAGAAATCTTAGTAGACAGGGAGAGACTGCTGTCACATGTGTTAAACTACAATTTCCCAAGTAATACTGCTTTTCAATTTGTGTTTTATCTCTTCCCTTGAGTCCCACCACAGCGCCAGGCCCTGGGATGCTCTAGTCTTGAAACACTTCAGAGCAACAGTTTTAGTGCACCCCAGGGAGGCAGCTAAATGCTAGCACATCTGTGCATTTTATAGAAACCGAAGCATAGGCAAATTGGTTTTTTTGGGGAGAGGAGGAGGGATGTCCGACTTTCTTT
This sequence comes from Homo sapiens, assembly GCF_000001405.40. Lineage (NCBI taxonomy): Eukaryota > Metazoa > Chordata > Mammalia > Primates > Hominidae > Homo > Homo sapiens. The sequence goes on from NC_000018.10 coordinate 43,827,634, forward strand.
TACCTTCACAAGACTCTTTGAATACAATCCACTTCATAGCCCATATGGCTTGTGTATATGGATGGACATAACAATTCAAACATTTTCAGAAATAGGTAGAAGTATCACTAAGGACTTGGAAGAGTCCAATTTCCTTACTTTTCATCACTGACACTCTTCAGTTTTCATTTCTCTTTGCCAGTATTTGGACATATATATTTTTTCTTATCTCTTTTAACACTAATTAATAGACTATATTTTTCAGAGCAGTTTTACTTTTACAGAAAAATTGAGCAGAAAGTACAAGTCCACATGCCCCAACACCTCCCATCATATTTTTTTCTGTAATTAATATCTTGCATTATTATTGCATACTTGATGAGCAAACATTAAGAAATTATATAAATTAAAGCTTGTAGTTTACACTGGAGTCTGTCTTGTGTTATATAGTTCTTTGGGCTTTGAGAGATGTATAATGCCAGGTATCAACCCATATATTGTCATACAAAAGAGTTTCAGTGCCTGAAAATCCCCCGTGCTCCATCTCTTCATCCCTCAATCCTCTCATGCTTCTTTTTTTTTGAGACAGATCCTCATTCTGTCACCCAGGCTGGACTGCAGGGGCATGATCTCAGCTCACTGCAACCTCCGCCTCCCAGGTTCAAGTGATTCTCCTGCCTCAGCCTCCCAAGTAGCTGGGACTACAGGTGCCCACCATCACGCCCGGCTAATTTTTTTTTTTTATTTTTAGTAGAGACAGGGTTTCCCCATATTGGCCAGGCTGGTCTCGAACTCCTGACCTTGTGATCTGTCCACCTCGGCCTCCCAAAGTGCTGGGATTACAGGCGTGAGCCACCGCGCCGGAGCTTCTTTCTTAAAATGTAAAAATCTGTAGAACTATAAAGTGAGAAAGAGCTTATAATCTGCCATAGCAAGTCTTTATAGAAGAGGCTGAAAGTGAAATATTGTTCAATTTAATAATGGAATAGTGGTGGCATGCTAGTCCTGAATTCTTTCCTCCTGCCCCACCATTACATGGTGTTTCTCAGGATAGGACAAAAAGTAACAGCCAAGTGCTTACAGCTCAAATGAGGATCAAGCACCACCCTTAAATTATTTTTTTTAAATAAATAGGATTATAATGCTCTTAGGATGGGAAGACACATTTGGAGGTGTATTTAACTGGGGGAGGGCATAACTGAAATTCCCTAAGCAGATCTAGAGGCATATGGTGGGGATAAAAAGGGACGGTTCAGGGACTGATGTTTATGGCCAACTTTTGGTTTCAGCCTCTAAAGGGAAAAGGTAAATGAATCTTTGAAGTTTCCTTCTAAAATTCTCAGACTGGCTTAATCAGGAAAAGCAGGGAAACAAGTTCCACGGCCCAAAGTTTTGCTCAAGAACAAAGTGTTCTTGCTAAAACATCTTTCGGTGTCATGATTAAGAACATGACCTCTGTGGTGAGACTGACATGAATTCAAATTGTGACTCCTGGATCTGTGTGATGTCTGTACATCCCAGTTTCTCCAGCCGATGTGTGACCAACAGTACCTATATTTTAACTGGGAATTGTAAAGAAGAAAATGAGAGGGCAGTTGCCAAGAGGCTTACTAGCCACTGACCAACATGATGTAATTCGCAAACTAATTCATAATGCAGGGTCATAATAATGAGCTGCTGAATGATATGCTAGCAAAAAGAAGACGAACCTCCCTAAGGAGTTAGAAAAGAAATCAGAGAAAAGCTGGAGTGTGTTTGTGTGTTTGCATGTGTGTATGAATGAATGATGTTTGAACAATTACAAAAGAAAAGGAGGACCCTAGGGATTGACAGGCAGGATGGTAAATGATAGATGAAGTTTCCAGAAACGGAAGTAGGAGATCAGTGGGTACAAACCAAATTTGAGAGAGTGGGCAGCATGCTGGGAATCCCAGTTAAGGCATCTTTCTTTGACCTTATGAAAGAAAAAATTCTGTTTTAAATTGAAAAACTATACTTTGTTTTATTAACTATTATTATTATTATTATTACTGTTTAATTAATTTCCAGGTTCTTTATCAAGAAGATACTTTTTGTTTTTTCCACTTTACGAAGGTAAATCAGAATAAATACCTGCCTCCAACCAATGAAATGTTAATTCATGTACTTAGCAGATAAATCACTTTAGTGTTGGCCTAAACTCTTCACCCTAGCATCCCCAGACCCCCTCACTGGAGAACACGAATTAATGAGCTACATAAAACCCTGCAACATTGTATTCTCAGTGTGGGCTTATGAGACAAATACCCAAGTAAAAGGTGAAAACAAGAAAATATTTAGCAGGAAGTTTAATTCTGTCTGAGGGATTAAAAATCGCTGTGTTAAGGCTCAACTGTTCTGTAGAGCCACACACCTGGGGACCCTGAGACCTGAGAGCTAAGGTAAGTAAAGCCCTTTGGTTGGTGGTGAAAAGAATGAACAAGCAAGATTCTACTAGTTCTCAAGAGCTGTTATGAAATCCAAAAAAATGGTTCTTGGAATTTCAGGCTGTTGGCCCTCTGTTCTCTACTGAAAGATATCCCGTTGCAGCTAGGCAGTCCACTTTCTTCCTGCATGTTTTGGTACCAAGAAATGGTCTCTAATTTGTGCACACTGTTGGCCATAAATAGCTGATGGTTTGTACACACCATTTCAATTTCATTATAATGCTTTTCAAATTTTCATTCTTTGAAATTTTTAAGTTTTCATTCTTAAGTGAGCCATCAAAGCCTTATAATGCAGAAGAGTGAGGGGAAAAGATTTGGTGTTTTAATTTTAGACAGCAGTTGTCAGTTTGGAGAGAAAACATTTGAGGAGGTAGGTGAGAGAGATAGGGAAAGAGAGCCAGGGAATGTGTTGGGCCACTAAAGCCAGGCCAACCACAAATACATTCACCATGGAGAAGTAAATCTGACCCTCAATTCCATCTATCTACATGACAACTGTTCTCCTTCAAATGGTGGTTCACGTTCATATAATAAAAACATCTAAGAAATGGGGCTGAATGTGTCTTACTTCAATGTTTATGAGAGTGTTCTGGAAGGAATTTTTTCTCCAATATATAAGAATTCAGCATGCCTAGCAGAGAGGATTTGGTAAGGGGCAGAGAGAAGCATTTTTTGTCATTATGTTAATGTACCATCCCAGCTTCACTATTGATGCCAACAGCCCTCAGGATGGGAGGTTTTCTCTCACTCCCAGGTCAATTCCTCTGCGTGTGTTGCACAGAGAGTCCCCTTCAACAGGGAGCCTTGACTCGTGAACATAGACCTATATACGGGGCCATTCCCACGCACATAAGAAACAGTAATCTCAGGACTGTTTCCTATTTTTTATATTTCAAATCCAGGCTGTGGGTTTTTCAGTTGGAGCTATTTGATTTCATTCAGGGACAGCAGTGTAAGGGAAGCTGGAAAACTGTTCCACCAGGCTTCAAGCATATGCCTGGATTTGTTTACCATAAACAAAGTCTTCTCAGTGACTGTTACTGTCACCATAGCAACAAGATTGAGGTTACATCTATCAACAAAGCACCACATAAGGCGAAGGCGAGCAGTTAATAAAGAAGAGCAATGATAATTACACAGCCGCCGGCCGCCAGCTCAAACACGGAGGCCTTTTTTTTTCCCCCAAATTCTAGTTCCATTTTCAATGTAGACATGGAAAGTATAACTCAAAAGGCATTGGATGCCCATTCCTGGAGTTGTCTGGGAGATGAAAAAATAAACAGCTGGAACTTCTTCACAGATCTTAGCTCCATGGCATAACTCTATTAGTAGGTTTACTTACCTCAGTAGGGTAAAACTGCCTCATTAATGATTAAGAAAAAGAAATCAGAAATGTCTGTGGAAAAATCAATTTCTGATTTAAAATACAAATATTAAAACAAAAACCCAGAGATCAAGAATGGGCTTACAGAGGAAAGTGAAATTAAATGGACATAATTTCCTGTGCTCTTCATTGAGATGAGTAGGTTTAGGTGAACAGGCCTCCACCTATGCACATTTTGGGCAAGATTTCATTGGCTATTTGGGGTCTTTTGTGGTTCCGTGCAAATTTTAGGATTAAAATTTTTATTTTACTCTACATTCAAAGGGTACATGTGCAGGATTCTTCCATGGATATATTGCCTGATGCTGAGGTTTGGGCTTCTAATGATCCTAACATCCAAGCAGTGAACATAGTATCTGATAGGTGGTTTTCCTATCTTTCCCCCTTCTCTCCCTCTCCACTGTTAGAATCCTTAGTGTTTATTGCTCCCATCTTTGTGTCTGTGTGTACCCAATGTCTAGCTCCCATTTATAGTAAAAACATGCAGTTTTTGGTTTGCTGTTTCTGTGTTAATTCACTTAAGATAATGGCCTGCAGCTGTATTCATGTTCCTGCAAAGGATATGATTGTGTTCTTTTTTATAGCTGCATAGAATTCCATGGTGTATATTTACCACATTTTTAAAAATCCAATCCACTGTTGATGGAAACCTGGGTAGATTTTATGTCTTTGCTATTGTGAATAGTATTACTATAAAAAAAGTGTGCAATGCTTTATGAATTTGCATATCATCCTTGCACAGGAGCCATGCTAATCTTTTCTATGTTGTTCCAATTTCAGTAGATGTGGTGCCCAAGCAAGCAAAATTTTAGAATTTTTTCCCTATATCTATGAAAAATGACATTAGAATTTTAATAAGGATTGCACTGAATCTCTGGATCCCTTTGGGTAGTATGGACATTTAAATATTAATTCAATCCATGAAAACAAGATGTCTTTCCATTTATTAATATTTGTGTAATCTTTAATTTATTTCCTCAGTGTTTATTGTTTCTGGTATAAGGCTCTTTCACTTCCTTGGTCACGTTTACTCCCAGTAGCTTATTGGTTTATTTATGTTTGATGCAATTGTAAATTGAATAGATCCCTTAATTTTTTTCACATAGTTCAATTTTGTGGCTAAATCATCCTTTCAGCTTAATATAATCCACTGTTGCTAACAAAGTAATTGTTTATACTCCAAAATATCTAGGGTATCTTCAGAGACCCTCTGCAAGCTGCTATGACTCATCTATACTCAAATGTCTGGGAAATCTTGGTCAACCTTATTCCCCAACCCTAATGATCATATTGTAAAAATACATAGGCCAATAACCTATATAAAACATAAAGGCCAGGGACCTAACTGGACAAAAGATGGTTTTTAGAGTTGCCTTGAGAACCTCTTACCTCACCTATCTTCCAGTGGTGCCTCTTCCCAGCTGCAGTCTTATCTGAACACTCTTGTTTACCAAAGATTAAGCCTTGAATATGCCTTTTAGATACACAATAGCCATACTTCCCAGCTTCCCAGAACACTTCTCCAGACAAGGCGTAGAACATGCCATGAACAGGTAAACATGACAGTCATGAAAGAGATTGAAAGTAATTCTGGGTCTGACATAAGGAGCACTTGGGAAAATTTTAACATTCTGATTCCTAATCATATATATATATATAGAGAGAGAGAGAGAGAGAGAGAGAGAGACAGCCATCTTAGTTATTCCCAGGACTTCCTTTGATGTGGGGAACTCATCCCACTTACAGCCTTGGTTCTGTTACTTTCCCATTTCTCCAGCTGGCGTGACTTCACTGTGTCTCCGGGGTGCTGTACCTACTGTAGCTTTTCTGAAAAAATGTAGGCGGATTTGTTTTCTTCTTCTCCCCAAAATTCCCGCATTAATCATCAGCCAAATTTGATAAAAAATTATTTTTCTTTTTCTTTTTGTTTTTAAGCAAAAGCATTTAAAATAAAACTTGCTAAGATGCTATGGAAAAATAAATAATAAAAGGAAAACATCAAAGCAAATTGCAGTTTTCTGATTCTGTGATGACAAGTGACCTAAATAGTGAGGTATTCAGACTCCTGGTTCATATTCGACTCCTGATGAGTTGAGTCCTGGTACAGTCTATCTAGAAAAATCGTCCTGTAGAAATATTTTTTGGTATGTGAGACTCTATTTCTTTACTCCTTGCCCTAAACAAGCTCTGGGGATTGACCACCTGTTACATAAGTTCTTGCTGCAATGGGCATTTAGGGGCTTCTCTAATTATCAGCCTCTGGGGGCAGAAATACTTTAACTGTCTCAACATCTCCCACCACTTCCAGTTTCAGGTCTGCACCCACTGACATCATTGTATATTACTTTTATCTGGAAATCTCTAGTTCGTGCCCTTAGAAATACTAATGTAGGCCTTTACCATTCATTTATCTAAGCTAGAGTCCTGTTATATATCATGTTCCCTTTCATATGGCTCAGGTCACTAACATTCTTAAAATATACTAAGGTTACTTTTCAGCTAGGAGTAGCTGCTGCCCTTGGAAAATTCCTTCAGAATTGTAGGTTAAAAGCATTATTAATATTTTTCCCTTTTTGTGGCTTCTCTTGTCCGTCATTAAATCTTCTCTGATGAATATATGTATAAATATTCTTTATTCTGATAAAGTTAATTTTATGAGTTTTTCCTCTGTGATTATTTTAGTGCCCTGTATTCTCCCATATTATCTTCAAGAAATTTCATTATTTTTCTTTTTCACTTTAGATTGACAATAAATCGGTATTTGATATTTGTGAATGTATGAGTAGGGGTCAATTTTATTATTTTTTCATAGGAATAGTTGACTGTCCAATCATATTCATTAAAAGACTGTTCATTTTATACTTCGCTGCAGTGTCACGACTGTCATCATAGGTCCATATTATCATTGTCCTGTTTCTAGACTCCATTTATTTGGCCTTTTGTTATTCTTAGCTTAACTGTATGATGATCTAATTTCTGTAGATTTAAAAGTATTGATATCTAATATAAAATGCATTCACTCAGTTTTTCCTTTTTAAAGGCTTTTTCAACTCTTCTTGGCTCTTTCCATTATCACATACATTTTAGAATCAGTTCATTAAGTTATAAGATACACACACACACACACACACACAACCCCCAGAAGAAAAAGCAAACTTTCACAATATTGATTGATATTGAATCAAATTCATAGATTGGTTCAGAGATAATTCACATTTTTCATCCTTTTACTATGATTGTCTCCTATTTATTAAAGTTTTTGTTTGTGGCAATAATATTTTTATAGTTTTCTGTTTAGAAGTCTTGTATATATTCTGTTAAATTTATTTCTAAGCATTTGATTTTTTTCTGATTATAAATGGCATTTTGAAGATCATGCTTTCTTATTTTTCATTGCTTGAATATAAAAATACAATTTTTTTAAAAAAATATTGACTTTGTAACTACAAATCTTGCTATACTAATGTGTCAGTTCTGATAACTTATCTGTAGATTCTGGTGAATTTTCTTGTGGATTATATCTTCTACAAATAATGACTTTTTTTTTGAGAAAAAGTCTCACCATGTCGTCCAGGCTGGAGTGCTGTGGCATGATCTTGGCTCACTGCAGCCTCGATCTTTTGGACTCAAGCAATCCTCCCAGCTTAGCACCTCAAGTAGCTAGGACTTTGGTGTGCATTGCTACGCCTGACTTACTTTTTTTTTCTTTTTGTTGAAATGAGGTATCCCTATGTTGCCCAGGCATGTCTCAAACTCTTTGGCTTTTATTTAGGTTTTTTCATCCTGAAAAAGTTATTTATTGTTTTGTTTTGTTTTTTTTTTTTTAACTAAGATTTCCAGAACAATAGTGAGTGAAAGCATTTGTACTGGGAATTCTTGTCATTCAACATTTTATTATTACACATGATGGTTGTTGTAAATGATTTTTCTACTTATATTTTATCAGATTAATGTAGTGTTCTTCTGAATTTAGGATGCTAGCGCATTTTTTTAATCATTACTGTGAGATGAAATTATTTAAAAAATACTTTAGGGGTGTTCCAAGATGGCTGAATAGGAATAGCTCCAGTCTGCAGCTCTCAGTGTGATTGATGCAGGAGATGGGTGATTTCTGACTTTCCAACTGAGGTACTTTGTTCATCTCACTGGGACTGATTGGACAGTGGGTGCAGCCCACAGAGGGTGAGCTGAAGCGGGGTGGGGCGTCGCCTCACCCAGGAAGCACAAGGGGTCAGGGGATTCCCTTTCCTAGCCAAGAGAAGTTGTGACAGAGTACTTGGAAAAATGGGACAATCCTGCCAAAATACTGTGCTTTTCCCAAGGTCTTAGCAACTGGCAGGCAAGGTGATTCTCTCTTGTACCTGGTTCAGCAGGTCCCACGCCCATGGAGCCTTGCTCACTGCTAGCACAGCAGACTGAGATTGATCTGCAAGGCTACAGGGTGGCATCCTGGCTTGGGGAGGGGTGTCCACCATTGCTGAGGCTTGAGTAGGTAAACAAAGCAGTCAGGAACTGAACTGGGCAGAGCCCACCACAACTCAACAAGGCCTACTCCCTCTAGACTCCACCTCTGTGGGCAGGACATAGCTGAACAAAAGGCAGCAAACAACTTCTGCAGACTTAAACATCCCTGTCTGACAGCTCTGAAGAGAGCAGTCATTCTCCCAGCATGGCGTTTGAGTGCTGAGAACGGACAGACTGCCTCCTTAAGTGGGTCCCTGACACCCTTGTAGCCTAACTGGGAGACACCTCCCAGTAGGGGCTGACAGACACTTCATATAGGTGGCTGCCCCACTGGAATGAACTTCCAGAGGAAGGATTAGGCAGCAATATTTGCTGTTATGCAGCCTCTGCTGGTGATACCCAGGCAAACAGGGTCTGGAGTGGAACTTCAGCAAACTCCAACAGACCTGCAGCTGAGGTACTTGACTGTTAGAAGGAAAACTAACAGAAAGGGATGGCATCCACATCAACAAAAAGGTCATCTACACCAAAACCCCATCTGTAGGTCACCAATATCAAAGACCAAAGGTAGATAAAACCACAAAGATGGGAGAAACAAGAGCAGAAAAGCTGAAAATTCTAAAAATCAGAGTGCTTCTTCTCCTCCAAAGGATCACAGCTCCTCGCCAGCAACGGAACAAAGCTGGATGGAGAATGAATTTGACAAGTTGACAGAAGTAGGCTTCAGAAAGTCAGTAATAACAAACTTCTGCGAGCTAAAGGAGGATGTTTGAACCCATGGCAAGGAAGCTAAAAACCTTGAAAAAAGATTAGACGAATGGCTAACTAGAATAAACAGTGTAGAGAAGACCTTAAATGACCTGATGGAGCTGAAAACCATGGCACGAGAACTTCGTGATGCATACACAAGTTTCAGTAGCCGATTCAATCAAGTGGAAGAAAGGATATCCGTGATTGGAGATCAAATTAATGAAATACAGCGACATGAGAAGTTTAGAGAAAAAAAGAGTAAAAAGAAATGAACAAAGCCTCCAAGAAATATGGGAATACATGAAAAGACCAAATCTATGTTTGATTGGTGTACCTGAAAGTGATGGGGAGAATGGAACCAAGTTAGAAAACACTCTTCAGGATATTATCCAGGAGAACTTCCCCAACCTAGCAAGGCAGGCAAACATTCAAATTCAGGAAATACAGAGAACACCACAAAGATACCCCTCGAGAAGAGCAACCCCAAGACACATAATTATCAGATTCACCAAGGTTGAAATGAAGGAAAAAGTGTTAACGGCAGCCAGAGAGAAAGATCGAGTTACCCACAAAGGGATTCCCATTAGACTAACAGCAGATCTCTCAGCAGAAACTCTACAAGCCAGAAGAGGGTGGGGGCCAATATTCAACATTCTTAAATAAAAGAATTTTCAAACCTGAATTTATGAAGAAACTAAGCTTCATAAGTGAAGGAGAAATAAAATCCTTTACAGACAAGCAATTGATGAGAGATTTTGTCACCACCAGACCTGCCTTACAAGAGCTCCTCAAGGAAGCACTAAACATGGAAAGAAACAACCAGTACCAGTCACTGCAAAAACATGCCAAATTGTAAAGACCATCGATGCTATGAAGAAACTGCATCAATTAACGGGCAAAATAGAAAAAATAATAATGGTAGGATCAAATTCAGACATAACAATATTAACCTAAAATGTAAATGGGCTAAGTGCCCCAATTAAAGGACACAGAGTGGCAAATTGGATAAAGAGTCAGGACCCATCAGTGTGCTGTATTCAGGACACCCATCTCACGTGCAAAGACGCACATAGGTTCAAAATAAAGGGATGGAGGAAGATCTGCAAAGCAAATGGAAATCAAAAAAAAAAAAAAGCAGGGGTTGCAATCCTAGTCTCTGATAAAACAGACTTTAAACAAACAAAGATCAAAAGAGACAAAAAAGGCGATTGCATAATGGTAAAGGGATCAATTCAACAAGAAGAACTAACTATCCTAAATATATATGCACCAAATAAAGCAGCACCCAGATTTATAAAGCAAGTTCTTAGGTCCTACAAAGAGACTTAGACTCCCACACAATAATAATGGGAGACTTCAACACCCCACTGTCAATATTAGACAGATCAATGAGACAGAAGGTTAACAAGGATAGCCAGGACCTGAACTCAGCTCTGCAACAAGCAGATCTAATAGACATCTACAGAACTCTTCATCCCAAATCAACAGAATATACATTCTTCTCAGCACCACGTCACACTTATTCCAAAATTGACCACATAGTTGGAAGTAAAGCACTCCTCAGCAAATGTAGAAGAATAGAAATCACAACAAACTGTCTCTCAGACCACAGTGCAATCAAATTAGAATTCAGGATTAAGAAACTCACTCAAAACTGCACAACTACGTGGAAACTCAACAACTGTTCCTGAATGACTACTGGGTAAATAATGAAATGAAGGCAGAAAGAAAGATGTTCTTTGAAACCAATGAGAGCAAAGACACAATGTACCAGAATCTCTGGGACACATTTAAAGCAGTGTGTAGAGGGAAATTTATAGCACTAAATGCCCACTAGAGAAAGAAGGAAAGATCTAAAATCGACAGGCTAACATCACTATTAAAAGAACTAGAGAAGCAAGAGCAAACAATTTCAAAAGCTAGCAGAAGGCAAGAAATAACTAAGATCAGAGCAGAACTAAAGGAGATAGAGACACAAAAAACCCTTCAAAAAATCAATGAATCCAGGATCTGGTTTTTGAAAAGATCAACAAGATTGATAGACCGCTAGCAAGACCAATAAAGAAGAGAAGAGAGAAGAATCAAATAGATGCAATAAAAAACAAAAAAGGGGATATCACCACTGATCCCACAGAAATACAAACTACCATCAGAGAATACTATAAACACCTCTACTCAAATAAACTAGAAAATCTAGAAGAAATGGATAAATTCCTGGACACATACACTCTCCCAAGACTAAACCAGGAAGAAATTGAATTTCTGAATAGACTAATAACAGGCTCTGAAATTGAGGCAATAATTAATAGCCTACCAACCAAAAAAAAAATGCAAGACCAGAAGGATTCACAGCCTAATTCTACCAGAGGTACAAAGAGGAGCTGGTACCATTCCTTTTGAACCTATTCCAATCAATAGAAAAAGAGGGAATCCTCCCTAACTCATTTTATGAGGCCAACATCATCCTGATACCAAAGCCTGGCAGATACACAACCAAAAAAAGAATTTTAGACCAATATCCCTGATGAACATTGATGCAAAAATCTCAATAAAATACTGGCAAACTGAATCCAGCAGCACATCAAAAAGCTTATGCACCATAATCACATCGGCTTCATCCCTGGGATGCAAGGTTGGTTCAACATATGCAAATCAATAAACGTAATCCATTTCATAAACAGAACCAACAACAAAAACCACATGATTATCTCAATAGATGCAGAAAAGGCCTTTGACAAAATTCAACAGCCTTCATGCTAAAAACTCTCAATAAACTAGGTATTGATGGAACATATCTCAAAATAATAAGAGCTATTTATGACAAACCCACAGCCAATATCATACTAAATGAGCAAAAACTGGAAGCATTCCCTTTGAAAACCAGCACAAGACAAGGATGCCCTCTCTCACTGCTCCTATTCAACATAGTGTTGGAAGTTCTGGCCAGGGCAATCAGGCAAGAGAAGAAATAAAGGGTATTCAATTAGGAAATGAGGAAGTCAAATTGTCCCTGTTTGCAGATGACATGATTGTATATTTAGAAAGCCTCATCGTCTCAGCCCAAAATCTGCTTAAGCTGATAAGAAACTACAGCAAAATCTCAGGATACAAAATCAATGTGAAAAATCACAAGCATTCCTATACACCATTAACAGACAAACAGAGCTAAATCATGAGTGAACTTCCATTCACAATTGCTTCAAAGAGAATAAAATACCTAGGAATCCAACTTACAAGGGATGTGAAGAACCTCTCCAAGGAGAACTACAAACCACTGGTCAACGAAATAAAAGAGGACACAAACAAATGTAAGACTATTCCATGCTCATGGATAGGAAGAATCAATATCATGAAAATGGCCATACTGCCCAAAGTAACTTATAGATTCAATGCCATCCCCATCAAGCTACCAATGACTTTCTTCACAGAATTGGAAAAGAACTACATTAAAGTTCATATGGAACCCAAAAAAGAGACCGCATTGCCAAGATAATTCTAAGCAAAAAGAACAAAGCTGGTGGCATCACACTACCTGACTTCAAACTATACTACAAGGCTACAGCAACCAACACAGCATGGTACTGTTACCAAAACAGATATATAGACCAATGGAACAGAACAGAGGCCTCACAAATAACTCCACACATCTAGAACCATCTGATCTTTGACAAATCTGACAAAAACAAGAAATGGGGAAAGGATTCCCTATTTGATAAATGGTGTTGGGAAAACTGGCTAGCCATATGTAGAAAGCTCAACCTGGATCCCTTCCTTACACCTTATACAAAAATTAATTCAAGATGGATTAAAGACTTATATATTAGACCTAAAACCATAAAAACCCTGGAAGAAAACCTGGGCAATACCATTCAGGACATAGGCATGGGCAAGGACTTCATGACTAAACACCTAAAACAATGGCAACAAAAGCCAAAATAGACAAATGGGTTCTAATTAAACTAAAGAGCTTCTGCACGGCAAAAGAAACTACCATCAGAGTGAACAGGCAACCTACAGAATGGGAGAAAATTTTATCAACCTACCCATCTGACAAAAGGGCTCATATCTGGAATCTACAAAGAACTCAAACAAATTTACAAGAAAAAAACAACCCCATCAAAAAGTAAGCAAAAGATATGAACAGACACTTCTCAAAAGAAGGCATCTATGCAGCCAACAGACACATGAAAAAATGCTCATCATCACTGCTCATCAGAGAAAGGCAAATCAAAACCACAATGAGATACCATCTCACACCAGTTAGAATGGCAATCATTAAAAAGTCAGGAAACAACAGATGCTGGAGAGGATGTGCAGAAATAGGAATGCTTTTACACTGTTGGTGGAAGTGCAAGTTGGTTCAACCATTGTGGAAGACAGTGTGATGATTCCTCAAGGATCTAGAACTAGAATTACCATTTGAACCAGCAATCCCATTACTGGGTGTATACCCAAAGGATTATAAATCATGCTACTGTAAAGACACATGCACACATATGTTTATTGCAGCACTATTCACAATAGCAAAGACTTGGAACCAACCCAAATGTCCACCAATGATAGGCTGGATTAAGAAAATGTGGCACATATACACCATGGAATACTATGCAGCCATAAGAAAGGATGAGTTCGTGTCCTTTGCAGGGACATGGATGAAGCTGTGAACCATCATTCTCAGCAAACTAACACAAGGACAGAAAACCAAACACCGCATGTTCTCACTTATGGGTGGGAATTGAACAATAAGATCACTTGGACACAGGAAGGGGAACATCACACACCAGGGCCTGTCGTGGAGTGGGGAGCTGGGGGAGGGATAGCATTAGGAGAAATACCTAATGTAAATGATGAGTTGATGGGTGCAGCAAACCAACATGGCACACGTATACCTATGTATCAAATCTGCACGTTGTGCACATGTACCCTAGAACTTTAAGTACATAAAAAGGTTAGGCTGGGCGCAGTGGCTCACACCTGTAATTCCAGCACTTCAGGAGGCTGAGGTGGGTGGATCACTTGGGGTCTGGAGTTTGAGACCAGCCTGACCAACATGGTGAAACCCTGTCTCTACTAAAAATACAAAAATTAGCCAGGTGTGGTGTGATGGCAGGTGCCTGTATTCTCAGCTAAACGGGAGGCTGAGGCAGGAGAATTGCTTGAGCTGGGAAAGCGAAGGTTGCAGTGAGCTGAGGTCGCACCACTGCACTCCAGCCTGGGTGACAGAGGGAGACTGTCTCACAAACAAAAAAGGTTAAAAAAAAAGAAAATAGTATGTTTGAGATGATCAACATGTAAAAATTGAAGCGCCTAATAATAATTAAAATGAGAGCTACTAATTTAAAAAACTAAAAATAAAAAAGACACTTTAAGATGATCATATGATTGTCATCAATTTTTATATTAATACAGTCAATTACATTGATTAATATTTTGAAATAGTCAAATATACAGACTAATTTTGAATTAGTCATGCTACCTTATACACACAAACACACACACTTATTTTTCTGTAGATTTTTATTAATCTTTTCTATATTGGCTAAATTTTTTCTATTTGCTGCTATGCTTATCATGTTTATATTTAAAGGATACCTCATAAAGTAGTTTGAAATTGTTTCTTTTTTAAAATTTTCTGAAAGAATTTGTGGCATATTAGCATTGTTTCTTTCCTAAATGTTTAATAGAATTCACCAGTGGTACCTATAGAACTACTTTGATTTTCTATTCCTTTTGGGATTAGATTTGAAATTTATATTTTTCTATACATTTAATTATTTCAAATTTAATCCTCAATATTTCAAATTATTTTGCGTAAGGTTTTCCATATTATCATCATATCATCTATTAACTGTTTATAAAATTTATGCTGAGGACCACTTTATTATTTCTAACTTTAATTTTTTTGGTCATGATTATTCTTGTATGAGGGTATGAGTTTAAAGTGTCCTTCCAGTTTTAAACTTTGAAGATAATTTACCTAGTATGTATGTATTTTATTTTATTAATCTTTACCATTATTTTCATTTCCTTCTTCACACTTTATTAGGATTTTTTTTGTTCTATTTCTAATTTCTTTATGTTCAGCTGTTCTTTTAAAAAATACATTGCTTAATTCTACACATTTTTCTCTAAATATGAATTTGTTTTATTAATACGTTTTAATATAATTAACTGAAAAATTATTTTTCCTCCTATTTTTTGATCAATGATTTATTTTTGAAGCTCACTTTTTATTTTTTAAACAGTATATTCTGATTAATTTTTGTTACTTATTGCCAGCTGAATTGCATTGTGGTTAGAGTACCCACTCAGTATTATTTTAGTGCTTTGACATTTGCTGAGACTAATGTATGGCACAATGTAAGGTTAAATTATTTCAAATCTTTCTATGTATTTTTGACAATTGTGCATTTTGACGTTGTTGGTTAAATACCAGTTAGGTCAAGTTTTGCAATTATAGTACTTGAATTTTGTATTAATATATGCTTGCTCTTTACTCATTTATTGATATTTACAAAGGTATCAATTCATTTATTAATATTTATTGATGCTATTTATTAATTTATTGACATTTATATCAGACCATCTTACACTACTCATTATGTCCCTTTTTCTATCTTCTGTATATTTAATCTATTTCTTTCTCATAGTCTTCACAATGTATATTTTCTTTGGTCTTCTCTTTCAGTTTATTAATTCAAGTTTTAGCTATAAACTCAGATATAAACTCAGCCACTAAGTTCTAAATTATTGTTTTTACATTTTTTATTTTTAAAATTTTCAATAGACTTTATGGAATGTCCAGTTTCCTGCCAGTATTTTCACTTTTGTCTCTTATTTACCTGCACATATCATGCATAATTATTTTAAAGTATGAATCTGATAACTTCAATATTTAAAGTCCTTTTTTTTTCCTACTTTTTGTTATTTCTTTTGTAAGCATCTCTCCCCCAACTACCATGTTTTTTGTCTTTTAGTGGTCGTGGTTTATTTTGGATAGTGTACTTGACATTTCGTTTGAAAAATTGTTTTAAGATATAATTTGAGGCCTAGAATGCTGTACTCTTACTCAAGATAGTGTATTTCTTTGCTTCTTCCAGGTACTTGGGTATAGTAGCATTCCTGGATCACTTCAATCCTAATTTCAGAGAGTGAGATTATTCAACATTGAACTAAAATTCCCATGAAGTTTTGTCTAATTCTAGTGCACTCTTACTCCTATGATAAAATAAATCAGAATCAGACTTAAAACCTACAGGTTCACCATTGTCATCTCATTTTGGAGAGACCTGGACTGAGACACCTGCACATCTAGGCCATTTATACTATTGAAAGCACATCCTAGCCTCTTAGTTTCTTAGCTTTCCTCTTTCACCTAAAGGAATAGTGTCCATAAATATTAGATTTATTTTCCTGGTTATCTTTCTTACCCTGAAATCTCACATGTTAATAGTTTGCTGACATATTAACTTGATGATACTCTCAATCATTTTCTTTCTTACATTTTGTGCAGTTTTCCTAGTTATACATTGTGTATGGACTAGTCTTAATTATTGAGTCCAGTATGCATGAAACAGCACCTGTACAATTTATTTACCTACTTATTTTTTTTCTGTCTCCTCCATTAGATTATAAGGTCCATGAACAGAGAAACTGCCTCAATCCTTTTCATTACTCGAATACTAATATCTAGCTAGCATAACTCTTCTAATATAAAATGGTGTCCAATAAGTATTTTGGAATGAATAAGTCAGAAATATATGACAATAATTAAACATCAGAAAATCAGGATTGGCCTTATTTCAAATTGCTTTACTTTTAATTTAGCATTTTTGGTTTCAATAAATGTATTGATTAGTATATTCAAACTTTAGTTGATATAAAATCATAAATCCTCGGTTTATATTCCTGATTATCTATTTTGAAAAATCATTTACTTTTTCAAGTTGTCAGTTTCTTTGTCAATATTAATACTCATTTCAGTAAAATCATTAATAAGATTTTACTGAAAATCAAAAGAAAATTTGGAAAAACACTTCACATGGTGACAGGAAGTGGTCATTCATTTACCGATGAGTCTATGCTATGTGTAAAATATTGTGAAAGAACCAAGGTAAGTACCAGGATAGACAAGGTTTCTGTCCTCTTGTAGCTTATATGTTACCAATAGAGACAACCAGTAAATAATTAATCACATGAGATATTACTTATTTAGATTTGTTTTGGCAGACATAAAGCATATAAGCACAGTACCACAGGAATAAATAACAAATAAAGCTGACCAAATCTGGGGAGTCTACCAAAATTTTCTCAAAGCAGTGATTGTTGCCAATAGCATATATAGCAAACATTTGTTAGGGGCTCATTATATCCTAGACACTATACTATTGACCTGCTGTTTTTTTTTGTTGTGTGTTTTTTGTTGTTTTTTGTTTTTGTTTTTGTTTTGAGATGAAGTCTCTCTCTGTCACCAGGCTGGAGTGCAGTGGTGTGATCTCAGATCACTGCAACCTCAGCCTCCCTGGTTCAAGCGGTTCTCCTGCCTCAGCCTCCCGAGTAGCTGGGACTACAGGCATGCTCCACCATGCCCAGTTAATTTTTCTATTTTTAGTAGAGACAGGGTTTCACCATGTTGGCCAGGATGGTCTCGATCTCTTGACCTCGTGATCCGCCCACATCGGCCTCCCAAAATGCTGGGATTATAGGCGTGATCCACCATGCCCGGCCTATTGACCTGTTAATAATTCATTTCAGTTAATCTTCACAATGACCCAATCAACAAATAACAGAAGCCAATATATTTGGTGCTGATACCTGTGCCTATTAATTTTGACATGAGGAAACTAAGGCTTAGATAGTTCAATTTGCCCAATTCAGAGCCTGTGGGTATTAAAGCATGTCATTAAGTTCCTGCAGATTGACTCTAAAGCCTGAGTTCATAAACAGTGTACAATATTATTGAGCCTTAGAAGAGGTGAAAGTGAAATACAGTAGTCAACAAGATGTATGGCATGGAAGAGGACTTCCAAGTAACCTCTATTTCATGGTAGAAAGTAAAATGATATAAGAAATGGACAGGCAGCCATCCCAGTTGAAGCACAAACACAGAAGTCTGTGTTAGTGCACACAAATCAGGAGAAATAGCACTCAAGTCTTTAGGGCTTGAACTCAGACTTTCTCTTATTAATGGCTTTTAAATGATTGTGAACTTCAAACATACCATTTTTGCTGCTATGTAGATCATAAGTAATGAAACCAGCCTGCAAGGGAAAACCTAGATAGTATCAGGGGAGATGGAATATTCCAATGGGAGAATTTGAAAGTATT
Organism: Homo sapiens; assembly: GCF_000001405.40. NCBI lineage: Eukaryota > Metazoa > Chordata > Mammalia > Primates > Hominidae > Homo > Homo sapiens. The sequence continues at coordinate 43,846,003 of NC_000018.10, forward strand.
TAGGGAGTAAATTCAATGGAACATGGTGATTGAATAGAAGTGGAGGGTCACAGAGAAAAACAACAGTTATTTGTTTTTCCTTAAATATTTTCTATAAACATACTTATGTTTTTGAGCCAACATTGATTTTACTTTTATTATTATTATTATTATTATTTTGGTCATCTGTTCAAGCTTTTTCAAGTTGATTGTTTTGCTGTTGATTTTTCACCATCCTCTTCTCCTTCTGTTTCTTCCCAGTATTACTTTGGAACATTACTACCCCTTTTATTTATTAATTTAATGAAACTCCTCCCGTGGTCCAGACTCCATCACAACATCCTGCCAGGTTTCTCATTTATTTTTATTTTCTTAATCTTAAAACCCAGATATTCTCATGTCATCCCTCTTTTCCCTACTTCCCACTTCTGGCATCCCTTACAACTGCAAATGCTCCCAAGCCTTTGAAGCTCTAGCCAGCTAATCCCTCAAACAAAAGTTACCAAAGAGCTTTATTCTTCTGACATTTTAGATCCCTTTCACTGACTGTGAGTGGCTGCCATTCTCCCCTCCTCTCTAAACCGGAGATTTACTCAAATACTATTTTACCCAGCACCATAAGCCACAAGTTCAGAATAACCTCTCCAGTGAATCAGAAGACAGTGATCAAGCATTCTTACTTATATCACAGTGATTAGGATATTTATCTTTAAATAAATTTTGCATTTGGGAAGAGAAAGTGTAGAAAGACAAACGATGAAATGCTAATGCCAGGTTTTCCAGTAACATGAGTTTTTTTGGAGGTGATAGTTTGGGAATACTTTCATCAACTTAACCCTGGTGATGATCCACTTAACCTAGAAATGGACAGTGATGAAATGATTGGCCCTCATTTTATACACTGCTGGGTCATAGATAGGTTATAATCAAATTCTGACAGCTAATTTCCTAAACTCAGTGAACCTGAGGTTCTACAAAGTAATTTAGAGCAGTCATTCTTAAAACCTTTTTTAAAATCTTAGTAATCAGAGTCAGTTAAATCAGAATCTCTACTGGTGGGACTCAGGCATTTGTACTTTTAAAACTTGCTTCTCAAACATTACTTTAGACATAAATTTGGGGATCTTTTTGAAACTGAAGATTCAGATTCAGTACTTTTGGGGTGGGGATGGAGATTTTACACTGAGTACCAAGAGAACCGGAGACTAATTCTTAAACTTGGCTGCACATTGTAATCACTTTGGAAAATGAAAAATAAATACATAAAATTAGACAAAACATGCCCAAATTCCATCCCCAGAGAATGACAGCAAATTACACTCATTTTGCTCATATTTACCTCTCTGATGTAGCTGATTGCCCAACCCAGAGAAGAGAGAAGAAAACCTCTGATGGTTGCAATAAAATAGGGTTCAATCAGAAAGCATGCTTTCTCTTTTCCAGATATGCAGCCTCTCCTGATGGTGAAGAGGATTTCCCTAACAACCTCTGAAACGTTTGTGGGCTCAGAAACATCAGCTTTACTCAAAACAAAAGCTCTCCCTCCATAGACTTGACAGTCAGCTCTCCGGGAACAGGGGAGAGAAAACAAACCCAGTTAAGTGTTCACAGTGTAATTTTCCACAACCAAAATTGAACAAATAAAGGGTTGGGAGACATGTTTTTTCAAGTTAAATCCTGTGCTTCTTCTTTAGTCTCCGCATTTCAAATGGAATTTGAATCTTTGGAGGTTAGAGTTCATTTACTTTTTGGCAGAACAGCACTTCCTGTTTCTAAGAGAAAGGCCCCAGAATACTTCTTTAATGTCAAAGGCTGTTACAAAACAGCACTTGATGAATCGGATGCAAGTGAATGAGAAACACATGGATTAAGTTTCCATTAACATTCACATGGGTTTCATAATTAAGAGAAAATGCCTGACCAAAGGAAGTGTTTTGAGTTTTACCTAATTGAAATTTTGTTTTTAAAAAAGTGCTTAAAGCTACTTATTCCGAACATGATAAGTGCCGGAGATTACTCATCCCTAACCAAAACCACCTAAGCAAATCAGACGCATAAACTGAGACCAAAGCTATAAACTGCATTCTCTCAAAAACCAACAACACTCATCAATTTTGGGAATTGTAGAGGGATGAGCCATCCTCTGATCATTGAACCATCTTAAGGAGTTTATTTACTTTGTTAAATCAGGTAATTCACAGTTTCTGACTTTTTTTTATGGATTGGACTTCTCTTCATTAAGCAGATTTTACTAGTTCACTTACCTGAAATCAAAGTAAAAATTGCCTCCACAATTATGTGATTGTAGAACCACCACTACCTTAGAAGTCAGTTAAACCTCATTCAGATCTTTCCTTGGTAGGTGAGTGAAAGGCAACATTCTGCTTCATTTTTCTCATATTTATAAACAAGAAGATAAGACTAGCGTTTTACCAACTTAAACACCATGGATTATTCAAATAGTAAAATTCTTTATGTTGTATCCCAATAATAAAAGAGAGAAAAAGGAAAATGACAGGGAGTAAAATGGACCAACAATTACTGCCAATAAGTTGAAGGTTGGGGAAGCAGCTTTGATAGAGTACTATTTTATCTCATTTCTACATATAACAACTTCTGAAAAACACTGAACTTAATGGTCAAACAGTCTTGCTTCAATTTTCTATTATGCTTTTCACCTATTACTTAGAAAGTTCTACCTCTAGATACAAGTATCTCCAACCAGAGACATTCGAAATTGTCTCCTCATCTATTCACCAAATTCACTTGTTCTATGCCCTTAAAAAAAAATCTATCAATTGCCCTGTAAATTACCACACTCAAAGTAGAAACTCGAGCTTTTTCTTGAAAGTTCCTTTACCACTTTCTCCACTCCCCACATCCATTCAGTTATCAAATACTAAAATGTGACCCTCAAATATTTTTTAATCCTTTCACTTTTCCCTATGCTTATCCTTGTTTCTTAATTTGGACCTTTGCAAATCGTATGCTGGATTATTTCAAAAGATTTCTAATGAGTTCTTTTTTTCTGTTCCTCTCCAACTTATTCTCATCATTAAACCTGAAATTCTTCTCTTTAATTTTAGCATATAGTTATTAACATATTCCAAAATAAATCTAACTGAAAATAGAAAAGGGTATAGAATAATAGTAAGGTTTTAAAGTCTACATTATTAGTCAGCTTTCTCATTGGCATTAGGGTCAAAATTTCATACATATGTTTTCAGAATTTTTTTTCCATACACAAGTGTGCATACACATGTGACTATTTGTGTGAGTAGGTATTTCCAATATTTTTGCAGGAATGTAACCATAATTGTATACATTATCGGTCTTTTTATTTTCTTTTTTTAAAATTTGACTTTAAGGTCTGGGCTACATGTGCTGAACGTGCAGGTTTGTTATATAGGTATACATGTGCCATGATAGTTTGCTGCACCTATCAACCCATCATCTAGGTTTTAAGCCCCGCATGCATTAGGTACTTGTACTAATACTCTCCCTTCCCTTCCCCCACCCCCCTACAGGCCCTGATGTGTGATGTTCCCCTCCCTGCGTCCATGTGTTCTCACTGTTCAACTCACACTTATGAGCGAGAACATGCAGTGTTTGGTTTTCTGTTCCTGTGTTAGTTCACTGAGGATGATGGTTTCCAGCTTCATCCATATCCCTGCAAAGGACATGAACTCATTCTCTTTTATGGCTGCATAGTATTCCATGGTGCATATGTGCCACATTTTATTTATCCAGTCTATCATTTATGGGCATTTGGGTTGGTTCCAAGTTTTTGCTATTGTAAATTGTGCTGCAATAAACATATGTGTGCATATGTCTTTATGGTAGATTGATTTATAATCCTTTGGGTATATACCCAGTAATGGGATTGCTGGCTCAAATGGTATTTCTGGCTCTAGATCCTTGAGGAATCGTCACACTGTCTTCCACAATGGTTGAATTAATTTATACTCCCACCAACAGTGTAAAAACATTCCTATTGCTCCACATCCTCTCCAGCATCTGTTCTTTCCAGACTTTTTAATGGTTGCTATTCTAACTGGCGTGAGATTGTATCTCACTGTGGTTTTGATTTGCATTTATGTAATGACCAGTAATGATGAGCTTTTTTCCATGTTTGTTTGCTGCATAAATGTCTTCTTTTGAGAAATGTCTGTTCATATCCTTCACCCACTTTTTGATGGGTCTGTTTGTTTTTTTCTCATAAATTTGTTTAAGTTCCTTGTAGATTCTGGATATTAGATCTTTCTCAGATGGATAGACTGCAAAAATTTTCTCCCATTCTGTACGTTTCCTGTTCACTACGATAGTTTCTTCTGTGTAAAACTAACCAGGTCTTGGAAATTTGCTATATTATTATCTAAATCATTTTTTCACAGCTTTACAATATTTCATTTTGTGAATACCCAATAATATTTATCAATGGGCAACATTCCCAATGCTATCTTTCTGCCTAACATATGCAATGCAAATTTTTAAGCACAGTGTGCCAGGACCACTCTAAAATATCCCTACCTTTTCTCTTTCATTATACTCTCTCAAGAATCCTTTTCTCTGGCCACTTTGAACTGCTTCCTAATATTTCACTGCTTCCTAAATCTCACAGTTTATAACCTAGAAAATCTGTTCGTGCCTATCCTATAAGAACGAATACATGATTATGTGAGTTTTCATGCAAAACAAGGTTTTGCTTTTAAACACAATAAAAACCCATAGAATAGCTAGCTAGTATTGATTTTCTAATAGCCACTAACTGTTATTTGCCCAACAAATATTTGTTAAATAATATATGAAATAGATTATTATAGTCTGACCTTTCACCTTGAATGCATATGTAGTTTAAACAAGAGAATATCTATGAATTTTAGATTACCTACATATATATTAAGCATTTACATATGTTTTTCCATAATGAATTAAAACTAAAGGAATGGTATTTCTGTCATAGTTATAAAGCTCACTACCTAGAAACAGCATTTTTTTCCTGCTATTTTTTTTCTTAATACAGATACAGAAAGACTTGTTCAATCTTAGCCAAAACCCAAAAGTCTTCATGCTTTCTGAATCTTTGGTGTAAAAGACAATATTAAAAATGTCAGACGAGCCAAAATACTTCTGATTATTCTTATTCTATAACTGTCTTCATTTAGTGGCATACTGGCATCTTCCTCTTCTTCCAGGAAATATTCTCTCCCTTTAAACTTAAATATGATGGTTTGTACAACTGAAAAGAACAAAATATGTAATGAAAGACTTAGGGTAACCAATATCTTAGTGAAATAAGTTTAGTGGTTTTAATGATAGTTTCTAAAAAGCCATGTCCACACCCTATTCCTCAGAAGCTGTAAATGTGGTGTTATTTGGAAAATGAACCTTTGCAGATATAAATAAGGATTTTGAGATGAGGAGATAATCCTGTATTATCCAGATTAGCCCAAATCCAATAAAAACTAGTCTTATAAAACAAAGGCAAAGGAAGGTTTGACACAGAAGAGGAGGAGACATACAGAGGGTAAGGCCATATGAAGATGGAAACAGATTATAGTTGTTATAGGCTGAATTGTGACCCCCACAAATTCATACATGAAATTTCTAATCCCTAGTGTCTCACAATAGAACTGGTCTTGAAGTTTGGGCTTTGAAATGGATAAATGAAGTTAACTGAAGTTATTAAGATGAGTCCTAATCTAAAAGGATTGGTATCCTTGTATTAATAAGAAAAGGAAATTAGGACACAGACAAATCCAGTGGTAAGACCCTATAAGGAGAGGGAGAAAACAGCCATCTACAAGCCAAAGAGGGAGGCCTCAGAATAAAACCAACCCTGCCAATGCACTTCTAGCCCCAAGACTGTGAGAAAATACATTTCTGTTTTTATAGCTACCTATTCTATGGTCCTTTGTGATAGCAGCCCCAGCAAACATCTGGAGCCATCAGATACCAGAAGAGGCAAGGAAGGATGTTCCCCCAGGGTCATCAGAAAGAGAGTGATCCTGATGATGCCTTCATTTTGGACCTCTGGACTCGAGAAACTTGAGAGAATAAATGTTTTTCTTAAGTCATCAATTTTTTTTTTTGTAATTTGTTACTGTAGCCCTAAGAAACTTATGTAATAGTTTTATTTTTACCAGGAAAATCCAAGCTGCCTTTACGTGCCTGTGTTTATTATCTTGAGCCATGGTCCATGGAGGATGGTGAATGAAGGCCTCTGCGCTAAGTCAGGGCTAGAGAGGAATATTACAAGTCTTGCTTAGGGCTCTTCATCCTCAGCTTTTTACCACCAGCTTCATGATGTTTGAAGAAAAATAAAGAATAACATTAAGTATCAATGTATTTCCCTTTGGGGATTTTTAATATTGCAATGAAAGTGTCCTCAAGGGCAGTTTCTTATTAGGTTTTGCATTACGTCCCATTCATGCTTTTCTAATGGTTTACATTTTAAGCTTTCTTTTGTAGGAAAGACTTTACTGAATGGTAGAAAATGGATTAAATAAGAATGCTTGTGTGCGTGTGTGTGTGTGTGTATGTGTGCGTAGAAGAGAGTACTGAAAAAATTAAGATTATCAGGAGAGAAAAGGAGATTACCAAGTGTATATAAATAATGCCATTTTCATAGTTTTTCTAGACCATTTTCTGACAAATCATAGTCCTGTGAGGTGGTCAAAACAACTCCTGTAAAGATTCTTTTCCCATACTCTAAATACTTATATCATCATACTTATCTTTTGTTGTTCACCACCCACTGTAATTTTCAAAGCAATTCGATTTCCCAAATAGTCTTGAGAAGGAAGGAGAGAAAGAGCCGCAAACCCTATTTACACTCAATAAGACTGAAAAGAGGTGACAAGAGTTGTTCATGACGTTGACCTCAGTTTTCTGATTCCCTGTCCATTTCCAAAGAGAGTGCTTGTCTTTTGACTGAGTTTTTTATAATGATGGTTATATGTTTTGTTTACATTACACATTTAGCTATACAAAACCCTTTCAGAAATATTGTATTTGGTCCCCTTTTCTTTCCCTTCAACACATCATTTTCAGAGCAGTTTTCTCAAAACAGTGTTTTGACACAGTCATCCTTATGTGTAATAGGTGTGATACAGTCCACCTCATTGTGGTTCTAGTCCTAGTTCAAATGACAACTTTCCCCATTGTCTTCCATGGAGATCCCATCCTTCCTTGAAATAGATTTTGCTCCACTACTTTCGTTCTTTACACATTTATGTCTACATTTTATCTTCTATAGAGCACAAGATATTTGAGAGCAGGAATCATATCTTACTCGTCAAAACTCCAACAATAGTGTTTTCTTGTTTGGTTGTGTGAGTGGTAGGAGTTCAGAAAATATCTTTGAGTGAATCAATTAATGGATGCATCTATTTTTCATAATATTTTCTTGAATTAGATGAGACAGAGATTTATATTTTAGAAAATAAGCCAGAAAAATTATAGGAGTAGCCCAGGGTAATTTAGTTAGTGTAATAGTTGGATTGAGACCATCAATTGCTCTATTCCTTTTTTTTTTTTCAGACTGCTTATATATGGGTCATAGGTAGACCAGATGGATTTCACTGCAAAGAGGTAATAGCTTTACGAGCATTTAAGCTATTGGCATGGTATGTTAGTGGCAGCCTCTGCTTTATGGCATCATGGAACTTTAAAAACGTTAGTTAAAGGAAAAGGCAAATTATAAGCAGATATAATAGATGTAACAGATGACAAGATAAACAAAGACAGCCTATGAAAGGTGAAAGGGGATTTTCTGGAGATAATAAAGTGTGATGTTGATCTTGATTTTAAGAGCAATTCATAATTAGAAACTTTTGCTGGATGTAGCAATGGCAAGAAGAACTAATATAAACCAATATACTTTGTTCAATCCAAAACACCCCTGTTGTTTTATTATTTTGTCAGTGAAGAAATTGTAGTACTAGCAATTTCATTCTTAAGTAAATTCATATGATTTCAGTGTACAAAGATGAACCACACTCACTTATAAATTTACAAATGTGCAACACAGGCACATTTAGGATAATAATCTGTAGACTGATGCAATAGTAGATTAGCTCAGAGGAGCTTAGCCTCCCATGCTTCAGGTAAGAAGAATGAAGGCAAGGTAGTGAATGCTTGGGCTATAGAACTAAACTTCATCCACACATCATGGTTTTCTGGACAGTGATTTTACAAGATAATTCATAAGGCAGAAAGAGATGGGAACAATTAAAAGATCAAAGAAACAAAAACACTGGGATGGAAAGTGATTAGAAATAAGAGATGGGCCAGGTGCAGTGGCTCACGCCTGTAATCCCAAAGAGGCTAAGGCAGGCGGATCAAGAAGTCAAGAGATTGAGACCATCCTGGCCAACATGGTGAAACCCCATCTCTACTAAAAATACACAAATTAGCTGGGCATGGTGGTGCACACCTGTAGTCCCAGCTACTCAAGAGGCTGAGGCAGGAGAATCACTTGAACCAGGGAGGAAGAGGTTGCAGTGAGCCCAGATCGCACCACTGCACTCTAGCCTGGAGACAGAGTGAGACTCTGTTTCAAAAAAAAAAGAAAAGAAATAAGAGATCAAGCAGGTTTGAGCCCCAGGACTTCCAGACCAACCTGGGCAACATGGTTAAAATAGGTCTCTACAAAAAATAAATAAGTAAGTAAGTAAATAAATTATCTGGGTGCGGTTGATCCTGCCTGTAGTCCCAGCTAGTTGAGAGCTGAGGTGGGAGAATTGTTTAACCTTAGAGACCAACACTGCAGTGATCCATGATCACACCACTGCACTGTAAGACAGAGCAAGACTCTGTCACTGTCATAAAATTAAAAGAAAGAAGAGATTGGTGAACCACTATTTGCGTAGCAGTAGCCTAAGGCAAGATTAGGTCACAAGCAACAGTTTATTTGCTATCTAATCTTTTCCATATTTAACCATGTTGTTATTTAACCATTTGGAGCATCAGTTTCTTCTGTAAGTCAAAGATGTTCAGCCTATCTGCCTCATGGAGATTTCAGGGTGTTTGAATTTTCGATGAAAAGGCAAATCTGGTTGTATGCATAAAGCGTAAGTATGTTTTATGAAGACACCTCTCTCTGCTTTCTCATTTGCAAACCTCCAGAGCAGCCTAGGGAGATTGCAGACAAGATGTAATGGTGCAAGCTCATTAACAAAGATCTAATAACAAAATCACACACAAAAAATCTAATTAGCAAGGTTACCTCTGTTGCAGTAGTCCAGTGGAAATAAACACAGGCTTGCATTTGTTTTTTGCATGAACCATATTTTTTTCATTTCCCTTAAAATTAAAAAAAAAGGTAATTTTCCTTCCAAGTTGTGTTCTCTCCTACATCATTGTTATTGGTGTTGCCTAGACCCTGGGTTTCTTCTAGTGCTTGGAGGGAGTGACCAGAGTCATTTTCATTGATAAGAAGTCTTTGATTTCCAAGCCACTCCCATTAAAGCATCCTCCTGGAATCCTTGTGCTGGGGCCCCACACAAGGGCCATCTCCCTGGCTGGCCTGGCAGTTGTTTCACGACACACATCAATAGATCCCAAAGGCTGAGGAAGGCAGGCAGTTAGGGTGTGAGAACCCCAAGCACTCCATCCCAACTAAAACCCTAGGGGAGATTGTGGGGGTTGCAGAAGGTAATTAAGTAATTGGAATTTGGCCAACACACCAGGGTGAAATGACACAACAAAGTCTGCATCCCTCTGTTTGCAAGGGCCGAAGGGGTTTACACATCACTCACAATATACATGAGAAGCTTCCAGGGGCAGCTGTGACTGGCCAACAGGAGCCCACATTAAGAGAGACTGGGCTTTGCTTACTTGTAAAATTAGAGCTGCAGCACATGGAGGCTTTCCATTCTAACCCCTCATTTAACAAGTGAGAAAATGAGACCCTAGAGAGTAAAGTTACTTACACAAGGTCACTCAACTCAGATACAGGAGCTTCGGAGTTAGATTTCAGGAATTTTAATTCTAAGTCCTATTTTGTTGCCACTGTTTTTACCCTAACTGTAATGCATTAGAAATTCAGATAGCCTGTCTGGCTTTAATGTGCACTTTTATCACCTTTGCCTTAAAATGTCTTTTTCTGTGATTCTGAAATGGAGATAATAATGCCTATCTCACTAGATGTTTGATTAAACAATTACACTTCTAAGAGAAAACACAAAGAAAATCAGGACAATTTTGAGGTAAGCAAAGATTTCTTAGGCCACAGAAAGAATAAACCATAAAGGAAAAACAATAAATTGTACTTCATCAAAATTAAAATGCTTTGCTCATAAAAAGACACTTTTAAGAAAATGAAAAAGCAAGTCACAGTCCAGGAGAAAATATTTGTGATGCATATATCTGACAAAGGACTGGCATTCATAATTTATAAATAACTCTTACAACTCAATTATAAGAAAACAAAGATCCTTTTAAAAATAAATGAACACAGGACTTTGTTAACAGATACTTCAGAAAAGAAGGTGTACTTCTGTCCAATAAGCACATGAAAAGATGCTTAACATGATTGGTCATGGGTAAATGAAAATTAAAAACACAATAAGATACCTATTTTATATCAATAAGGGTGTATAAAATTAAAAATACCCAATGTTAGCAAGTATATAGAGTTATTCTCATATATGTCAGGTGGGAGTGAAATATATGAAAACAAAGCCAATTAAAAAAACCAAACACAGAAAAATAATAAAAAAACAATTTTGGAAACGTGTTAGATTCTTACAAAGTTAAGTATCTATTGTATATCCAGAACGTTGACTCCTAAGTATTAGCCTGAAATGAAACAAACCCACCATCTTATACATAAGTGTTTATAGCAGTTTTACTCATAGTAGCCCTAAGTAGAAGCAACCCAAGTGTCATCTGTTGTGGCATATTCTACATGGCACAGTCTCCTCAGCAATAAAAGTAGAGAAACTGTTGTCAAACATAATAATGGATGAACTTAAACATTGGGTTGAGGCAAAGAAGAGGCACAAAAATTATTACATTTGCATGAAGTTCTAAACTGGGTGAAATGAATGTTTGGAAATAGGTCAAATCAGTGGTTGCCTGGGATAAATTGGGGTAACTGGGATGACTGTAAATGAGCATGAGGAATCTTCTTAGGGTAATAGAGTTAATTTATGTATTTGTTAGGGTTGTGGTTACACACTTGTCATACTTGGTATTGTCGTGGTATATGTATTCGTCAAAACTCGTGGAACTACACACTTAAGATGGCTGTATTTTGTTGCATGCAAATTAAAGCTCAATAGTTTTAAGTCAACATAATGGCTACCTCTGTGTAGGAGCTCACAGGGGACTTCAGGGACAGAAGATCTGTTTTAGTTTTGAAGTTAGATGATCAGTTCACAAGTGCTTGGTTTATTATCCTACTTCGTAAAACATATGGAGCACATATAATTTGCCATGTATCAAATATTACATAATAAAATTTTTAAAGGAACCAAACAGATGTGATGAGATACCATAGGTAAAGTGTTGATCAAAATTTCCAGCTTTTAGGAAGTGATTACTATGTGCTAAGCTTTAGTTCATTTACTCCTTGTACAAATTTATGGGGTAGTTTTCATGATCTAATTATAAATATGAAGGCACTGATGATCAAAAAAGTTAAACTAACTCATCAACATTGCACAGTCAGTACAGAGTGGAGCCAGGTCTAACATGTTCTTGCTCTTACTCCCATGTTCCTCCTGCCTCTAGCACTTTACTCAATATATGTTAGTTCAGCCCTCTCCGTAATTCATTTCCTGCTGATATGGGAACATCAGATTTGGATGTCCCCTCCAAATCTCATGTTGATATGTAATCCGCAGTGTTGGAGGTGGGACTTGGTGGGAGGTGTTTGTGTCATGGGGCGGATCCCTCACTTCTTGGTGCTGTCCTCATGACAGTGAGTGAGTTCTCAGAAGAACTGGTTGTTTTAAAGTGTGGCAGCTCCCTCCTCTCTCACTTGCTTTTTCTTTTGGCCATGTGAAGTGCCTGCTTCTGCTTCACCTTCTGCCATGAGTTAAAGCTTCCTGAGGCCTCTTCAGAAGCAAATGCCAGCACTATGCTTCCTATACAACTTCTAAACATCTTTTCTTATAACCTACTACCCAGTCTAGGTATTACTTTATAACATGCAAGGATGGCCAAATATACCTGCTTCCTCAGGCCCAGGAGTATACAGCACTTCTCTCACTCTTTGTGCAGTGCCCATTCTAGTGTGATTCTGCTCATTTACATCCATGTATTCCCTCTATCACTGCCACCCCTTGCACTTGTCACTTCCATGTCATGCCCAGACTATTCCCATTGCTCATCACTCTATTTTCAACTTTTCCTTCCTCAAATTTATTCTGATTCTACTAATGCTAGATGACGAGTTAGTGGGTGCAGCGCGCCAGCATGGCACATGTATACATATGTAACTAACCTGCACAATGTGCACAAGTACCCTAAAACTTAAAGTATAATAATAAAAAAAAAGAAACAGTTTCTTCATGCGAGCAGCAAGCTGATCATAAATATAAGCTGACTTTCAAATTCCTAAAATATAAAACACTCTTCTTTTCAAGCTTTAAAGGACCTCGTAGTCAGTTGAGCTCAAGCTAATATTGTCCTATAGGATTTGCACATCACACTCCAATTCAAATGTCTGCAAGGATACTCTGAACAGATCTTATGCTTTTTCTCCTGTGTTGCCTTTCTGGAGAACTCTGGCTTTCCCTTCTTTTCTCTGAATCCACACATCTTTCAATTGTTCAATTTAAGCACCTTATCAGTGAAACTTCTCTGACCACCTCCAAGTAAACTTAAGCCACTTTATCCTTTTTAGTTGTGTGTGTTTTACTACATCTAAAACACTTTCATTCATTCATCTTTTACACCATGTTTGTTGAGTTTCCACTAGGGGCCATTCTCAATGTGTGTTACATTCATATAACTGTGAATGAAGAACAAAATCCTTCCTATCAGGAAGGTTGCTTATATTCTTGCATTCTTGTTGTTCTTGTTCCTCAAAATCACTTTAAAGCTTCTTGAAGTCTGGGATCTTGTTTTATACCTGCATCACCTAGCAGGTATAATTCACTTTTAAATAATGTATAGTTAAAGAAGAAGGCAATCTAAAACTAGTTATTCATGCCATTATCTAATAGTCAAGTTTTGCATCTCTCTTTCTGGTCTGCTATAAATGAAAAGAAGAACTTCTTGAAAGCTACATGTAAAACTTTAAATAATGTTTTTTCCTGGATGTTGGCATCATAAGTAACTTAATCTACTGTCTACATTTATTACCCATGTAATTTAAAAGAATGAAATAACAAAGAAGAATGTTATGTTAGTTGGAATTTTTATATTGTTCTTTTGAGTTCTCCTTAACTTAGAAAATATCTCCTTATCTAAAGAAAAACGTAATCTACCAAATAGCCTAGGACTTGTCACTGGCTCTGTTATTCAGTTTTCCTTATTGTGATTTCATGAGGCTAAGATAATACCTTACTTTTGCTACCCTTTGAAGCTACAGTTAGTGATTAATAATATACCATGACTGAATAAAGTACGAAATGACATTGGGCAGAGAACATAGCTATAAAGGATATATGATAAATCTTATTGTCATTCATGAGCAAAGTCATTGTAGTATAATGTCATATGATGTATAAAATGATACATATTGATCAACTTTTTAAAAGTTGTTTCTATATGCCCCTGTTGTCACTTTTTTTTTTGATGGAGGATAAAATAATCCTCAGGCTTTATTCTACATGTAATGTGACAAATAGCTGGTGACAAAGAATCATTATTATCATGATCAGTAATGAAGTCTATGGTGAAGTAATATTGCTGCAGAGACGATAATGCTCCATTATAATGACAGGATATTGTATTCATTTAAAGTATAAAATAAATTATGATATCATTACTATTCATTGTAGGCAATATTAATAATTTATTACTATTATTAAATACAATTATGTGGAGAAAACTAATGGAGAGTTTTCTGATGGCCCTGGGGCATTTTGATCCATTGACAACAGCAGGGCCCCAGCTATATTGGCCCCTGCTCCACCCCCAGCCTGGTGGGTGGTTTGTTCTACTGACAGTCATAGCACTGATAGCAATGGCAGCAACAGAGTTCCTGGCCTTCCCTGCTCCCATTTCATAGAACACCCTCATTTGGTCTCATCTTGCCACAGTAGTGTCAACATCAAAGCCTCAAGCCTTCTAAGACACTGGTCCACAAACAGAGCACTGCCAGGTGGTCCTGTCTACCTGTAGCAATAATAGGAGCTGAGATGATAAGGATCATGTATTGTATTAAATATTTACCCATATTTTTTTACTAATTCTGTTATTCTTCTTTCTTTCCTCCTGATGATTCAAGATTCCTTCTTTTATCATTTCCTTTTTATTTAGAGGTATTTCTCAAGCCATTTATTTTATGATAGGTTGGCTGATGACAAATTATCTTTTCTTTCACTAAAAATGTCCTGATTTCTGCTTTATTCAAAAAGAATACTTTCACTGGATTTGGAGTTCAGCATTTGCATTTTTTTTTCATTTTAGCATTGAAAAATGTTGTGCCACTTCTTCCCAGGCTCTGTAGCTTCTGATGAAAAATCTACTATCATTTAAATTGTTTTTCTCCTATAAGTAAGGTGTCATTTTTCTCTATCTGCTTTCCAGATTTTCCTTTGACTTTAGTTTAAAGTTTGTCTATGATGTGTCTTGTCATGGGTTTCTTTGAGTTTATCTTGTTTGAAGTCACTCAGCCTCTTGAATCTTGAATATTTTGCCAAATTTAACAACCTTTCTATTGTTATTTCCTTAAGTAGTTTCTGTAGTCCTGCTCTTTTTCCTCTCTCCTGAGACTCTGATAACATGAGTGGTTGATATTTTGAGTCATATAAGCAAATTTCTGTTCCTTTTATTTTTTTCTGAGTCTATTTACTCTCTCTTGTTCAGATTGAGTATTTTCTATTGCTTTGTCTTCAAACTCATTGATTCTTTTCTCTGTCATAGCTATTCTACTATGGAGTTTACATATCAAGTATTCTGTTTTAGTTATTATATTTTTAAGTTCTAAAATTACTATTTTGCTTTTCTTCATATCTTCTATTTTTTGGTGAAACTTTCTGCTTTTCACTATTTGTCTCAAGTGTGACAAAAGGACTGGAAATATTGTGTCAGTACTGCCAGGAGAAGGTAAGGAGGCAGGACCTCCTAGTTGCTGATGGGTAGGAGTCCCAACTCAGCCTCCACTGATGTCTCTCTGGCTTGGAGGAGCAGTGGTATCTTGTTTTTTTTCTCTCTGTGTGATTTCCAGGTAGTAGATGGGTACAGTGGTGGGGCGGGGTGGGGGTGCATCACCACCTTATAGGGATGGAAATTCTGCCTCTCTGCTTCCCTACTGGCCCTTTCTGAGACTATTCCAGTACAGTGGGAGGTTAACCTACCTCCTTACAGCCTGGAGAGCGTGGAATTCTAGGTTTCTTACTAGGCTTTTGTTGGAGTACATGAGCAGGGGCCAGAATTTTCTATGATACTTGACTCAAATAGAGTGATTATTGTCTACGAGGTTGGTACAAAAGTTATTGAGGTTTCTGCTATTACTTTTACTGGCAAAAACCGGAATTACTTCTGCATCGATGTAATAACATTTTGTCTGCACTTTTTCTGGTCTTTGGGCTGAGTGTGCAGGCTCTTGTCAAGGCTTTTTGTTTTGGTTTGGTTTTGGTCTACATTTCTTGGTGTTTCTGAGCTGCTGCCTTGCTCAGCTCCTATTTTGAGATATATGAAGCCAAAAAAGAATAATAAATAAACGGCAGGAATTCACTACCATATTGATCATTAGGTCCTGAGGTCCCTAGCTGGTGTTTTTTTCTTCTCTACCTTTTAGTCTTCTTATATATAACGTCCAAATGCAACTAAGATATTTAGTTGTACTTAGTGAGAAATAGGGAAAAGTACATCCACTCCATCTTCCCTGAAAGCTCTCTGTTCACCCACACACAGTTTTAAATGCACCATCCATTCAATGATCTGAAAGAATTTAAATAAAACAAAATTTATGTAAAAATATTTTAAATAACCATCTACTTAAAAACACATTACAATTTTATTAGATTAAAAACCATGAAATTGTTAATATTCAAGTTTTTAACCCATAAATATAGTGTTTAAAAAATGCAATATGCTAGGATGTCACTAGTAATGTCATAGCAACTCAAATCAGAGGAAAAAGGAGTGGGGAAGATAATCGCAAATGACTTCAATGATAGAGCATAGTAATCTTGCTAGCAACTCACACATTAAGATATCCTTGGCTATTTTTGTGTTTTAATGAATTACAACTACTTAAGAGGTTTGTGTTGGAAATGTCAGATATAGCTGTCAAGAATAGTTAGGCAGAGTGTGTTTTGCACACATCTAGGGACTATTCTTACAATGTAGACATCATAGCATTTTTTATTATTAAGATTTTTTTTGGTATATAACAGTAATATGCCCTGCCCTAATAATGTTATTGTAATAGGTTTCCAAAACATGAAAATAAAGTGTCTGGAAAAGGAAGCACATTTTTGTAACACATACATAGAGATTTTCTTAAATCACCTAGGCTCTTGAGGCACTAAGATAACTAAACACTAAAGATATTTTAATTTGGTACAAGTGAAGTTTTAGGTAACGTTTAAAAGCAGCAGCTATATAGAAGCAGGGGAAAGGGTACTCATTCTGTTTTCTCCTCTACATAGACTGTGCCTCTAAGCCAGGGGATAGCCCAGGAGCCAGGTATAAACCAGAGTGCAACCTTCTCCCTCATGGAAGGGGTTACATTCTTCTCACAAGGAGAAGCATTATTTGTTTACAATAATCCACATCCATCAGGCTCCTCATACAAGTTAATACTTTCCAGATTTTGGAAATAAATTTTCAGTCTTTAGGGAATACTTTTACTCATTTATGAGTTTCTAACCTTTCTATATTTTCACAGATATTTTAAATAAAACTGTATAAGGCTACATCAGTGGCCAGTTGCCATTTTAAACAAATAGTTGCATACTCACACATTTTGTTTTCAAAATAAATACGTAAATTATCTAGCCAATATTTCAAAGGTCAAAAAATACTTTCTGAATTTTTGGTTAAAACAAAGCTCACTTAAGAAAACTGCCAGGGTCAAGAGCTAAATATTATTGGAGTCAGGGAGGAGGTTAGGGGATGGATTCTGGACACATTCGCACTTTAGATTGGCACTCTTCCTAGAGTGGGACAAATTGTTCCTAACTCTTGCCTGGTGGTTGCTGTTAGCAATACAAAGCCATTAAATTCAATAGTGACCTCAGCATCAAACCTCACCCAAATAGCTTCCAGTTTCACAGCTTGAATCTCCAATTGCATTGATTCATCTCCATTCCCTGTCTAGATAGTCTTCATGATGAGAGCTTTTTCCCCATGGGCTGTACTTGATTTTCACAATCCCACTCTTGGTAATCACAGTGCTTTGAACTCATTCCCAGACAAGAGTTTCCACTGACTATTGTCAACCAAACTGTTCATTTCCAGCTGTTAAAGTTCAGAGTCATTGGACACAATTAAGAACTCGAGAAAAATATCTTCTTCCATCATATAAATGGTGATGATGTAATTGGAAAAAATCATTCATTTGATTATATACGGCTCTCTAGTTTCATTTATAAAACTCTGTCTCTCCAACTACTTTATAAAAGCTACAAGAGGCACAATCTGTGTTTTTCTTCTACATTACTCTTTGAACATAGTGTTAACAGTTAATTAATGTTTCTTGGATTGACTTAATGAGCCTTAGGATGTCAGTTATTTTCCTGAGATTATTTAAAAAGAAAATTATGATCACCCATATGTGGATTATTTTTATTGTGTGCCTACTGTGAGAAAAACTGTGCAAGGCACAAGCATATTAACAAAGAGTAAGAAAGAGAAACTTATCCTCAAGCATCTTACAGACCAGTAGATCATAGATGCAAAAAGTAAAGGGAGACATCATGAGAGAGATAAACCCAGAGCTACAATAATTATTTTTTTCAACTGGATGTTATTGGTAAGATTACTGGAAAAGATGACCTTTGAACTGACGTTTGTGAAAGCTAGGTAGAAATTGGATACGCAGAAATGAAAGAGAAGCATTTTAAGAAAGAATATTGACAATAATTTATTTACATCATGCACTTGTTCAATGTATACATTATCATTTAGATAATGTTTGTTACCTTCATCAGATAACATCTGACATGGCAGAAATAATGTGGGGCAGAGTTCAGACATCATAGCAGTATGTCCTAGGGGCCTAGATTAGCTATTGACACCAGCCAGAGATACAAAATGATCATATGGAAATTCTAGAATTGTTATTTTTAAAATGTAATTTGAGAGGTAATCATTCACTTTTCTCACTCAAGAAGTGACTACTGAGGTCATAACTATGTGCAAAGTATATTGATTTCTACCCTGTGTAAAAAGGCAATCACAAAGTAATATGCTTTACCATATATTTATTGAAAAAGATATTTTTGTGGCAAGCAAAACAACTGCAATGGTATGTGTTAAATATTATAATGGAGCTATATTCATTAAATTTGTTATGCCATGCAGATGTCAGAGAAATTAATTTTGCATGTGAAACTCAGGGGAAGCAAGAAAACATATTTGAGTTAGACAGACCTTTAAAAATGAAGAATCATTTAGTTTACCTTGTGGACCACATATACAGATTAGGGCATTCTATAGCAAAGCAGGAACAAGGTAGGGAGTCATGAACATCACGTTACCAACACGATTTGACCAGACCTTTGTATGGCCAAAGATGAGTTCAGAAATTCTGATGGGACTCAAGATCTACAAGGCATGTAGAAACACAGATCTGGGGGTATAGGCAAAATCAAGTTTGGAGATACAGATCTTAGAACCAGAAATATAAAGATAATACTTAGCATCATTAACGTAGATAAAATTTTCCACGAAAAGCTTTTGCCCAGTCTGAAGAATTGGCATGCTTAGACACTAACACCAGCTCTGCTACTTATTAGCTCTGTGGTCAAGTTACCTACCTTCCTAAATTTTAGATTTTATTTTTATAAACAAGCACGAGAGAACTACTTACTTCTACTAGTTTACTGTGCTGACTTCCTGTGATATAATTCTTTCAAAAACCGTAGAACAGGCACTGACATAGAGAAGAACTCAAAGATCTCAGTTACTATTAATGTCATTGAAGATGGCTATGATAGGACCCTAGAAAACACTAACACTAATGCAATAACCAGTAAAGGAGTAAAAGAGAGAAAGTAATTAGAGGTAGAAAAAGCCAATGGGTGAGTTATTTCATAAAACCTCATGGGAAAAAAGTTACAAAATGTATAAGGACAAAAGAGTCGAACTCTCAATCAAAATTCTCACAGGTCCAGAAAGATGGGGCCTAGAAATAAAATCGTGAGATTTGACTGGTGGCAGGCCTTTGGTGACCTTTTGTTATAGTAGTTTCAGTTGGACTATGGGGGTAAAAATTTGATGTATGTAGACTTGAAGGTATAAGAGGATGGAGTGAAAATTATGATACACTGTTCGTTACTGAAAGGAAATAAACTGTAGCTTAAGTGGGAAGTAGAGTGGAGGCGTAGTTTAATTACTGTTGATGTCTTAAACACATTGTCAGACAAAATAAATAACATCTATGGAGAAGGAGAAATTAATGAAAGATGAGGTATTTTGTAGAGAATGCCCCAAAAAGATTTAAAGAAATAGAACCAAAGGCACAGGTAGAGAGATGCTCTGATAATTTTTTACAAAGGTAGAGAAACTTCCTTGATTCAGATAGGAAAAAATGAATAGAAGTATAGATTGGAGATAATGCAGGAGATGTGAAAGCCATACTCCTAACAGCTCCTGTTTCCTGAGAAATTGAAGCTTAAGTGACTAAAATTGAGAGGGTTATTGATAGAGATATTTGAAAGAAAATAGAAAGAACTGGAACTGCTTGGAAAGGAAAAATTATGAGTTAGGAATAAGTCAACATTTTGTATAGCATTTCTGGAAGACCACATGATACTGGAACAAATTAATTTTTAAAAAGTGGTCTCTCAGAATGGGTAAGTGGTTTCCTCTGGGTATGTTAGAAGATCCTCTGACTTGACCCAAATGAAACAAAAACTAAGGGCCTTTCTGAGAATGTTTTTAAAAGTATTTGGCCATAAGTTTTAGCCTAGAGATAGGAGGCACTGATAGCTTGAGAGAATGAAAGATTGTAAGATGCAGCTATGCCCTCAAGAAGGTTTTACTCTAGGAGAAAACACTGGGACACCGGTGAAGACGATATTAAAAAAATACATGACAAATACTATAAGAATGATAAAAGCAAGTGTTATACAGTTAGGGGAAAAAATGAAAGTAATTCAACAGGGGGATTAGGAAAGGTTATTTGATAAAAGTGACATTGGTCAAATTTAAGAAGGCTTAAGAGGAGAGCCACCCTCTTGTTCTTGCCCTCAGCTGAGAGTGTTACTTGTTATTTCAAATTTACACTATTTTTCTATTCTTCATCTGTACTCTTAGGATTTGAAAACATTGTGTGTTTTTTTTTTTAATAAAATCAGGTCACAAAATAAGTCTCCAGAAGAAATGCCTTCTTATGAGGCAATATGCTGCATCTTCTGGAGAATGATCAGCCTTAGGTCCAGAGTAAGGCTGAAACCTCTGTTTTGATGACAGCTGAAAGTTAAGATCAACCTGAGACTGGAAATATACATTGTCTTAGTGATTCAATAAGAACTAAGTTTTCACATGGAAAGAGGTCACCTAACCTTGCATACCAGAAAGGAATAATAGAATTTGAGCAGGGTGCCAGAAAGATGCCACCTGCTCTCCAAGCTACATGGTCTTCAACATGACTAAGCAGTGGTTTTTGAAGCCAGCTTTTCACCAGTCAATCTTCATAGCTGGACTATGCTGCAGATAAAAGTCAAGCCATGTGGAAATAAGAGCAGGGAAGACAGTTTTTAGGAGTCAGTGACAGAGAGACCTTAGCAGGAGGAGTAACTGCAGGTCAGTGCAGCATAGAAAGAAACCAATGGGGAGGAAGAAATGGGCCTTTTCATTTATTAATTAAAGGAACAGAGCAGGACTGACAAATATATTGCTGACCATAAAAAAGAAGTAGTAAAAAACTCAGAGACAGAGGGATTGAACTAAGATGTAAAAACCAGACTAAGTCTTGAAGACACTTGAAGGAAATAAGAATCTTACCAGTCTTAGTGTTGGTGCCAAATAAAAGTTGCCTTGGGTTACCATCTGGGTAACTTAACCTAGTATTCTATGCAGATAAGTTGAATAAATACTAAACTTAGGATGTTTAACATGGGAATATCTAAGAAATGGACTAGAGAAAACAGATAACACTAGTTATATTTTGGTAAATATGAATTACTAAAAATTTTTAGCAATTTCCACTAGATTTTATTTCTTTATGTATGAGACATGATTTTAGCAGTATGACAAAAATATGTCAAAATCAGGGAGGTTTATCTTTCCACAATATATGCACAGGAGTGGACACAGTGAGATTGTGGTCATGGTTTGGGGGGTTGTAAACACATAGAAACATAAATCAGGGAGACTAGATGCAGTGGATGATGCCTGTTATCTCAGTGATTTGATTGCTTGAGTGCTTGAGGCCAGGAGTTTGATATCAGCCTGGGCAACATAGTGAGACCTCATCTCTACAATTTTTTTTTTTTAAATAGCTGGATGTGGTGGCATGTGCCTTTAATCCTGGCTGCTCAGAAGACTGAGGCAGGAGAGTAGCTTGAGCCCAAGAGGCTGAGACTGAAATAATAAGCCATGATTGCACCACTGCACTCCAGCCTGGGCAAAAGAGCAAGACCCTGTCTCTAAAAAAATAAGACAATGCATAAATCAGTAGAAAAAAAACTAAACCAGTCTGATTAAATCAAGGAATGGGAGAGGGAATGTACAGAACAATTATGCAAGAGTCATCAGATCCATATGAACTAATGTTGATTTGTGTTATTTCTCAAGGCAATCAGAAATGATGCATGAAAAACTCTATTCACTCAGGTAGAATAGGTGGAATTTAAAACGTGGCTCAGTCCCTCCATGCAGCATTATAAAATGTTAAGCTAATTCTAAACCACTGGGAGTAAGAGCCACAAAAATAAATCCTTCCTAATTCCCTTTGGTCTGCTTGTAAAGACACTAAATGTCAAGAAAGTTCAACTTAAATGTGTGGAAAATTTTCTCAATCACAGCTCCTCAATATTTCCAGTTGCCCAAATCCAGGCCATGTTGTGCCCCCAGGGGCACTCAATTCACCTTTTCACCATGATAACACTATAGAAGAACACAACATCGAGGTCAGCTTCTTTATGCTTTTTAGATCTTCCCTGTGCTTGCCCCATATAAGAAAAGCAATGGGGAAACCTTCTGAAAGGTAGAATATAAAGCATAATGTTCTATTAGTAATAGGAAATACTTGGTAAACTACCCACTCAGACTGCATCCCGTGGATCTGAATGACATTCAGATCTTCTTAAGTCCAAATGCTATTGATATAACAGCATTCTGACAGATCCTCCCATGAGTACTCATCATTTTCATCCTGAAGGATTGCTGATCCCCACATATTCTATATTCTCTCTTAACAATGACTCTTTGGTCCTGTGGAGTAAGATTTAGCAATTAAATTCATAGGCTTTGGAATCTAGCCAGTCTGTGTTCAAATCCAGGCTGTATCATTCACTAAAGCCTCAGCTTTTTCCCCTATGAGTTGGGGCTATTGTGTTAGCATCTAAGACAGTTGAGAAGATGCCAGTAAAGTGCGTGAGAGGTAGTAGATTCTGGTGACTGTTGTTATAATAATTATTATTATAATTTACTTTTCACCACGTGGAATTTTCCTTTCATTCTAACCTATCTATATATCATTAGTCCTGTAAGGTACAGCTTAAGTCCCACCTTTGCCGACAATGTTACCATTCACTATGTTCATTCACACTCTAACTTAGACATTGTATGGAACTAAATAATTGTAACAATCTGTTAATATACTCTCATTTATCAGCTAGTTCATTAAACATACTGTATTCTTGTAACTAGATAATTAATGAATTGCAGGCAAGGAATACAGCTTTGCATTATACATATTTGGTTTCCACTCACAGCTTGGCATGAGTAAGGCACATCGTAGCTATTTAATAAATATGGGCTGATGGAGGACATTATTATTTCATCTATGAAGTGATTACTGTCCAGGCATTGCTAAGAATAATGAGGCCTTATTGTCAACCCTCATAAATTCAGAGTATTTCAGAGCAACATCCAGTTGGAATTATTGAAAAGTTTGATGTTTGTTTTCTCTTAAGAAATGTAGTTCTCTAACTCTCAGTAGATTGCAGACTTCTGTTTATTCTGGCAACATTTAAAAAGGCAACTAAGTCATTATTCCTATAATTTCCATTGAGGGGACCTGAAATATGAGGAGAAAACCTGCAACAGCCCTGGAAGGTGATGTCATTCATATACAAAAACTATTAAGGAATTTCTGCTTGAAAAACTGCCAAAGGGCTTCACATTTCTCCTTATTAAAGAGCTGTTTACTTAGGAAGTAATTAGAGAAACCATGTCAAAACTTCACTGACACTCCTAATTTGAAAAGTAGAAAGCAGATACTAGGGTTATTCTGGTCAGCTGGCAGCAAACCAGATAGTGAAACAATCTGTTTGCACCATTTTAAAGTCCTACCTTTGCGGCAGAACCTTTTCCCAGAGGGAATAGCTATCATGCAGATGACAGAGAGAAAACCAACTCAACAAAGCAAGGCCTCTTCTGCCAAGAGCTGATGTTTGCATTGGCTAAGAAGCTAGGGCTGGAATGCATATTTTTCAGGAATCCAATCCATTGAGCAGACAGCTTCTGTCTGGATCCTGTGGTTACAGCAAGAATAGAGTGACTTCTGTAGAATGAACCCTCAGAACATATGAGTGCACCAAAAAGTTGGCTGGCATGGTGGCAGGGCTGTGTTAGAACAGGTAATCACACCTCTCAAAAAAATAGAGAAAAATAAAAACGTCTACAAAAAGGTAGTACAATCCATACAGGTACTCCTGTAATGATTTGGAAAAATGGTCACTCTGATTTCCTAAAGGAAGCAGAAAAAATTTTAGAAAATGGCTATGGTTTATATAAAGATTCAAGAAGGCAGAGAAAACAATCACAAAGAAGGAAAAATCTGAGATTACAAAAAATTGCATGGAAATAAAATCTTTTCTGCAAAATTAAGAAGTAATGAAGAACAGAAAGATAATGAAGAACTTATAGTTCAGTTAAATGATAACCATGAACATGATTGGAGAAGAAATGAGATACATGCTTACACAGAGTTGAAATAGTGTTTAAAGAATTACACAGAGTTGAAATAGTGTTTAAAGAATTGCATAAGCGAGCTTGTTTAGGTAGAAGACATCCTTGTGTCCAGCCTGTGTATGGTAATTTTACCATCCACCAAGAAATATATTTTTTAAAAATTTTTGTTTGTTTTTGTAGTATTCCAAAACCAAGAAATATTTTAAAAAGAGAGAAATATCAAGGGGCAAGCTTAATTTAATTTTAAAATGAAAATAAAATCATATGAAGCCAAAAATGAGCTAGTTAAAGCAAATGATACTAATAACAACAACAGTTAATGAAGGCTGACTTCAGATTTTTTCTTGCACCACTAAATACCAAAGATTAAGCAATATATGTCCACAGATTTTGAAGATAAAGTATTCTATCCAAAACATTCCATACTCAGTCACATTGTTCGTATCTGAGAAGAAACAAGATGTTCTTAAGCCTTGAATATTACCAAATATATAATATACATGCACTCTACTGAAAATAATTATGGGAAGACATACTTTAGCACCCTGTGAAATGAGAAAACATAGAGAACTCATGAATGGAGAATTATTATAAATCAAATGCAGAGTTGATAATGAATTGTACTTTAAAGTAAACATGCCAAAGTTAATTCTAGAAATCCAATGCATACTATGTCAAAATTGAATAATTTTATTTTAGCTCTTCAATTCTAGATAATATACACAAGAAGTGGAAATGGTATGATAAGAAAAAGAGGTAAAATTATAATAATTAACCCTGAGCTGCCTAAAGGTAGCCCATCAGAATAGATATAGTCTGTGGTGACACATATTGGGAATATGTCAGTTCTCCCTCAATTGATATAGAATATCAAGGCAATTCAGCAAAGTCTCAGGATACAAAATCAACGTACAAAAATCACAAGCATTCTTATACACCAATAACAGAGAAACAGAGAGCCAAATCATGAATGAACTCCCATTCACAATTGCTTCAAAGAGAATAAAATACCTAGGAATCCAACTTACAAGGGATGTGAAGGACCTCTTCAAGGAGAACTACAAACCACTGCTCAATGAAATAAAAGAGGATACAAAGAAATGGAAGAACATTGCATGCTCATGGGTAGGAAGAATCAATATCATGAAAATGGTCATACTGCCCAAGGTAATTTATAGATTCAATGCCATCCCCATCAAGCTACCAATAACTTTCTTCACAGAATTGGAAAAAACTACTTTAAAGTTCATATGGAACCAAAAAAGGGCCCGCACCGCCAAGTCAATCCTAAGCCAACAGAACAAAGCTGGAGGCATCACGCTACCTGACTTCAAACTATACTACAAGGCTACAGTAACCAAAACAGCATGGTACTGGTACCAAAACAGACACATACATCAATGGAACAGAACAGAGCCCTCAGAAATAACGCTGCATATCTACAACTATCTGATCTTTGACAAACCTGAGAAAAACAAGCAATGGGGAAACGATTCCCTATTTAATAAATGGTGCTGGGAAAACTGGCTAGCCATATGTAGAAAGCTGAAACTGGATCCCTTCCTTACACCTTATACAAAAATTAATTCAAGATGGATTAAAGACTTAAACATTAGACCTAACACCATAAAAACCCTAGAAGAAAACCTAGGCATTACCATTCAGGACATAGGCATGGGCAAGGACTTCATGTCTAAAACACCAAAAGCAATGGCAACAAAAGCCAAAATTGACAAATGGGATCTAATTAAACTAAAGAGCTTCTGCACAGCAAAACAAACTACCATCAGAGTGAACAGGCAACCTACAAAATGGGAGAAAATTTTCGCAACCTACTCATCTGACAAAGGGCTAATATCCAGAATCTACAATGAACTCAAACAAATTTACAAGAAAAAAACAAACAACCCCATCAAAAAGTAGGTGAAGGACATGAACAGACACTTCTCAAAAGAAGACATTTATGCAGGAAAAAGACACATGAAAAAGTGCTCACCATCACTGGCCATCAGAGAAATGCAAATCAAAACCACAATGAGATACCATCTCACACCAGTTAGAATGGCAATCATTAAAAAGTCAGGAAACAACAGGTGCTGGAAAGGATGTGGAGAAATAGGAACACTTTTACACTGTTGGTGGGACTGTAAACTAGTTCAACCATTGTGGAAGTCAGTGTGGCGATTCCTTAGGGATCTAGAACTAGAAATACCATTTGACCCAGCCATCCCATTACTGGGTATATACCCAAAGGACTATAAATCATGCTGCTATAAAGACACATGCACACGTATGTTTATTGCGGCACTATTCACAATAGCAAAGACTTGGAACCAAGCCAAATGTCCAACAATGATAGACTGGATTAAGAAAATGTGGCACATATACACCATGGTGTACTATGCAGCCATAAAAAATGATGAGTTCTCGTCCTTTGTAGGAACATGGATGAAATTGGAAATCATCATTCTCAGTAAACTATCGCAAGAACAAAAAACCAAACACCGCATATTCTCATTCATAGGTGGGAATTGAACAATGAGAACACATGGACACAGGAAGGGGAACATCACGCTCTGGGGACTGTTGTGGGGTGGGGGGAGGGGGGAGGGATAACATTAGGAGATATACCTAATGCTAAATGACGAGTTAATAGGTGCAGCACACCAGCATGGCACATGTATACATATGTAACTAACCTGCACATTATGCACATGTACCCTAAAACTTAAAGTATAATAATAATAAAATAAAATAAAATAAAAGTTAGCATTAAAAAAAGCAAAAACAAAAACAACAAAAAAAGAAAAGTTAGCATAAAAAAAAAACAAAAACAAACAAAAAAAAGAATACCTACATTGATAATATGCAAGCGGTTATTGAAACACAATTGTATTGATGACGGTCTTATAAAAGATCAGAAGAATATATAAAACTATAATTACTAAAACTAATTGGTCTGGCACATATAAATTAAAAAAATTTTTAGTTTAGAAAGCATAGTAATAATTTTGTATATTATAAACTTACATTAGCTAATTAAATTAAAAAATGATGGATCGGCCGGGCGCGGTGGCTCACGCCTGTAATCCCAGCACTTTGGGAGGCCGAGGCGGGCGGATCACGAGGTCAGGAGATCGAGACCATCCCGGCTAAAACGGTGAAACCCCGTCTCTACTAAAAATACAAAAAATTAGCCGGGCATAGTGGCGGGCGCCTGTAGTCCCAGCTACTTGGGAGGCTGAGGCAGGAGAATGGCGTGAACCCGGGAGGCGGAGCTTGCAGTGAGCCGAGATCCCGCCACTGCACTCCAGCCTGGGCGACAGAGCGAGACTCCGCCTCAAAAAAAAAAAAAAAAAAAAAAAAAAAAAAAAAAAAAATGATGGATCGGCCGGGCACAGTAGCTCATGCCTGTAATCCCAGCACTTTGGGAGGCTGAGGCAGGTGGATCACGAGGTCAGGAGATCGAGACCATCCTGGCTAACATGGTGAAACCCCATCTCTACTAAAAATACAAAAAATTAGCCGGGCGTGGTGGCGGGTGCCTGTAGTCCCAGCTACTCAGGAGGCTGAGGCAGGAGAATGGTGTGAACCTGGGAGGCGGAGCTTGCAGTGAGCCGAGATCACGCCACTGCACTCCAAAAAAAAAAAAAAAAGATGGATCATTAAAAAATAAATATTGGTAAATATTGGGTCAATTGTTATCATTTAAAGTTAAAAAATATCTTTAAAGCCAAATCAAAAAAACCTAGAAAACATTATATTATCTCAATCCATATTATAAAATACATTTGATGTAAAAACTAAAATATAACAAAACACAAACATGATTGGAGAAAATTTTGGTAGAGATTTCTAAGTATGACCTACAGAAGAACTATATGATAGTTAATTGCTAAATTTGACAAGAGAAAAATTCATAACAAAATTAAAAGACACATAACAGCAAATTAGGAATATTTTCTACATAAGTCCGTGGGGAAGTAATGATTTTTAAATAAACAACATTTAAAAATCAAAAGTAACAAAGAGACAAAAAAAGAAATTGACCACTCTTCATTAATGGGGCCTTTCCAGTCTCTCTAGATCAGAATAAATCTCTTGAAGCATTAGAGCATTTCAAATCCTTTCACACCCATGAGATGACATGTTCACATCTTCTGTCCTCACTAAATTGTAAGCTTCTTGTAGACATGGTTCTTGTTTGTTTTGTTCACCTCTACATTCCAGATTCTCAGCATAGAACCTGATGCAAATATAAATTAATACATTTTGTCATGACTATTGAAGAACAAGAATAAGAATTCTCAAATCAGTACATAGAGATGATGATTAAATAAATGAAAATCATTTCATTAGCAATCAAAATGCATGTTAAAATAAGATTAAAATTATAAGTAACAATGTTCACAGTTGGCAGATACACAGTAAATAAGTGAGCGCTTTTCTGCCATTAATGGGTATAAATACTGGTGAACTTTTCAAGGTGTTGGCAGGAAATGTGTATAGAGAGGTTTATGTGCATACTCTTTGACCCAGTAATTGTATTTTTATGAATGTTTCTAAAGGAATGAATCATGACAATACTTTGAGATTTTCCTGCTAGGGTGCTAACATCATCACAGCAGTGTTTGTAATGAAGACAAAAATGAAAATAATTTAAATTTTCAACCTTAGGTTATTGGCTAAATAAAATGAGATATATTAATGTTACAGAATATTTAGCTTTCAACATGAGCTTGTAGAAGATTTAATGGCATGTAATGTTTTCATAAATTTTAAAAAATGTGAGTGATAGTATATAATGGACAGAACTTCACTCCTAACAGAAATGCCTAAGAAACAACTTTACTGTAATGATGAAAAGATTTGCAAACTATCTGGTGTGATAGTAAAATTAAGGTACAGAGGAGATATTTAGGCCCTGAATTTAAATAAATGGCAATGAACTGACATGTCATTTGTATTATTTTAAAAGGCATATTTTATGGCCTTCAGGATAGTTATTTCTCTTAGGTAAGTTAAGCATTCCCCTTGAATTTTTAATTGGAAGAATTGATTTGCTTAGTAGGAAAAAAAACAAAAAACAACTCATGTTTAAATAATGAGTTCAGGGTAAATCTTGTCCAAGAGATGGTACTTCACAAAATCCAACGCTGAAAAGCTGTTTCTTTTTCAGCTGATGAGCAAGGGTGTATTTCACAATGCCTGGCTTGGGAGATCCAGTGTTAATACAACCTAAGTCCCCTGCAAGAGAAAAACTTCTGGAAAGCCCAGGGAGAAAGAACAGGACTTATTTTATTTAATCATTTATCTATTTACCTAGCTATTTACTTAGTTACAGGCATCACAATTTTTGTTTGTGGTTTCTAGCTACTGGTTGAGTGCTTTGTTTTGTTTTCCCGAAAGGGACAGAGTCTGAGTTCTTTAGCAAGGATATGGGGATGGGGAAGTAATTTATATCCTTATTTGTTAAAATGCACAGATTTTCTCAACACGTCTTCTTCCTCCCCTGGCAAATTTCATCCCCTACCGCCCAGTAAATCATCTTTCAAAGCTTGGGGTTGATATATTCTCCTTTGAAACGTACATATCAGAGAAAAATCACTGGAGATTTGCATTATTCTAAACAATTTATGAGAAAGTCTGCCTGACTGTATTTCCCAGTAGAAAGGATGGGGCCATTTTTATAAATGATTTATTATTGTTTTCTTCTGTAGGCACCAATAGATGAGACAGAAAAATCAAAGTTAATTAAGTAAAAAGCAATCAATTTTTTCTTTAAAGCATATATGTGTATATATTTTATATATGGTTGCACTTTATAAGTGTGTTTATAAGTTTTTGTATTCTCTATGGGTAGATATGAATATGGATGTATGACATTCATTTTAAAAACTCTGTTCTCACTCATCTCATATTTGAAGATATGACTGTAAAAGGTACTAAATGGAAAACAGGAAAGCATGCCAACCACCAGCTGATGGGAGACATCTGAAAGAAATTAGACACATTTTCAGGAGTACTTTTCCATTCCCTTCCTATGCCCCTGGCTAGTGTGTTCTTTGTACATCAGATTCCAACTCTGGAGAAGCTGCCAGGCATGCAGGACCAACGCCTGGCCCTGGTGTCTCCTTCATTGATCAGATACAGCGGGGAAGAAATTTGAGCCAAGCCCCCTGCCATGACTGCGTGAGATACTGATTTTGATGCGTTTGTATGTATACACATACATACACACACAAACACACACACATTTATTCACATGCTTTCTGAAAGGGGGTACGGGGTGGGGAGAGATTATTAGGATTGTCAAAAGATAAACAAACTTGAATCAATCGTACAGAACATAAATACAGAGCTTGCTAGACAGCAACAACAGCAAATACCAATGGTTGCAAAGTTTGCTTTCAGACAGGCTAGATATCATCTTTCAGAGTATCTTCTTCACCCCGGCCCCCACCTCCAACAGTTACTCCTTCCACTGTGTCAGGCTAACCTGACTCCCATGAAAACCAGGCATTGCTCTCAGTTAAGAAATACCTTCAAAACTTGCTTCTCTGAAATGTTTGCAGTCTAGGAGGGGTCTGTGTTGGCTGTTTGCCTACACAATCTCAGCTCTTGGATTCCTGACTTTTTTCTGTTCTACTTTGCTCTGTGTAGCAGAGCACAGGCCCTTGAAAATTATGTTTCTTAGACTCTCTTGCCGCTTATTTAGCTTTGCCCCCGGGAAGCACTGCTAGGAAACTATAGAACAGGAAGAGGGGAAAAGCAAAGGTGTTTTGTCCCTCATTTTGGTTGCTGGTGGCCTGTCAGAGAGTTGCTGTATCTCCTTTCTGGCCCTTGTTCTGTCAGGGCAATTCCTCCTTCCTAGCTCCCACCTCTTGCAGGTGGCTCCAGCGTGAGATTTGGAGCAGTCCATTTCCTAGCTGTATGGCCTAAACAATTTCTACTGGCCTCAGTTTTCTCCCCTTGAAATGGTGCAATGCTATCTGTCCTGATGAATTAACCTGAGATCATCGATGTGGAATCACTTCTTAGATTGCACAAATCTGTTTGCTAATTAGGTACATGAGGTGCTTTACAAATCTTTCTATATGTACATATTCAAACATTTCATACGTTTATCTGGGATGTTTTAAGAAGCAATATTTTTTCTAAGGGGACTGACTCTTCAAGGGTACTAAAAGTAGGGATTATAATTAGGTTACTGAAATAAGATTTTAAAACCATATAAGCTACTTTAAGAATAATTTGGAGGAGATGTGGTCCCTGGCTTAGTTCTCAAGTAACTCAGAGTAGAGAAGTGAGCTACTCAGCATATACACAGGCTGCGCTTGCCTAAAAAGATACAGAAAGAAAAATATTTTTAGTTCAACATAGGATTCTTGGTTATTCCCAGTACACTTTGTGCTTGGCAGGTTTTATTTGCCTGGATAGTATATCAAAATCCCTAAAATAAAGTAAATGAGATTACATTTTGTGAGGGATTTCATGCCTTTTTAGAAAACATTACACAGAGCTAAACCAAATTCATAAAGATGAACATATTTGCAATCATAAGATCCATGGAATGGAAGACGGAAAATAGATGGCTTAGTGTACCAGTCAACTACTGTTACAATAATGCTTTGCAAGAAAGTACTCCAAAATTCAGCATGTTTTTTGTTTGTGTTGCCTAATTCTTAGGTTGGCAATTTGGCGCTTGACTGGAGCTCCACTAGGCTTAACTCCAGACTGGAGGCTGGGTTGAGATCTTTTCCACAGGACTTTTTCTGGTTTTCTTTTCTTTTCTTTTCTTTTCTTTTCTTTTCTTTTCTTTTCTTTTCTTTTCTTCTCTTCTCTTTTCTGTTCTTTTCTTTTCTTTCTTTCTCTCTTTTTCTTTCTCTTTTTCTTTCTCTTTTCTTTCTTTCTTTCTTTCTTTCTTTCTTTCTTTCTTTCTTTCTTTCTTTCTTTCCTTCCTTCCTTCCTTCCTTCCTTCCTTCCTTCATTCCTTCCTTCCTTCCTTCCTTCCTTCTGTCTTTCTCTTTCTTTCTCTTTCTTTCATTCATTCATCTGTCTTTTTATTTATTTGTTTATTTTTGTAATGGGATCTTGCTCTTTTACCCAGGCTAAAGTGCTGTGGCACGATTGTAGCTAGCTACAGTGGCACTATCATAGCTCACTACCGCCTTGAACTTGTGGGCTCAAGTGACCTCCTCCCCCTCAGCCCCTCAAGTAGCTGAGGCTGCAGCCACATATTACCATCTCAGGCTTCTCACCATCCTACTCGAGCCAGTTGCTAGTCCTGGTGTATTTTCTTATTGAGTAACAGGAGTACAAGAGGGTGCACAGAAATACATGATGCATATGGAGATTTCAGTACAGAATGAACAGACTGACTCTTCTTCCCACATTACATTGGTCAGTGAAGGTCATATATTCAACCTCAACATCAATGGAGCAGGATACTATGCTTTGCCCACTCCAGTGGATGCTATCAGAGAGTCTCATGCTAGAGAATAGAAAAGTATAATTGTAACACAGAGAGGGCATGATGGCTTATGAACAATGATTCAAACCGCCATAGCTTGTTTTGAATCCATCACTTATTGGCAAATAGAATTTCAGAAAAATAAGGCCCTCTTTTTATGTAAAAATAAGAAAAAATGGATTTGATTATGTCTAGTATACAATCCAACTCTTCTCATTAATTTACAGTGTGATGAATTCACTTTTACTATTTGTACAGCTTTGTATTATATAACAATAAAGGTTTTACTAACAAAATAAATCAAACTAATAGCATCACACTGACAGAATTTATTTCAGAGAACAAGCATTTTTAAGGATTTTTAAAGTCAAGAAATTATATGTCTCGATGATATTAATAACCCATGAATCATTCTATTCACTAATAAATTCCTGAAAAATACATTTACTTGGAAACATTTGTTATCCAATTAATTTGATTTATTACATTTAGTTCATATTTTGATTAATTAGACATACCACTATTTCAGATGGCCCCACACTCCAATTTGCTCCCATTTTCAAGGGCCGATAGTACAAAAATCTCTGTTTGCTGTGTCTCCTCAGGAGACAGTCAGGCGGGGCACAATACCCAGAGCCTTGTATGAGATCAGGACATCTGCTTTCCATTTCTGGCTCTACCATCTAATAGCCACATGACTCTGGACAAATTAATGGTTTTGTTCCTTTCTTCCTCTGCAAATAGGGAGGTGTCATAGCTGAACCACTTCACTCAGAGGATTAGCAACATGATCAAAGGAGATTCCATATGTTAAAGCATTCTGACAAACTAAGCTCTGAACACATTTAAGTTTCATGGTGAGGGCATGTTTTAATTAGTTTCGTTATTATTTAGGTGTGGTTAGGCCAATAGATCAGGAGATGACTGCTGCTGAAAAGATAGTTTATTATAGTTATAGATCTCAAGAGAGGGAGAATATACATCATGCCTTGGGGGACCAGGGAATGAGCAAGAGCAGTCATGAGGCAGAGGGAGAGTGGGGAGTTGTGGGCAAGAGCCTTTATTGTGTTTTCCATGGAAAGTAATGGGGGAAGCTGTTTTAGAAATAGCTGGTTTGAGTAACGTCAGCATCTCAGATGTGTACGGAATATCCCTAGTTTTCCTGTACCTAGACCTAGGGTGACTAGGGTAGATGTATAGTGGCCTGGTTTGTGAGAGTCTGATTGGTCGGAAGAGTAACTCGGAACTGGTTGGTTTGTGTTTGAAAAGTGCAGTCTCAGAAGGCGGACTCCACCTGAAGAGGGGGGGATGATGAGGAAGGCCAAAGGCCAAGGTGAGGTGACTCAGGCAGATTATCAGGTTGTCCAGAACAAAGTGTTTCTGGCATATGCAGGCAGGGAAGATGCTGAAACACCAAGTTTACAGAAGCTAGAAACATGGTTAATACAGGGCATCATTGTTTTATTCTTTCTAGAGCAATCTCTCACAGCATATAATTGGTTCAGCTATTTGGGAATGTGAAAATTATGTCACCCCAACCCATATCTTCAGAGGGTTTTTGCAACTCTCTAATAATGTTCTTAAAGGTTATTTACTCACTAAACATCTGATAACTGTCACAGAGGAATTATCTGAACACAAGTTCTAAAATGGAGTGAGATATTCTGTTTTAGATGTACAAGAAAAATAATAATCAAAGCTGGAGAGAAAAACCTTCATAATCGTACATTTTCCCCAAAGAAGCCCTTCTGTGAAGGTGGCACGAAGAGCGCACCACTGACAAAGAAAGTTGGGATAGTGAGTTCAAAGCATAATCTTGGGGAAAACCTGGGGCCTAGATTCTAGCTCAAGTTTTGCCACAATAGGTGAGAGTAATCTAAAACATAATGATTGTGGTACACGTCTCTTAAAAACCTTTCTATAGCTGTCTTTATCCTCAGGATACAGTCTAAGCATCTTGAACTAATGTACAAATTATTTTGTAGTCTGCCCAACTGCTATAGCAGTTTACCAGTTCAGCCTATGGATTGCCTTACATTTCAGATTTCAGCTGTGAAGAATTCTAATAGGACTTTGCAGTTCCCTGAAAATGCCATATTCTTTCATGGCACTTGCTTACTGAGACTGCAATGAACTTCCCTTCTGTTATTCTGTTCACTCTTCCAACTCAACCTAGAGCCCTACTGATTCTTCAGGCCTGAGTTTGGTGCCTTCTTTGGTAGGCATCCTTGATCTTCCACTTTAAAGTTGGGTTTGATGTATTCTATAATGGGCTACATGTATGCCACCTTAGAACTGGGGTTTAATTGCTTGATTACTAGTATATTTCTGTAAATCATCTGCATGGTCCATGAGAACAAGGTCAGCTTTTAATCACTGTGTCATCTCAAATATTAAAACCTTGAATTTGGCACTGCGGAAGTTACTAAATGGAGTCCCCAAACTCCAGAAAAACTTGCCAGATCCTGGGGCTGGGTTAAATGCCTCTGCTCTGTGTTCCCATATTTCTCAGTTATTTCTCTTTTATTAAACACATTTTAGTACTATTGTTTATGCAGGTGTCTTTTCCATTAGACTTCAAATTTCTT
This sequence comes from Homo sapiens, assembly GCF_000001405.40. Lineage (NCBI taxonomy): Eukaryota > Metazoa > Chordata > Mammalia > Primates > Hominidae > Homo > Homo sapiens. Next base: position 43,881,478 of record NC_000018.10, read on the forward strand.
AAGGACAGAAACTGTGAATCATTCATCTTTGTGTTTCTAATTTCAAATACAGTGCAACAATTTAGCTACTCAGAAATTGTACCTATTATGGTTGTTATTATCCTGTTTATAATAAATGTTTTTGAAAGATGGATGAATAAATAAATGCAAAACAGGACATGATAATGGGGGACAGTTACCGAAATATATGCTATGCCTTCCTCACAGATTTGTTTTCCAAGTACCAAGATAAAATGAAATTATTCAGAAAAATCACCAAAACAAGCAAGATAAATAAGGTGTTATTTTGAAAAACACTAGGAAAAGTAGAAATAAGATAGTAAAATTTAACATTCTGTGGACTTCACTATTTAGTTCACTCCTGTTCATGAAGTTATGGAAGGTTAATCACTATTGTTTTTGGAAAGACAGTTAGTTCACTGATTATCTATTTCTTTCAATGACCAGAAATTCAAGGTATTGCTGTCAAGGTAATGGTGTCTAGAGCTATCACGGAAACTAGATGCCTGATGTCTGGAAGGAATGATGCATATCACTGTGTGATTAAAGCCTGGTTTTTGCAATGAAATAAAAAACACTTATGTTGAAAGTACTACATCACCCCAGTGTTCAACTTTCTCCAATGGCCCCATGGAAAATAATTGATGAGATTCCAGGAGGAATGTTTTCTACTCCTTCTCTGAAGGGGTAACCATGACCAACTGACCTGAAGTCTAAGATTCCTTTTTAAGGAGGGAAAAAGCCATGTGCCATATATTAAATAGACAGCTCAAAGTACAAAAATGTGGAAAAGTAACTCACAGGCTAAGAATTATAGTGAGGAAAATATGGCTACTTTCAAAATGACTCTCAAAGCAAATTTTGATAAAAGAGAGAGAGAGACCTTAACTCTTGCCCAAGGCTCTTCCAGAACTTAGAGATTCACTTTTTGGTACTTGAACTTCCTTGCAGGACAAGAGTATACCCAATAGGACCACCTTGCCATCAGCCTTCCTCTTCTCACTGCTAACTCCTCCCACCTCCCTGTCCTCTGCGGGGCCCACTGGCAGCACTTCACTCTCTTCCAGTCACAGCTGAGGCCAGGGCTGTGGTATGTGCAAACTGTTATGTGTTTTTTTCAGGCAGGGTGAGTGGTGAGGTGACAGCAGGACAGCATGTGGAAGAATGAAGAAAAACCAAGTTACCAAATCCAAGTATAACAACATTCATATTCTACTTTTTAACACAGCTCTTTTGGCCACCTCAAATTTCAAGGCAGAAAAAAAGAGAAAGCACGTTACTGTTTTTCCTTTCCTCATTACCTCAGGGCATTAACCTACTTTGAACTCAGTCTATCGGTTGCGCTGATTCCACACCCAAGAGGCATTATTATCACCGAGTTCAAAAGTGTTCAACATATGGACATCATCAAACCCAAACTGACTTTATGTTCCTCATTTCTAGTAAACGATTAGAGAAATCTAATCAAGACACATGCCTATGTCAGGGGCTAGGCAATGCACCGTTAAATGTGTCATTGAGTTGTGTGCAGAGCTTGCAAGATGCCACAAACTCATTTTAATTTTACACAGACAAATTGAAAGACCCAATGTCTTCATTAGGGTGCAGCTTGCATTGAAACACAACAACAACAACAACAGGAAGTCAGCATGGAAAACAGAAGCTGCATGTTCAAATCACATCCATATTGGCATTTCACAACTGTAGCCTGATTGCATTGTTAATTAATTCTTGAAATGCACAGTAAGCCAAAGGGACAATTTGAGAAGAGTACTTGTCATTTAATTAGTAAATTAAGGTTTTTTTTTATATAAAATCTCAAATGCTTCTCTATTTAATTAGTATGTACTGTAGACCAAAATCTCACACCAGCTGGATATTTTCAGGATAAATGGCTTTGCTTATTTCTTTCATGTATCAAGTCAGTAACTTTTCAGAAAGAGGTTGAGCTTGGATGGTGGGAAGGAGAGGAATAAGACTACCAGAACAGGGTGCTTGTTGTATATAATCATATATTTCATGGAGGAAAAGGGAGAAAATTCCTATTTCAAGGTGTTACTCTGACATCTACACTGTGGAACATTACAGCTTGCAGAGTTTTAGGGCTCATCTTGCCCAATATCTTTTTTCTTGGAATAAAATGTTGAGGCTGAGAGACGTAAAGCAACACATCGGAAGTCACACACCTAGTTAAGTAGGGTGATGTAAACTACTATCTACGTCTTCTATCTAGATTTTTTAGATGTCTGTATTCTAATGAAAAGGTGTGCAAAGCATAATTATAAGCGTGCATTGAAGGCATGTGAAGTGCATGTGAGAAAGACTTTGTGATCTGTACTCTGATTTTAAAATTTTGGAATACGGAGATTTCACTGGAGTGTGTTTGTCTTTAATGTATTACCAATTAATAATTAATATCTCTAAATGAAGAATGAGCTTGTTTTATTTCACATTCTGGGAGCAGTTTTGTCATGTTTGAGCAAGTTTCCATGAATGTTTCTTAATATAATACCAGGATATGTCAGCTCTGTCTTATATTTGCAATGACTCTTATTTTCTTCTTAATTAAACACAGAAGCTGCTGATCTGAGGACAAAAATAGAATCTGATGAAGTCTGAATTTTTTCCCAGAAAATATTCTGTCTTTGCCTCCAGATGTCAAAAGTTACACATGAGTACAGCTCACACAGGGAAAGGGGAAAACAGCAACCTCTTGAGCTGGAGCCTTAGGCTAGAAAAGATCACTGATTACCCACCTGTTCCCCCTGGATACTAGGGCTTCAATCCAGAAGGTGCTGTGATGAAGTGGCTTCAGCAAAATATTACCTGAGACATCCTGATCCATTATGAGAACGGTAAGAAGCAATAAAGAAATTGAATATAAAGGAATCAATAAACAAATAACAATGAGTACAAACTACTCAAAAAGCTAAGTGAAATATATTTTCTTCTAAGACACTATAATGAACAATTAATTTGTAAGTAATTCATATATGCATAAAACATTCAGTAAAATAATTTTTAAAAGTATATGTGTTAAATGGCTAATGAGAGGTATATAATACTATAAGGGCTCAAAAATGGAGAACATTGACAGGTTACGTAAATAGAAGACCTCATGGAGACAAGCAAAACAAGCCTCACAAACTGGTTCACTCTGACCACCAGTAGAAATGTAGGTCTTGTTTCTCCTGCTCATGCTGCCTGGTATCTGAATATTGACCTATTGATTTCTTATCACCTGTACAAGCTTATCATCTGTGTCCTCACTACTTGCTGTGGCCTCCAATTTCTTCTTTTGGATTCACTTGAAGATGACTATGTAGCTGGCTAGAGTCATCTGTGTCCTAGGTTGTATCTTTCCTAACTGCATGTCCTGGTCTTGATCCTATGGCTCTACCTGGTTTCTAAGTCATCTCCAGTCTGAAGATGCCAAGCCAATAATACCCACGTAGACACTAGTACTGACTATGATTGGGTTGCAAAGAATGTTGCTTTTGTTCCTACAGAAGCTATAGCTAGGCTCACAATGAATTGTCTAATATATTTTCTTTTTTAACTTCAGTATCAGTTGCCTCAATTTTTCAGGCAAGATAATTAAGTTAAATAATATCTAAGAATCTGTTTCATCTCTAAGTTGCTATGGTCATGGTGAGATCATTGATCATTCATATGTAAATAGATTTTTCCTAATTATTGTGTAGTATTTGAAAACAGATTGCGCTCATGATTATTTTAAACATGCCCCCTGTGAGCTTCTTTATCCAACTAATTAGTCTTATTTTTTAATAAAACAATTTTAACCAAAGTAAACTTTTTATTAAAATGTCAGAGATTCCAAAGCGATTCAATCCAAATCAATGAGGTTACTAAATGGAAAGTTTTGCAAAACTGAATTCTGCTTTCAAAGTTTCTTGCCTTTTATTGTTAACTTAGGGAATCTAGGGTCACTTTATTCTCTGTTGTTGTTTTAAGCAAAATATAGACTAAATTTTGAATCAAAGACAAGGCTTGATTTTTTATAACTATGACTAGTTCATCACAGATAAGCTCTTTATAATCTTCAAGCTTCATTGTTTTTATCTATAAAATGAGAGTAATGATACTTGCTTTACGTATCTTTCAGGATTATTGGGAATGTGAAATGCAGCAATGTAAATAGGGCTATGTGTGGACAGGAAGGTCCTGCTTAAATGTCACGCTCTCAGCTCTTTTTGGATTGTTCTTCTATGGGCCATGATATGCTGTTTTTCCTTTTTTGTTTGTTTGTTTGTTTGTTTGTTTTTTAAAGGATTCTCTCTACTCTCTGTCGCCCAGGCTGGAGTGCAATGGTGCTATCTCGGCTCACCACAACCTTCGCCTCCCGGGTTCAAGAGATTTTTCTGCCTCAGCTTCCTGAAAACCTAGGACTACAGGCGTGTGCCACCACACTCAGCTAATTTTTATTTTTTCTCCGTGTTAGCCAGGCTGGTCTCAAACTCCTGACCTCGTGATCCGCCTGCCTCGGCCTCCCGAAGTGCTAGGATTACAGGTGTGAGCCACCACGCTCGGCCTGTTTTTCCTTCTTATACAACACCTACCACATTATATTATGATTAATAATGCATGCTTTTCTTTTTTAGTTTTTGAGTTTCTGCCAGGTTGCGGGGGAGATGAAGTGTTTATTCCTGTAGTCATATAACAGCTGATGCAGTACTTGGCACATGCTAGGTACTCAATAAATGCTTGTTGAAGATGTTCCATAACAAGTGGGATTTAAGTTGGATATTGAAATTCAAGTGGAGAAAAACCAATGATAGTAGGCATTCATATTAGTCAGGAGAGGCTAATATATGTTTCAGGAACAAGAAACCCCAATATTTTGGTTTGTTTACCATCAATTAAAAATAAAAATAAAGCTTTTTCTCCCTTTTGACAAAGTTCGATGCAGGTCTAGCTGACTCTCCAGGGCAGCTGTTCTATACATGTTGGCTCAGTTTGAATGTCTGGTTAGAGCTCATGCCACCCACTTACAGACATGTGCTTCCATTGTTGGTGGCAGGGAGAAGTGTGCTGGAGAGTTGCTCAACTGCAATTCTGTAAAAGTGCCAGTAATTACTTTGACTCAGATTTAGTCTCTTATATTTTTTACCTAAAGCAAGTCAAATGGCTGAGTCTAATTGAAAGGTGGTGAGGACATACAATGTCTCATTTGCCTAAAAGGAGCAGAGAATCATGTATTGGTAAACAGCACAATGCTGGTCACAGTGTGGGTGTATATTTCTACTGTCTAACAACAAATCCGTTGGCTTTACTTTATAATTATATCTCCTCATATGTAAATCAGACCACACCATTTCTCTACTAATGTTCTCAAACATTTTCCAAATGCACTAAAATATTTAATATTATCTCAACTTGACGGTTAACAAAGTTCAGTCTTCTCTGTCTCCAGCCCCCTTTTTTTAACTTCGATTCTTGCCTTGTAAACTTCACTTGCTTTCTTCAAGTTCCTTGAACATTCCAAGCTTATTTCTACACAAAGCTTTTGCACTTTCAGTTCTACAAGAAACATTCTAATCTCAATCTACACACAGTTGATCCTTCATATGTCTCAGGTTCCCATTCATGAAACACCTGATTAGCCAAACCATTCATAAAAGTGAAAAGTATCACCCACACACACCAGCCTCATTCCATCCCATCAGTTGAACTCATTCCCTTCACAGCATTTTTGCTAATATTTAATAGTATCCTATGCATTTACATGTTTGCTTATCTTTCTCATTCTTTCTCCTCTTTCTCCTCAGCATTTTAAGATATGAGCTCCACAAAGAAGCAGCTATACCTGTTTTGTTCTGCTTTTGTCCTAGCACCTAGAACAGTACCTGGCATCTAATAATATTTAACCAGTATTTTCTTTTAAATGGAACAATTGTTTGCAATAACAAGAAGATATACTAGATAATTTCAAAACTACAAAATATCAGGGTGCTTCACGGGGGTACAAACTCTTTCTGTCAAGGGCCAGATAGTAAATAATTTTCAGCTTTGGGGGCCAGATGGTTTCTGCTGCAACCACTCAACTCTGCACCAATTCTGTCATTGTAACACAAAAGCACCCATAAACAATATGTCAACATAAGGATGTAAATGTGTTAAAACAAATTTTATTTACAATAACAGGCAGCAGCAGGATTTGGCCTGGGGATGGAACAAAGGGACCCCCTGCTGTAGAGCAAGGTGAGTGAGTCACTTACGCCCTTGACAACACATTCTTAGAAGTCATGCTAGTTGGAGGCAAGTTCTGTTTCTTCCACCAACGTCTTCAAGCCTCAGAATCCTTTTCTATCAAATGGGGCTAATAATAGAATACACCATACCTCAGAATTAAGTGAGGCTGTGCAAAAGGTGCTTAATTCTGTGCCTGAAATATAGCAACAGACAATAAATCCATCTAACAATAAATTCTTATGAAGAAGTTATTACAATAAATTCAGTGACAAGCAATGATGGCAATGGAAATAAAAATGGAGAAGCAGATGTAATTGAGAGATTTGAGAAGTAAAATTAGCAGTTCCTGGTGACTAAAGCATGTGTTAATGATAGTGATACCCTTGAACCATTAGTTGTTCAGCTTTGAATACCCTACCCAATTTCTCTGCTTATTCTTTTTCTGTGTTTCTTCCCCCTTTCTTCTCTACTTTTCATTCTTTAAGAACAAGCTCCAATTCACACTTTTGAGCTGCCTTTCAAGTTCCTCAGAAAAATTTATCATTTCATTAAACATTATTTAAAGCTTGGGCTCTTTTTGTTTCTACTCTTTAGTATAGTTAGTTGCTTACACTTTTGTCTTTCTCAGTTCATTGTAACATCTCTGAGAGCAGGCATTGTTTTGTTGCTTATCTGTGTCTTTCGTTTGTCTTTTTTTGTCACTATATTCTACATCACACTTGGCATGTGACTTATGCATATTTCATACATTATTATGGAATGATCAAATGAAGCAGAGATTGAATGATTTTTTCAAACACAGAAGTTCAACTTCCACTTGCTAGAGTCCCCCATCAATAAAATATGCACAGAACAACACTGGGTCATACACAATGGTTCCATAATTTGACCTGTGTTTTATCCCCAACATCTGCTTGCAGGGATGCAGCATCCTCGTGGCTGTTCACATACCATTGCACTGGGATATGTCTCTCTTCACTCTCCATTTCCCACCCCACAAAAACCCCATCGCCTGCCTTATGTGAGAATTGGAACCATAAAAATAAAACAAAGATGTCTTCTTATGTATGATAATTAATGGGAACAAAATGTCTTGGATGAAATATTACTGGCAAAACAAAGCATAACCAGATGTTGTGCAATGCAAGACCCAACATAAAGTAATGAAGAACTCCACTGAGTCAGACGTGTCTACTTGAAAAATGTTTACTTTGACAATCAAATGAAAAAGTAAAAAATATATAGATGCAAAGACTGCTTTTCAGGAAAACAGTGGGTTCTTTCCCCAGAGCTCTAAAAAGTTTAGATATTGTAGCCAAAACGTCGTAAAATATGATTTTGTTTTCTGCTTTTTTTCCCCAGGGAGAAGGGAATTTTAAAGAAGAGATTGCATCAATAAAGATTCTTTTAGCATTATTTTTATCATTATAAAAATTACACATACTTGTTTTAGATTATTTGAAAACTTCAGAGCTGTAAAGATGAAAATAAAAATTGCTTATTATCTTAATCGGCAAAATTAACCATCCTTAACATTTTTATATGTCTTTTAGTTATTTTGTATGCCTATGTTTATAATGAAACAGTTTTGAATTTTTTAACGTATTAAAATCATGGGATTTTTGTCTTTAATTCACGCTTCCTTTTAGCCATCCACCTCCAAAGCTGAACCATGAGTTTTACTGTACTAGGGAAAAACAAGTTTGAGTCTGCTATGAAAAAAGTAATTAGCAGTTTCAATGCTGGTTTCTGGGGTTCATAAACAAATTGTCTTAAAAACCTGACATTTGGTTTGGACTTGCCATGGATTCTAGAAAGTATAGTTCATAGGAAAGAAAGAGATTTTTCAAATTTCTCTGGGTACTAATTTTTTGTGATCTAGTCCTGGTAAAGTAGATCAAATGCTTCCCATATATTCCAGGAGAACTCAGGATATGAATTGGAGTCACGGTCAGATCATCTCTTCTGGGTCTACTGTCTATGAGAAGAAGGGAGAAGGAGATAGAACTAGAAAGCCAAAAACAAACATTCTAGTCATTCTCCACCCCTGCCTCAGGGCCAACAATAAGGTATTGGGAAAAGAGGGATTTGAAACATCTAAAGAGGTATGAAGGAACCACAGAATATTAGCGTAAGTAGCACACTTATCATGAGTTACATGGGAAAGCTAAACAAGAGCAAAGATTTTTGTCTCAAAGCACATCTAACATAGCATGGAATATGAAGTGGTGGCAGTGGGCATTTAGGTAATGAAGCTGAATCAGATCCCATCATCTTTGACTTTGCCTTATACAATATTTATGGAATCGAGAAGTTTGATCCGTTCTTTTGAAAAGGTATAGAGGAGCTGGAGAGAGAGGGGGATAGATGAGCATCCATCCAAAGTAAGAACAAGGTGATTGCCATGGCTGGTGAACTTATAACTGAAGCAATGGCTGGGACCACAGGCATTAATGACATGACCAGCAGGTTCCCCTGAAAAGCAAAAAACAGCAGTTGGACCTCATGGGGTTCCTTCTAGGAGACCAGTTATTCCACAGGACGGACCAGTGAAGGTCAGAAGGTCATGTCTACAAAGACATGAAACCTCTCATCCTCCTACTTCTCCTTATTTACCCAGAACTATCTTGGATAAGAGCACATATGGGAGTGAAAGAGCTTTCATGTCCAACAGACAACTGAGATACTGACTTCCTCCAAGTTTGAAGTAATTTATCTTTATTAATTTCCAGTGCAGTAATAGGCCTTAGGTAAGATACAGGGCTAATATGCAGAATCTACAAAGAACTTAAACAAATTTACAGGAAAAAAAAATCAAACAACCCCATCAAAAAGTGGGCGAAGGATATGAACAGACACTTCTCAAAAGAAGACATTTATGCAGCCAACAGACACATGAACAAATGCCCATCATCACTGGCCATCAGAGAAATGCAAATCAAAACCACAATGAGATACCATCTCACACCAATTAGAATGGCGATCATTAAAAAGTCAGGAAACAACAGGTATTGGACAGGATGTGGAGAAGCAGGAACACTTTTACACTGTTGGTGGGACTGTAAACTAGTTCAACCATTGTGGAAGACAGTGCAGCAATTCCTCAAGGATCTAGAACTAGAAATACCATTTGACCCAGCCATCCCATTACTGGGTATATACCCAAAGGATTATAAATCATGCTGCTGTAAAGACACATGCACACGTATGTTTATTGTGGCACTATTCACAATAGCAAAGACTTGGAACCAACCCAAATGTCCATCAATGATAGACTGGATTAAGAAAACGTGGCACATATACACCATGGAATACTATGCAGCCACAAAAATGATGGGTTCATGTCTTTTGTAGGGACATGAATGAAGCTGGAAACCGTCATTCTGAGCAAACTATCACAAGGACAGAAAACCAAACACCACGTGTTCTCACTCATAGGTGGGAATTAAACAATGAGAACACTTGGACACAGGATGGGGAACATCACACACCAGGGCCTGTCGTGGGGTGGGGGGAGTGGGGAGGGATAGCATTAGGAGATATACCTAATGTAAATGACGAGTTAATGGGTACAGCACACCAACATGGCAGATGTATACATATGTTACAAACCTGCACATTGTGCACATGTACCCTAGAACTTAAAGTATAATAATAAAAAAAAAAAACATTAAGTAAGGAGGGAATGGAAAGAGGCTGATTAACGGGTTCAAAGTTATAATTATTTAGGAGGAATAGGTGCTGATGTCCTTATTGCACAGTAGGGTGATTATAGTTAACAATAATGTATTAAATGTTTCAAAACAGCTAGAAGAAAGGATTTTGAGTGTTTTCACTAAAAAAAGGTAAATGTTGAGGTGATGGATATGCTAATTATACTGATTTGATCATTACATGCATATATTGAAACATCACATTGTACCCATAAATATGTAGAATTTTTATGTGTCAGTTAAAATTTTTAATTAAATCTTTTTCAGAGAAAAAAGTAATAGAAAAAAAACCACCTGTGTTTTCATATGGCAGTGTGAATAAATTAATTATGCTATATGCATATGAAATGTATATATGCATATAGCAGAATTATGTAACTGTGCAATTTATGAAATCAAAGACATTGGATACTGATTTTTTCTGTATCACTATATCATCAGCATATTCTGTCTTGTAGTTACATATGGGCATCAAAATAGCATTTTAATAGCTTTATTATACTCAATAACATAATTATATTTTGATTTGCTAATTAACTGTCCTATACCCTAGGTTATATTTATGTTTTGTCATAATAACGTTGTTACAAACATCCTAGTGTATAAATATTTTTCTAGTTTTTGATCTTTTTATTAGGAATAGCGTCCTATGAAGAAGGTAAGGATGACTCCTTGATAAGAGTATAAACAACTTAAATGGCTACTGAAATATGTCACCAAATTGTTTCCTAGAAAATGTTAAGGATGAGCATGGTGGCCCACGCCTGTAATCCCAACATTTTGGGAGGCCTAGGTGAGAGAACTGCTTGAGTCCACAAGTTCAAGGCTAGACAGTGATTGACATTTTACACCCCAATGATAAAATATTACCAATATAATCTCCCAAATTAAAAATTATAAATGTCTTATTTTTCTACAGCTGGCACATAATAAGCTCTCTTGAATATTGGTTAAATCATTTTAAGAAGCAAGCAATCTCATCACTACTTTAGTTTGCATGACTTTATTATCAGCAAATTTACATATTTTTATTCTTTATTGGCAATTATCTTTTTTCTTTTTCTTATGAACTCTGAAATTGTATTATTCTCTCTCATGTATTCAGCTGAGTCTCTTCCTTCTCAAGCTCATTTCCATTTATGAATCAGGTAAAACTTCTTGTCATCTCTTTTCTACAAGTTCAAAATCCTCTTGGACTGATTATGAATTTTCACATTATATTATTTTTCCTACATTATATTTTGGTTTCACTAGACAATTGGGCAATGTGCTGACTTTGGATTCAGAAAATCTTCGCTGAATCTTGGTTCTGGTGCTTTCCGGCTGTGTGACTGGGCAAAACACACATTGTCTTCATGGCTTGGTTGACCCACCTATAACATAGATAGTGGCAATGGTCCAAATTTGTGTGTTATACATTCAGAAAATATCTATTGAGTGTATACTGCAGGTGAGGCTGTATTCCCAGTAACAGAGATAAATGGTCATTCACCTAACACAGAGCATGTATATAAAAAGCTTTGCATGTTGTAGGTACACAGATGATGCTTAGTAATTGCCAGATGTACAGGACAAAATAGAGTTATTCATAGAATCTTTTAGAAACCATATGTTTTACACATCACACACACTTATACACCATCGTAGCACTTCTGACCACATTAACAAGATGTGTCATCTTCTTGTTTTTATAGTGACACAGATATGCTCTGCCGAAGCTCCAAACACTCTCTTACTGTAAGACTCCCCAATGTGTGAGTCATTTGGCTTCTGAGTCCACTTTCAGGGAAGGAGAATAATTAACGGATCCAGAGAAAGATCCAACCTCTGACCTTGACTTTATTAACTTTGTGTGCTGACTAATCATGCTGATTAAGAACAGAAATTCAACCCATTCAGCTGATGTGTCCCTGGAATGTCTCTTTCCAGGCACCCTGATATCTATTTCCTAGAATCTCCCAGCCCCTGAGGAGAATAATTTGGAAATCCCAGTCAAGCTTAATGCATTTCTATTTAGGGATCTAATGCCTGGAAAAAAAATGATATCTTTATCATTTATTTAATACATAAGTGGTTCTTTTTCTTGTCTGGTCCGTCAAAGCTTGGCAAAGTAAAGGTCATCCATTAATCACTTTGCCCTTCAGTGAAGTGCAGCCATCCAGTCTGTGAGGGTTGCAGTTTGATCAGCCAGGCATGCGGCCTGACTCAGTAAAAACTTGGAACTGAAGTCCTGTTAAGGGCATTGTAATTGATCTTTGTTGCAGCTACAGATGTTGGCACAGAAGCAAAAAGAGACCACTTTTTCCTTAGATGCAGGGATCTAATTAAAGTAGGAATAGCCTTGAAGGGGGACATATAGGTTGATGATGGAAGTGACAAATCCCAGGATGAGACCCCTTTGGGGCTTCTCATTTAGTGCTGACATACCTGAGGTTCTAACAAATGGATCCTGTCTTACCTCAGTCTTAGTATATCTAAAAAAGAACTTCCTCAAACCTAAATTTTCTTGCTTCTACTTCCCATCAACTACAGTATTCTCCAGGCTACATACTGTGAAGGCTGGGTGGTCTCTGATGTACATTTCTCTTTGATATTCAGTAGTCAGCACATACCCAATCACAACACCGCTGCTTTCTTTGCACCCTCCTGTTGGTGTCTCCAGCACAAGTACTTACTCAATTTTTGTTAAGATTACTTCTAACAGCCTTGCTAACTGGTCCTTCAGGCCACAATCATTCCACATATGCTTCCTTTTATAAATAAATATCCTCAAATATCCTTGCCCTTCTACCATACTTTCACTTGAGAAATAAGACAGTATTTCTAACATTTATAGCATTATTGTTATTTGGCTCCCAAGGGCAAACGAAGTGTGGCACCAACTCTCCTATGTCTTATCTCCAACTATTCCTCAATATTTTCCTTTTCCTACAATCAGCTGTGTCCCCCCTCTCCCAGCCCCTCGCCAATTAGTATTTGAATATGCTCTTCCCACCGGCAGTTCAAATTCCTGTTTCCACATTAATTCAAAAGACACATATTTAATTGACTCTTTCAGGCCATGTTAGGCATGTGAGATATATCATTTATCCCTCACCTTGTTGTGGGAGGGTCACAGGTGTTATATTTTGAGCGCTAATGATGTGATAAATGCATGTACACAGCCCAAATCCCAACCCACAAGGCTTCAGGGCTCATTTCCCCAGCTGCTGGGATTAGTGACAGCTGAGAGTTCTCAAGGCCTTGTCTTTCTCCAGGACAGCCCTGGTTGAGGAGAACAAGCTCATCCAAGGTCATGGGGGGAAGCCTACATCCAATGACTAGTTGACATGGGTATAAAATTTAGCCTCCTTTTCTCTCTTCATGACAACTCCGAGTGGCTACCTCAGCTTAAGAACATTATCCCAACTGCTCCTTTATTGTGACTTACAATTCATCTGTTTCCTCTGCCCAATCTAGCTTACTTCTTTCCCCATAGGTGTTGATTTTGGTGGCACTCCCTAATATAAACTCCATATGTGCAAATATGTCTCTGAATCTGTGTCTTGGGAACCCATTCTGCAGCATCTACTTTGACATAATTTCTACTTATTTTTGCAGTTTAAATAGATTGTAGTAGTCTTGAAATAAGAAAATCATAAAGGTAGTCAGGCTTTGGTAGTCAGGGGTGGGAGGATAATAATAAATACTGCATACACATATTTAATAAATTCATAATATCTGTCATTTGTGATACATAGGGTATAATAAGCCCATCTCAATTAACTTACATTTCACTGGATATTGACAATTACAACTACTGTGTCTCTTAATTCCCTACAGTTCATATACATAAAGGCATGGCATACAGAATTTCTAGGTGCCCAATACTATATTGAAACATTTTTTTCCTTATTTTAAATAAAATAAATGTTTCAAAGATTTTGAAATAAGTTCAAATTTACAAAAGTTACAAAAACAGTATAAGGATTTCCCACATAATATTTACTCAGATTCTCTTAATGTTAAAATTTTCCATGCCCTCTCTTGCTTTATTATTTCTTTTCTCTCTCTCTCTCTCTCTCTCTCTATACATACACATAAATAGATAATAGGCTGAGAGGCAGGAGAAAGAGAGAGAAAAGAGAGAGATGTTAGTTTTTTTCCTAAATAATTTTAGAAGATATTGTATATAATTTTTTTATCCCTAATCCATTCTGTGTACATTTTCAAAAAGCAATTATAATCTATAGCTAACCATGGCAAAATTATGAAAATCAAAAAATTAACATTGATAAAGTATGACCTAATCTATAAAATTTATGTACGTTTTTGTCAATTGTCCCATTAATGTCTTTTACATGGCAACTAAACTAATAAAAATATTTCTGGTCCAGAACCCATTCCAGAAACACATATTACATTTAATTGTCATGACTAAATATCCTTTAATTTGGAGCAGCTCTTTAGACTTCCTTTGTCTTTCTTGACCTTGGCATCTTTGAAGAGTATGATTTTGTATTTCTTCTTCCAGAGTTTCCCTGAATTTGGGCTTGTTCGATGTTTTCTCATGATGAGTTCAACTTATAATATTTGGCAGGAATCTCATAGCAGTAATGTTATGCCCTTCTCAGTTTATCAAATCAAAAAGACACAAGAAATCTATTTGCTTCATTACTAGTGATGTTAATTTTGATTTCTCGGTTAAGGTGGTGTCTGCCTGGTTTCTTTACTGAAAAGTAACTATTTTTCTCTTTTTGGACAAGCAGTTAATTTGGAGTCCCTTACCAGAAACGATTTCTTACTGTGGAGGCTGCCAAATGGTAATGTTCTAACTCAATTATTTCTTTTACATGAATTGTTTGATTATTGTGTTGTAGGAAAGAATTTTACCTTTTTCCCCATTAATTTTTTTATTCACTTATTTATATCAGCATAGGCTCATGAATTCTTATTTTATTCTTTGGGTTATATTTATTTTAATATTACTATTAATTTTGATGGTTGCATTACCTCATATTTCACAAGTGGAAGTCCCACCAAGCTCCAAGGGGGCTCCAGAGTCCCTCTGACATGCCCCATCTTTTAAAAATATTTGTTTACTTTTAGTATTTCTTTTTTTCCTGAGACTGCAAGATATTTTAAGTATTTCTCCTACTCCAGCTCTGAAATCAGCCATTTTTAAAAGGAGTTCTGGCTCCTTTTAGTGGATAATGGTATTTAGAAATCAAGATCTGGCTATCAGATGTTATTGGTATCCCATTGTTTCTTGTCTGTTTCAGCAGGCAGAGCTAGTATGTATTGACAGAACATATGTATTGTTTACATATACACAAGCCACACACATACATATCTATTTCTAATCTTATCTACTTATATATTAAAGCTATGAATTTATACTAATATCTGAATTATAACTCAGGACCATAGTGCTCATTCTAGTCTTCCCCTTTCCGTATTTTAACTTCCACATTAGTTGGCTTGGGATGCCATAACAAAATACCATGGACTGGTGGCTTAAACAACTGAAATTTGCTTTTCACAGTTCTGGAGGCTGAGAAGTCCAAGATCAAGGTGCTGGCTACTTTGGTTTCTGCTGAGTGTTCTCTCCCTGGCTTGAAATGGCAGCCTATGGCAGGAAAAGAGAAAGAAAGATTTTTCTCTCTTCCTCTATGGCCACCATTCTTATTGGATTAGGAACCCAGACTTATGACCTCAAAGAGGACTCACTTTCCCACTGGAGCCTGTTATCCACAGTAAATTTACTTATTTGCTCAATCATTGAATACAGATTAAGCAGTTTTAACATTGCCAACAGATACCACTATGACAGCAAAACTACTAACTAGAGTTCAATATTTGTTATTTGTTTTTGTCTTTGGACTATGTTTATAATCCAACTAATTTATTCAAGAATTTTTTGAATAAGCTTTTTTCTCTTCTTTGAGTTAGATTCTTTTGTTTTTATTTTGTTTCCTTCTCAGCACGGTTAAATTTATTTGATTTTGTTTGTATTCCCTTTTGCCCCATCCTTGTTGATTTCTTTTTCTAATTGAGAATATGAAATATGATGTCATTCTAAAAGTTGAAATTAAACTCAAAGAAATATCACTCCTCTTCTCACCCCTTCTCCTTGTTCCCATTGCTCCAGCCTTGTTACCCCATACTTTTTG
Source organism: Homo sapiens (assembly GCF_000001405.40). NCBI lineage: Eukaryota > Metazoa > Chordata > Mammalia > Primates > Hominidae > Homo > Homo sapiens. The sequence goes on from NC_000018.10 coordinate 43,897,556, forward strand.
CCCCCACATAACAATCCAATCTTATTTCTTTTTTATTTCTCCTTCTTCTTTTCCTTTTTTTCCTGTAGGATGGGAGATAACATAAGTGTTTTTTCTTATTTTCCCATTTTTCTTTTCCAAAAGGTAACATTTTATAGATATATTTTTGCACTTTGTTTTTTGTCCATTTAACCATGTGTCCTGGAAATCACATGATATGGTTCACAGATATAGTCTTCATTCTGGTTTTTGCACAATGGTACTTTACTGGGCAGACATTCCACTGTTTTTCAACAACTTATCTCTATCCTGGCATTTAGACTATTTCCATTATTTTCCAATTATATCAATGCTGAAATCCATTGTTTGAAATGTATGCTTTACAGTTACATCCCTGATCCATTGGAATCCATTCTTATGTTTGGTGTGAAGAACAGGGACCTAACTCTATCTTTTTTTTCAAATGTTTAAGCAGTTATTTTATCACCATTTATTTAAAAACAAGAACACAAAATTCTCTTTATTCCAGTTATTTGAAATTCCCTCTTCATCATAAAGTTCTCATTATATTTCTATTATATTTCACTGGTATGTTTATCAGTCAGTCCTGGTATCACAGCTTTAGTTATAGAAACTTTACAGTCTGTTTTAATTTCTGGAATGGCTATGACCCATTGCATTTTTTTTCCGTCATTTGTCTGGATATTCTGGTATGCTTCCATATAAACTTGAGTACCAAATTCTATGACTCCATAAGAAAGATTATTGGTATTTTTATTAAAGTTGCATTGCATTCGTAAGTTATTTCAGGGATAACTGAACATATATAATGTTGCGTTATTCTGTTTAGGAGCAAGAGCTGTCTTTCCATTAATTCAAGCATACTTTCGAAAATGTGTTATGGTTCGTATTACGTATGTGTTGTACATTTTTTCTTAAGTTTATTTGGAAGAATTTTATCCTGTTTTTGTCATTTAATGATGTTTTCTCTATGATTATATCCCCTAAGTGGTTTTTGATTATATGACAGCTGTTAATTTCTGCATGTTAAATTTTATGTTCTACTAATCTGCTGAATTATTTTATCATTTGAGCTATTTTTATTATTGATTAGGAACTCTAGCTATACTATTATGTTAAGTGCAAAAGAACATAATTTGACTTAAGTCTTTCTTTGTCATATTTAATGCTTTTTGGTTAGAATTTTCTTATGATGTAAGAGGATCCCCACTCTTCATATCTTATTATTTCCATCTTCTTATACCTTTCTTATTCCCTTTAGTTTTAATCATTCTATATCATTTAGTTTGGGTGTGCCCCTTGTATATATTGTATAATTATGTGTGTATAGTTAAGCAAAGTCCATTTATGATTATAATATGACTGATATGTTTAGTCTCAACTACATAATATTTTATGTTGCAATTTCAATTTGTATTATATGAAATTTGCTCTATTTATGTCATGTGTCTTCTTTCCTCTTTTTAAAAAATGTGTTTATATTTTGGAAGGTCTGTAGTTTTGTTCTTGCAGTCACGTTTTCTGTTATATTTAAATTATATTTTTATTATTTTAAATTTCCTTAGTCCACTATTTCCTTACTTAAGCTTTTATTGTCCAGTATCAGCTGTTCTTGGTGTCTTTAAGTTTTACCAAGGACTTTACACCAATCAGTAAGTTTATTCTTATTTTCTCTTTTCTACCTTTTGTCTTTCCTTTTCTATAACACATAATATAGAACATATTTTTCCACCCTTATTCCCACTATTGTTTTAGACTTTCATCTACAGTTTTATGCATATTCACTGTTAACCATTTTTCTAAATTTTCCCTGACTACCTTTTGGTTGAATGAAGTGCTTCCTCTAGTCCAGAAGCAGGTTTTTTTTTTTTTTTTTTCTACAAAGAGACAGATAGTAAATATTCTAGGCTTTGCAAGTCATATGTTGTAGCTATGGTGAAGCAAAAGCAGCCATAGGCAATACATAAACTCAGTAGAAGTGTGTTTCAATAAAACTTTGATTACAAAACCATACCGACATAGTTTACTAACTGTTGCTCTAGTAGTTGCTTGAGAATGAACCAAGGACACAAAATCATCTGAGCTCTTGCATGTTTGAAAGCTATTTTTCTATAGTCTTGAGAGTTAAATGCAGTTTGGCTAGATACAATGTTACGGTCTGATACTTGTTTTCCTGAAGTTTTTTGAAATTGCTGCTGAAGGGTGGCCATTCCCAGACGGTATTCTCTGATCACCTGAATACGTTTATCTCCCTCCCGGGTAGTATACTCTGGTCTACCAGGACATTGTGGTGACATTTCACATAGATGGTGGACTTCATGTTTCTGGCTGTGATTTCAGGCCACTCTTACTTAGTCTTGCCAATAGTTTTCCTCTTCTGTCCTGTCTGCAGTCTTTCTCAGATTGTGTTTGTACTCTGCAAAGGCTTGTGGCAGGAACACAAGCAAGAGCCTGCTGAATTTGATGAGTGTTTTGTTTTTATTTTTTAAGGTAATCTGAAGTTTGGCTCTTCACTAGTCTTCTAGTTATTCATTTCTCTAGAGAGTCCTTAGAGACCTTTGTAGCACATACACCATGTTTTATAATTACTAAAATATTGCATTGAATTACCTCATTTTATGGTATTGTAGTGTATGTCTTTATACTTATTCCTCATTTTTCAAGGATAAAAATCGTAAAAAAAAAAAAAAAAAGTTAAGAATACATTCTGAATTCTCTTTCCAGAGGCTTCCCCCTTGTCTTGGGATTATGGATGAGTGAGGAAAGTTTTCCAAGATTCAAAATAGGATGTGACTTTGTGGTTCTGTAACTAGTGGAAACAGTATCACTTCAATGTAGGAGATGTCTAAGGGGAATGGCAGAATAGAGCATGAGGGAGGCAGTCCTGAAGATGCCAGGACTCCATCTGAGTGTTCCTGCGCCCAAGTGCAGCACGGATGGCAATGGCATAAAAGAAGCAGATACACAGGACTTCAAAGGCTCACCTAGACTGACTATGAGTGATAGCAGTTATATAAAATCAAGATGAGTTGGCCCTCTTTAAATACAAATAGTTCTATGCTTTAAAAAGACCTCAACCCTTACCCAATTTAGAAATAGGGAGGTATAGAAAGTGCTAATAGTGAATGAAAATGAATTCCTTCAACCAGGAAGCAGAAAGCAATAAATAAGATTTAAGTTTTAAAAATATTAAACTTAAGAAATTTTATTAACAATAAATATCATGCAAGCAAAGTCAAATTTCGGGGTTTGGAACAACTGCTTTACAAATGGGAAGATGGTATATCCTGAGTGGCCAGGAATAGTACACTTGACCTTTGAACAGCATAGTTTGAACTTCAGAGGTACACTTACATGTACACTTATATGCAGATATTTTGCCTTTGCCAACCCAGAGACAGCAAAGCAACCCCTCCCCTTCCTCCTCTTCCTTAGCCTTCTCAATGTGAAGACAATAAGGATGAAGACCTGTATGATGATCCACTTCCATTTAATAAATAGTAAATATATTTCTCTTCCTTAAGCTTTTCTTATAACATTTTCTTTTTTTAGCTTAATTTATTGTAAGAATACAATAAATACATATAACATGAAATAGATGTTAAATGTTTATGTTATGGGTAAGGCTTCTGTTAAACAGTAGGATATTAGCAGTTAAGTTTTGAGAGAGTTAAAATTTATATGCAGATATTTCCACTGCATGGAGGTTGGTGCACCTAACCCCCATATTGTTCAAAGATAAACTGTACTGGTTTTTACTTGCTGTTCCAGAGTAATTTTTGGAAGCATTCTTTTTTATTTTCATATTTCCACTATTTGGAAGATCAGGTATACGGTCACCTTATTCATAATTGAATGTTGCCATAAGATTTCAGTGTCCAAGTCTCTGGTTTTTGCAAATATGCCTATATGATAGACCATTTGATAGTATGCTATACTCTACAAATGAAGCTTCCCCAATGCTTTAAAAGAAAACAACAAAGAGTTGGAACATTGAGTCATCTCAGTGTGTGCAGTGGTAGCAAAATGCTCCATACAATAGAACCTGTGCCATCATATTAAATACCCCGTTCACATTGGGAGAAACAATCTAGTTGCAGCACAAGATTATCTGTCACATTAAATTATGTGGCTAATTTGTATTCTATTAGTTTTTTTAGAGCTTCTTAGTACTTTATTTGTAAATTTATTTTGGTTTTATAGTTGCATAGAAGTTATATGCATAAAAAGTTTTATGCTTGTAGCTAATTAAGTAAAATTATAATAAAATGAGTCAACAGGAGTGTATGTCTCTGGCTGAACATGTCTTTTAAAAGGTTATATATTATTCATTTAAAAAATTGAATTGAAATCTATATAACACAAAATTAACCATTTCAAAATGTACAATTTAATGGTGTATAGGATAGTCACAACATTGTGCAACCATCACCACTATCCGGTTTCAAAACCTTTTCATCTCCCTGAAGGAAATGTCTTACCCATTGATCAGTTAGTCCTCATTCTTCTCTCCCCTTAGTTGCTGGCAACCATTAATCTGCTTTCTGTCTCTATGAATTTACTTATTCTGGATACATTATATAAATGAACTTATACAATACATGGTCTTTTGTGTCTGGCTTCTTTCAATTAGCATAATGTTTCTGAGGCTCATCCACATTGTAGCACATATCAGCACTCCCTTCCTTTTCATTGATGAATAATATTCTATTTTAAGGCTATACAGGCTGAACACTCCTTATCCAGAAATTCAAAATCCAAAATGCTCCAAAATCTGAAACTCTTTGAGTGCTGACAGGACAATGAAGATGACATTGTTAACGTTACAGACAAAGTGCCTATAGAAGACATGGTGAAAATGTGTGACAGGCTTATTGAAGGACTAGATAAGCATGCATTCATAACAGAAAAAGGAATTATGTCAGTTTATAAAATCAAAGACAGGCTTCTAAGACAAAAATGATTGTTAACAAGGCAGATGACTCTGGAAGAAACATTTTAAAATGTCGTCCAGCGGAATGTCTCCGTATCCCTAGAAGACCCACTTCCTGGGCCCCCAGCTTCTTCTGATATATCTTCTCACCTAAATCAAATATAGTATAGAGGAAACGTTTAATCAAAATGCATTATAGGTGGAGACTGAAAGTCTGCCCTTGTTGGTTGTTGCTATTGTTTAATAGCTGATACAGGTGTTCTACTGGTACTACTTTGCTGCTTGGTTATCCTGAACACATTAATTTTTCACAGTATTAATGGTTTGACCTTTTTTTACTATTAGCTACTTATGGGTGAATGAGTAAAAGATAATCATTGCTTATTGGGAGCAAATAAATGAGTCAGAAATGATAGTGATGCCAAACAACTACAGATTGTCCTCATGGGGGTCTGCTTTCTAATGGTGCAATGCACACAAATTCTCTTCAATGCAAAGAATTATTAAAAAATATGTAAGGCAGGCAAGTCCCCAAATTTGGGCTTAGCCCAGGAGGGTTTTTGACTTCACCCAGGAAAGAGTTCATGGAAAAGCCGGTGGTGTGATTTTTATTAAAATGACAGTGAATAGCAGCAGCAGAGATACTGTTCCTTGCAGAGCAGGGCTAACCCATAGGCAGTGTGTCCACAGTAGCAGCTTAGAGATAGTTCGTAGTCATATTTTATATTTAATTTTAATTATATGCAAACTAAGGGGCAGTTTATTTAGAATTTTATTTTTAAGCGGTGGTATTTTTGCATCGTTGTCCTGGAAAGGGGTGGTAATATTTGGGTGTTGCCATGACAATAGTAAACTCACATGGCATTGGTGGGCATGCCTTATGGAGAGGTGCTTTGGAGCTACCCTGTTTTAACTAGTCTTTAATCTTGTCTGTAGTTGAAATCTCCACTGGAGTTGAGTCCTGCCTCCCACCTCAAAAATGTACAAAACTTTCTTCAGGGTATGTGTAAAAGACATATAGGAAACAAAAAAATTTCATGTTTAAACTTGAGTCTCATCCCCAAGATATCTCATTATGTACGTGCAAATATTCCAAATTTCAAAAAAAAAAATCTGAAGTTGAAAATACTTCTTCTCCCAAGCATTTTGAATAAGGAATACTCAACGGATATCCCATATTGTTTGTTCATGTACCCATTTATGAACATTTTGGTTGTTTCAAATTTTTTGGTTATATTCTAATCAGTTCTGCTATGAACATTCATGTGAAAATATTTGATTTACTCTTTTTGTAAAAGAAAGTCTACGTTATAATTTGACACAGATTGAAATGTTTGAGAACTATCATATTTGTCATTAATGTGAATGATTAATTTTGTTCTTAGCATGAAAGTAAAATATAATGCTCAGATTCATCTATTAATCTATTCATCTTCTCTTAGAAAGAGACAATTCATCTTAGAAAGAGACAATATTTTGCACTTATGAATCTTAGGTTGCTATGGAAAAAATAGAATACTTTAAACACTCTGACCATGGGACCTTTCTTTCATGTTTAATATATATCCTTTTCTCCCTTTAGTCAATTTTCTAAAGCTTGTTAAGCTTGTTTGGAACTTTTGAAATATCGTCTGCTGGTGAAGGATACAGACAATGTTCAAATTAAAGACGGTGCTCCTTTCTTTTCCATGGAAAACAGAGTATATGTCAAGGAAATAGAGCATATTTTTTCTGACTTTTGTCTACTTGACCCATCAAGACATTTTCTGAGACCTCTTTGATGTTCAAAAAGTTTTAAAAGATTACATACTCTAGAAGGCCTTTTTCCTACTTCAGAGAAGCATTGAAGTTTTAATTTGGTTGAGAACAGCATCACCTTTACCTTCTTCTATTGGGATTCCCTCTGACTACATAGGCTTGTATGAAAATTTCAGTGCTAAGGACCAATAATTCTCTATGAATTTTGACATTGTGGTGCATCCTTCAGCTTCAACTACATCAACTATGTAAAGAATTAAGGCAATCAATAAACACAGAGCAAAATTGGTATTTAAACAAGTGGAAAAAAAAAATGTTAAGATTTCCGGCCTCAGTGGCTCTGTCTGGTAATCAGCCATTATAAATAATGTAACAGTTGTTCAATCTCCCTGGCTCATGTTGACACAAGATTAGAGCTATCAAAAGCACACTATGATTAATAAAACTGTGAAAGCACTATAAAAACACAGCTCCCTGTAGTCAAGTAGAGATGAGGGAGTCAATATATTTTCCCTTATTTCTTCTTTTTTGGTTGTCCCAGGAGGAACTTTAAGAAAATAATTTGCATGTAGCAAGTGTTTAATAAATACATTTCTAACTGAAATGTTTTTACTATATTCCATCTCTATTCATGTGTAATTTAAATTTCACGATATAAACTAGAATACAAATACTGAGAGTATATGAAGAAAAAAAATCTTTGAGTAGAATGAAGATTTTGAAAATCTCCCCACCCTTACCCATTTGAAATGTTCTACTCTTACTATATCTATTGAAAGAAGAGGGTGGAAGAGAATCAACTTGGTAGTTATTCATTCTGAGTTCTAACTTATGGCCTGTATTTTACAAGCTGCTTGACAAAGCATTTCTCCTTCTGTGTCTCAATTGCATCTTCTACCAAATGGGAGAAAGAACACGTAATTCACAGGGCCATTGTGCGGCTACAGTGTTATCCTATCGCCAAAATTACCGAGCACACCATATAATGTAACATTAGCCTTAATAGATATTGTTTGCCTTTTATTTTCTGACCACTTGCATTGGGGTAGGGATGAGGGAATATCAAATAATTCCTCTTCATTCTCCTGTTCTTAAAATATTAAAAACTAAAGCCCAGGGAAAAATGTAAATGTAAATGTTTACATCCTATGGGAAAATATTTTAAGAGTGCTAAATTCTGCTCACAGAAAATTCTGCCCATGGAAACTTACTTCTCTTGTACAATTCCTCATATTGTAGTTGTGGATCTTCATCTCCTCTCGTTCACTTTAAAATTAAGTGAGTATTGAGTAATTTAAATTTTTTTTTGATAGTTTGCCAAGTGACTCATCAATTTTAAATAATGAGACTCAGAAAATATGATTAAGTATGGAGTTTATTTGCGCACAAAGATTGAGGATGATCACTTGGAAAACAGCAACTCCAAATGTATGGGGTCAGTGTTCGAAAGTTAAGGTTTCTTTTATACAGGCAGAGAAAGAGAAATTGTAGCAGGATTACAACATTTTTCTGTACGAGCCCAGTGTATAGGTTATAATGATTTGATTGGTTACTGAATGTTACATTCCAAGGAAGATATTGTTACTCTGTGAGGAGGAGAAGTGGTCTGACAGGGTCTTATCTCTGGCCCCATTTGGTCTTCCTAATTATTTATAGGGAGAAAAAAATGACAGAAGTTGCATCTGCATGCAACATAACTCAGACAGCATAGCCACATTCCTCTTAAGGCTCAGAATAATTTAAAGTTCCAATAGCTTTGATTCTGAATTATTTAATTTTATACCCATAACCAGGGTCAGCAATTAAACTTACATAGTTTATTGACATGTACCTTAGGATGAATAAAGAAGTTCTTTAGCTGTCTAGACCCTGCTGAACTAAGAAGTAGGGAAGATTGTTTCATTTTACACCATTCTGAAATTGTATTATACTTTCTTGTGAAGCTAGCTTTCTGTCATCATAAAGTATATATATAATTATCGTATTTTCATAAGGAAAAGGAAACACAATTTTCTCTCTAAGCTTCATAGTTCTTAGTTGGGACAGACCCCTGTAACAAAAGAAATTAACAAAAGAAAAACAAACAGACATTTAATAACATGTATACCTCATGTATACGTGGGAATATCTACAGAAAAATGAGAAAAGGTGGCTTTGAATAAGCTTAAATGTCATCATTTGGTGAAACAAAGATAGATTAGGCAGGTTGGTTCTAGAGAGATATCCAGAGAAAGTGGAGTAAACAAGAATAAGATTTATTATACAGATTTAAATTGATGCCTTCTCTATTCATAGTAGTTTGTAGTGATTTAGAATATCCTTATTTTCCTGAAAGAGAGAGAAAGAGAGAGAGAGAGAGAGAACCTTACAAATGGAGATTATTCCTTTATAAACATAAATTTCCCTTATAAAAAAAGGTACATTCTACTCTGTTTTTAGAGCTTCTCCTGTGGCTGGTGTTTCTCAATCAGCTCAAAATAATCCTTATGCTTACGAAGCATATTTTGGAATAGGACATTCTGGTCTTTCACAGTAACCATGACCAAAACTGTAATACAGTAGGCATCCCCTTATGTTTGGGGGATATGTTTCACGACCTGGGTGGATGTCAAAACCATGGATAGTAGTTAACCCTATACGCATAATGTCTGCTTTTATACATACGTACCTATGATAAAGTTTAACTTATATATTAGATACAGTAAGATTAACAACAAAAACAAATAATAAAACAAAACAATTATAACAATATACTATAATAGGAGTTTTGTAAATGTGGTCTCTCTTACTCTCTCTCAAAATATATTATTGTACTGTACCCACTCATCTCTTTGGGATGATGTGGGATGATAAAATCCCTACATAATGAGATGAAGTGATGTGAATGAACTAGGTATTGTGACGTAACATTAGGTTCCTATTGACCCTGAATGCAGGCACTGTGATATTGCGACAGTTGATCTGATAACTGAGATGGCTACTGAGTAACTAAGAGTGGTAGTGTATACAGCATGGATGTGCTGGTCAAAGGGATGATCCTTGTCTTGCTCGGGGTGGAGGTGTACAGCATGAGATTTTATCACACTACTCAGACAACATGCAATCAAAAATTTATAAGTTGTTTATTTCTGAAAATTTCCATTGGATATTTTCTGACTGTGGTTAACTATATGCAACTGAAACCACAGAAAGCAAAACCGTGAATAAGAGGAGACGACCATAGTACAAACTACTTGTTGAACATTTCATCCTCAGATATTTGATTTTGTGTATGCGTCAAGAGTAGACCCCACTCCCAAGGGTGGATGATCATTTTCTAAGCTCACCAAAGATGATACAGAAATTAGGAAGTAAATTTCCAATTTCTATGAGACTAAATCTGTGATGTAAACTGAACGCTGAGATGGGGCATCACTTTCTTCTCACTATGTAAGTATGCAACACAATATGCTGAATTTTAATTGGAAGATTTTTTGGAGGACATGGAATCAGAGCATTTTGAGTATTCTAAGACAAGTCTTCTCTGGCCACGGAGATAATAGTCTCTGGGTCTGGGATGTAGGGCACCTTTCTCTGGACGGTGCTTTACATGGTCTTTGACCACTTTGTGTTCTTTTGGATTCTCTTGTCTATTCTCTGTTTCCTTCTACACTGAGTACAATATATTAGATTATTAGGTATCTACCTAATAAATCACAATTTACTTTCTCAAGATAACAAACAACACAAATAGGATGGAGATATGCATCTATCCAAACTAATCATATATTTAGAGTTTCTTGATTTATACTCAGGTATACATAATAAAATATAATGTGTATAAGTATTATCAATTCAGCTTTCATAAAGCAAACATATTTTAAATGCTCTTCAATACTGAAGAGAGAAACATTTTCCTTATCTCAATTATTTCCCTTTAATACAACTAAAACTGCTCAATTGAGTTGTATACACATAAAAGATATCATGTCTTGTAAATCAATATCCCCACATGTAAATTTTAAAACCATGTATTATGTGCATTTTAGATGGTAACATTCTTTAGAGAAAATTAGATATCCGGGAAAAAATATATAAAGTGCAGTATTAATTCCTTTGTTATAAATTCAGCTTCTGTTTAAAACAAAAGTTTATGCTCTCTGTAATTCAGACTTCTTTAGGAATTAGGCCTTTTACACAGCTCTAGGTCCCTTCATTTCCAGGTTAAACTTTAAATACATAAATATAAATTAAATCCTCCTCTCTTAAAAATTCTCTGTCACTTTGAGCACTTAATTAGTTATGCAAATATTTTTGAGTGACCGCTATGCAAACTCACTGTTAGCTAGATAGAAAAATAAATAAGTAATCATTTCTATCACTACCATGCTTTTAATTTATTATTTCTTTATATATATATATATATATACTTTAAGTTTTAGGGTACATGTGCACAATGTGCAGGTTAGTTACATATGTATACATGTGCCATGTTGGTTTGCTGCACCCATTATCTCGTCATTTAACATTGGGGTATATCTCCTAATGCTATCCCTCCCCCCTACCCCAACCCCACAACAGGCCCTTGTGTGTGATGTTCCCCTTCCTGTGTCCATGTGTTCTCATTGTTCAATTCCCACCTATGAGTGAGAACATGCAGTGTTTGGTTTTTTGTCCTTGTGAGAGTTTGCTAAGAATGATGGTTTCCAGCTTCATCCATGTCCCTACAAAGGACATGAACTCATCCTTTTTTATGGCTTCATAGTATTCCATGGTGTATATGTGCCACATTTTCTTAATCCAGTCTATCATTGTTGGACATTTGGCTTGGTTCCAAGTCTTTGCTATTGTGAATAGTGCCACAATAAACATACGTGTGCATGTGTCTTTATAGCAGCATGATTTATAATCCTTTGGGTGTATACCCAGTAATGGGATGGCTGGGTCAAATGGTATTTCTAGTTCTAGATCCCTGAGGAATCGCCACACTGACTTCCACAATGGTTGAACTAGTTTACAGTCCCACCAACAGTGTGAAAGTGTTCCTATTTCTCCACATCCTCTCCAGCACCTGTTGTTTCCTAACTTTTTAATGATTGCCATTCTAACTGGTGTGAGATGATACCTTATTGTCGTTTTGATTTGCATTTCTCTGATGGCCAGTGATGATGAGCATTTTTTCATGTGTCTTTTGCCTACATAAATGTCTTTTGAGAAGTGTCTGTTCGTATCCTTCACCCACTTTTAGATGGGGTTGTTTTTTTCTTGTAAATTTGTTTGAGTTCATTGTGGATTCTGAATATCAGCCCTTTGTCAGATGAGTAGATTGCAAAAATTTTCTCCCATTCTGTAGGTTTCCTGTTCACTCTGATGGTAGTTTGTTTTGCTGTGCGGAAGCTCTTTAGTTTAATTAGATCCCATTTGTCAATTTTGGCTTTTGTTGCCATTGCTTTTGGTGTTTTAGACATGAAGTCCTTGCCCATGCCTATGTCCTGAATGGTATTGCCTAGGTTTTCTTCTAGGGTTTTTATGGTTTTAGGTCTAACATTTAAGTCTTTAATCCATCCTGAATTAATTTTTGTATAAGGTGTAAGGAAGGGATCCAGTTTCACCTTTCTACATATGGCTAGCCAGTTTTCCCAGCATCATTTATTAAATAGGGAATCGTTTCCCCATTTCTTGTTTTTGTCAGGTTTGTCAAAGATCAGATAGTTGTAGATATGCAGCATTATTTCTGAGGGCTCTGTTCTGTTCCATTGGTCTATATCTCTGTTTTGGTACCAGTACCATGCTGTTTTGGTTACTGTAGCCTCGTAGTATAGTTTGAAGTCAGGTAGCATGATGACTCCAGCTTTGTTCTTTCAGCTTAGGACTGACTTTGCAATGCGGGCTCTTTTTTGGTTCCATATGAACTTTAAAATAGTTTTTTCCAATTCTGTGAAGAAAGTCATTGGTAGCTTGATGGGGATGGCATTGAATCTATAAATTACCTTGGGCAGTATGGCCATTGTCACAATATTGATTCTTCCTACCCATGAGCATGGAATGTTCTTCAGGTATCCTCTTTTATTTCATTGAGCAGTGGTTAGAATTTCTCCTTGAAGAGGTCCTTCACATCCCTTGTAAGTTGGATTCCTAGGTATTTTATTCTCTTTGAAGCAATTGTGAATGGAAGTTCACTCATGATTTGGCTCTCCGTTTGTCTATTATTGGTGTTTAAGAATGCTTGTGATTTTTGCACATTGATTTTGTATCCTGAGACTTTACTGAAGTTGCCTGTCAGCTTGAGGAGATTTTGGGCTGAGACGATGGGGTTTTCTAGATATACAATCATGTCATCTGCAAACAGGGACAATTTGACTTCCTCTTTTCCTAATTGAATACCCTTTATTTCCTTCTCCTGCCTGATTGCCCTGGCCAGAACTTCCAACACTATGTTGAATAGGAGTGGTGAGGGAGGGTATCCCTGTCTTATGCCAGTTTTCAAAGGGAATGCTTCCAGTTTTTGCCCATTCAGTATGATATTGGCTGTGGGTTTGTCATAGATAGCTCTTATTATTTTGAAATACGTCCCACCAATACCTAATTTGTTGAGAGTTTTTAGCATGAAGCGTTGTTGAATTTTGTCAAAGGCCCTTCCTGCATCTATTGAGATAATCATATGGTTTTTGTCTTTGGTTCTGTTTATATGCTGGATTACGTTTATTGATTTGTGTCTGTTGAACCAGCTTTGCATCCCAGGGATGAAGCCCACTTGATCATGGTGGATAAGCTTTTTGATGTGCTGCTGGATTCGGTTTGCCAGTATTTTTTGAGGATTTTTGCATCAATGTTCATCAGGGATATTGGTCTAAAATTCTCTTTTTTGTTGTGTCTCTGGCCAGGCTTTGGTATCAGGATGATACTGGCCTCATAAATTTATTATTTCTAATCAAATATTGGTTTGTTCTCATCTCGGATCCTAAAATGCAGAGACTGGATTATTAAATCTTTACTTTTTCTTTTTACTTTCTCTCTCTGGTTTCTTCTTTTGTGCGTTTTTCATTTCTTGCTCTCTTTTTTTTGCTCTCTCTTCATTCTCTTTTCCCTCGTTCTCTCTACTTTTTCCTCTTGCTTTACCTAATAAAAATTGTTTAAGATTAAGCAGCAAAAGAAAGGAATGTGACACATGAGTAGAGTTCAGGAATACAAATTGTACAAATATAGATCAATGGCAGAAAGGAATATGACTACTAGCATGAATTTGTAGGACTTGCTAACATGCTGAGGCTTATTTTCTCTCCACACCTGCACCCAGATACTCTGTCTTCCCAACTGCTACTAGGGATAAGCCCCCGTTTGCTCCCAAGGCTAATCTCTTCACTTATCCACTAAACCCCATCTCTTTTCTCCTAATTTATTGCTTCCATTGTTTACTCCTTTTTCTTCATTATCTATCATCATTTTCTCTGCAATGCATCTATTCCATTATTTAAAAAATAAAACTGATCTTTTGCACTGGAAGCTCATCCAGCTATTTCTCCAGTATTTGCTCTAAACTCCCAATTTGCTTCCACCCTGTATCTAATTTGTCAGCAAATTGTTATTTTTGTCATAATGATATATTTAAAATTTTACTACTTATCCCTTATTCCACTTCTATCAGTCTACAATCGGCTATCCTATTAAAATTTCCTGTCAAGTTAAAAATCAGATTTTACCTGGACTATTGGAATAGCCTGCTACCAAATCTCCTACTTCCTTCTTATCTATTATCACCAGAGTAGAAAACATTATTCTTTGAAACTCGAATCAAATCATGTCCCTGTTCTGAAGAAAACCCATATGGCTCTCTAACCCATGCAGAATAAAAACCAGTCCTTGCAGCATCCAAGGTGACTCTGCCTACTGCTCCTTTCTTCTTCTGCTTCTTCCCATCTTGCTCAACAAACCTTATAACACTCTTTCAGCTGTTCTTCAAACACTTCAGATGCACTTCTCCACCAGGGTGTTTGTACTTATTTTTCCCTGTCATATCTTCCCGGCTCTCTCTCTCTCACTTCCGCAAGCCCTTTGCTCCAAGATCACCCCCATCTGAAATTGCAAACCCATAGACCAACCTGTCATCTGGACTTCTTGATTTTTCTCAATTGCTCCTCTTATTATTAGCATCACTATTTGACATGGTATATATTTAACCAACATTATCCTCTTTTGTCTCCTACTAGAGTGTAAGATCTGTGAAAACTGGTATTTTTGTCTGTTGGTTTATTTTGTTGTTGTTGTTTCATGGTTTTGTTTCTTCTGTAATCATTGCCCTCCAGAGTTCAAAACATTTGGTAAGCACTCAGTAAACATTTTTTGAATAAAAATTATTTTAAATATTATTTTTAAATGTTATTGTTTTATTTGGGGAGAGAAGATCCCCAAAGGGAAAAAAACTCATCATGGTTATATAGTAAAAGAAAGTTGACTTTATTTTTTTAGTTGAGCTGATAATGTTTAAACACAGCAGGCTAGACAACTCAGAGATGTGCATTATCTAATGAACCTCTTTAGTCTGAAATACATCCTACACGATATTGTTCATTTTAAGTTATTTTATACAAGATTGTTTTAAGCTTTATTTTCTTAGTCTGTAAGAGGAGGAACTCTACCCTTTGATTCTTCTCTGTTTTTCTTGCCTAATAGAGTTGCTGCAGCCATGGTGGATTCTTATTGAATGTGTGCTGAGTAACAGATGACTTGATTAATATAAAATGTATAATATTTTCCCCTGATTCTTGACAAGCCATATCATATAACTGCCTCAACAGGTTTAATTTATGAAATCTTTGAGACCCATACCTGATGGAAATTGGATGTTAATAGCTAAAAGAATGACAGGTGCATAACAATTTGAAATACATACAAAATCTTTCTTCGTCACTGCTTACAACCAACTCTCTACTCCATTAAGATTTAGGTTTGACTGAAATTTCTAGTGTGGCATTTGAGAGAGAATGTCCAATGTTCACTATACTCAATTCTCAATAATAATTGAGACTATACTCAATAATTGAAACTATACTCAATAATTTCAACCATATAATCTTTGATAGTTTCTCCTACGCTCCCTGGATCTTCCACTGTGTGTAAAAGAGAGATTGAAACCCTAAGGATCTTGTGAAACACATTAATTTATAACTAAAACTAAAAAAAAAAACCCAGTTTCAAATATAAGCTAGTGCCAAATACAAACGGACAAATGTAAGCTTGTGAATAGATAGCAGAATGTAGAGAGAAAATAATTTACTTCCAAATCTAAGAGAAAAATACAAAAAGGAAATTGTTTATCTTTGTGAAACATAAAATTCCCAGGGTCACATTAATTCCTCAATACTTGCCAGTCCCATCACTGAGCCTTCATTTGCCATAAAGTGTATGAAAATAGCATTATCCTGATTGTGTTTGTGTTTAGTCTTATGAATAGAAACTGTGCATTTACATATAATAAAAGGCTGATACAACTAATTTCTTAAGCCCCCAAAAATATATTTACATTAGGGTTTTATATCTCTGCCTGCTTCTTAAAGATTATTAAAATAATAACTCTGATAAAATCTAAAGCAAGATTCTTGTTTGGAAATGAAATTCTATCACAAATGTTGTATTATAATAATTAGATTACTGTTATAGTTTTGTTTTACTGAGTATATGCTTCCATTTAACATAATGTTACAGATAGAGAATTCACAAGAAAAGAGTCTAAAGGTAAATGATGTAATTGTGAAAGCAGAATTAATTTTATAATACAGCTAAAACAAAATTTGATAGTGATTGAAAATATAAAAATGGAAACATGGTAAAGTTAATAAAAGGTAGCATGCATAGTTGTGTAGGTTATTTTCTTAGGTAGCATTAAAATGAAATGCAAAGCAAATGAAATAAAAAATCTATTCATGTGCCTTATGGAATCATAAATTCCAATGACATTACAATGAAAACAACATGATTTGCCCAGTCAAAGCCAATTATGTTAATGGAAAGAGAATGAGAGAGAAAGCTACGGACATCATAAACACTGTCAGTCCAAATCTTCATCTCTTTGGCAGTTAAGTTAATCTACTCTTTTACGTAATTCTTCATAAAAATGTTTGAGACTAACTGTGAGTCTGAAACCATAAAATGATCCATGATCAGACAGTCTTTTAGGGGTTTTTCTTTTATATTTTTATTTGTCTGTTAGTTTTTATTACCATGTACAGTTTTAGTATAGACACGCTATTGTATCTGACAATTACTAAGTTATTTTCTCCAACTTAGCCTCGACTATACTAATAGTAAATATGATTTAACCCTACCACTAGATTTATTACTTAATAAATATTCTAAAACCCATATTAAATAGGAATAATAATCATAGTATCAAGGGCATTGAGCTAGAAATTATGAGACCTAGATTCTAATTGTATGTAGCTTAACAATAATAGGCTGTGTGACCTTGTTCAAGTAGCTTCAATTTTGACTATTGCATAAATAATTTCAACCATATAATCTTCAAGAACACTACCAGTTGCAGCATCCCGTGATGCTATATGTAAATAGTGTTTACAGTGATCAAAAATACTTTATCTCTGTGATTCACTTTGATCCTCTAAACTTCATTTATAGACAAAGAGTGGATTAAATGACTGTTTAAAGTAGAAGACACATGGTTAATATGGTTGGTTAAAAAAGAGATAGCATTGTAGTCAGAAAATACCTATTGAATGTGTCCAGTGCTTGCCAAAGGGAATGCGGTGATGAACAAGGGAGATATGGTATTTTCATCACAGAGCTTTCAGTTTAGTGTTAAGGATTATCTTTTCTCTAGAGCTGCCCTTTCCAGACAGCAAGATGCTAAGAGGTGCCCACCAGTCTTCCATCACACAATCTCAAAAAGCTAACTTAAAATAAATAATAAATATAAATTGTAAAATGCTAAATTAGCATAACAAAATCTCTTAAACATCCTGTTAAGAAAGAAACCTATTTAACTTCAATTAGCCTAGAGTTTCACAAGCATATTTAATTGTAAACTACCCACCTGCTCCCCTCCCCCTTCTCACCCAGTAACTGCTAACACCCAGTGAAGCTTTCCCACAGCACAGTTTTGGAAACACTGGTTTGAACTAAGGTCTTCAGTAGCTAAGGGTTGTTGACATAAAGAACACTAAGAGATATCAGAGCTAGCTTTGAGTCAGTGTTGAGCAGAGCTAATGAGCTATTTTATGCATATGCTGTTCTTTCAGAAAGAAATATTATGCAGAGAATCATTTTGAAATCCCTACCAAAACTAGAGTTCTCTCTCTCCTTCTTCTCTCCTTTCTATGCTATTCAAAGAGGAAAATAAACCTGATGGAATATTTCTACCCAGGGAGTAAAAAGCGTTGTTTACTTTTCTGCAAAGCTCTCAGTCTCTGACAGAGAAACAGTAGTCTAATTAGACACATCTTTTCATTCATGTGCTGTTCTTAAACTACATATCCTTTTCTCTCTTAAATTTTATTTAAAAAGCAAACATGCTATTTTTTGAAAAAAAAAAAGAAAAATTCTGTGGTTCTTTGACATGTCCACCATTGTTTTAAGTGGAAACATCTTTCAGTCCAGAAGGAAAACATTATGCCTAAACTGGCATAATGAAAAGAAAAAGAAAAAATAATGGCCGGAAGGTTGCAAATATGGTAATCCTGTACACACAAGCAACACAATTAAATACAATTAAAAAATAAATAACCCTTAACATCCCTTCATACTTAAATAACCATTGTTTACTGAAGGCTGTAGCAATTTAGTGACTAGAAACAAACTAAAATGTTGTTTGCATGTTTCTATTCACTAACGTGTGGCTGTCCCTGTTTGTCTTGTAGTTCCTCATCTTATGACTGTTGAAAATAAAAATAATGAAGAAATTCAATGAAATAGACTGTTTTGGCAATGTTTCTTGGATTTCATAATACTTTCAGGTCTCTCTTATTTGGATTGTGTGAGTGCACGTGTATGTTGATGGGAGTAGGTAATCAGAAGTAAAAACAGAATTGTAGAGAAGTAAAAGTCAAAAATATAAGCTGAAGTTTTAGGCTATATCACGAATTAAGCATTAGTAGGCAGAATAAAAAGGAAAAATTGGACTCTGGTCTGAGATTTGCTTGTAGTCAGCTAATCAAATTCAGCCACTATTTTACCATGCAGAATCGTATTTGCTTCACTTATAAATTGAATTAGTGGCAACACTGAAGTATAACTTGTCAAAAAGTTAAAAACATTACTCATGTAAATATATAATCAGATATCAATTTCATTTAACTCATTAATTGAATAAGGTAATCAGTAAAAGGTGAATTTGAAAACTGTACACATATCTAGATAAGCAGTAATGCCAAAATAAATTTGCTAGTAGAAACAAACTAATTAACATCCTATGGGGAAATAAAATATGTTATTTGAGATAATCTTTTCTTTAGGATGAAAATCAATTACATCTTTACTGGACAAAATTAATATGCATTATTGAGTAAAAGAATTATTTGCCTGTCAATTATAGTCTATACAACTTCTACCCCTACAGAGTTGGCAACATTCAATTTTTTCAACATTTTTACGCTTTCTAGCTAAAAAATGACAAGCTTGGAACTCATGATCACTAAACTTTCAAAAACCTGTAACTTAAAACATGTTATATGATCTTTGAAAAGAATGAGATAAAGCAAATGACATAATAGAAGTTTAGAACTGAAGATGTAAAATATAATATCAGGAATGTAACCATTTCCCTTAACATCACAATATCATTACTATCCACGATTGACATTGTATACAAGATGTCATATTTGAATTCTCAGGAAGAGAAAGAACAAGAGAGAAAAAAAGTTGCCTGAATCAAGAAAACAAAAAAAGTAACCAGAAGTTCTCATTGCACTTTTGGTCTCATCTTGCTAATCATTACTGTATAACTTAGTCACGCATTGCTGCAAGGTGGCTGAAACTTGTTTCTTACGGGTATCTGTTTCCTCTTTAAGAAAACTGGGATTATGTTAATCAGAAAAAGGTTATAGTATGTATACCTTCAGCCACATAATCCAGAATTAAGATGAGAGAGCATAATCTTTAAATATGAAAGATCATAGGATTATAGGGGAGGGAAAATCTTTCTACTCTCTGAGAGTTTGATAATGGAGTCTATGAAATAAACTAACAGTAGACAGATTAATAGGAAAAAAAGGTATACCCATTTATTACATACACAGCAGCCTCACATGAAAGAAAAGTGAGTATATGAAACTCAATGAGATCTAGAAGCTTACATGCCCTCTTCATTAGGGAGAGTGGAAGGGAGAGGTAGGCAATTTAGATGAGAATAAATGATTTTTGAGAAAGATGAATGAGCCCTCAAAAGAAGAGGTGACAGCCTGTGACAAATTCTGTCTAGGCATGACGTCACCTCCAGTTTCTTCTCCTCTTGAGTTAACCTTTCCTAACCATCTGAGTTGATGAGGTTCCTGCGGAGGGGTTTCGTGACAATTGTGCTCGTTCTGGGCAATCTGTCTTTAGGCAGATTAAGGAAGTTCAGAGAAAGTCCCTTCCTGCGTTTGCTGTTCCCCAAGTGCCCTCAGTTTCCATTAGTCAGCATGCCCAAGCTGCATATTTTGTGGTGGCATTTCCTGATCTCCTTTAGTAGAAATATTTTTCACAGTAATATTTGGAGATTCTATCATTCATTGATCAACAAATTGGAAGGTTGTTAATGTCTTTTTAAAAATTTATTACTAAGGGTTTTTTTGTTTTTGTTTTTAAATTTCTTATGGTTGCTGCCATATGTAAGCCATGGGAGCTACTGGAAAAAGGGGGAGTATAAGAAAGACTTACTAGTTCTAGATCCCTGAGGAATCGCCACACTGACTTCCACAATGGTTGAACTAGTTTACAGTCCCACCAACAGTGTAAAAGTGTTCCTATTTCTCCACATCCTCTCCAGCACCTGTTGTTTCCTGACTTTTTAATGATTGCCATTCTAACTGGTGTGAGATGATATCTCATAGTGGTTTTAAGAAAATGTGGCACATATACACCATGGAATACTATGCAGCCATAAAAAATGATGAGTTCATGTCCTTTGTAGGGACATGGATGAAATTGGAAACCATCATTCTCAGTAAACTATCGCAAGAACAAAAAACCAAACACCGCATATTCTCACTCATAGGTGGGAATTGAACAATGAGATCACATGGACACAGGAAGGGGAATATCACACTCTGGGGACTGTGGTGGGGTCGGGGGAGGGGGGAGGGATAGCATTGGGAGATATACCTAATGCTAGATGACACGTTAGTGGGTGCAGCGCACCAGCATGGCACATGTATACATATGTAACTAACCTGCACAATGTGCACATGTACCCTAAAACTTAGAGTATAATAAAAAAAAAAATTTAAAAAAAAAAAAAAAAAAAAAAAAGACTTACTAGTCATTAAATTCCAGCATTTTTTTTTTCTTTTTGAGACAAAGTCTTTCTTGTTGCCTAGGCTGGAGTGCAATGACTCGATCTCGGCTCACTGCAACCTCCGCCTCCTGGGTTCAAGTGATTCTCCTGCCTCAGCCTCCAGAGTAGCTGGGATTACAGGTACTTGCCATCACGCTTGGCTAATTTTTGTATTTTTAGTAGAGACGGGGTTTCACCATGTTGGCCAGGCTGGTCTCAAACTCCTGAACTCAGGTGATCTGCCCACCTCAGCCTCCCAAAGTGCTGGGATTACAGGCATGAGCCACTGTGCCCGGACAAATTCCAGGAATTTTGTGGGCATTTTATATATTTTGTTGTATTGTGTTTTTACAAGAAATGTACAAAGTAAAAAGTAGAATAAAATATGAGACTCAGAAGATGGTATTATTTGCCTTTCAAAGTCTATCTGACTTTGTGACTTAGGATCCTTATACGATCCTTCCATATCAAATATGGTGCTTATTGAGTAAAAAAAAAAAAGTAGAGAGGAAACTTGTGCTGATGTGTTTACTTCCAAGAATAATGATTGATATTTTGTCACTCTTCGGCATGTTAAGACCTTCATTGTGGACAATTTTACAAAAGGTGGAGAAGAGAAGTGTCAGGATAGGCACAATTAGCTAAAGTACTGATTAGAAACAAGCTTCCGGAAATTTATGTGTTTCAGCTGTTCATATAATCTTAAGCATCTCAATAGTTCAGAACATTGGAATACATGCTTGCTCTACCATTGATACTCTAGTGAGACAATAGCATTTTTAGCTGTGTTGTCATTGATTTGTATTTGAGCAAGTACATTACTCTGTCAAATCAGTAGTCTCAATAGTTTATTCCTATAACTTAGTATTGTAATGAGTAGAAAATGGTGCCTATTCAGCATAATTCTCTTATCTTATCACTCTTGGAAGCCATAAGCCTGTTATGTAGAAATACAACAAAAGCAACTGCCAAAAAATCTGGGTGCATGTGTGTGTGTCTGTGTGTGTGTGAGAGAGAGAGTGTGTGCATGTGTGTGTGGGCATGGGAGTGATACATTGTGTACATAACCCACATATGTTTGTGCAGCTGTGATGTTTGAGTAACATACCACTTGGCATGTGGAATGTGTACAGAAGAGGGTGAGTACCTTTCTTTAGAATACTAATTACTGATAAAACATGATTATCATTTCCTGGAAGCCATGTTGAAGTTGAGAGTGCCAGATTTAAAACAAAAAAAGCAAACAAGCAAGCAAAAACAGATTATCTGTTTCCTCTCATTGCACTGCTACCAAGCAGACCTTAAAATTCCAGTGAAACATTGTAAGCTGATTTGAGTGAAATGCTGTGAAAATGCTGACACATAACAAAGGGATGGAGTTATTATAATAATTAAATTAGTTAATGCTTTCAAGGAATTTAGCACCTGGTGTTTGATAAACTAAATGAAATTATTCAGTTTACTGTATTTCATGATAATTACTTTTTAAATTAGGACTCTCAGAGCTTTCTATGTATTGGACTTATGGGCTTAGCCAGAACCCTTGAGAGACAACTTCTAACTTCATGCTCTTGGGCTTCATAGTCATGATGAACTATGTGTTCCCTTTAGGCATCTTCACTATAAAACTGTTTCTTTTTTTGAAATCTCACTCTTAGACCTAAAGAAAACGGAACTTAGTACTCTCAAGAGCTCTGTAGCTTTCAATATTTTACTTAGCTTGAAAGAGTCTGCCATATTTTCAAGGATATTTTTAGAAGACACAAAACTCCTAGGTCAGAGATGAAAGACAGTTTATTACTTATAGCACTAATTACAGAGTAACGGCAATTTTCAGCCAATTCACAAAGATTTAATTTTCACACGTGACACAAATAGGACTAGAAGATACCAGAACACAAAATGAGTTAAATTACCAAAAATGATTATTAAGTTTAGAGAATCATAATTCTTTAAAATGGATGGTAAGTATGACTGTGCTATACTCCAACAGGAAGCATTGTCTTTATTATAAAAACTCTCAGCAAACTAAGAAAAAAAAAGAAACTTTCTTCACCTGATAAATGAACAATTACAGAAACTTTTACTCAATGTGATATTTAATAATTAAAAACTAAATGTCTTTCCCTTAGAATCAGAGGTTCTGGAATATGTACTGGACATTCTAGCTAAGCAATAAAGCAAAACAAAGAAATTAAAGCTGTCCTAATTGTAAAGGAAGAAGTGAAACTGTCTTTATTGATACAGACATGATTTCCTATATACAAAGCTACAAGAAGTATTAAGTGTTTTTAGCAAGACTGTAGGATTACAGATTAATATAAAAATAATTGTAATCCTGTTTATTAGCAACAAACAATTGCAAATTAAAATTTTGAAAAATATATGTACCATAAAAAAAGAACTATATTCATTAACCTGACAGAAATGTACAAGACCAGCACACTGTAAGCTGTAAAATATTACTGAGATGAACACAACTCAATGGAGAGACATACCTCTTACCAGGTAAACATTTTCAATATTGTAAGAAGCAAATTGTTTACAAGTTGATATAAGGAAACAATGCAATTCCTCAAAATTCCAGCTAACATTTTGTGGAATTTGACAAACTTATTCTGGAGTTCATATAGAAATGCAAAGCAGTAAGAATAGCCAAAACAAAGTTAAAGAAGAACAAAGTGAGGGAGGGATATTACCAGATTTCAAGATCCATAATAAAGAAACAATAATCAATATAAAATGATACTAAACATTAAGACAGAAGAATAAGCCAATGGAACAGATCAGAAAGTCCAGAAATAGACACATGCATATATAGGCAGCAGATATTTGACAAAGGCAAGTTCAATGGAGAAAGGATAGTCTTCCCAGCAAATGGTATAATACCAAATGAATATTCAAAAGCAAAAATATTTTTTGAGTGTATTTTGATCCATACCTCATGCTATATACATAAATTAACTCAAGATGTATCATAGAAGAAAATTTTAAATCTAAAACTACAACATTTCTAGAAGAAAACATAGGAGATAATCTATGGTATTGGCATAAGCAAAGACTTTTCAGATACAACACTAAAAGCAGAATACATAGAAGAAATAAATTGATAAATTAGTCTTCATCAAAATTAAGAAACAATCTGTTAGGACAGTGTTAAGAGCATTAAAAGGTAAGCTGCAAACTAGGAGAAAGAACTTGCAAAACATTGATTTGATAATGGGTTTGCATTCAGATTATATAAAGAATTCTCAAAACTCAAAAATAGGCCAGGTGCCGTGGCTGGCCAGGGGTAGTGGCTAATGTCTGTAATCCCAGCAATTTGTGAGGCCTAGGCGGGCGGATCATTTGAGGTCGGGAGTTTGAGACCAGCTTAGCCAACGTGGCGAAACCCATCTCTACCAAAATACAAAAAGTTAGCCAGGTGTGGTGGCATGAGCCTGTAATCCCAGCTACTCAGGAGGCTGAGGCAGGAGAATAATTTGAACCCAGGAGGGAGAGGTTGCAGTGAGCCAAGATTGCACCACTGCACTCCAGCCTGGGTGATAGGGTGAAACTCCGTCTCAAAAAAAATCAAATATTCAAATAAAAAATGGACAAAATGGTTAGTTGAACAGTCACTTCACCAAAAATATATGGGAGACAAATAAGCATATAAAAAGATATTCAACATCATTAGTCATTAGGAAAACATAGTTAAATCCACAATAAAATACCACTACACATTGATCACAATTACTAAAATTAAAAAGACTGACCATATCAAATTTTGACAGAATTTGGAAAAACTGGAATTCTCCTACATGGATAGGAGGAATGTGAAATTGTACAGCCACTTCGGAAAAAAACACCTTAGAAGATTGATAAATTTAAACATACAACTGCTATATTAACTGGACATCCAACTCCTAGGTATTTATCCAAGAGAAGAGAATGCATATGTCCATAATAAAACTTGCATAGGGATGTTCATTGTTGCCTTATTTGCAATAACCAAAAAATGCAAAAATTTCTATTAATATGTGAACGGATAAATTTTGGTAGGCCTGTACAATGGAATATTACTGAGCAATAGAATGCAATGAACTACCGATACCCGCAACAACATGAGTGATTCACAAAAAGTCAGGATGAGTAAAAAAACCAAACATAGAATAATCCAAACTATATGATTACATTTATATAAAATTCTCAAAAATGCAAACTAAGTTACAGGGACTGAATGCTCATTAGTGGTTGTCTGGAGACAGGGTGGGAGGAGTGAGAGAAAGGGATTACAAGGAAAAGCAGGAAACTTCTGGAGGTGATAGATATATTCAGTATCTTGATCATGGTTACATTTTCTTGGATGTATACACAGGCCAAACTTAGCCAATTGCATATTTTAAATATGTGCAGTTTGTTGTATGTTAATTATACCTTAATAAGTTCATTTAAAATAAACAAGAAGACTTTTTTTCTGTTTTCTGCCTTTTTATTTCACTGTAGTTACTCCCCTTGGCAGTATTTAACATAGATCCAGGTAGCAAAGAATCTTGGTGATGTCATTTGCCCAGTTTCAGCCTTAGTATCACAGAGGAGAATTAGAAGTTTAGATTTGCTGCCAAAAACAATATGTAAAAATGGACACACACAAATCATCTCTTTGCTTACTCACACTCTTTGTATATATTTGAATTGCCATACAAAAAATACTTTCAGGTTGCCACTTAACAAAATGGAACTCTGGGCCAGGCGCAGTGGCTCACACCTGCAATCCCAGCACTTTGGGAGGCCAAGGTGGGCATATCACCTAAAGTCAGGAGTTCGAGACCAGCCTTGCCAACATGGCAAAACCCCATCTCTACTAAAAATACAAAAATTAGCCACGTGTGGTGGTGGGTACCTGTAATCCCAGCTACTCAGGAGGCTGAGGCAGGAGAGTCACTTGAACTGGGAGGCCGGATGTCGCAGTGAGCCGAGATCACACCACTGCACTCCAGCCTGGGCGACAAGAGCGAAACTCCGTCAAAAAAAAAAAAAAAAAAAAAACACACAAAAAATGGAACTCTGACAGAGATGCCCTCATCCTGCCTACAAAAATAAAAGACACAAGTCTTAGCAGTTACAGTGTACATTATTGTGCAATGTTAATTTCCATCTTGCTTTAGTCATTAGACCACCTGAATATTCTGATAGAAAAATAGACATTTAACCAGTAGGACTACCAATGCAGGATCTTAATATTATTAGGTTTTTTTTAGAGGCCTTCCTAGATTCATGCCTATAGTAATTCTATTTTCTGATTCCTACCTTATGTCTCCAACGTGGTTAACTCTTCTTCAAAACCTGGTTAGATTTTTGTTTGCATTCTGTCTGAAATGGTTTCAAAGCGGCAATTATGTACATTGTTATGGAAGCCTGCTCATGTCTTGAGCTGAGGCTGTGATAGCTTTTATCATTTTGTTCATTTTATCAAAATAAAACAAACACTAAAACTGCCTTACAAATTCTAATTTATATAGAATAATTGAGGAAATTCTAGTTGATTAACTTAGGGAAGAATTTGAAAAGCATCTCATATGTGTCTAGGGCTATCAGGTAAACATGGGCTTAAATTTACTCTGGACTACCCCAAAGCTAGAACTGAGAATGGCAAGGAGAAGCTCTTTCTAGTGCCAGGCATCCCCACGTATGCAGCTTCTTTTTGAAGTAATGATCCATCCATCACTAAAATTGTTTCAGGAGAGGCCAAATGATTTTCAGTCAGATAGAAAAGATTCTTACATGAAGGGAAGGTTGAAGTGTTGGATACATGTTCTATGAAGTCGCATCTGACTTTTGAAGCTATCTGCACAAGTCAGTTAAAGTAAGTGGTTTTTATTTTATGTTGTTGTATAAATACAATTGATTCTTAGCTAAATGCCTAATTTTATTTTCACCATTCAAGGCAGAATGCATGCTGTCTCTTGATTTAGACTTCTTCCCATCCCAAACTGATGTGTCTTAGACTCTGAACCACAAGGCTTGTTTTCTGTTAAAACAATCTCACAAATGAATTCAAGCTAAATCAATACTGGGAAATCACAGATTAATTTGTTCACCTTATGCCAACATTCTATAAGGTCTTAGATTCTTAACGACCTATTGATGTAGTCAATGTGAGAATTCTGGCTCTTTAACGTGACCAGTTTTAGGTATATTCCTTTGAGTTCCTTTGCTGTTAATTCTGAATTCATACCATTAAATAGGTAGAGACTATTTTACTCCAGATATATAACCTTAAAATTCATCTTGTCTTCAGCTCCCCTGTGCCTCAAATAAATGGTGGGAAATTCGGCTAAGTAGGAGCAATGCATCTGAAAAAGCTGATGTTTAATAGAAATACACATATGCATGTATATGTGTGTATTTCTAATGACATATTTTTGCTGATATTCGTGAAAAAAATCAGTGTGGCAAGAGAAATGTTTAAGCATAAACAACATCCTTGGCCTGAATGACTACAACAAAGCTATCAGAAACAAAATAGAAATATGGAAATTATTTTCAAATCTCATCTTAATTTCTTCCCTTTTAGCTCTGTTTCTTTATTTCTCTCAGTTAAATGAAAAGAACATTTCACTGTTTTATGTTCACTTTAGGAGTACTTTTATCCTTCTGATCCTCATGAATCCTATGCCATTTTTAGCTTTACAGCATAGAATAATTAATAACTATTTTGAACATAATGTTTTTATGATTTTTAAGGTTCACTAGTGGATATGCATAAGGGTAAGGGAAGAAAATAAGTTTATTTGAGGAAGAATCTCTATATTTAGTGATTTTTGTAATTCCACTTAACTACAGGGTCTCACTCTGTCATCCAGGCTGAAGTGTTGTGGCACAATTATGGTCCACGGCAACCTCCACCTCCTGGGCTCAAGCAATCCTCTCACTTCAGCCTCCCAAGTAGTTGGGACTACAGGCACATGCCACCACACCCGACTGATTTTTGTACTTTTTGTCAAGAAGGAGTTTTGCCATATTGCCCAGACTGGTCTTGAACTTCTGAGCTCAAGTGATCTACCCACCTCAACCTCCCAAAGTTTTAGCATTATAGGAGTGAGCCAAGGTGCCAGCCTGTATGCTGACGTTTTAAGTAAAAAAACATGATTGCTTATTGGTTTTGCTAAATTCCTTTTGTTTCACTCAGGAGAACATTGTTACAGTAACGATATCTCCATGAGCAAAGCTCAGTTGGATAGGCCTGAATGGAATGGATTTGTCATAATTATAGAATTTCAAGTGAATATTTATTCATGTTTTATAAATGTTTCCCCCAAATACACAGACACTGACGTAAAAGCAAGTGATTTAATTCTGTCCTGTAGATCATGAAAACAACTGGTTGAACTTTCTTATTCCACTATTTCCAAAATAGCAGTTTATTAGAAAATATTTAACATTATGTTTTCATTCTAGTTAGAGTGTGGAGAAGTAAGTCAAATAGTGGGTTGAATAAATGAGATTAAAAGTTATGAATGAGAAAAGTCCAAATATTAAATAAGCAGTCTCTAAGGGTTGTAAATGTTAGTAATATTTCCCTTGTCATCATTTCTGCATCTCTGCCTTTTCCTGTCTGGTTCCTCAAGACATCCTCTCCCTCAACACTATGCTACCCAAAGTCACATTATCATAAGACAACTCAATCACATTCAGGTCAAAAGCTTTAAGACTGAGATGTTTGTCTTTCCATGTATCAGTATGAAAGAAACAGAGAGAGAGAGAAAAAAAGATAACTCACATAAGCATATGTCACATACTTCCCTATAGTTATACCTTAGAATGAAGTGGGAATGAGGAACCAGTACTTAAGTAGATATAGTGCTTGAATATGAGGCAAGAGATAAATTCTCTTGTTCTGTTTTCTGGTGTGTAAAATGAGAGATACATCCTATCCTAGTGAAAAGAGCAAACTGCCTCAGCCTCCCGAGTAGCTGGGATTACAGGCGCCTGCCACCATTCCTGGCTAATTTTTTGTATTTTTAGTAGAGACGGGGTTTCACCGTATTAGCCAGGATGGTCTCGATCTCCTGACTTCGTGTGGCAGGCACCTCTCTCTGCTCTTGCTACTTCTCTCTCCATGTGACATGCCTGCTCCCCCTTTGCCTTTCACCAGGAATAAAAGCTCCCTGAGGTATCGTTAGAAGCTGAGCAAATGCCACTGCCATGCTT
Source organism: Homo sapiens (assembly GCF_000001405.40). Classification (NCBI taxonomy): domain Eukaryota; kingdom Metazoa; phylum Chordata; class Mammalia; order Primates; family Hominidae; genus Homo; species Homo sapiens. The sequence goes on from NC_000018.10 coordinate 43,926,904, forward strand.
TCTCTACAGCCTGCAGAACTCTGAGCCAACTAAACCTCTTTTCTTTATCAATTACCGAGTCTCAGGTATTCCTTTATAGTAACGCAAAACAGACTAATACACTGACCAACATGCTGTGGTTTATGTAAAGAACAACTGTAAAATTAGAATAGTTAAGGCCATGTTGACTTGCAAACTATAGTTGCCTGGCAAACTATAGTTATTAGTATTTATTATAATAACTGATTTTATATAGATATATAATATAGATATATAATAACTAACTTTATATAGATATATTATATATCTATTATATCTCTCTATATTAAATCTCTATGTATTATATCTCTATATATCTCTATATATTATATATCTATATAAAGTTTTATGTATATATCATATATAATAGTTATACATATATAACTTACATAACATATATAGCTATATAATAACTTTATATATAACTTCTGTTTAATAACTATTATATATAATAGTTATACATACAGAACTATTATACAAATGTGTAACTATTATATATAATACTTACTATATGTATATTTATATAATAGCTATTATATATAATAGTTATTATGCATATATTTTGTATTTTTGGAAAGAGAGTAGGTATTTAGATTTTTTAAAAAACTTATTACAATGTTTTTTAGTAATAGACAAAGATTTAATGAATAATTAAAGAAATACTGGTATACTTGTCAATAAAAAAGTAAAATATGATTGAAGACTTCTGAAGGGTTATTCTCAACCTCATTCATTTTTCTTTTTCCCACCACATCCTCCATTGTTAAGGTGGCATTTATTATTTTACAAATTTTCTTTGATTCATCATATATATATATTCTACTGTTGTAAATAATTTTAAACTATGTATAAGTTGTTTCAAACTGCAAGTTTGTTTCTGCAACTCGATTTTTCTATTCAACAGAAAAATAGAAAACACTTTTTAAAATTTTATTGCCTAATACTCTATTTTACAAAATTCATCTCAATTTGAATATTGGAGGTCCCCAGAACTTGGCTTTTGTGATAACACATGTAGTACTCCGAAAATATTACAGGAAACTACGTAGTACCAATGTATAAAATGTTGATATTTTAGGTTCTATAATAAATATAATTTGCCTTTTAAATTGTAAAGGCAATAATTAAACTAGCTGTATTCAAACTGAATCTATGATATTATAGACAAGACACTAATCAAGTTTTATTTACCTGGATTTTAGAGATTTCAAAAATTATCTAAACTTCATATTAACACATAATTGTGAAATAAATTCTAAGGTCATATAAATTAGAAAAATAATAATTATATATCAATGTCTTTTAAAATCTTTCTTTTAACTGATCTCTTTAATTATTAATTGATAAATATACTATGTCAAATATAATAGTGAAAACTGAAATCCTAATATCATTGTTCAATAGATTCTTCCAATTCAAACCATTTGATAAAATATATGAACTAGCTTTCATAGCCTGAGCTACTCCTAGGGTATGTGGGGCTCTGGGCAAATATTTTGGTGTGTGTATGGGATTCCTATGTATATACATAATTTGATTTAAAAGGGACTTATAAAATTCATGGGCCCATGTAAGGTATAGTGATTTATTGATTATTATTTATAATAATAAAAAAGAAAGCTGACATTATTCATTATTGACCAGTAAACAACGACTCTTCACAGTGTCCAGGGACCATCTCTATCTGTAATTTATTGTCAAATGCACTGTTCCTAGCTAATTTCATATCTCACTGCAATAAGAGGCAGGGCAGCAATGCTGTTATTAATCACAATGCCATAACTCTGGATGTTTTTGCCTCTGCATTTCTCTGGTACCATTTATTTAATGCTGGTTGCCTCATGGCTCATGATACTGCACCATCCACTGAGCCACCCATGAGCACTGGTTTCTAATGACTGTCTCAAATATTGTGACTGTTCTTTGTCGATAATGACTTCAAATGCAAGTTTTATCCAGGGTATGCAGAAAAATATAAATGATGCACCCCTGTCTTCCACACCTTGCTTCTAGCAGGGAGGAAAGATGAGAAGTCCATGGTCAGAATGAAAGCAGTTACATTTGTGTAAGTAATGTCTATTCCATTTATAACATCTGGGAGAGTACATTAGTACATCAATTAGGGACAACAAAGTGCAAGAATCAAAATACCTGTTCAGATTGGAGTAGAGTTCGCCAAAGCTCTTGGAGAGAAAGGTATGGCCATCCCTGGAGGACTCCCTGAACCAGAACATGACATTAGCAGAAGAGTGGAATGATCACCTATATGTCAGAAGTAGGGGACACACAGTGTAAATAATATCTGCCACAAAAATTGCTGCCTTCGAGGGCTGTAGACTAGATGTGCTATCACAGATTAATGAAAGCTGATACATGGGTCCATACTACATGAAGAGTGGATCACGATAGCTCAGAACCTTGAAATTTTCTTATTATGGAGAGGTTTTATTGCATAACATATATGAGTGACACAAAATCATCTTCTTTACACCATTTTGGTGGATGGATATCACATGATCTTTTAAAGAAAATACTGCACTGGCCATCTGGGAGGTTCCAGACTTTCCTCTTAGAACTGAGACCCGGCCACAGGTCCTGGGATGACTCTATGGATATAAGTTTCTGATAGGGATAAGTTTCTGATAGGGACATCTAGTGGAACCCAAGAATGAGATCTCAAAAAGTCTGAATCTAGGCTTACTGGCCCTGTTCCTATAACACTGTCAGCTCAGGCCACTCCTGGCCATCAAAGTGGGACTTCAAAAATTTAAGGAAGGCATTCCCCATGTATGGGCTCCTAAAACTTGAATCCTGGGATAGGTCTTTTCTTGTCAAGGCCTAATGGCAGTGCTGTTCATAGCAATATGGAGCAGAAAAATCTGCAAGCTGAAGGGGTTTTGTATCAATGAGGGGTAGTAAATTACTGAAAATGAAGACAAAATAAAGATTTTCTTAAACAAATTCTTTAAACTTGAGAAACATTAACTGTGGAACAACAAAAGGAAATCCAAGAAAATGATATATGTTCAAATATTTTAAAAATAGTAATATTTAAAGATCAATAATAATGCTAAATTTAAATCAGCAAACATAATTGTAGTTGCAGGACAAACATTTTTAAAGCATTATAAGATTGCAGAGGTGAAGAGGAATTAATACCACTAGTGTAATCCCTTTCAGGCATAGCAGAAAACCACTGAACACTTTGGTGATGCTAAGGGTATGTTTATAAGTCTGTTTCCCAGTCCAGCTCACATTGTGTTTTATATAACCTTATCAGAAGTGAATTGGTTTTAATAACTGAGTATCCCATCTTGTGTACATTGCTTCAATGTTTATTTTGCTGCTCAAATTCCTACTTTTAGGTATAGAGTCTTAACACTATGGTTTACTTTTTCCTTTTCAAACTTTGCTCTCAGTAAAAAATCTAAAGTCTACGTTTTAAATATGAGTCTGAATTATGCCAACATTTCATAGACATTTACCTGTTCACTGTTGTCTCTACTGGTGGAATTAAAGCGTTTATTTAATGGAACAAGGATTTCATGTGTGAAGAAGCAGGTAAACCAGAGATTGTGGGGGAAGAGACATCTTGTGACTGCTGAAATCATACCATGTAGACAGCCTAACATCCTGCTCAGGGATTTTGTCTACAGATCATTTTGTAAAATAGTTAATAAGATGTTTATAATTGGGCTTTAACAGAGGTTTCCATCGTCTGTCTGTTTCAAGACCTTATTAACACAATAGTAAAACTAATAAAAATGAATAAATCCACAGTATTAAAGAAAACAGAAGAAGCAGAAAAGTAGCCACAATGATAAGAGATTTCAACATAATTTTTGAAAATTAAAAGCAGATGGGGTAGGTGATAATTGATGAAGCAGGGCTGAGAGATCCTTAGGCCTTGTGTGCCAACAGAGCAGGATGTCAATGGTAAGGCAGCCAATGTGCCCTCAAAAACACAGCAGACTGGGGCCTTAGAGCAAGTAAAGGTCTGAACTGAGGCATAGAGCTAAAAAATGTCGGTAAGGTAGTATACACCATGACTACTATTACCACTCCAAACATGGAGGAAAGCAGTAGGAAGACTTTGTCTTATGGGAAATAAACATGAGAAATATTCTCATGTTAAATATTTCCAGGAAAAAAAAAGATATCTGAAGTTTTATATTCAGGAATCTCCAATATAATTGTTGGCTTACTTACTGGTCACTCTTAAGCAAAGACTCCCATCAATACAAACAAAACTGCCAATCTATGTTAGAGGCATTACTTTTAAATATCAATTAATAATCAACTATGTCTGCCCAGTTGAGGAAATTTTCCAATATAAGCAATAGAAGATAAAATAAAAAGAAAACATAGAAATAATGGAAATAAGGCAAGAAGGCAATTATCAATTATATTTTTATCTGACAAATTTATGCCACATATATGTGCCAATTGGATAGATAGATAGATAGATAGATAGATAGATAGATAGATAGATAGATAGATATGTCTGTGTGTGTGTCTGTGTGTATATATATACATTTATGTGTGGGGTGTGCATCAGTGTTCCCCAAAACAATTCCCAGTTTTAATGATTCGCTAGGATAACTCACGGGACTCTGAATACAGTCTTCCTCATGGTTATGACTTATTAGAGTGAAAGGATACACAACAAAATCAGCAAGGGAAAGTACACAAAGTCCGGATGAAACCAGATGCAGGCTTGCAAGAGACTCTCCCAGTGGAATCATACAGGATGTACTTAATTCCCCAACCAATAAGTTGTAAAAGCATGTAATAAATGCTACTCATCATTTCTGGGTATGGTGGGGGCCTTTCTGAAATCCAGTTTCCTGGATTCCAGTCAAGGGCCAATCTGGAAAAAAAGAGCTTTCTAAACCTAGCAGTCTGTTACATTAACACTTTTCTACAAAACATATAGAAAATTAAAAAAAATAAATTTTCAAAGAAAAAAATTAAAAAATTCTTAAAGCACATTCATTTATTCCACAAATATTGGCTGAAGGCTTCTAGGCTTACCACTATCTTAGGCATGTGGAATAAAAGACCATTGACATCATGGTTATTACATTTTAGTACAGTCAAGAAATGAATAAAATAAACTACTGAATTGTCTAAAATATGAGAAGATGAAAGTGCTATGAAAAAAATGTAAAGCAAGGCACAGAAAAGCTGAGGTGTATAAGAGAAGTTTATAGCATTAAATAAAGTAGTTAGAATTAACCTCCCTGAGAAGGTGAAATTTGATTAAAGGCTTAAATTTTAACAAAGTTGAAGACAAAGATTAAACACTGGATTTAGAACCATGGAGAATCCTGATGACCTCATGGGAGCATTTTCAGAGGAGTGTAGGAGGCAAAAACTTCACTGAATTTAAAAGAGAGTCTAGTTTCAGTTCTGGTTAAGATAGAGTAAGCACAGATACCCTGTTTATCCCACTGAATGTAGCTAGGAAACCTGGTAATGCACAAAGCAGCCAATCTGCTCTTACTGCTGAAAAGTAAATAGTAGCAGGCAGGTTGGTGTTCCAGTAGTGAGTTTACTTTTTTCCTTCATTATCCTCCAGCCTACACTCAGTACATAATAAATATGTTTTGATTGAGTAAATGAATGAATGATTGAAATAAATAACTACCACTTATGATTATATAACCAATGTGCCATTAATGTTTTTGTTTAAATTTCTTCCATTAAAAGATGATTTTTCTCTTCTATTTTTCATATTAAAATCAATTCATGTATTGAAAATATCTGTCTTGTAAATACCAGAATGAAGTTCAAAATATCCACATTCATTCTTTCAGGCATTTTCCGTCATGTATCATGAGTTCTACCAAAGTTCACAGCCTCTGAAACTTTTTTTTTTTTTTGAGACAGAGCCTGGCTCTGTCACCCAGGTGGGAGTGCAGTGACACAGTCTTGACTCACTGCAACCTCCCCTCCCAGTTTCAAGTGATTCTCCTGCCTCAGCCTCCCCCGTAACTGGGATTACAGGCGCAAGCCACCGTGCCTGGCTAATTTTGTATTTTTAGTAAAGATGGGGTTTCACCATGTTGGCCAGGCTGGTCTTGAATTCCTGACCTCAAATGATCCACCCACCTCGGCCTCCCAAAGTGCTGGGATTACAGGCATGCACCATCGTGGGCCCTCTGAACCTTTTAATAGGAATTATTTTAATTTTAATTTGCTTTCATTTCATCCACTTATTTTTTCTTTGTATTAAATTCGTTCCACACTGCTATAACGAACTACTTGAGACTGGGTAATTTATGAAGAAAAGAGCTTTAATCGACTCACAGTTCTGCAGGCTATACAGGAAGCGTGGCTCCGAGGCCTCATGAAACTTACAATAATGACAGAAGGGCAAAGGAGAAGCCAGCACATCTTGACTTGGAAGCAGGAGAGAGAGAAAGCACACAAAGGCAGAAGAGCTACACACTTTCAAACTACCAGATCTTGTGAGAACTCTATCACAAGACAGCACTAGGGGGATGGTGCCAAATCATTAGAAACCACCCCCATGATTCAATCACTTTGCTCCAGGCTCCACCTTCAACACTCAAGATCACAATTCAACGTGAGATTTGGGTGGGAACACAGAGCCAAACCATATGATTATTTTATTCCTTTCTATCTCTAATTTCAATGAAAATGTTGTAGTTTCTCTCAAATCACAGTCTTTTCAACAGGACATGAAAGAAAAGCAAAAGCAGATAAAAGTCAGTTTGAAAGAGAGAGAAATCTGTTCTCATCTTCTTTTTTTCGCGTCCTTGTGAGGCATTAATAGGAGGGAAACTCTCAAAGCTGAAGAGTTGCTATCTCCTTAAACCCCAGTGCAGAAGTCACAACACAACAGAAATCCTCTTCAGGGGAACATAAATCCGGGTTCTCTATTTCATGTGGCACCTAATAAATGGAATATACTACATATATATTGTTTCTAACTCCTCCAATAACTCTGATGAGTAATTTTTCACAGTTTATAGATGAAGAACTAAAACTCAGAGGGATTAAGTAATTCATCTAGAGTCATGCACCTAGAAAGTAACAGAGCTAAAATTTGAATCCAGACCTTTTTGATTATTCAATTATTTCATTCTGACTAATCATCTACAATATTCAAGCAATATCACTGTCATTGTTTTTCCCTCAAGATTCTCTGAAATGGTATGCCAGAAGATAAAAACTGGGGATACTTCAATTTTATTGAATGTTTTACTGTGCCATACTGTGGTTTCCCTAGCCCAGGACAATGCCTTTTCAATAGGGAGGTTAAGAGAGACAGTAGTGTCTCTCTATGATGTCACAACACCAGGAAAGAGCAGAAATAGTGTAAAATGAGAAACAAATAAACAAACAAACTATTGTATGCCTATTATGTATACTTTACATTCATTATTGACTTGATATCAAGAAAATTGTGATGTGGTTATTTTAATTTATTGCTAGGGAAACAGCTTATCAAAGTGAGTAAATACATCTTTATTTATGTCAAAATATTCCCAAATCTAGCCAAGACAAAATCCAGGCTAATCCCTGTGTAAGATGAGAACAGGGCATGGACTTACTTATTTTCCTTTTGTTTATGGTTCAACTCCTGTGCTAAATGTTAAATTTTCAAGTATGGCTGATGCCTTGGTCACAGGTTATCACAACATCACTGTTTTAGTGGTTTTAACTTTCATTTGTGAAAATCAGTACTTCGAATAATCAAGCATAGTTTCATTATAAATAACTTTCTATGGCCTATAATCAATAAATAATATTTTAGCTACAGAAACAAATAGCTTTCAATAATAAAGTATAAATATGAATATAACTGATGACTTTCCTAATTGTTCTTCCCTGCTGATATATTAACTGATGTTGTAGCTAGAGACAGAATATCTATTCATGATGCTTATCCAGTCGTCTGTATTTGATTAATGTACTCGAATCGTGCCAGATATTTTCGGTCTTACAGACAGCTCTGCCACATCTATCTAAATGTAATCACTTATCTATTTGTAAAAAGTTTAGATGACTTGTAAAAACTTTATTGTCTACATAAGCCAAAGAATTTTTGTGTTAGTTATGCAAAGCCATTAAATAATTGCATCATTTCTAGTATATTCCAAATCAAACCATACTGAAAAACCTCTGCCATATGCCTGTTTTCACAGGGCAAGGTTTTTAGTTAGTTTTTTTTCTTTTTAAACATCTGTGTTTGTTTATTGGAAGTATAAATATTTAAAGACAGGAGAAGAAACCTCAAACTATAAGTGAAATCAGCTTTCTCAGCCCCCTGTTGCTTGAAATAAACCTCATGGAACTTTTTAGTGTGAACATGTAAGAACACTGGGCTGAAGTCAACAAAAGAATGAGTAATCTTTTGAGTGTGTTGTTTATTTCAAAAGTTAATGAAGAAGCAGTTCTCTTCAGAAGGAAATAATATTAAGGTTTTATTGGGTAACTAATGTTCTATGGTCCATGCTGTTAACTTTAAACTCTGCCCTAGTGTTTTTTAACCAGAGTTTCCAGGAACAAGCTTCATACTTTTCAAAAGTAAATAAATCATAAAAACTATTTAAAAACATTTCTGAAATAAGTTTTTGGTTAATTTGTTATAAACAAGGATTTCTTCAAAATTATTTGGTACCAAATTATCACTTATGTTTTTCTTCATATTTGTACTGTTTTTCCATTCTAATGATTATTGTTTCATCATATTAATTGGTGAATTCATAGCAAGATTTGGGTGGGAATTTCAATAAATCTTGTTTTGTAGGGCTGCCAGCTAAGTTTTGTGACTTTGAACAAATAACTGCATTCTAACTAGATGGGGAATAATACTGTTGAAAGTGGTGCTTTCTCTGTGATAAGTCCATGTGTAAGTGGTATTGTGTGTGTGTGTGTGTGTGTGTGTGTGTGTGTGTGTGTGTGCGTGCAGTGGCATACACAGGTTAGCCAGATAATTTGAATGTGCAGATCAGACTTTTTGATACTCTATGTCTTATTTATCTTGCTTACTTTAAATCAGAATCTTTATATGCCAAAATAGACAGAATAAAGATTTAGCATTTTTCTAGTATATATAATGATGTTGATGGATGTCATAGATGTTTCAAATCTGCAGAGGAAAATCAACTACAGTTAACAAAGGGGAGAAAAAAAGTTTCTTTCAGGCAGAAGATATCAAAACAAAGCATTTTCTGCCTTTGGTACTTAGAGGAGACTTTGTCTTACTCCGTACCATCTTCGATGTACTTATTTGTTACGAATTTGCATTTTGTACTTATGTTCATATACTTTAAGAAGGTAATTCAACCTTAATATTTTCTATTTGAGAAAATGGGGCTTGAAATTTTCAATATTTGTCTGTGCAAAGCCATGAAGGGGATTAGTGGCTAAGTTGTCTATATTGGGCACATGTTTTTATTTACTTGTTCTTTTGATCATCAAACGAGTGTACTCAGGTGATGCAATAATCTGTACAAAGAAAACTCACGACACAAGTTTACCTATATAAACAAACCTGCACATGTACCCTTGAACTTAAAAGTTAAAAAAAAAAAAGTTTGTAATGTTAATAGACATATAGAAGAAAGCATCTCTAAATTAATGGTTGAATCTGAAGTTGTTTGAAAATTACACGTGTTTATTTTCATACACAAAATAACAATTAAAATGTTAAGTAGGCCAAGGTAGCTGGCACCAGAAGACAAACTTGAATTTCAAATCTATCCCTCACTGACAAAGTGATTTAGGGTAAGTTACTTCTGCTGTCTGTGCCTCTGTTGCCACCTATGTAAACGGAAGTGTTTGCAGGGGTTAATTTGTAGGTTTCCCTCCATATCTACAGGTTTATGCTATATATTTAAATTGTGTGTTTGCTAGAATTATGCTTGCTGGCTTTCTCTGTCAAACCGCATTAGTACATGTGAAGCTGGTATCTGCAAAAGCAGCGTCAGCAGCAGTTGATCTGTCCCATTACAGTTATAATTAATGTTGCATCTGTGATTCCCCTAAGTCCCATGACCAAGATGTGCTCGGTCACTAATTGGTCCACTTTAGATCTGATGAACATTTACAGTGATATTTCTATATCATCCATCCTGAAGGACTTCAAAGATGTAGATTTCCTCAAAGAAAAATTTTGACCGTAACTGCATTATATCCATGATACGCTTTACAAATTTACTTGAATATATATATATATATTCATTGAAGCTGAATGATTTCTTAGGTCACATATTATATATGAAAATGTATAAAAAGAAACCCGACTTTTATTATGGTAAACATTTGGGTGAATTACCACACAAACTCAGGGTCTGGGATGCATCACCTATCACCTTTCTAAGAGGTTCTTTTTAGTAATCGGGATTCATCGTTTTAATAGAATGGCCACAGTGAAAAGCAATCACTTTTGTTAAGCTATTTCAAATATATTCAAATCAGAATTAGACTCATTGCTTTAACACTTGTGTTATACTCCAAACTGATACCAAATCACTACTGAAACACTACAAAGGGTACAACGTCTCTGTGCCCTAGAAATCTTGTCTATTACATGGGCATGTGAAACCTGACGTACTTACCTAAAAATTTTGGTGAGGATTAAATAACAATATTAATACTCTTAGGGAAATTTTGAAGTGGCACATGATGGCACGTGACTATCCTTAAGAAACAACTTGTTCTTTGGGAGGCCGAGGCAGACGGATCACCTGAGGTCAGGAGTTCAAGACCAGCCTGGCCAACATGGCGACACCCCCGTCTCCACTAAAAATACAAAAATTAGCCGGGCGTGGTAGCAGGTGCCTGTAATCCCAGCTACTTGGGAGGCTGAGGCAGGAGAATAGCTTGAACCCAGGAGGTGGAGGTTGCAGTGAGCCAAGATCTCGCCATTGCACTCCAGCCTGGGTGACAAGAGCGAAACTCCGTCTCAAAAGAAAAAAAAAAAAAGAACCAACTTGTTAAACTCCCTTCTTTCATTTTGGGAATTAGTCTTTCCTCTTTCAGCAATTTTCATTATTCTTTGGGGGTAAAAGCTGAATAAAATCTAGGGCCCTATGTATTACTACAACAACATAACTGGCAATATGTCTATTAGCATGTTTTGAGGTGGAGGTGAAACCCCGTCTCTACTAAAAATACAAAAAAAAATTAGCCGGGCGCGGTGGCGGGCGCCTGTAGTCCCAGCTACTCGGGAGGCTGAGGCAGGAGAATGGCGTGAACCCGGGAAGCGGAGCTTGCAGTGAGCCGAGATTGCGCCACTGCAGTCCGCAGTCCGGCCTGGGCGACAAGGCGAGACTCCGTCTCAAAAAAAAAAAAAAAAAAAAAAAAAAAAACTGATTTTCACAATAACAACAAAACAAAAAAACACAAACAAAACTTTTGCAAACTGTACAATTTTTCGTTGCAGAAAGCCAAATCCAGGCTGACTTATATATTTTTGAGGTAAATATAGGCATCTGGGCAACTTCCTATTAATTCTAGGCCTTTTTATTTACATGAATGGAAGAAGAGTCTTTTCCCTTTGCAATGATTTTGCTCTGCTGTGGAACGTTTATTTCTCTCCATCCATAGTCCTATCACCCAAACTATTTGCTAATAATTGCAGCTACAGGCTCAGATTTGTTTAATTCTTCATTTTCCAAATCATTAAAAATAGGTTCCTTTCCTGAAGGTTTTCCAACAAACAGAAACTCAGTTCTCTTTAATTAAATCCAGTGGCTTGAAACACCAAAGAGAAGAAGTAAACTCAGGGGATTCCAACGGAAGGGACTGCTTAGATCAAAGGAAGTGTTCATGTGGTACCAAGTTCAGAATGTGAATTAGAAACATCCCTGGAGAAAACAAAAAGTGTAGTGTCCCACAGACTTTCATGCTAAATTTGGCTACACCATTTATTAGATACATGACTTAGTGCAAGTCATGCTTCACCTCTCTAAGCCAAAACGTTCTCGCCTATAATATAATGATAGTACACAACTTCTGGGTTGTTCTTAAAATTAAATAATATGTGGGATGAGAAAACAGCTAACCTTTGGTCAGTGTTTATCATATGCTCCACCTTCTTCTAGGCTCTTAAATATGCCTCTCAATCCTTACATAAGCCCTTGAAATACATGTTACTGTATGTATTTTGCAAATGAAGATGGTAAAATATAAGAAAGTTGAAAATAATTATCACATGTCCAAGGCTACATAGCTAATAACTGGAACTGAAAACCACAATCTAAATAGGAATCTGCTATACTCCAAAATGCATGCTTGTCACTTGAACCCGTGATTTCTTGCGTGTTAATAGTATTTCCAATAAATGTTACTCTTATTTATTTAGACATTGTTAGAATAAACTAGACAGAAAAGAGCTTCAGAAAGTCCCACCTCTGCCAACAAGTATAAATACATCAAAGCAAGAGTACCTAGATCATACATCAATTTCTTAAGACATTACATTACATTGAAGTGAAAGTAAAAAAAATGACTTTGAGGTCAACACTTCTGATTTCACACCCAGATTCCCCGTTGGTATGTGTCTGTTTGCACAAGTTATTTAAATTTTCTGAGTCTCAGTTTTCTCATCTGTATAATGGGAATTCTACAAGCTTTATCACAGATTTGTCGTAAAAATTAAGTGATACTAGTTGGGTCAAGAAGGCAGGCTAAGCTGATATTTCTATTTCACCTGCCATCTAAATTCCCATCAAATGGCAAAATAAACACATTTTACATAACGAAAGAGTAGCAAGGGAAGAAAAAAGAGTACCATCAGAAAATCACACATTTTAAGGAATTCCTGAAAATCAGACGGCAGACTGCGTTAGCTATACAGAGATATAAGACATAAGAAAATATAATTTCTCCAAAATCATGCAAAAGACTACTGGGGATAAGACAAAGAAATCGGCCAGGTGCAGTGGCTCATGCCTGTAATCCCAGCACTTTGGGAGGTGGAGGCAGGTGGATCACAAGGTCAGAAGTTCGAGACCAGCCTGGCTAACATAGTGAAACCCTATCTCTACTAAAAATACAAAAAATAAAAAAATTAGCCAGGCATGGTGGTGGGCGCCTGTAGTCCCAGCTACTTGGGAGGCTGAGGCAGGAGAATTGCTTGAACCAGGGAGGTGGAGGTTGCAGTAAGCCGAGATTGCGCCACTGCACTCCAGCCTGGGTGACAGAGAGTGAGACTCCATCTCAAAAAAAAAAAAAGGAATCTTGGAGAAACAAGAAGGATTGTAATTATGAACAAGAAATGTACATAAGAAGAAATATAAATGGCCAATCATGTATAAAAAAGTATGTTTACATTCTCTAATAGAAAACTGTTAATTAATATTAATATTATTTTGTAACTATCTGTATTAATTTTCTGTGGCTGCCATAAAAACTTACCAAAAACTCAGTGGCTTAAAATAATACATTGATTATCTCACAGTTATACAAGTTAGAAGTAGAACTAGTCCTACTGGGCTGACACAGTCCCACTGGGCTAAAATCAAGCTGTTAGCAGGGCTGTGTTCCCTTCTGGAGGTTCTAGGGGAGAATCTGTTTTCTTGCCTTTTTCAGCTTCTAGAGGCTGCCTGCTGTGCTTCTGTGATTCAACTTAGATTTTTCTAGGTTGTTTCCCCTCTGAGGACCCAGTAGGTGGAGTGTTTTGGAATAGGTGGGCCATAAAATACATCTCAGCATACTACAACTACTTATGAGATTGTCTCAAGGACTTAATATAACATTCATCATTTTAGATATTTACTTCATGTTCTATGGAAAATGGTGTCTTAATATGTTTTCTGAGTTTTTGTGACCGATTTGATCTAACTTTTAATGCACATTGAATGCACTCTTGAATTTCCTCCTTAGAACAAAATACCCACAGATATTTCTCAGTTTATCTTTCCAAATGAATAATTAAGAAGACTGAGTAAGGTGAGTAAACTTAACCAAACCAAATGTATGATGAATGCAGAGAAAGATAAAACACAATATTTTTTTACTCCTTCTCCTATGTCCTTTCTGTTATTCAATTTTATAGGCTTAGGCTCAAAATACTACCTTTACTCAGTCAAATAAATTTTTGTCATCTTTTTTCCAATATAATTGACTGATCAACTCACATTCCATTAGCTTCTTAATTTTTTTTATTATTATGAATTTGGTTAACATTAGAGCACATATATGTAATAATGTGAAAATCAATCTTAGTAGAGAAAATCATGTTTCACTCTTCTCTATTTTAATAATAATTTTTAATTGATAAAGACAAGTATATACTGGTCAATCTGCTTAATTTTGATATAAAAGTAAGAATTTCAAATAAATTGAAGTGGATTGCTTCTCAGCTTGATGAGAAAATTATCATGAAACTTACCCTTTACTAATAAAAATTATCACCTGAAGGAAGAAATTAAGTTGTTTTACAATGACACAAAGTGTGTGTGTATACACACACACTAAAATTTGAGCTACAAAAGTGTGTCTTGCCAACATAATGGCAAACTTCTAGATTCTTTCCAGATTTGAGTAGACGAGAGGATCGCACATATCATATAAATAATAGGATTCTAACATTTAAAATATTTATATTGTATAAAGACCTAAAAGATATTAATAGTAATTCCAATCATTGATTACTCAATGGACAACTGAAAACCTAAAATATAAATTAAAAACACTAAGTGCTTTCTGAGAAGGAATCTATGAGTACGTTCAAGAAAAGAAAAAAGAAAAAAAAAAGTCTGATAGGAGGCTGAAAGGACAAAGCAAAACACAAGACTATCAAAGGCCGAGGGATAGGCAAAGAGAAATTTGATTACATCAGCCAGTGAAAGAAATCCTATAGGAAACATCAGACAGTATTTCAGCCTTGTTTAATTCAGTTGAGGTGTAGTTTAGAAAGGAGTAAGGACTACAAGGTCTATAGATTGGAGGAACCAAGATCTGAGCCACTTACAGTAAAGAGAAAATATGGTGCTCAGTTGAAGTTGCTACAAGAAGATTTCTAAGTGGCTACCAGATATTGATGTCTAGTGTATGTTAATGAGAGCATTAAAAAATAAATTAATTTTGTATCTTAGTGACTATGAAGACTCATGTGCCTTTTTAGGACACAGAAGCCAACAAATGCAAAAGAATCACTAGAAATTTAGCAAGACTGAACAAAGAAGCAAAGCCACTCAATGGAGATTATTTTGACAAACTAGCAATGGAACAAAGGGGCCACAATTGCCGGTTTGTTCAAAGGGTTACATAGATCAAGTAGTTGTCATTGTCTAGATGCAGTCTAACCACTAAATGATTAATATCAGTGTAATATTTTATTTCCTACTAATTAAACTTCTTAATATAATTGGTTGTAAGAATGCTCATCTAATATCTCAGCCACTGCCAGAAAGTGCAGAGGGAAAAGGAAATAAGCCTTCTGGCAAAAGTCCATGAGACTAATTATCCAAGGAAATTCATGTCACAAATGCAACTAATTGAGGTGTTATCTGCATAGGTAAAAACAAAGCTCTTAATTGGCCTTTGTTCAATTTTCATTCAAAAGTTACTGAACACAAGGTTGTGTATTTGAGGTTGTTTAGTTTTAAGAATATTTTATTTAAGGTTAGGGCAAGAATGCACACAAAAGATATCAGCAGGAAAGGAGCACTGATTCCCATAAAATATTGGCCTGTAGAAGTGTTTAAGTGCTAAATCCTCCTTTCAACTACCCCCAAAAGGTAGACTTTCTTTTCTTTGAGGTTGTGGTCCTGTGGCTATGACACCATTAGCCATAGTTGCCAAATGGTCTTCCTATGCCTTATGAGCCCTTCATCATAGCAGACCAGGAATTTCAACAGATGCTGGCTTCTCTTAACTCTTTCTCTGTAGAAGAGACATATATTTAAAAAGAGTATTTATTTCCCCATTTTTCAAAGAACACAAAGTTATTAAAACAACATGGAACTGGGCGCAGTGGCTCATGCCTGTAATCCCAGCACTTTGTGAGCTTGAGGTGGGCGGATCACTTGAGGTAAGGAGCTCAAGACCAGCCTAGCCAACATGGTGAAACCCCATCTCTACTAAAAATACAAAAATCAGCCAGGCGTGGTGGCACACACCTGTAATCCCATGTACTTGGGATGCTGAGGCAGGACAATCACTTGAACCCAGAAGGCAGAGGTTGCAGTGAGCCAAGATCGTACCACTGCACCCCAGCCTGGGTGACAGAGTTAGACTCTGTCTCAAAAAATACAAATAAATAAATAAATAAAATAAATAAATACAAATAAAATAAAACAACGTGGAACTATTAAAGATAGAATAAGTATGTTCAGCACTGACACCACAGAGAGGGTTGTGTTTTGCCCATCCATTTTGCACTTGTATTTACACAATTTCCTTTTCTTTGATGGCCTGGTGAGGGCCCTCCCACATTAGAGCTTTCTGTAATTATGATCTAATACATAACTGATATTTGTTAGCTACTTATCATATGCTAGGTACTCTAAAATGTGTGATCTTATTTAATCATTAGAAGAAACTTTGTAATATATTATCCCATTTTTGTAAGTGAAGAAACTAAAGCTGAAAGATAAATAGCTTCCTAAAAAATCACAGAACTATTAAGGGGCAGATAGTACCCTCAAATTCAGGTTTTAGGACCCAAAATCTGAAAGGGATGCTTTGTTATAGAAAACATCAGGTGCACAGACCTGATGAAAATATCCATGAAAGAAAAAAGAATATTAGAAATGTATATGCTACAGTGGACAGAGATGTACTAAGCTTGATGAATTATAAACGAATATTAGTACTTAAGTCCTGTCTGTAGAAGGTCGACTAAAGAGGGTTTTGTAAAGGAGTAAAGGAATCTTTCTTTTTTTTTTTTTTTTTTTTTTTGAGATAGAGTCTTGTTCTGTCACCCAGGCTGGAGTGCAGTGGTGCAATCTTGGCTCACTGCAACCTCTGCCTCCCGGGTTCAAGCGATTCTCCAGCCTCAGCCTCCCAAGTAGCTGGGATTACAGGCATGTGCCATCACGCCCAGCTAATTTTTGTATTTTTTAGTAGAGACAGGGTTTCACTATGTTGGCCAGGCTGGCCTTGAACTCCTGACCTTGTGATCCACTCGCCTTGGCCTCCCAAAGTGCTGGGATTACAGGCATGAGCCACCGTGCCCAGCAGGAATCTTAATATTCACTGAAAATTAGATAACTTTTCCCCTAGTAAATTATCTATCCTACTTTCTTGATTTTTCACTTCTATTATTTCCAATGGGAAGTCTGCTGTCATTATCTGTTCCTCTCTGAATATGTGTTTTTCCCCTCTCTGACTACTTTTAAGGTATTTTTCTTTATCATTGTTTTAAGCAATTTGATTAGGATGTGCCTTGGTATAGATTTTTTCCACTTTTTTGTGCTCTGGTTTTGTTGAGCTTCTGGACTTTGTAGGTTTAGACTACTTATTAAATTTTAAAACTATTGCCTTATTTCCTAATTTTTTTCTTTTATTTTTACAGCCTTCTTTGGAAACTTCATTTATACATATATTAGGCTGCTTGATGCTATATTACTGCTCACTAATACTTTGGGGTTTCCTTGGTTGTCACTCGAGGTTTTATTGTTGTTTTGCAGTTTCTATTGCTATGCCTTCAAGTTTGATTTTTTCTTCAAACTCTAATTCGTTGTGTTTTTTTAACTTAGACAAGTAGTTTTCCTCTTTAGAAATCAATTTGTATCTTTATTTCTTCTCTCCACTTTTTTAATATGCTTAATCTTTTCTTTCTTAAACATGTGGAATGCAGCTTATGATAACTATTTTTAAACGCTTGTCTACTAATTCTATTATCTAAATTATTTATAAACTTATTTCCATTGATTGATTTTTCATCTTTCTTCATGCTGATGATTTATGAATGGATGTCGTGCATTGTGACTTTCATTTTTTTGTGTTCTGGATTTTTTGACATTACTATAAATATTCTTGAGCATTGATCTAAGGTGCAATTATGTTATTTAGAAATGTTTTGATCTTCATAATGCTTCCTTTTGTGCTTTGTGAGGCTGATTCAGGACAATGTTTCTTCAGGACTCATTTTGTTCCACTATTAAGTCCACACTATTCTGAGTACTCTATCCAATATTTGATGAATTATGAAGTTTTTCTACTCTGTCTTGTGAAAACACAAACCATTACTGGTCTTATGAAAATGCCAAAGATTGTTCTTTTTGCTCCTTTTGGGTGCTTCCCACACTCTTGGGCCTAAAGTAGTTTGCATACACAAATACACTGATCAATACTCAGTTGGAAACTTGAGGAGACCCTCTTCAAATCTCTAGAATCCCTCTATGTGTGGCTGTCTTCTGTCTGGCACTCTGCACTGTGAACTCAGTTTACCTTAACCCTTCTGGATTTCTGTCTCCTCAACACAGGGAAACTTAGATTCCTCTTAGATACCTCCTGTATGTGCTTAATCCTGGAACGACCCCTATACAGTAAGTTGGAGCAACATAAGACTCACCTCATTGGTTCACTTTTCTCAGAAATCTCTGTCCTGTACTACAGAAGGTTCAATATTTAAAAATCACTGCTTATATATATTTTTGTACTGTTTGTTAATTTTATCATTGAGTGAATAAATCTAGTTCCTATTGCTTGTGAAAGCTCCTGAATATATTAATTTTAGGGTGCCTTTTAGTCATCCAAGTGAAGATGCCAGTAAGCATTTGGATATTTGACTCGGGAGTCTAAGGGAGTCATCTACTTGATAATATCAATAGTGAGTATAAATATAAGTACAAAAACAGAGTCTTAGGCCACTCTGAAATTTAGAGTTCAGGAAAATGAAAAGAAACTTTAAGAGATAAAGAGAAAGAAGCCAGGAAGTAACAGGGAAACTAGGCCCATAGAGGGTCCTTTGAGTCAAGTGGAATAAGTTTTTTAGGGAGAACAAAGTATGAAAATGACTGGCCAGGTGCTGTGGCTCACGCCTGTAATCCCAGCGCTTTGGGAGGGCAAGGCAGGTGGATCTTGAGGTCAGGAGTTGGAGACCAGCCTGACCAACGTGGTGAAACCCCGTCTCTACTAAAAATACAAAAAATTAGCCTGGCGTGGTGGCACGTGCCTATAATCCCAGCTATTTGGAAGGCTGAGGTAGGAGAATCGCTTGAACCTGGGAGGTGGAGGTTTCAGTGAGCCGAGATCGCTCCATTGCACTCCAGCCTGGGCAACAGAGCGACACTCCATCTCAAAAAAAAAAAAAAAAAAAAAAAGAAAAGAAAAAGAAAATGACCAAAAAATTACTATTGGATCTAGCAACATACATGTAATTGGTAATGTTAAGCATAGTTTTTGTAGGGTATTAGGAGCTGGGGGGAAGTCTCATCAGAGTGGATCCAAGTTACATGAAAGAGAACCATTATACACAACTCTTTTAAGAACTTTGAGGTATACACACTCTTTTAAGAAGTTTGAGGTAAAGAGAAAGAAAGACAAAAAGAAATAAAGAGGGAAGGTGAGACGAATACAGTTTTTTTTTAAGATGGGAAAAACAATGGCTTGTTTGTATAGTGATGAGAATGATTCACTAAAGAGGGAAAATTTACTGTTTCTGGAGAGGTTGGAGATGGGAGAATTATTGAAGCAATGTCTTTAGTAGGTCAGAAGGGATGAGATCTAACACCAACAAAGAGGTGGCCCTAGGTGAGATCATGGATAGTCCATCCATAATGCTAATAGAGCATACTGAATACTGCAGTAGATGGGATAAGTAGATGAGGTAGGATTTTCTGGAAATTTCTCTGATTGCTTGAATTATCTCAGTGAAATACAGTTATCAGATTTGATTGGCAATAGTGGAAGAGATGTTAGAAATTTGGAAGATGAACTTTTATGAAGTATCTAGCCAGAGGAATGGGAGACAGGGGGATTCAGAAATAACAGTTTGATTATTGCGCTCAGATTATGTCCCATTTGAGTTTAGTGATCATGAATTTTGAGTGAGACCAGTCACCTGGCTGTCTCTTCTCCCATTTAGCTATGCAGATATCTATTCAGAGCACTTGGAGAATTGTATTCAAAGCTTTGTCAAGCTAGTATAATGAAGTAAGAAAGTGCCAAGAGAGTTGAACAAGTAGCAAAATAATGTTTGTAAAGATTGACCTTGGAGTTAAAGCTAGATAAGGAGGTATGTAAGAACAAGAGAAAAATAGGATAAAAATTATAACAGAGTTGGATAAACATAGTCCAGGCATTCTTCTATGTGTTTCACATATATTAACTTTCACTTAGTAGAAGGGTCAGTGGATGGAAAACAATGGCCTAGTCACAAGATTTTTGGAGTTGGTTTACTAAAGACAGTGAGTTGAGAAAAGAAAAGGAGCCTGCCTAATTAGCCTCTTGGAGAGTGGTTCTCAAACTTTAACATTAGAATCACCTGCGAGACTTTATAAAACTCAGATTTCTAGATTGCCCTACTACAGAGTTTCTGATTCAATAGACCTAATAAGTTTCTAGGTGATGTTTCATGATGCTGGTTACAGTTTAAGAACCACTGTTGTATATCTATGAGAACTCTATACTCTAGTTTACTCCCAGTTGAGAAGGCAAGAGAAAATTTAATTTACATTGGAATGTGAATGATTGAAAACAACACAAACTGTTAGTTTTATAGAAATTAACTTACAAATATACATATGAGAATATATGTATGTGCATGTTACTGCCATAATTCTACTATAAAAAAATGAAGTTTGAGTTATTAAATTTAATGTACTCTAAGTAACGAAATTTTAAGCCTGGTACCAACCTTTGATCAAAAAAATCTTCTCCCTGTGGAAGTGAATTTAAGAAAACAATCCTTCTACCATAACAATCTATTTCAGCTGTTCATTGGTACCTGTTTTTTCACTATATGGATTAATACGTTCACCTTAATTTTTTAAAATTTATCTCTAAACAAGAATTGGGATATTTTTGCCAGTCATTGAAAATTTGTTTAAAATGAGTAGTCTGGGAAAAAGACTTACTAAATATTAATTAAATGAATTAATAAAATAGAGGATGGTATGGTGAATCTAACTGGATGAAAGAGGAGACATGGAGAAACAAAACAGGAATTTCTAGAAAAGGGCAATAGTACATCCTCGGAAATTTGAGTCACTTGCTCATAATTCTATTGATGGAGCTACATGACTGATATGCCATGTATATTCTATTCAGTTCCATCAAATAAGGTATATGGTATAGGGTTAGGCATGTAACAGGACATTCATTATTAATTATGGAAAATCCTTGTATCCAATTGAACTAATTAAGAGCGGCAAACTATGGACCCTGGGCCAAATATGGCAACAATAAGAATGTTATTAAGGTTAATTGGAACACAGCCATGACCATTATTTTACATTTTGTCTATGGCTGTGTTCATTCTACAACCACAAGGTTTGGTAGTTGAAACAGAGATAAGAATATGTCCTGCAAAGCTGAAAATATTTACTGTCACTTTACAGAAAAAGTTTGCTGTCCCACTGGAAGAGATTCTGGACAGCATAAAGTAGGTATTTTGGATTCCTGTCTTTTTATCCATATCAAAAAAAAATCACTCTATTCTAATGTTTAAATCAATCTAAAGTCCAATAAAGCCAGGAAAAACACGAAATAAAAACACATCTCATCTACCTTTGCATACAACTACATCTCAAAATCAAGTTGATACAACCTCTTAGAGCATATATTCTAGATGATATGTATATATTACTTTTCTTCCACTCTGCATACCCAAATTTTTATTTTAGTTAACATATTACAATTTCTTATAACCTACCTATAAAGGAGAGATTTATTCTTTAAATATAGCAATGAAACTTTTTATTTTCTCATCTGTTTAACTCAGTCTCTTCCTCATTGAATATGGGAAATTATAGCATGGAGGAAAATGGAATGCATGTTTATTTAATGCCTATTATGAACTAGGCACTGTATTAGCTAATTTATAAACCAATCTAACTTAACTCCCTAATAATCATGCAAGGAAATTTCTGTCTCTGAGTATTTAAGAGAGGTTAAGATGTAAGAATTTAACCAGAACCGTGAGACACAAAGCCTACACTTTATCCACTAAATCTGTGAATATATTTTATATTAACTGACTTAAGAGAAGATGTGCCATGAAAGGATTCCTAAAGATTCCTGTTTTTATTTACTAGGATGTCAAAGATCGGGATCCATCTATAATACATGATCAAGATTAGCACTGAATGCCATGGATATGCAACCTGATAAAAGCAATTTGAAACATTATAGGAAGGCCCTGTGATGCAAAAGTAAGTCAACTACCTGTTTGTTTATTCAATCATAAATATAGTTACTGAGCACTTATTCTGAGCCAGACACTGCTATATGCTGAGAATCAAATGATGAACTCGATAGATATCATCCCTGCCCTCACAGAATTTTTGTGTTAAAGGTCTGAGAGTCCCTGTAAAGGCCTGTGAGTGTCTTTTATAGTCATGTCATTTCATAAGCTGTAAAGTCCTTTCAGATGGCTTTATTTAATGCTTATCTCATCTGTGTAAAATAGGCCAGGTTACTTCAACCATCTAATAATATATTGAGCCTCACATGTAACAGATTTACGTAGCCTATTCATAGCTTGTGTGTGAAAGTATTGGGATAAAAACCTGAGTCTATGACTCCAAAGGGAATTTTTCTTTCACTCTACCACCACAAACTCTTTTGTAAATGAAAATAATCCTACAGTCCCCAAGAAACAATGTAATACATATTATTTAAAGTTGTTTTCATTGGTAAATTTTGGCACCCAAGTGAACTCTCTCTGTTATAATTCAAATCTAAATAACAGAATGCTAGGACTAGAAAGGATCCTAGAGATTATTTCAGTCTAAATTAGTCATTTTACAAATGAAGAAACTGAAATCCAGGGAAATTATGTGAATTACAGCCAGTCAGTGAAAGAACCATTGAGCCTCCTGATTGTGCTTAGCCCTCTTTTCAGTGTCCTGTGAGGACTTTTCCTAGCATTAGTATTCCTGCTATTATATCTTCCCTTTACTGTGTTTAATGGGGTTGTATGATCAGCTTTTATATTTTAATAATCCAGATCCATTTGCCTGGATGAAAAATTTTGTTCTCATCTTTTCTTTTATTCATCAAAATGCCAAAGAAAGCACATACTGAAGTATTACATATCCTAAAATGTTATTGCTCACATTTATGTTCTCTTGTTCCAAGAGGGAAAAAACACTATTAAATTATAACAAATCTGTTTGTAATGTATTCTGCAGCTTTATGATGGCCTGAAATGTGAGCTTGATGATAGGCATCTCCGAATAAACTCACATCATTTCCTCTGCTTTCTGTGTATTTGGACAGTTGGTCAGTGCCTTCGCTCATCTGTAAATACTACGTGGCCTGTGTTATACAGCATGATTTGTTTCAAAATCTACAAGGACACAAATCAATAACACTGCCCACCATTTTTAATGCAAGCTTTAAAAAGTACTGAAGCACATTGTATGGATTTGCTTTAATAGCACCATAATTTGGTATATGTGTAATGTACATTTATATATACATAAGTTGTCATTCACCTTTTCTCATATTCTCAAATATTTCAAAAATATTACCACTTTTATTCATTTTTATACTAGTTAAATAAAATCTTTATAGTTTTGTTATTGTAGAAAAATCTTAACCCTAATTTCACTATATTGACAAAAATAAATAGCTGGAGACATCTTCAAGGAATATATTCAGAGTCAGATGTTATGGATTCAAATCCCAGCTTCATTAGTTACAATTAATTCACTTTTAGTAAATAAACTATCCTTTCTTTACCTCAGTTCCATCATCTAAAATAATAGAGTTAATACTAATAATTGCTTCTTAGGATAGTTGTGAAGATTAAATGAGATGACCCATATACTATTCTTGGCTCTAACCCTAATACACAGCAAGTATTCAGTATTTATTAACTATAATAATTATGGTGATGTCGGTGATTATACTGATGGTGAGGATTATAATTGTGTTGCTCTGTTTCCAAATGTCCAAGTCAAAGACAAAATACCCAGAACAGGTTTCATAGTGCCTACTGAATGTCCAGCAAGGAACTTAGGTAGATTTTCAGTGACTACCAAAGGTCATCTATTATGAATCCATCATGTTAGTCAAGACTAACATTACTAGTTGAGGGCCTGAAGAAGCAAAAATTAATACAGTGTATTTGGCAAAGTCACCATAGGTGTGGATTTCTTAGTATAGAATATTAGCCGTGTACAAAATTATACAGATCCATCCCTGTTTTGACAGGCAAGCCAAGTGGGAGTACACCAAAGAGAACTCCTGAATCATGGGAGGAAGAATATTGAATGGACTCCAGGGAGAAAGGTGGGAGATGGAGATGGGGAGCTAAAATAATACTTTACACAAGTAAAGTATGCACTTTACAAAGGAAGTAAAGTATGGGCACTGGAGGTGACTATGAAACATAGCCGCAGTTAAATAATCACGGGAGATTAGAGTGAAAAACAGAAAATAGGAAAAGGAGTATAGAGTGATCTGGCTCAGTACTGGAGGAACTGCACTTGAGGGAGTTCCCTGCTTACATTTTAAAGGATCCAAAGTAGGAATAACATAAGATGGGCAGGGTAGGAATTGTTGGCTGAGGTCTGTATAAATTAACTGTTTACCTGCAACGGTAGTGCTAGTTAGTTGTTCATCTGGCTTTAAAATCCGTATCAGCTCACTTGCAATCTTAAGCTTGTTCACTAATTCACATAGAAATGCTGAACCAAACTAAGTTACTAAAGAACAGAAAGTACTTTCATAAAGATATATTATTTTATTAACATAACTCCTATAGATCTGAAGATTTTACACTCTTTCAACAAATTGTACCAATTTAATTTAAAAACAGTTGTTACATAGGAATTTCAAAACTTAACTTTAGGTGATATTAATATGTTTTGGTTGTTAGTCTTTTAGAAGTATTAATACAGTTTGGATATTTGTGTCTGCTCAAATCTCATGTTGAAATGTGATCCCCAGTGTTGGAGGTGAGTCCTGTTGGGAGGTATTTGGATCATGGGGGCGGATCCCTCATGAATGGCTTGGGCCATCCCCTTGGTGATAAGTGGACTCTCGCTCTGACTTCATATGAGATCTGGTCATTTAAAAGTGTGTGGCACTTTACCCCACATTCTCTCTCTCTCTCTCTTGCTTCTACTCCTGCCATGTGAAATGCCCGCTCTCGCTTTACCTGCCCTGATTAAACGCTTCTTGAGGCCTCCCCAGAAACAGATGTTGGCACTATGTTACCTGTACAGCCTGTAGAATTATGAACCAATTAAAACTCTTTTCTTACAAATTACTCAGTCTCAAGTATTTCTTTATAGCAATGCAAGAACTGCCTAACTCAGCAAATCAGTACCAAGGAGTGGGGTATTGATATAAAGATGCCTGAAAATGTGGAAGCAACTTTGGAACTGGATAACCGGCAGAGAGGTTAGAAAAGTTTGAAGGACTAAGAAGAAGACAGGAAGATGAGGGAAAATTTGGAACTCATTAGAGACCGATTAAATGGTTGTAAGCAAAATGCTGATAGTGATGTGGACAAGGAATTCCAGGCCAAGGAGGTTTCAGATGGAAATGTGGAACTTATTGGGAAATGGAGCAGAGGTTACACATGTTATGCCTTAGCAAAAAACTTGGCTGCATTCTGTTTATGTCCTAGAAATCTGTGGAAGTTTGAACTTCAAAATGATGATTTAGGGTATCTATTAGAATAAATTTCTAAGCAGCAAAGCATTCAAGATGTGACGAGGCTGCTTCTAACAGCCTAATTCAGATGCAGGAGGAAATAAAGGACCTAACGTTGGAACTTGTGTTTAAAAAGGAAGCAGAGCCTAAAAGTTTGGAAAATTTGCAGTCTGGCCATATGCCAGAGAAAGAAAAAGCTTTTTGCAGGGAGGAGTTCAAGGAGATTCGCTAGAAAAATTTGCCTAACTGAAAGGGCGCCAAGTGCTGACAGCCAAGACGTTGGGAAAAAGGCCTTGAAGGCATCTCAGAGATCTCCCAGGCAACCCCTTCCATCACAGGCCCAGAGGCCTAGGAGGGAAGAATGGTTTTGTGGGCCAGGTACAGGGCCTCCGCCTCCACTGCTCTGCACAGCTTCAGGACACTGCTCCTTGATTCCTGTCCACTCTGGCTCCAGCCTTGGCTCAAAGGAACCCTGATATAGCTCAGACTGCAGCTTCCTAGGGTGTAAGCTGTAAGCCTTAGTGATATCCACATGGTGTTAAGCCTGTGAGTACACAGAATACAAGAGTGAAAGAGGCTTGGAATTCTCTACCTAGATTTCATAGGATGTATGAGAAAGCCTAGGTGTCTAAGCAAAAGCCTGCTGCCGGGTCAGAGCCCTCACAGAGGACATACACTAGATCAGTGCCAAGGTGAAATGTGGGTTTAGATTCCCCACATGGAGTCCCACCAGTGCACAGCCCAGTGAAACTGTGGTAAAGGAATCACTCAACAACCTGTGAGAGTAGCCATAGAAGCTGCACTCTGCAAAGCCACAGAGGCAGAGCTGCCCAAAGTCTTGGAAGACCACCACTTGTACCAGTGTGCCCTGGATGTGGGACATGGAATCAAAGAAAATGATTTTGGAGCTTTAAGATTTAATTACCTCCCTGCTACGTTTCAAATTTGCATGGGCCCTGTAGCACCTTTCCTTTGGCCAGTTTCTTCTTTTTGGAATGACAATGTTTACCCAATTCCTATACCTCCATTGCATCTTGGAACTAAATAGCTGGTTTTTAATTTTGCAGACTCATCAATGGAAGGGATTTGCCATGTCTCAGATGAGACTGGATTTTTGAGTTAATGCAGAAATGAGTTAAGACTTCGAGGGACTCTTGGAAAGGCATGATTATATTTTGTAATGTGCGAAGGACATGAGCTTCAGGAGGGGCCAGGGTGGAATGATATAGTTTGGATATTTGTCCCCAACAAAATCTTGTTTTGAATTGTAATCCCCGATGATGGAGGTAGGGCCTGGTGGGAGGTGTTTGGATCATGGAGGCGGATTCCTCATGGCTCGGTGCTGTCTTTATAATAATGAGTTCTTGCAAGATCTCATCATTTAAAAGTGTATAGCTCCTCCCTACCCCACTCTCTCTTTTTCTTGCTCGTGTTCTAGCCATGTGATATGCCTTCTCCCCCTTCATCTTTTGCTATGATTGCAAGCTCCTGAGGTCTCCCTAGAAGGGAAGTAGATGTTAGCATTGTGCCTCCTTGAAAAGCTTACAGAACTATGAGCCAATTAAACCTCTTTTCTTTGTAAAATTCCCAGTCTCAGGTGTTTCACTATAGCAATGCAAGAATGGACTAACACAAATACACACATAGTTGAATACTTTTTTCAACTTCTGTACTTTTAACTTTCTAAGTCAACAGTAGCAATTTTGAAACCTCATTTATCTGTAAATATATTCAATAGTAATATTAACATCCACTGCATAATGTATTATAAGTCAGATCACATCAAACTTCCACTCATGGTCCTTTAGTAGTTTCACAGTTCTGAGTAAAAGCCAATGTCCTCGGGAGGGCTGCAATCTCCTCCACGAGCTGATCCTTATTCTCTCTGACTTCATCTTCACCACTCTTGTTTTTGCTTGTGCTGTTCCAATCCCTCTGGACTGTTCCTTCTCTTGGGCCTTGTACATACTCCTTCCCCTGATTGCCATGTTCTTCCTGCCCCCAAATATCCACATGGAAGATTCTCACTCCTGTTGGTCTTTACTCAGAAGTCACCTTCTCAGAGAGGCATTTGCTGAACCCTCAAACACTTCAATGCACCATCCCAAACACTTCATATTTTTTCTTTTGACTTTATTTTTATATACTTAGCTATATCTAAAATGTAAAGTGTTTTATGTATATATTTTATTGATTATGTGTTAACTACAACCAGAATATTCATTCTGTGAGTCCATGCTTTTTTCTTCTGTTCTTTTCAGTGCTAGATTCTCTATAATCAAAACACTGCTTAAATTTGAAAAGTAAATTCAAGAATATATAAATAAATAAATATATGAATACATTTTAGTCCCTTTAAAATTAAATTTAAAATTACATGTCATCCCTGCAAGAGGGGCAATACAAAACATATAAATTTCAAACTATATAAAATAGAATACAGAAAAACAGTCTGCCTTTAAATTCCTTAACTCTGGACTTTTATGCTTACTCTACTTAATTTTCATCAGTGTTAGTACAAACAATTCTATCCTACAAAATGCTATGTTAAGTGTCTTCCAGAAGGACTTTAAAATTTTTAACATCCCTATTGTCTTAGTCCATTCGGGCTGCTAAAAGAAAAACACCATAGACTGGATGGTTTTTAAACAGCAGAGATTTATTTCTCACAGTACTGGAGACTGGGAAGTCCAAGATCAAGGTGCCAGGAGATTCGTATCTAGTGAGGGCATGCTTCCTGGTATACGGATGGCCTTCTTTTCTCTCTGTGTCCTCCCACGGTGGACTGAATAAGGAATCTCTCTGGGGTTTCTTAAAAGGGCAGTAATATCATTCATTAGGGCTCCACCCTTATGACCTAATTGCCTCCCACAAGATCCTGTCTCTCAATACCATCGATTTGGGGGTCAGAATTCAACATATAAATTTTGGGGTAGAGGAAGATTCAGACCATACACATATAATCATTTTCACTTTGTGAAAGTTCACACCCCCTTCTCTTCTCTATTTCAAAACCTACCTCTTTTTATAATATGTAGGTCCAACCCAAATTCCTTCTTTTCTTTACAATTTTAGTATATGTGCTACTAAAGCAAGCACCAATTTTTTTTTCTTTTCTAAGAACATTTTTTTCTGTCCTCCAGCTTCTGGACCAGTTTGTGGGTAACTCTCACTTTGTAATCTTACTTTATTCATCTGAGATGAGACATTTGTTTCTGGACCACTTAGTGCATAAAGTACTCACTTTGTAATCCTGTTTTATTCATCTAAAATGAGACATTTCTTGGAGCATTGTCTTGTTCTGAAGTAACATTTTGTTCATATTTTAAATCACCATTATTTATCCCTTGATGTAGTTGTGAGTCTATTGAAGTCTCATTGATGCTTTACAGTTGTTTGAAACCTTCTTCATGCCTAACATAGTGTCTAACACATGGTAAATGCTTAGGAGGTATCTGTTGGTGGATTTATTCCCACTGTAGTTGTAGCAATGCAGTGCCTTTGGCTTAAAATAATATTTAAATACAATAGGATGAGTGAATTGTTGGAAAGTCTGATTGTAGCAATCAGAACCTATAGCCTCTGCCAAGGAACATGTCACTGAAAAATAAATATCCAGTTTGCCCTCAATCCCATTAGTGTTTATAAAGGACAGAGTGGATTCTTCTTACAGCAACAAAAACTGCGAAATGAGAAGCTTTACTATTAAGTCTAAAAGGCAAACTTTTACTCTTTCCCAATTTTCTTAGGGAAACTAAACCTAATTCTAATGCTTTGTGAATAGAAAGAGCAGACAAAATTATTGGGTAGAGTACTATTTTTCTTATGTATCAGACTTTAAAAAAGGATACTCTATCCCAGAGTCAGGAAGGAATGGAATCCTTCAGAAAAGCAAATGAAACAAGCTCACAAATAATACTATACACAGCTGGGTACTCACTCTCCTGAGCTGTTTGTCTTAATTTTATATCTTGCTTGTCATTTTGAAAGGCATTTTTCCTCTTAAAATCTTATCTGTTTCTGAAGATAGTAAGCTATATCCTAATATGACAACAATTGCTGTAAATTTTTGTTATTTATTGAAATCATACTATTGTGTCTATTGTTCCTACCTCATTTTCAAGAATAAATTGCTTGAAATGTGGGGTTGGTACATGAATATTCCACTGCAAATTAAATGGTTGTCAAAAACGTTTTTGGGAAATTGCAATGAAGAATAAACCAAAACACTGCATGATTTATCATTGAACCTGCTCAACTCTCTAGCAGTACGCCGAAAGTCAGAAAGGAGGAGCCCTTTCCCAAGCAACCTTCTCTCCGTGTGTGTGTGTGTGTGTGTGTGTGTGTGTGTGTGTGTGTGTGTCCAATCTACACTGCAGGCCAGTTTGGGGAAAAAGTGTTAGGGTTGAAGTTAACGAATGTTTAAAAAGAGAGTCATTTAATCTGAAGGAGAAAAAAAAATGTCATGGTTGTGAATGTGCTCTCAAGCTTAAGAAAAAAGAATTGCCATTGACCTTGTTAGTTTAATTAAGTGATTCCCAATTAAGATACTAACAGAATGTTGGCAGTTAATGACATGCACACTAATATTGGCTCAAAGTATATGCTATATTTCCTGATGATGATGATGACATTGATGATGATGATACTTTATTAGTATCTACTATTAAGCAATGAATCAAAGGACAGAACATTCTATAATGTATATATTTGATATTACACACAGAAGAGAAAGCAGCATCAGCTTATAGCACATATCCTTTGCAGGAGGCCATATGTCCACTTAAGAAAGAAAGTGATAAATGGAGCAGTAGAAAGATAGAATATGAAAGTAACCTATCTTTTATTAAAAAGCAATAGCAGGGGGCCAGGCACGATGGCTCATGCCTGTAATCTTAGGATTTGGGGAGGGCAAGACTGGAGCATTGCTTGAAGCCAGGAGTTCAATACCGGCCTGAGCAACATAGTGAAACCCCGTCTTTACAAAAATAAAATAAAATAAAAATTAGCCTGATGTAGTGGTGCACACCTGTGGTCCCAGCTACTCAGGAGGCTGAAGCAAGAGGATCACTTGAGTCCAAGAGATCATGGCTGCAGTGCACCATGATTCCACCATTGCACTCCAGCCTAGGCAACAGAGACTTTATTTCTTTAAAAAAAAGCTCAGCATTAATGAAAATGCATTGAACCTTTATGAATTAAATATATTTATTTATTTATTTATTGCTTGGGTCAGTACATATTTATTGTGTGTCTATTTGATTAGCCTATGGGACAATAGAAATAAACTGTGCTTGCTATTGTTTCTTTTTGCTGTTGCTTCCAACCCAACTCAGACTTAGATGAACAGTTTCCTAGAACAGAGATATCCAAAGAGTAAGCCAGACGTATCCAAAGATGATCAGTGTCACAATAAATTCTAGAGAATTGTTGACAACCTCTTCTCTAAGGATACTGGTTTTACATTGGCCGTTGAGTAAGTTTCTCATTGTTTCCTGAAGGTAACTCATTTTCATGCATGTGTGCACTCAATACACTGTCTATGTAATGTTGTCCAGACACCCTAAGAGAACCTGTGCCTAGAGATCTTCCTCAGAGGTGGGGTTTTTCAGTGCCCTGTTGCTGTATATGTTTGCTGCAAAGCATTGCACTTTCTTCTAGACATCTTTAACTAGAACCTAGATATATTCCAGCAGGGTTATGAGATTTAGACCAAACTATTTGTTGTATCTGCATTCCCCCAGGTATCCTCAAATGGTCCTCTCTAAAACAGCTGGAATTTCTGGTGGAGAGTGAGGTGTTTTATTTTCACTAGCATAACTTTACCTTGCCTTTGATGATTACAAGTTTACCCCTTAATGAAGAAGGAAAATTGCTTCATAAAACCCTAGAAATTCAGACGTGCACCTCTCAATAAGATATACCAAAGGATGAGGAGTAAGGGCAAGACCCAGAGATGAGAGCCCTACCTGAAAGCAGGGACAGGACGCCATGGGTGGTCAGAAGCAATACACAAACCCTGAGTCCCAGGGGCATAGAGAATTGGTAGAGAAGGAGAGATCATTGGTGCAGAGGAACTAGAGAGACAGATTAATAACCTAGCCATAGCCTGCCATAATCTGCCACTATTTTCGCTCACCCAAATTTCACCATTTGCCAACACCTGATCTAAACAAGATCCAGATGCTTATATGGTATTAATCTGATATCTACTATAGTGATACTGACTGCCCTTAGTAACATTTGTTACCACAAGTATGCACATCCGCATATTATGGTCTAATTATGTCATGTTATGCTTACACTAGTGTCTACTTCTCAGCCTTAAGCATCTTAAGGACAAAGACTGTTTCTTTTTCTTTATTACCAGGTTGGTGCAGAAGTAATTGCAGTTTTGCCATTACTTTCCATCTTGTACCTTGAGAGAAATACATTTATATTCTCACTCGAAATCTTATCTAAATGAATAAATAAATAAATAAAGGAATTAATGAAGGCATACACAAGCTTATTTTAATTCACCAAATTTGGAAATCTTTCTTGGCCTTGCTATTGAAAAATAAATATTCTTTCTAACAAATCTATGCAGGCAAGGTGATATATAGAGATATGTAGATATGTAGATAACAACCATGTAGAAGATATAAAAAGGTATTTCTCTCTTCCACAGACATGGTAGACATTGTTAAACATACATAATATGTTCTTTCTTAGAACCTAGCTATGGTATAGCCATTCTTCTCAACTTACCAATACATTTGCTTCTGATAGTTAATCCAATTTGAATAAACTATTTCCACTTTCACTTACAGAATTCTTCATAAAACATATAATGTAACAGGAGAAATCATTATATAACTGGAAAGTGATATTTTATGCACATGAAGGAATTACAAGATAGGGAAAGGTGAACTTGCAATTATCTAGCCCTTCTATTGCGTAGTTATTCCTTTATTTTTAGTGCCACACATGGACAACTTCGTGGAAATCATGATCACCATATACAAATGGTTCAAGATGTGTCACTTCTACTTTCATAATATTTTTGGAACCTGTTACCGTCTTCACTCTCAATTTTCTTAATTCCGGCTCTAATAATGTCTCTTCTGAATTACTTAAATTATCTTCCATATTTTTGTCTCCAATCTCTTCCCTTAACTTATCTTCTATACAGTTTCCAGGATGATATTTCTAAAATGTAAGCCTAATCAAATTACTCATTATTCATTCTTGCAAAATAATATTTAAATTATTTCCTTTAGAATACAAGTCCCTGAAGAAGGAGGCTGCTTTTTTTATTTTTTATTTTTAGACGGAGTCTTGCTCAGTTGCCAGGCCGTAGTGCGGTGGCACAATCTCGGCTCACTGCAACCTCCATCCGCCTCCCAGTTTCAAGCAATTCTCCTGCCTCAGGCTCCCGAGTAGCTGGGACTACAGGCAAGCACCTCTGCGCCCAGTTAATTTTTGTACTTTTTAGTAGAGACAGGGTTTCACCATGTTGGCCAGGATGGTCTCGATCTCTTGACCTCGTCATCCGTCTGCCTCAGCCTCCCAAAGTGCTGGGATTAGAGGCGTGATCCACCATGCCCAGCCACAGGCTCTTATTTTAAAAGTCTGTTATCAATTCTCTATTTACCTCCAATATAATTTTAAGGCAATATTTAACTACCATCTTTTTCTTTGTTACCTTTGTGAGTGCCATTGATTCTATCTAAAATACCCTTTCTCTTTCTTCACTATATCCTCGGCTCATTTATGTGTTTCAGACCCCCGAGTGATCTAAAGAGCTCTATTAGCAGATGGAATAGACAGGTGAGAAAAGGATTTATCAGTTGTACTCATACATGGCCTCACCAAATTGCACTTCAACCAACCAACTAAACTTTTCATCTGTTTTACATATTGGGTTTCCTTGTAGGAGTTCATTCGAAAAAAGAGTTTTCTACACTTAAAAAAATTCAACACCACTGAGCTTCTCTGCCATCTGTTAGATTTCTGATTATCTTGGATAGTCCACTTGCATAATGAAAATCTAGGGCATGTAAAATATTTTTGGAGATTTTTTTCCACTCATTTATTGGTGAACTTGGAAAACTCAGGAAGAAGGATACATCAATAATTATAATGTCCTATATAAGCGTGTTTTCTAAACCATGATTGGGCAACATTTCTGTAATCATTTCCATTATGTTTGTACATTCGGTAAATGAACTCCGAACCTCTAGGGGTTCTATGGAAATTCAATGAGTCACATAAAGTGGGATAGAAATTTTTAATTTTAAAAGATTTCTCTGGGAAGGGGGTCCATGAGTTTATTACAGTCTCAAAATATTCAAGATAACAAAATGTTTAAGTATTGACCCTGTTCAGGGAAAAATAAAAGGCAAATGAGTAAGAGGAAATTTATCTGCCTTTAAAAATATAAATTCAATATGATAAAAGGCAAGAAAACTACCACAGTAAATTACCACAGAAAATTACCACATAAGGAACTTGAATGCCGTTTAATTGTCCCCCAACAATTTACAATTTCTTTCATCCCATTCTATCCAGTCTTGTTTCATATAAAAGAAAGAATTAAAAACATGAACATATGGTCTATTCTTGCATAAGTTAGTTTAAGATATGGACAAAACTTACTTTGTTAAGCAGTACCTTGGAGGTCAGAGCAAAAAACTTTCTTGATCACTAGCAGGAGGAGATGAGAAAGTATCTGGACGTTTACACTGAGTAAGAGATTCATTGTCTGATATCCCCCAAAATGGATAGATTTCCTATAGATTGATTGCAGATACTTTACAAGTATCAGTAAATATGGAGTTATTTTTAACAAAGACA
Organism: Homo sapiens; assembly: GCF_000001405.40. Classification (NCBI taxonomy): domain Eukaryota; kingdom Metazoa; phylum Chordata; class Mammalia; order Primates; family Hominidae; genus Homo; species Homo sapiens. Next base: position 43,961,524 of record NC_000018.10, read on the forward strand.
CATAATTGTTAGTTTCATTTGAATGATATCAAAAACAATTAATTTTTATTATGGAAAAGACATCTAAAGCTTTGATTCATCACCAATAGTCTGTTGTGGAAGAAACTACTCTCCATAAAGGGCTAACTCTGTGTGCAATACATTTCTGCCCCCTCTCCCAACTGACTACTATCTACAGCCCATAACTTATGAAACCATTAGTGAACCCCAATTTTCAAAGGGTCTATTATGTTTCCTTTCCAAGGAAATTGGGGTTTTGAAACCTTAAGAATCAATCAATCAACTAATGGTAAGCTCTAAAAATAAAAAGTCACGTTAAGTTTGTGTGTGACTAAGCTCCAGGGCAAACAAAATGCATGAGCAAGTCCCAGAAAGCCCAGGGACTATGAGGAAGTACATGAGAAAATGACCAGAAATGCAAAATACACTTCAATGAGAGACTAAGGAAATACGTGTTGTTCCTACTTTCAATTTCTATATGCCTCGTGATACTTGATTGTTCACAGGATTACCTCCTGAAATCTTTAATTAAGCAACTTTGTACTTGAGTCTTTTTGAATATGTCCAGTTCCTTGCAACCTGTTATGGTCTGAATGTTTGTATGCCTCCAAGTTAATGTTGAAATCCTAACCTCTGAAGTGGTGGTGTTAGGAAAAGTGGGTTTTTTGAGAAGTTATGAAGGCAGAGCCCTCATGAATGGGATTAGTGCCCTTATAAAAGAGACCCCAGAGGGACCCTTCCCTTTCCTCTTCCACATATGAATATGTAGCCAGAAAGCACCATCTATAAGGAATGGGTCCTCACTAGACACCTGATCTGTCCACTCATGGTTTAGAATTTCCCAGCCTGAAGGACTGTGAGAATAAATTTCTCTTGTTTATGAGTTACATTGTCTGTGATATTTTGGTATAGCATCCTGAGTGGGCTATGATACAGCTGAAGACATCAAGACAACTCATGCTTCTTTCCAGCCTTGAGCACTTAACTTGTATGTTGTGAAAAATATATATATAAAATATATGTGTATATTATATATAATATATGTGTGTGTATATATATATGTATGTATATATAATCTAGGGAATTGAGTTATAAGGAACTGTTGTAATAGCTTGGAAAGGAGAATATATATGTACCTTTGATTTCAAATACAAATATACATATACAGATATACACATACATGCTGTATATATGTGTAAACACAAACACATGCATGCACACACATACAAGATATACAAATACAAATTAGGTATTGGATGTGGTGGTCCTGAGAATGCTTCCTACCCCTATGGATCAAAAGAATCCTAAATAATGATACTGCAATCACTACTAAAATTACTACTACTGTTGCTACTACCCATAATACTCCTGCTAGTAAAACACAAAATCATCTTATCTCACAACATTCTGCAATATTTGAGTGCTTTCAAGTCCAGCTCCTCATCTGGGTCCCTTGAAAAGCCAGTGAGGTTAGTGTAGATGACATGTGTATATCCTTTAGACTGGTGAGGAGACTAAGACTAGTAAAATCAAATATTCTGACTTCCTCTCACCTTTTCATCACATCACAGAAATATTTCCATCCAACTTTTCAGCTGAAGTTAACTCTAAATTGAAAAATACTAAAATCCTTTGAAAATTCATTCTTTGATGTGAAGAGACTCAGATGAGAAGATAAAGATGGAATAACCAAAATCCATCTCATTCTTAGAAGTTTCAAAACCCAGTCCCTAGTGCAATGAGGAAGGATGGTAAAGTATTTTAAAAATGCTATCTATTATCTATTTCAGCAGTGATTATCTACTACACACCAGCTGTATGTTCATTATTGTGCTAAGAACTGAAGGTAATACAAGGAATGATAAGCCTGCTTTTGAGGGATTTTCTATAAGTGAACAACAACTAAGAAGCATATTTAAGCTTAGGTTTTGGAGGACTGTGGATAGGAGAGAAATTGATATGGGCATAAAGAGCCAATAAAGGGTGTAACAAAGGTGCGAATGGAATATAACATAAAATACACTATGAGGTATATTTAGACAGAAATGATTTTATTCTCTAAACGTTACTGATTATTGGCTGATTTTGAATACTTATGTCTTAGAAACATGAGTCTAATTATTGAATAGAATATGACTGGGAAAGAAAGATTAGCAAATGCGCAATTAGTGAGAAGATAATTATCAAAAATAATTGAAGCAAACATTTTAAGCCTGTGTTGGAAAACAATGGTAGTGAATAAATAAATAGGGAAAAGCACTAAAATCATATAATTTTTTAGTTAATCACACCTAACAGTTTATGATATACTAGTTCAATAATTTTATAGACAGGAATGGTATCGAATATATCATAGAATGACAGAATTTTGACTTAAATTTTTTGAGACTATGTCACTCATTTCCCTAATTTTAGAAATGTAAAACTGAGGCCACAAATTATAAAGTCGTTTGCACAATATAGCAGAGTTTACCAGCTATTTTGGGACCAGAACCCAGCTATAGTGCCTTCTCTTATGTTTACACTTCTTTTTAAAATTTATGTTGTTCTACATGCATCAGGTTTATTACAGTATATCAAAAGATAAGTTTGGAAGGCATTGTGTTATGCAAAACTCAAACAGCATTATTCTATCTTTCTGTGATTCATCTGCTGAATGATTCCACCTATCCAATCATTATTATAATAGAGACTCTACTACCAGACAAATATTGTGTTGTAATACATTTCTTTCTTTTTCTAACATTTAGCTGATTAAGAAATCATTCTTTCTAGAAAGATGCTCAGTGACATTTGAATATATTAGTTTCCTTGACATTATAATTTGGAAACCAAATAATAGGATCATTAAAAAATGAGTTCAACACTTAAAAGCACCTGCTTTCAAATTTAAGATTATAGAGCTTTGGAATATAGGAGGAAATAAATAGTGCTGCATATATATATAAATAAATAGTGCTAAATAAATAAATAGTGCTGCATATATATGCTGCATTCTATATATACATATATGAAGCACTGTTTATTTACATATATATATGAAGCACTGTTTATTTACATATATATAAATATCTTTCACTCCAAATCAATGGAAACTGAGGACTTCAGGGATATGGCTTAAGATACAGCATTATGGAGGCTATTTGGAGGTTAACACAAGGGGAATTTCAGTGCTTAATGAGATGAGATTAAGAAAGCTAATGTGATATTTTTCATATTTCAATATATCGCAGAGTCATATGGACTATTACAACTACTGCCTGAGGCAACCTGTGAGATATACATCTCATCAGGCTAAAACCATTCTATTGAGGTCACCATGTAAACAGTTAATGATGCAGAAACTCTCTAGGGATTCATTGACTGAGCACATTTAGATGAGTTCTATAGAAGTGTACAATCAGCAGTGGGGGAATTATGTCAATGAAACTTTAAAGGAAGCTGTAGACATTCAAGATTCCCTATATTCAATGAGATGTTCATAATTAATTTCCTTTTTTCTTAGGACATGTAATAGTTTGACTATAACTTTTTATTATATGCATTAAAAGTAAACTGAAAGGTCACACAACATATTAACTTCCCAGTCTGGTTGAATGGAAGAGATTTGAGTTGCCAACTTCTTTTAGATCGGCTGGGCAGTTTCAGGGAATTGGTTCCTGTTTAATTCTACAATACACACATAATGAACAATCATTGGTGTTTTATTTCCAACTTAATTGCCGTGATTGTACTTTCAATGAATGTGTATTGTGTGCCTGCACCATTAGGAGTACAGGTTACCTCTATAAATAAATTTGGAGATCATGTTATTTACACATTGTACTATGTTTATATTTAATATATTCTTATTCAGCAGTTGGTATATGTCATGCACTATATACACTCTTCACAAATCTTAATTCAGCTTAATAAAATCTTATTATACACTCTCAAATCCCTCATCACCATTGTCACCAGAATACTTTTGTCCTCATTACACACTTGTACTTTCTTTCCATTTACTTATTTACTTTTTGAGACAGGGTCTTTTGCTGTATTGCCCAGGCTGGAGTGCAGTGGCACAGTAATAGCTCACTGCATCCTCGAACTTACAGGCTCAAGTGATCTTCCCACTTCAGCCTCTCAGGTAAGTAGGATTACAGGTGCATGCCACCTTGGATGGCTAATATTTTTTTTTTTTCATTTTTAATAGAGACAAAGTCTTGCTACGTTGCCCATGCTGGTCTTGAAATCCTGGACTCAAGCCATCCTTCCACGTTGGCCTCCCAAAGTGCTGGGATTACAGGCATTAGCCACCACAACTGACTGCACTATTTTTCTTGAGGATTTCAACAACTGGCCCAATTATTTTTTTTTCTCACGCCATCTACTGCATGTTTCTCTTTCAAGTTAAGAGACATGTTGATGATTCATCTGGTGAACTGATATAAATATTTCTCAACTACCAAAGATTAGATGATGTTCAGCTATAAACCATGAGCACAGCCATAATTGGTTCCCATCCCGACTGGAAACTTTCACTTTTGAAATTTGAATTAGGAATACCCCCTTAAAATGACATCTTTTTCAACTTTCACCTTTTCTCTTTTGTATCTCATGTATGAAATCTGTAATTTACTCCTATTTGGCCTCTTTCAGTTGAATTTCTCCCTATTTTACCTAGTTGAACTGCCTCATACTGGCTTCATTTGCTCCCCACAAATACTAATTTTCCAAAAGCCACTAATCACATCTCAAGTTAAATATGTTATAGAGTCTCAACTTTTGTCTTTGAGATGGAGTCTCAGTCTGTCGCCCAGGCTGGAGTGCAGTGGCGCAATCTCCATTCACAGCGACTTCCGCCTCCTGGGTTCGGGCATCATCTTCTTTACTATCACTGGGTTGTGTTTCTGAAATAATAACTTTACATAGGAACTTGGATGTGTAAATTACATGATCGCAAATCAAACTACTACTGTGATTATCAGTACTATGCTACTACTTCTGTCTTTCTACCACTATCATCATTATTATTTATTTTGCTTTTAATATGTGTTAGTATGTATACTAACAGTTTTGTGTCTGTTATGTCATTTAATTCTCACAACAAGCCTGTGAGGCTTATATTATAATATTAATTTTAAATAAGATAAAATAGAGGCTTAAAAATGTTTAAATAACTTCCTCCAGTTCAGAAATGTAGTCATGACTAATGCAGGGTTTGAAACCCAGGTCTGGCTACATTATACCACCTTACAATGCCATTCAAAATTGAAAGGGTCCAACTGAAGCCATAAATGTCATCAGTACAAAAAAGGTACTGATAAATGCTGTTAACATTTATTAAGCTATTTCTTCACAGAGGTGAGGTTTATCTAACACTTGAATCAATTGTGTTAAAATCAAATGTCAGTTCAGGCAATTAGAAGTCACATTTATTGAGACATATCTAATAAAACTCAGCAAGTAAAATATAGACATACAAAACAAATTCCTTACTTGACATTAGAATTTGTGCTGGGATAATTTTCTAATTAAAAACTCTTCTGGTTTACAGATTATTAGCAAATCTATTTAAAGTGGTAGACAGTGTAAAAGAATAAGGGATAGAAAAGCACTTAAACCTAATGATTCATCAGTCAGACTGCCTAGATATTCTAAGGTATATATCAATTATAATTTCACAAGGTCAAAAACCATAGGCGGCTCAGACCCTATCTTTGAGAAGTCTATACCTTAGTGGGTAGAACATGTAAGCACACATTCACACACACACACACACACACACACACCCCACAGACACCTTGAGAATATTTTAAAGTAATTTATAAGTTGTTTGCATTATCAAGATATTGAGAAGACTGGCAAAATGAAGACAAGCACCTATTTCTTTAAAATCATGGTTTTTCAAACTTTTTAAAGATCCTCAATGCCAAGGAGATTTTTAATACTTTTTTTCTTAAAAGAACCTTCCCCTATGAAATTTTTATACTAGAGATATGTTGTATGTTTGTGTTTAAACTATGAGCACTTTGGAGGACCATAAACCATTGTAATATCTAAAAATTGGTTCACTCCCCATGTATAAATTTCACCCCCCAGAAGATGGTGTCACTCCTGTTGAAAATGCATGATTTAGCATTATAAAAATATGTGCTGGTATTTAATGTGAAGTGTATTATCAAGCTCCATTTAATAATCACATAATTCTATTTTATCATCAACCAGAAAATTACCACATTTTTAAATATTTTTGTGAATTTGAATTTGCTAATTCATACACTTAATGTCTGTCTTTTATTAAATTTTTTTTTGATATGGTAACAATGTGTACCAGTAAGTGCATATTAAATTAAATATAAAATGTTTAAATAGGCTAAAAATATGAAACATACCCTTCAGTGTCCTGGGAGTTGAGCTAAATTTCTAAAGTACTAAAAATTACCATTGACTCCTGCTGAGGACAAGTCACAATTTGAAGAAGTAGTAAAAAATGTTGATTGTCTTTATCTGACTATAATTTGTATCAATTCAGCAGTATAATAAACGTCAAAGTAACCTCCACATAATGGCAAAAACAAGGGATAAAATCCAAACTCGATATCCTCTAAATGTGTCCCGGCTGGAGCCCTGGAGATTGTCTCCAGACTTGTAATACAATCAGGTCTGGGGAAATACCATGAAAATGTTTTCTTTCAATCACTTGTAATTGGTATTCTTAAAGTGAAGGGTGGAAAATAAAGGGGATGGGATATTTCGATTTGCTGCTTTTGTTTGGAATTGCTCAAATCACAAGTAACTACAGGGCAAACTGACATCTTCTCGGTTGAGTTGTAACCTTTTCAGCCTCCATTTCTTTCCAAGGTTTGTAAACAAACAGATTTGAGTGAGGACATTCAAAAGTTGGTCTCAAACCAAAGTTCCATCCTGGCATTTTAGGTTACACATAACTTGGCCTCATTTATATGTTTTTCAATTGTATTTATCTTTCTTCCCCACCTTAAAAGTTTAACTATTTCTCTAGGTTTCTTCCTCATTATTCCCGGAACGAACCATGCTAATTGCCACCTTGGCAACCGGAGCTTGCTCTTATTTTCCTGGAGATTTTTGGCACCCCTGTGGGTTGGCATACTCATCCACCACGATTCTTTTATTAAGGCATTCTCAAAAACTCACACACTGATCAACCTCTTCTCTTCCTGATAATTCTTGTTTCATTCAACTGTTCTGCATAGTATGTTATTAATGTGGCAAATATTCATTTAACCAGCAAATGCTTAGTAAGCCTTACAATGTGCCATATATTGTTACTGGACACTAGGAATTACTAAAGAACAAAACAAAGACATAGAGTCCTATCATCAAATAGTTTATAAGTAGTGAGGGGAATTAGACAATAAAAATACAATATATAAAATATCATATGTAAAAATGAAATTAAAATACGATGTTAAAACAGGCATCAGTAAACTTTTTACTGTAAAGGACCAGATAGTACAACTACCCAATTTTGCCCTTGAGTAAGAAAGCAGCCATATACACAAAATGAGTTCTGTTCCAAAAAACTTGCTTTATGGTCATTAGGATTTAAATTTAATAAAACTTTCTTGTGTTATAAAATATTGTGCTTTTGACTTAAAATCATTTAAAATATTAAAAAATTTTTTTTAGTTTTTGGATTATATAAAAGCCAGAGGTGGTCCTAATTTGACCTATGGGCTAGTTGCTGAGCCTGGGTTTAGATAATAGCAAATGTTAAGGAGAAAACTAAATTAGAGAAGTGGTTCAGGCACTATTGGCAGGTTAGAGAGTATTGCCAGGTTTGTTATTGTTGTTTGTTTTTTTTGAGACAGGATCTCACTCTATCACCCAGGCTGGAGTGCAATGGCATAATCGTGGCTCACTGCGGCCTCGACTACCTCCCAGGCCTAGGTAATTCTCCCACCTCAGCCTCCAAGTAGCTGGAACTACAGTCGTGCACCACCACACCCAGCTAATTTTTGTATTTTTTTGTAGAGACGGGGTCTCACCATGTTACCCAGGCTGGTCTTGAACTCCTGGGGTCAAGTGATTCCCCTGCCAAATTGTTAGGATTACAGGTGTGAGCCACCATGCCCAGCCAAATATTGCAGTTTTAGAGAAAGTAGCCAGACAAGACCTTACTGAAAGGTGGCATTCAAATAAAGAACTGCAGGAATATGTATAAATTTCACTGGATAAGATATTTAAGAAATAAAATGTTTTCTTATTTTTTCTAATTTATTCAATATCAGTCTCTAATTTCTTATTTTTACAGATTCTTTACCTATGATCAATGGGCACAATCCCTTACCCCAATCCCCTCAGAGAGGCCTGTATATAAAACAGTATTTCACAAAAAGCGGTTTTAACCCGTTCTGAGGTTGTCTTTTCACTCTGTTGTTGTTTCCTTTGCTGTACAGAAGCTTTTTAGTTTGGTATAATCTCATTTGTTTATTTTTGCTTTTGTTGCCTGTTTTGAGTTCTTATTCATAAAATCTTTTTGCACACTAATGCCCTGAAGTGTTTCCCCTATGTTTTCTTTTAGTAGTTTTATCATTTTGGGCCTTACATTTAGGTTTTTGATTCACTTTGAGTTGATTTGTGTATAGGATGACAGTTGGGGGGTTTAGTTTCATTCTTCTGCATTTGGATATTCAGTTTTCTCAGCACCATTTATTGAAGAGACTATCCTTTCCCCAACGTATGTTCTTGAAGCCTTTGTCAAAAATTAGTTGGCTGGTTTCTCTACTTTGTTCTATTAGTCTATGTGTCTGTTTTTATGCTAGTTCCATTCCATGTTTTTTTGGTGGTGGTTTTTTTTTTTTTTTTTTTTTTTGCTTGCTATAGCTATGTAGTATATTTTGAAGTCTGGTAGTTTAATGCATGCAGCTCTGTCCTTTTTGCTCAGGATTGCTCCAGCTATTTGGGGTCTTTTGTGCTTTCACACAAATTTTAACAATTTAGGCGGGGCACGGTGGCTCACGCCTGTAATCCCAGCACTTTGGTAGGCTGAGGCGGGCGAAATGAGGAGTTTGAGACCATCCTGGCTAACACAGTGAAACCTTGTCTCTACTAAAAATGGAGACAAAAAATTAGCTGGTGTGGTAGCAGGCTCCTGTAGTCCCCGCTACTCGGAAGTCTGAGGCAGGAGAATCGCTTGAACCCGGAAGGCAGAGGTTGCAATGAGCCGAGATCATGCCACTGCACTCCAGCCTGGGTGACAGAACAGGACTCCAACACACACACACACAATTTTCTATTTCAGTGAAGAATGTCATTGGTATTTTGATAAGTATTGCATTGGCTATGTAGATTGCTTTGGATAGTATTGTCATTTTCACAATATCAGTTCTTCTGATTCATGAGCATGGAATGTCTTTTGTTTATATTGTCTTTAGTTTATTCACCAGTGTTTTGTAGTTTTGCTTGTAGAGGTGTTCCATCTCCTTGGTTAAATTTATTCCTAGGATTTTTTTTATTATTATAGGTAATATAAATGGGATTGCCTTCTTGGTAGCTTTTTCAGCTAGTTTGTTTCTTGTGTATAGAAATGCTACTGATTTTTTATGTTGATTTTGTATCCTGCGTTTACTAAATTTATCAGTTCTAAGCGTTTTTGGTTGACTCTTTAAGTTTTTCTATATACAAGATCATGTTATTTGCAAACAGGCACAATTTGACTTCCTCCTTTCCAGTCTGGATACCTTTTATTTCTTCCTCTTGCCGAACTGCCCTGGCTAGGGCTTCCAAGACTATGTTGAATAAGAGTTGTGAGAGTGGACATCTTTGTCATGTTCCAGTTCTTAAAGGAAAAGATCTCAGCTTTTCTCCATTTAGTATTATGTTTGCTGTGGGTTTGTCATATATGACCTTTACTGTGTTGAGGTACATTCCTTCTATACCCAATTTATTGAGAGTTTTTATCATGAAGGGATGCTGACTTTTATCTAATGCTTTTTCTGCATCTATTCAGATGATCATATAGTTTTTGTCATTAATTCTGTTGATGTAATATATCACATTTATTGATTTCATATGTGGAAACATCCTTGCATTCCTGGAATAAATCTCATGTGATAATGGTATATTATCTTTTTTAATGCATTTTTGGATTCAGTTGCTAATATTTTGTTAAGTATTTTTGTGTTTATGTTAGATATACTGGCCTGTAGTTTTCCTTTTTTTCTTTCTTTCTTTTTTTTTGTCTGTCTGGTTTTGGTATCAGAGTTATGCTGGTCTTGTAGAATGAGTTAGAAAGAGTTCCTTCCACTTCAAAAGAGTCCAGGGAATAAAATTATTTGAAGCTCTTTAAGAGTTAGGGATTGTTAAAAACTGCATCCTAAAAGACTAGATGGAGGTTTTGGAATTGGAATCCTGACCTTGGTATTATTAACTTCCTCTAAGTATCTAGCTGGCCCTTTGATAGCTTTTCTATAAAAGTCCCTTTATATGTACCTAGACAGATATACTCTAAGACACTCAACTTTTCACCTGTAGAATGTCTAGAACCTTTCCCTTTTACCAACTTCAAACCAGCATGTCTATCTTTAATGCAACCTCTCATTGTCTCTTACTGGCTTTTAGAAATTCCTCCAACTGTCTCAATAACTCACTCTCATAATTATTTCAAAACCCTTTCCCCTCATATTTTCCCACCACTGATGACTTGCTGCACATTAATGGTCTGGACTTACTACAGCCACTGAAAATATATTAATGCTATTTAACCGTGTCTAGCATGTGCTATGTACCAGGTATTATACTACAATCCCAAATGCATTACTTTATTTTGTACCAGAAACTCCCTATGAAATAGCTAAGCTGTTGTTCTTGTTGACATTTGACAGTTAAGCAAACTGAAAGATAAAAGATAGAAAGAAAGCTCAAGTAACTTAACCAAGGCTGGTGTTCTGACCAAATCCACTTAAGCCCATGCTCTTAATAAATGCTTATGACTACATCCAAAGTATATAATTATTGAATATTTCTAAGAAATATATTATTGCTAAATAAAGCAGCAATATATTAAAAGGATAATACATCATGACCAAGTAGGATTTATGTCAAAAATGAAAGATCAGTTTAACATTTGGAAATTAATCAAGGTAGCAAATATAGCAAGCTGTAAAAGAAAAACTCATGATCATCTCAATCAATGCAGCAAAAGCATTTAACAAAGTTTGACATTCATTCCTGATAAAAATTCTCAGCAAATTAGTAACACAAAGAAACCTTACCTGATAAAGGACATCTATGACAACTTACAGCTAGATAACATAATACTTAATGGTGAAATTCTAAATGACTTTTCCCAGGATCAGAAACAAGATAAGGATGTCTGCTCTTACTAGTTCTATTCAACATTGTACTAGATGTCCAGCCAGTGCAATCAGGCAATAAAAGAAAAGAAATACTTTCAGATTATGAATGAAGAAGTAAAATAATCTTTATTCTCAGATGATGATATTTTCTTTTCTTTTTCTTTCTTTCTTTCTTTCTTTTTCTTTTTTGTTTTGTTTTGGGATAGGGGCTTGCTCTTTCTCCCTGGCTGGAGTGTAGTGGTATGATATCGACTCACTGCAATGTCTGCCTCTGGGGTTCAAGCGATTTTCCTGACTCAGCCATCCGAGTAGCTGGGATTACAGGCACCTGCCACCAAGCCTGGCTATTTTTTATATTTTTAGTAGATACTAGGTTTCGTCATGTTGGCCAGGCTGGTCTCAAACTCCTGGCCTCAAGCAATCCACCCTCCTCAGACTCCCAAAGTGCTGGGATTAGTTATGAGCCACCACACCTGGCCACGATGATGATATTTTCTATATAGAAAACCTGACAGAATCTACAAAAAAATTATTAGAACTGATAATTCACTTGAGCATTTACAGTTATTTAACCAACCAAGAGAAAAGAAAATACATATATGTGTGTTTGTGTTTGTGTGTGTGTATAATGTGCAAAGACTTATATGCAAATGTTCATAGGAGCTCTATTTGTAATAGCCAAAAACTGGAAATAACACAAATATTCATGAACAGAGAAATGGATAAACAAATTGTAGTATATTCATACAATAAAATACTACTCAACAGCGAAAAGAAGTGAACTGTTGCTACACACAATAACACCAGTGAATCTCAAAATAATTATGCTGAGTGAAAAAAATTCACAAACAAGTACATACTATACAATTTAGTTTATATAAAATAATAGAAAGTACAAACTGTGGTGACATACAACATCTCAGTATTGGCTAGGGAAAGAGATTGGGAGGTACAAGAGGAAGTGATTCAAAAAGGGCATAAGGAAACTTTGGGAGCTAACAATAAGTTCAGGATCTGAATTGTGGTAATAGTTTCACAGGTGCATACATCTGCCAAAATTGTTAAATTGTACATATGAAGTTTATTATATGTCCATTTTACCTCAGTAAAGCTGTTAAAATATTTATTACTTTCCATATGAAATTAAATAAATGTTATTCATAAGAGTTGGTGACTTGCCATACTCTACGCAAAGTGTAGTCCTGTGGTATATCTACATATATGTCATTGTTATTACTTAAAAATTGTCATAATGCAACAGATAGACTTAAAAGGAAGCTCACTATCATATCCATATAACTTTATACCATGTACATTGCCTGTCCATCAGGATGTCAACAGGATAATTGCTAAGATAAGTAAAAGTGAAATCACAGGTCTAGTCTCTAAGGGATGCTGACTTTAGCTTAAATGAGCAATGACCATTAGCTAAGCCATTAGCCCAATCTTCAGAATTAACTTAAAAATTGACTGTAGTATATTTTAAGGAGCCAGCTTCTCCAGAGACATAAAAGTCATTTCAGGAAGCCATATTAACCAGGATACTCAGTAAATTTCTGTTTTAGGGCACCGAAATGTAACCTGATGGTTGGAAAAAACTACAGTAACTTTCTGAGTTGCATAACTTATTTCCAGGGATTCATTCCAAAACGTTTTTATGTATCACATGTCACTGGCATAGCCAAGAAAATTGTTTTCAAACTTTTCAAGGAACAGAAATTATAGAATTTTAAAAGTTATGTAATATCCTTCTCGCTATAGTACACACATATAATAAAGCAAAAATTAGAATTTCTCCCAGAAATCTATTTTAAAGAAAAGTGAGTCTGTATTTGATAAAAATTTCCATAATCACCATCAAAGCCTAGACTTTTAAAACTAGAGGAGTCTTAGAAATCAGCTCTTTCAATTATCCATTTTAAAGATGAAAAGTTGAAACCTGCAGTGATGTGCAAAATTGATATACTGAGATAACAGAGAATAGAAACCAAAACCCAGATAATACTTGCTTCATTCTCTCTCGATAATTACAAGCAAATAGAGAAGACAGATTTTTAGATTTAAGAACAAAATTTCTTGGGTCTCTGAGTTCTTCATACTATTATTTTAAAAAATTTAAGCTATCTATTCCATAAATGAACTGGCTTCAATATCCTTTAATACTACAGGCTTCTTGCACAGTTCATTTGTTTAAAATGTCATGAATATTAAATAATTGACAGCTGCATGTTTTGACCCCTGCCTGAAGCAAGCACCAGGTATATTAGGAATAACACAGTTCTACAAAGAATGAAGGAGAGAGCAAATTAAATCCTGGAGAACTCATCTACAGAGATTGAGATGCCCTCTAGCATTTGTTAACACCAGGCAAAAGTCACTAATTATAGCTATACTGTTCATGCCACTGAAGTACTTAGGACCAGCATTGTGTGCCTTTCTGTAATTGTATCAGGAAATGTGAAACCATCAAGGAACTTGACAGGTGTCATTTTACCTAAATGGAGTTGCTTTCAACAAATCCAAAAAGGAAGGGTGTTTTACCCATTGGATTAAATTAAACAATGAGAATGCTTTCCTTGCCCTCATCTTGTTAGTTGATAAGAAAAGGACTAGAAGAAATGACTCATGCCTTGAAGGATTAACAACTCAGATGATGAGATGGGGCTGCTACCCCTGAAGCATAATGCATGATCATTAATTGATGGACATTGTAGAATGGAAAACAATAATATTTAATTCAATTCTGAAAATATTTATTGAACCCTTATTTGGGACTGATCTCTGTGCTTGATCCTGTGGATGCAAACCTTTCCAGATCAAAAGCCTATAATTCCAACTTCAAATTATACATTTTTATGATGACTTTCCAGGACAAACTCTATATCTACATCAAAAAGAATGACTAATTAGTAGCTGTGGTTCAAAAAGTGCTTGGAGGGATGTGTTTGTCCTTAGACTATTACAGTCACCTCTCTAGGATGATGCTAAACTGAGATTCTAAAAGATTATCAAGATTGTAAAGAACCTGAGAAACCATATTCTCATCTCTCACTGCAAAAAGGAGACTCTCGAGCTCAAACAACTTATCCACGTTTACTCATCACTCACACTTTTGATGGCAGAGTCCGAGCAGAATTATTTCCTGATTTCTTCCAGTTGTTTTTTTTCATTACCCTGTTTGATTTTTTTTAATTATTTTTCTTCATTTTTACACACATATTTTCCTAATCATGGGCCAATAGATAAATGTGTGAATTAATACTTCTAGGACAAAAATTGACCTTAGTCCTTAATTTGATTCAAAAACCTGAAAGTTAAATAATTTCATATGAACATTAACCAGTTTGTATGCAACTCATTTGTGAGAAGGTTATGACTAGAGGCTACTATGGAGTAAGTTAGCTTGGATTTTAACCCCTGATTCAATTTCTTATTGCTTGGGTGATTTTGGTCAAGGTAATTTAACATTTCTAAACCCTAGTTTCTACATAATTTAAATGAAGATGAGGTATGTTAAAATACAGAATGATATTAGATTTCATATTTAAAATATTTATTCCTATCCCTGACTCACAGTATAGACTCCATAAATATTTAAAATTAAAAAAAAAACAAGAAAGCAAAAACAGTTTTTGAATATACTGAGGAAAGCAGTCTTCCAATTCCAACCTTCACTTAGAACTCAATTTCATTCTAAATAAAAACCACATAAGCCCTGGAATATAAACAGTGTCATGCCAAATTCTTACCGCCAACTTTATGAAATCATATTGCCAAAATTGGGATCTTCTAAAACAATCTTCTGTCATTGTGGTCCTAAAAACTGCTGAACAACTACAATACTGCTGGGCAGGGGTAATTTGAAAGATTTATCTTTCCCTCCGCATGCTGTGTTTTCAGAAATCAGTTAACTTTTGCTAACTTAGAACCTATGCCAAAAATCAGTTGTGTCATTATTTCATAAGACACAATGAATAAATATTTTTGATAGAAAAAGTCACTGCTTATAGACTTATGCTTTCACTGTAGAAGAGCTTGAGTACTTTGTGGGGGAAGGTTTTAATGGAAACTAGAAAATTTTAATGGAAACTAAAAAATATTTGAAAATGACTGTCATGTAAATGCAGCACATCGAAACTTGTGAAGATTTATATTTGAGAAAAAAAGGAATACCGAAATTTAATGAGTTAAATATTCTATATTGGACAGTGCTGCTACATCTGAAGCATAATACAGGATCATTAATTGATGAACAATGTAGAATGGAAAACAATAATATTTAATTCAACTCAAAAAATATTTATTGAGCCCTTATGTGGGGCCGATCTCTGTGCTTGTTTCTGTGGATTTAAACTTTCCCAGATCAAAAGCCTATAATTCTGTGACTTCAAATTATACATATATTTATTTATTGTTTTTATAAAAAAGAATGATAGAAGAAATTAAAACAAAATAATAAATAAAGCATCATAAAAATGCAAAAAAAAAAATGAAGAAGAAGAAATGTCAACAATTTGGCCAGGCATGGTGGCTCATGCCTGTAATTCAAACACTTTGAGAGCCTGAGGTTGGAGGATCACTTGAGCCCAGGAGTTCAAGACTAGCACTCCAGGCTGGGAGACAGAGCAAGTCCCTGTCTAAATAAATAAATAAATAGAGTCAACAATGTAAAATAAGTGTTTTTTATAAAAAGCTATTGAAATAGATGGACTTCTAGTAAAACTAAACAATGAATATAATATGCAGAAATAAATAATACTGGTATTTAAAAACCAGCTAATATATAAATTTCTTTAAACACATAGAGAAAATATTATGAATTTGAAAATTTAAAGTAAAAAATTTCCTATTAAAGTTTTGACTCAGTTATGAAAAATCAATCTGTCAGCATCAGTAAATAAAAGATTCAGAGTAGTTTAGAGAAGCTCCTACTTTCTAATCAATGAATAGATAATCTCAATATTATCCAAATCTTACAGAAACTAAAAAAAACTCTCCCATATCCCATTATCTCAATAATTAGATGCTCGACTAAATAAACTTACCAGAATCTTTTGTGGGACTAAATATGCAATACTGTCCATCTTCCAAGTTATTTGTATGGAAGAATTTTAGGCTGGAAGACATATTTCACAGGAGAAGACTTTTTCCCTATGCCTTTCGACTCAGAGCCTGAGCGTACCACTAACTCTTCCACCTTTGACTAATATAGTCATTTATCATTGTTGCCATAAAGACCTCTAGGCAGCCACAAAACTTCCGGGCAGAGATAATTCAAAAGAATTGATTCTCATTCTGCATGCTGTGATTTGAGAAATCAGTGTGCTTTTGCTAACTTAGAAATTATGCACGAATTGGTGGCTTAAAACAAGCCTGCACGTAGGCTGGGGTAACCCTTGGAATGAATCAGCTGAGCTAGCATGAATGGTCTATGATGGCCTTCCTCCCTTGTCAGTTGGCAGAATGGTTAAGCTTAGCTGGGTTGGCTTATCTATGCTCCACGTGGTCTCTCACCTTTCAGGAGGCTTGTCTTTGATTCTGCACATGTTAGTCCCCAGGTTCCAAAGAGCAGCAAGAGACAGATAAAGACCAACATGCAGCACATTACAACTCTTACTAACCAAAGAAAGTTGTCAGGCCAGTCTGGAGTCAGTGTGTGGCGGGGGACACTGCCAAAGGGCACAGATAGGTGAAAGGAAACCCATTTATGTCAAATAAATACCAAATATATATAGCAAAGAGCAAAATGGATAATATTTATTAAATATTTTACTAGGACTGACAAATGAAAAAATATCCCATCTCCAGACAAGAGCACTGTGTACAGTCACTGTTGGGTGTGTTGATATTACACCATCTATTTCAGTTTAAGTCAAGCAATTCACCGATAATGTGTGCTCTAATGTATACAAGAAATGGTTAGATGTATTTATGGTCTTTGATGAGCCTGAAATTAAATTGAAACAAGATACCACCATTTAAAAAGTTAAAAAATCCTCAGAAAGCATTAAGTGTTCACAAGCTGTTGGGGGAAAGGACAGAAAATACTTGATTGAAGAGGTGGTACTTGGGCCAGGCCTTGAAGAATAAGTAGAAATTTTCTAGACAACAAGAAAATTGGAGTCCTTCCTGGTGAGAAGAACAATAAAGTAAAAGTTGTGAAAGTGGAAGTGATCTTGTTATAAGTGGCAGATTTGTAGTAAACTGCCCTGACATGTAGCATGGTGGGGAATGGGAGTGCAGTGGGTTCTGTGTCAGATTATAGAAAACCAGGCTCTCTATTTTCTCCTGTCACTTAGACTGGAGCTGATGATAAAGGCCGGAACCTCGCTTCTCTTCCCTAGGTTGTTTTTTTTGTTTTGTTTTGTTTTTTTTGTTCTGTTTTTTTTTTTTTTTTTTTTTTTCCCAATTGCTTTAACCACAGCATCAAACAACTAAGCAGGTTGAAATGATGGTTAGTAACAAAACTGCTTAAATGAGTTTATTTCATATTAGGTGATATTTGACACCATCCAGGATACATGAATCCTTTTCTATTTATCTCACTGAGTGCCAGATTGTGTGATAATATATGCGGAGGAGATGTTCTATGCAAATCACGTTCCATATTGCTGTAAGGCTTCTGCTCCCACATGCTATACAGGGCGCCCTTCCACACAACCACTCTGGCTGAACTGAGCTGGCCCATGTGGAACTAATAGACTCCTTCTTTCCGTCCTTCAAAGCAACAAAACCTTACACTACAAGGGCGGAAAGGCTTATTTAACTTTGTTCTTCTAGACTTTCTAGATCTCACCAAATGTCAGCCAATTCTAAACTGGATGGAAAGGGTCTTCCAAGGATAAAAGCACCCCTGACTTCTTCTTCATTCCCTATGCCTTCTAAGGACCGGTTCCCACCCAGTTCCCTACCATATTCACAAAAACAGAGTAGAAATTCCTGTGAAGAAGTAATCTAAAATTATGCCCAATCCCAAGGGTATAAATTCTTTTTTTTTTTTTTTTTTTTTGTGACAGAGTCTCGCTCTTGTTGCCCAGGCTGGAGTGCAATGGTGCGATCTCTGCTCACTGCAACCTCCGCCTCTGGGGTTCAAGTGATTCTCCTACCTCAGCCTCCCAAGTAGCTGGGATTACAGGCATGTGCCACCGTGCCCGGCTAATTTTTTTTTTTTTTTGTATTTTTAGTAGAGATGGGGTTTCTCCATGTTGGTCAGGTTGGTCTCGAACTCCAGACCTCAGGTGATCCACCTGCCTTGGCCTCCCAAGGGTTTAAAATCTTAGGAGGACTCACCAGACAAAAATCCAAGCTTTTGATCTTGTATCCTATTTTCTAGTATTAAGATACACATGCACTTGGGCACAGTTCACGTACAGCAATGTTTCTCTTCCATAGGGGAGGAGTGAAATGAATGTGATCCTTAGAGTCACCTAATAGCTAAATGGGGCAGTTAAGAAAAATGTTAAAGACTAGATGGTTTATAGTGTTGACTCAAATCCCTCTTTAGGGAGTCTTCCCTGACTCTCCAAAGTATGGAGAGAGAAAATTATGACTTGTCTTCTGAAAACACATTCCTTGTAATCTCTGCCTTCTGTGTCTCTTGAGAACATGAGGCTAAAAGTTCCTATGAAAATAGAGATCCTCTTCTTCATTCTATTTTTTCCCCTAAACCAGTAAATTTATGCTTATCTGTAGAACAATAAGCAAGGGCCCAATTCTCTGGTACTTCTACAACATAATGCAGCTATCTTACATTTTAAATTTGGTAGAAAGGAAATAGAAAATGAATGCATTCCTCAACAGTGAAACAGAAAGGACCACAACACTTCCACAATGAGAAAAACACTGGAGTCGGTTCTTGTTAGCAGGACTATCACATGGGGTCTGTTTTAGAATGCTATGGCTTCCTAGCAACTCATTCTTGCTCCCAATACTTATAAACTCTTTTTGTACTTACAAACAAGTTGATCATTATGCTCTGTCAGTATCTGTGCAGCATGAGCATAATCAAGTTTCTAGCCTATTTACCCAACTTGTCAAGTCAATATGTAACCTTAAAGGACATCATTCAGTTACTTATCTCTAATCCTCAGTTCTTCTGTGACTTTCATGTCTCTGGCCATGTGCTGCAGACTTAGAACTTGCTCCATATTGGATCTGAAAGACAGGTTGAAAAGGGGAAGACAATTTAAGTCACTGGGGTGTTTGATCATTCATTTTAGGAATAAATGGGAAAACTTAAAAAAAAAAACCTAAAAATACACAATTTTTGTCTTCATCTTGAAAGTTGTGTATTTTCAAAAATTCAGTCATTTTTCAGTGCTTTTGGACAAGAATAGGAGAACAAAGTCCACTAAATTATTGTCAACATAGCTCTTTTCTATTTTGACAAAGCAGATTAAGGATAAATTGAGAAGGTTTGATGATTTTAAGGAAACAAAATATAAAATATTGTGATTCCAGATTGTGTGGATCACATAATGTTATCTGATAGTTTCAAAGATGAGAAAAGAAGAAAATCTCACAATACTGTTTAGAGCCTTCTTTCTCAGCAGGTTAAATTGTGTTCCTCCAAAAAACAGAGGGATTGATGTAATGATGTCATCAAATACTAGGATTTTAAATTGCTTCCATGACAAGAGGTTTGACAGCTCCAAATGAGACTATAATTTTGTAATTTATGGTGTTTCTTACAAAAGCTAAGTAATAACAAGTAACAACAGGCTGGACTAATTGTAAATGGCATTTGTCTTCTAAATACTCAATTAGAATCATGAGATATGAGGGCAGTGATGTGAAAGTAAATGCCTATATAAGAAAGTAACATTTTATTAAGGTTTAACATACTTGGTCATTTTAGCTCACTTTCTTACATTTTTAAATAGAGTATATTTCTTAGAAGACATATTCTAATATGCTAACTCTTTACTAAAGCCTTATTAATATTAACTAACCAATTGCAATATTTGAATTTATTTTCCCTTCTACAATTCCTTTTATCTTCTCCATGTATTCAGTATTTCTAATCCCTTTCTCTGGATTTTGGCTATGCTGCTTCTCAATCAAAAATGTTCTAACTCATGGCCGGGCATGATGGCTCCATCCTATAATCCCAGCACTTTGGAAGGCAGAGGTGGGTGTATCATTTGAAGTCAATAGTTTGAGACCAGCCTGGCCAGCATACTGAAACCCTGTCTCTACTAAAAATACAAAATTTGCCAGGAGTGGTGGCACATGCCTGTAGTCCCTGTAGTCCCAGCTATTCGGGAGGCTGAGGCAAGAAAATTGCTTAAACCTGGGAGGTGGAGGTTGCAGTGAGCTGAGATTGCACCACTGCACTCCAGCCTCGCAGTCAGAGTGATTGTCTCAAAAAAAAAAAAAAAAAAGTTTTCACTTCTTTCTAACGATGACTTAACCACTTTGTATATTTCTTTCCAATCTTCATTATTCCGCAAATTTTCCTTTCTATGGTGAATCATCACAAATTCATGCTGCTTTCTTAAGGGTCAAGTCTAAAGACTTTTTTTATTCCTCATTCTGTTTGCACTATCTACATTTTAAGGTGGTTGTCACCTCTTCAATTTTAAAATTATCTTTCCCAGTGACTTTGGTTATAGGCATGTTATATAGTGTCTATCTGCTTTCACCTTAGAGTCCATTTTAAGTGCCAACCCCAAGGGCTCTGTTGAGTAAGCATCTGTGTTTTATATCCTTTGATGTTAACCCCTCAGGTACTCCTGATTAGCTCTAAGATAGATATTTCTCCAAACAGTAGCCAATAAACTAGCTGACAAGTGACTTACGACATATAATTTGCTATAAAAAAAAGTTAAGTGAGGGATATTCATTTGAGTTATAGCCTCTTAAACCAAGAACATAAACAGACTGAACTAGTTAGTAGAGGTTGAAACTGAAAAACCATAATGAAGACATTTGAGGCAGCCTTGATAGTCAACTGGCAAACCAGATTATGAGAAATCAGAAAATACGAGTGAACAGAAGCAGCCCACTGAAAGGGTGAAAGAGAATAACAGAGCATGTGTACCGAGAGAAGATGTAATAAAAAAGGAGATAGTATATTTCATTACAAGAGCTGATCTTTTTACTGTTTTTTTTCCGCCCTTTTTAGTTTCAGTTTATTCATGAACTTACTCTATGTTTTTGGAGGATTTTTTTTAGATAAACAGTAGGTCTGTGTCCTTTGGAATGAAAGGCAGATTCTGTGATAACTCATAATTGTGGTTATTCTCTCTTCTTTCTCTGCTTCTTCCTGTCCATTTTCTTTTGTTTTTTTTCAAAGCCACAAAATCCATAAAAAGTCTGAACAAACATCTCACAAGTGAAGATGTACAAATATCCAATAAGTACATGAAAATACGCTCAACATTATATGTCATTATAGAACGGCAAATTACAAGAAGAATGAGATGTCACTATACACCTACTAGAATGGCTAAAATTTAAATACTGACAAGACGGAATGCTTGCAAGAATGTGGAGCAACAGAAACTTCCATTCCTTGCTGATGGGCATAGAAAATGGCACACCACTTTGTAAAGCAGTTGCTTAAAAAACTAAACGTACTCTTACCATGTGATCCAGCAATTGCACTCTTAGGTATTTATCCAAATGAGTTGAAAACTCATGTCCACATACAAACCTGCATGCAAATGATTATAGTAGCTTTATTCATACTCTCCCACCAAGCCACCAAGATGTGCTTTGACAGGAGAATAAGTGAATTGTGGTTCATCCATACAAAGGAATATTATTCAGTGATAAAAATAAATGAGCTATCAATGCACAGAAACACATGGAGAAATTTTAAATGCATATTGCTTAATAAAATAAGAAAGACTAAAAATAATGTATACATTATGATTTCAACAGTATGACATACTGGAATAAGCAAAACTATAAAGACAGCTAAAAATAAATAAATAAATAAATAAATAAATAAATATAGCAGTAATTGCCAGGGGTTTGAAAAGGAAGAAATGAATAAAGAGGTGGGGCCCAGAGGATTTTTAAGGTAGTAAAACTATTCTGTCTGATCCTATAATGGTGAATACTTGGCTTTACATATTTGTTAAAACTCAGAACAGTAGAGTGAACCCTAATGTAAACTATGGGCTTGGAGGTCTGTTCCAAGATGGCCAAATAGGAACAGGTCTAGTCTGCAGCTCCCAGCGTGATCAATGAAGAAGATGGGTGATTTCTGCATTTCCAACTGAGGTACCTGGTTCATCTCACTGGGACTGGTTGGACAATGGGTGCAGCCCACGGAGGGCGAGCCGAAGCAGGACTGGGCATTGCCTCACTCAGGAAGTGCAAGGGTTCGGGGGATTTCCCTTTCCTAGCCAAGGGAAGCCATGACAGACTGTACTAGGAAAGTCGGGAGACTGCCACCCAAATACTATGCTTTTCCAACGTTCTTAATAAACAGCACACCAGGAAGTTATATCCCACACCTGGCTCAGCAGGTTCCATGCCCACAGAGACTTGCTTACTGCTAGTGCAGCAGTCTGAGATCAAACTGCAAGGCAGCAGCCCAGCTGAGGGAGGGGCGTCCGCCATTGCTGAGGCTTGAGTAGGTAAACAAAGTGGCTGGGAAGTTTGAATTGGGTGGAGCCCACCGCAGCACAATGAGGCTTGCCTGCCTCTGTAGACTCCACCTCTAGGGGCAGGGCATAGCTGAACAAAAGGCAGCAGAAACTTCTGCAGACTTAAACATCCCTGTCTGACAGCTCTGAAGAGAGCAGTGGTTCTCCCAGCACTGTGTTTGAGCTCTGAGAATGGACAGACTGCCCACTCAAGTGGGTCCCTGACCCCCATGTAGCCTAACTGGGAGACACCTCCCAGTAGGGGCAGAATGACACCTGATACGGCTGGGCACCCCTCTGAGACGAAGCTTCCAGAGGAAGAATCAGGCAGCAATATTTGCTGTTCAGCAATATTTGCTGTTCAGCAATATTTGCTGTTCTGCAATATTTGCTGTTCTGCAGCCTCCGCTGGTGATACCAAGGCAAATAGGGTCTGGAGTGGACCTCCAGCAAACTCCAACAGAACTGCAGCTGAGGGTCCTGACTGTTAGAAGAAAAACTAACAAACAGAAAGGAATAGCTTCAACACCAACCAAAAGGAGATCCACACCAAAACCCAAACCCCATCTGTAGGTCACCATCATCAAAGACCAAAGGTAGATAAAACCACAAAGATGGGGAGAAACCAGAGCAGAAAAGCTGAAAATTCTAAAAACCAGAGCGCCTCTTCTCCTTCAAAGGATCGCAGCTCCTCGCCAGCAATGGAACAAAGCTGGATGGAAAACAACTTTGACGAGTTCACAGAAGTAGGCTTCAGAAGGTTGGTAATAACACACTTCTCCGCGCTAAAGGAGGATGTTCAAACCCATCCCAAGGAAACTAAAAACCTTGAAAAAAGATTAAAGAATACTTAACTAGAATAAACAGTGTAGAGAAGAGCTTAAAAGACCTCATGGAGCTGAAAACCATGGCACAAGAACTACATGACACATGCACAAGCTTCAGTAGCCGATTCGATCAAGTGGAAGAAAGGGTATCAGTGATTGAAGATCAAATGTATGAAATGAAATGAGAAGAGAAGTTTAGAGAAAAAAAGACTAAAAAGAAACGAACAGAGCCTTCAAGAAATATGGGACTATGTGAAAGGATCAAATCTACATTTGATTGGTGTACTGAAAGTGACAGGGAGAATGGAACCAAGCTGCAAAACACTCTTCCGGATATTATCCAGGAGAACTTCCCCAACCTAACAAGGCAGGCCAGCAATCAAATTCAGGAAATACAGAAAACACCACAAAGATACTCCTCAAGAAGAGCAACCCCAAGACACATAATTGTCAGATTCACCAAGGTTGAAATGAAGGAAAAAAATGTTAAGGGCAGTCAGAGAGAAAGGTCGGGTAACCCACAAAGGGAAGCCCATCAGACTAACAGCTGATCTCTCGGCAGAAACTCTATAAGCCAGAAGAGAGTGGGGGCCAATATTCAACATTCTTAAAGAAAAGAATTTTCAACCCAGAATTTCATATCCAGCCAAACTAAGCTTCATAAATGAAGGAGAAATAAAATACTATATAGACAAGCAAATGCTGAGAGATTTTGTCACCACCAGGCCTGCCTTACAAGAGCTCCTGAAGGAAGTGCTAAACATGGAAAGGAACAACGGGTACCAGCCAATGCAAAAACATGCCAAATTGTAAAGACCATCAATGCTAGGAAGAAACTGCATCAGCTAACAGGCAAAATAACCAGCTAACACCAAAATGACAGGATCAAATTCACACATAACAATATTAATCTTAAATGTAAATGGGCTAAATGCCCCAATTAAAAGACACAGACTGGCAAATTGGATAAAGAGTCATGACACATCAGTGTGCTGTGTTCAGGAGACCCATCTCATGTGCAGAGAAACACATGGGCTGAAGATAAAGGGATGGAGAAACATGTACCAAGCAAATGGAAAGCAAAAAAAAAAGCAGGGCTTGCAATCCTAGTCTCTGACAAAACAGACTTTAAACCAACAAAGATTAAAAGAGACAAAGAAGGCCATTACACAATGGTAAAGGGATCAACAAAACAAGAAGAGCTAACTATCCTAAATATATATGCACCCAATACAGGAGCACCCAGATTCATAAAGCAAGTCCTTAGAGACATACAAAGAGACTTAGACTCCCACACAATAATAATGGGAGACTTCAACACCCCACTGTCAACATTAGAAAGATCAACGAGAAAAAAGGTTAACAAGGATATCCAGGACTTCAACTCAGCTTTGCATGAAGCAGACCTAATAGACATCTACAGAACTCTCCACCCCAAATCAACAGAATGTACATTCTTCTCAGCACTACATCGCACTTATTCCAAAATTGACCACATAGTTCGAAGTAAAGCACTCTTCAGCAAATGTAAAAGAATAGATATCACAACAAACTGTCTCTCAGACCACAATGCAATAAAATTAGAACTCAGAATTAAGAAATTCACTCATAACTGTAAAACCACATGGAAACTGAACAACCCGCTCTTGAATGACTACTGGGTGAATAACAAAATGAAGGCAGAAATAAAGATGTTCTTTGAAACCAATGAGAACAAAGACACAATGTACCAGAATCTCTGGGACACATTTAAAGCAGTGTGTAGAGAGAAATTTGTAGCACTAAATGCCCACAAGAGAAAGTAGGAAAGATCTAAAATCGACAGCCTAACATCACAATTAAAAGAACTAGAGAAGCAAGAGCAAGCACATTCAAAAGCTAGCAGAAGGCAAGAAATAACTAAGATCAGAGCAGAACTGAAGGAGATAGAGACACAAAAAACCCTTCAAAAAATCAATGAATCCAGGAGCTCGTTTTTTGAAAGATCAGCAAAATTGATAGACCACGAGCAAGACTAATAAAGAAGAAAATAGAGAAGAGTCAAATAGACACAATAAAAAATTATAAAGGGGATATCACCATTGATCCCACAGAAATAGAAACTACCATCAGAGAATACTATAAACACCACTATGCAAATAAACTACAAAATCTAGAAGAAATGGATAAATTCCTGGACGCATACACCCTCCCAAGTCTAAACCAGGAAGAAGTTGAATCCCTGAATAGACCAATAACAGACTCTGAAATTGAGGCAATAATTAATAGTCTACAAACCAAAAAATGTTCAAGATCAGATGGATTCACAGCTGAATTCTCCCAGAGGTACAAAAAGGAGTTAGTACCATTCTTTCTGAAACTATTCCAATTAATAGAAAAAGAAGGAATCCTCCCTAACTCATTTTATGAGTCCAGCATCATCCTGACACCAAAACATGGCAGAGACACAACAAAGAAAGAATTTTAGACCAATATCCCTGATGAACATCAATGTGAAAATCCTCAATAAAATACAGGCAAATCAATCCATCAGCACATCAAAAAGCTTATCCACTGTGATCAAGTGGGTTTCATCCCTGGGATGCAAGGCTGGTTCAACATATGCAAATCAATAAATGTAATCCATCACATAAACAGAACCAAAGACAAAAACCACATGATTATCTCAATAGATGCAGAAAAGAACTTCGACAAAATTCAACAGCGCTTCGCGGTAAAAACTCTCGATAAACTGGGTATTGATGGAATGTATCTCAAAATAATAAGAACTATTTATGACAAACCAATAGCCAATATCACACTGAATGGGCAAAAACTGGAAGCATTCCCTTTGAAAACTGGCACAAGACAGGGATGTCCTCTCTCACCACTCCTATTCAACATAGTGTTGGAAGTTCTGGTCAGGGCAATCAGGCAAGAGAAAGAAATAAAGGATATTGAATTAGGAAAGGAGGAAGTCAAATTGTCCCTGTTTGCAGATGACATGATTGTATATTTAGAAAACCCCATCGTCTCAGCCCAAAATCTCCTTAAGCTGATAAGCAACTTCAGCAAAGTCTCAAGATACAAAATCAATGTGCAAAAATCACAAGCATTCCTATACACCAATAACAGACAAACAGCCAAATCATGAGTGGACTCCCATTCACAATTGCTTCAAAGAGAATAAAATACCTAGGAATCCAACTTACAAGGGATGTGAAGGACCTCTTCAAGGAGAACTACAAATCACTGCTCAACAAAATAAAAGAGGACACAAACAACTGGAAGAACATTCCGTGCTCATGGATAGGAAGGATCAATATCTTGAAAATGGCCATACTGCCCAAGGTAATTTGTAGATTCAATGCCATCCCCATCAAGCTACCAATGACTTTCTTCACAGAATTGGAAAAACTGTTTTAAAGTTCTCATGGAACCAAAAAAGAGCCTGCATTGCCAAGACAATCCTAAGGAAAAAGAACAAAGCTGGAGACATCACATTACCTGACTTCAAACTATACTACAAGGCTACAGTAACCAAAACAGCATGGTACTGATACCAAAACAGAGATATAGACCAATGGAACAGAACAGAGCCCTCAGAAATGGCACCACAAATGTACAACCATCTGATCTTTGAAAAACCTGCCAAAAACAAGAAATGGGGAAAGGATTCCCTATTTAATAAATGGTGCTGGGAAAACTGGCTAACCAGATGTAGAAGCTGAAATTGGATCCCTTCTTCACACCTTATACAAAAATTAATTCAAGATGGATTAAAGACTTAAATATTAGACTTAAAACCATAAAATCCCTAGAAGAAAACCTAGGCAATACCATTCAGGACATAGGCAGGGGCAAGGACTTCATGTCTAAAACACCAAAAGTAATGGCAACAAAAGCCAAAATAGACAAATGGGATCTAATTAAACTAAAGAGCTTCTGCACAGCAAAAGAAACTACCATCAGAGTGAACAGGCAACCTACAGAATGGGATAAAATGTTTGCAATCTACCCATCTGACAAAGGGCTAATATCCAGAATCTACAAAGAACATAAACAAATTTACAAGAAAAAATCAAACAACCCCATCACAAAGTGGGCAAAGGATATGAGCAGACACTTTTCAAAAGAAGACATTTATGCAGCCAACAGACACATGAAAAAATGCTCATCATCACTGGCCATCAGAGAAATGCTAATCAAAACCACAATGTGATACCATCTCACATCAGTTATAATGGCGATCATTAAAAAGTCAGGAAACAACAGGTGCTGGAGAGGATGTGGAGAAATAGGAATGCTTTTACACTGTTGGTGGAGTGTTAACTAGTTCAAGCACTGTGGAAGACAGTGTGGCAATTCCTCAGGGATCTAGAACTCGAAAAACCATTTGACCCAGGCATCCCATTACTGGGTATATACCCAAAGGATTATAAATCATGCTGCTATAAAGACACATGCACACATATGTTTATTGTGGCACTATTCACAGTAGCAAAGACTTGGAACCAACCCAAATGTCCATCAATGATAGACTGGATTAAGAAAATGTGGCACATATACACCATGGAATACTATGCAGCTGTAAAAAATGATGAGTTCATGTCCTTTGCAGGGACATGGATGAAGCTGGAAACCATCATTCTCAGCAAACTATCACAAGGACAAAAAACCCAACACTGTATGTTCTCACTCATAGGTGGGAATTGAACAATGAGAACACTTGGACACAGGGTGGGGAACATCACACACCAGGGCCTTTCATATGGTGGGGGGATGGGGAGGGATAATATTAGGAGAAATACCTAATGTAAATGACGAGTTAATGGGCACTGCAAACCAAAATGACATGTGTATACATATTTAACAAACCTTCACGTCTTCGTGCATATGTACCCTAGAACTTAAAGTATAATAAATAAATAAATAAATAAACTATGGGCTTCAGTTAAAAAGTATCAATATCTGCTTGTCAATTACAACAAATGTAGCACACTAATGTAAGATGTTAAAAATAGGGGAAACTGTCAGTGGCAGAGAGAGAAGAAATCTGGAAGCTCTCTGTACTATCTGCTCAATTTTCTGTATAGCTGAAAGAGCTCTAAAAATAAAGTCTATTTTTAAAAATATTTTAGCTTTATTTTAGAAACAGAGGGTACATGTATAGGAGTGTTACATGAGTATATTGGACCCAGATGGTGAGCATAGTAGCCAATAGGTAGTCTTTCAACTCATGCCGGGCTCCCTCTCTCCCACTTCTAGTAGTTCACTGTGTCTATTGTTCTCATGTTTACACCTATGTGTGCTCAATGTTTAGCTCTCACTTGTATGTGAGGACATGTGGCATTTGGTTTTCTGTTCCTACGTGAACTTGCTTAGGATTATGGCCTTATGGCCTCCAGCTCCATCCACGTGACTGCGAAAGACATGATGGCTTGCTATTTTTATTGTTGCATAGTATTTCACAGTGTGTGTATATACCACATTTTCTTTATCCAATCCACCACTGATGGGCATCTAGGTGGATTCCATGTTTTTGCCATTGTGAATAGCACAGTGACGAATGTGGGAATAAATGTGTCTTTTTGGTATAATGATCTATATTCCTTTTAGATCTGTACCCATTATATACCCAGTAATTATATCGCTGGGTTGAATTGTAGCTCTATTTCAAGTTCGTTGAGAAATCTCCAAACTGCTTTTCACAGTGGCTGACCTAACTTACATTCCTACCAACAGTGTTTAAGCATTCCCTTTTCTCTGCAGCCTTGCCAGCATTAGTTGGTTTTTGACTTTTCAATAATAGCTATTCTAACTTGTATGAGATGGTATCTCACTGTGGTTTTGAGTTATATTTCTCTGGTGGTTAGTGACAATGAACATTTTTTATACGTTTGTTGGGTGCTTGTATGTCTTCTTTTGAGAAGTGTCTGTTCATGTATTTTACCCACTTTTTAAATTATACTTTAAGTTCTGGGATATATGAGCAGAACGTGCAGGTTTCTTGCATAGGTATAAACGTGCCATGGTGGTTTGCTGCACCCATCAACCCCTCATATACATTAGGTATTTCTCCTAATGCTATCCTTCCCCTAGCCCACCACGCCCCAACAGGCCCCAGTGTGTGATGTTTTTCTCCCTGTGTCCATGTGTTCTCATTGTTCAACTCCCACTTATGAGTGAGAATATGCAGTGTTTGGTTTGCTGTTCCTGTGTTAGTTTGCTGAGAATGATGATTTCCAGCTTCATCCATGTCCCTGCAAAGGATATGAACTCATCCCTTTTAATGGCCGCGTAGTACTCCATGGTGTATATGTGCCACATTTTCTTTATCCAGTCTATCATTGATGGGCATTTGGGTTGGTTCCAAGTCTTTGCGATTGTGAATAGTGCTGCAATAAGCATATGTGTGCATGTGTCTTTATAGTAGAATGATTTATAATCTTTTGGGTATATGCCCAGTAGTGGGATTGCTGGGTCAAATGGTATTCTGGTTCTAGATCCTTGACGAATTGCCACACTGTCTTCCACAATAGTTGAACTAATTTACACTCCCACCAACAGTGTCAAAGTGTCTCTATTTCTCCACATCCTCTCTAGCATTTGTTGTTTCCAGACTTTTTAATGATTATCATTCTATCATGAGATTGTATCTCATTGTGGTTTTGATTTGCATTTCTCTAATGACCAGTGATGATGAGCTTTTTATCACGCTTACTGTCCACATAAATGTCTTCTTTTGAGAAGTGTGTGTTCATATCCTTTGCCCACTTTTTGACGTTTTTTTTTTCTTGTAAAATGTTTAAGTTCCTTGTAGATTCTGGATATTAGCCCTTTGTCAGATGAATAGATTGCAAAAATTTTCTCCCATTCTGTGGGTTGCCTGTTCACTCTGATGATAGTTTCTTTTGCTGTGCAGAAGCTCTTTTGTTTAATTTTATCCACTTTTAATGGGGCGGTTTGTTTTTTGATTGCAGATGTTTAAGTTCCCTATAGATTCTGGGTATTAGACCTTTGTTAGATGCATAAAAGGTGGAGAATTTATATTATCTGATAGCAAAATTTACTATGAAGTTACAATTATCAAGATAGTACAGTATTGGTATAAGGATAGACAGAATAGAGAGTTCAGAAATACTTCCACTCATAAGTAATCAATTGCTTTTCTACAAAAAAAACACACAGTTCTACACTTATGAGCCAAAACTATGAAACTTCTAGATAAAACATGGGAGACTGTTTTGATGAACTTGGGTTATACCGAGATTTCTTCAAAAGGATGCGGAGAATACAAACCACAAAACGAAAAGTGGTAAATCAACCTTCATCAAAATTTTAAAATTTACTCTTTAAAATAAACTATTAAGAAAATGAAAAAGCAAAATGTATGGAAGAGTAGTAGAACAAATATCTGGCAAACACGTATTTGATAAGGATTTGTATCTAGGCTATACAGCAAACATCAAAAACTCATTAGTATTCAAAATTTACTCAACTAAAAGTTGATTAATACGTGGATAAAACTTTTAAAAAATGAGGATATGGCAAATAACACATAAAATGTGCTAACATGATTAGTCCTTAGAGAAATGCAAATTAAGATCACATTGAGATACTACTACACACATTAAGAATTCTGAAGATGTCAAATATTGGCAAGGAATTGAAACAGCTGGAATTTTTACACTTTACTTTTGGGAATGAAAATAGCACATCAACTTTGGAAAACACTTTGGCAGTTGCTTCAACATTTAACCATGCATTTTTCATGTAACACAGCCACCTCACTCCTAGGTGTTTTCCCAAAATAAATCATTCACAAAAGACTTATATTTGGATTCTCACACAGTTTTATTCATAGTAGTCCAAAACTGCAAGCCACCCAAATGCCTATCAGCTGGTGAAGGGAATCAAATTGTAAGATTGCCATATAGCCACTATTACTCAGTAATAAAAAAGAACGAACCATGGATGCATAGCAACCTGGATAAATCTAGAATGCATTATGGGAAGTGAAAAAGGTCAGTGACAAAAGTCCATATAATGCATGATTCAATTTATTTAGAATTCTGGAAAAGGCAAAATTATAGTAACAAAAAGAAGGCCAGAAACCTGGAATTGGTGCAGGGGATTAACTATCAGCATAAGAGATACATTTTAAGATTTATAAACATATTTGTCATGATTAATGAAATTGTATTCTTAAAAATTGGTGAATTTTTCTTGTATATAAATTATCCTGGATTTTTAAGATCATACCTCCTTAGTTACATGAAAACTCCTAAGTTTTACACTGAAGAACTTCAAAGGCTATGTCATTCCATTTATGTCTACCTTCTACATAATAAAACCTAGTCAAACTAGATGGTGCAGCTCTTCCCTAAACACACACTTTATTACCTTCATGAATTTGCACATGATATTCACACGTCTTTCATTTTACAGTTGGACATTAGAGATCTTATAGGCATATTTTAGAGGTAATAAATATTTCTCAAATAGAAAAAGTGACTGTGTAATGTCGCAAATCTAGTTATTTGCAGAGCCAAACTGAAATTCTGGTTTCCTGATTCCAAAGCAAATGCTTGCTGCCATTGTGGGTCTTCCTTCACACACTTGGAATCAAACACCCCATATTTCTACCTATCCTGTCAAACTGAGTTTCATGTAAAATATTATCTAGTAAGCATATGCAATGTTTCCCTATTTTTAAACTGACCCACTGATTTCACTCAGATCATTTTTTCATCATTATTTTACCTTACTTTATACTAACGTATGTGCCTGTCTAAGCTCTCCATTAATCTATGAGTATGAAGGCAGTGACATGTGTTGCTTTATTCCTGGAAATGCATTGAAAAATTGTTTTATTCCTTTCATGAAAGGATGTTGGGGGGAATTAATCAAATTAATTCATCAGAGGAAGTATTTCTACTTAAAAAATAAGGGGACTGGCTCTGTCTGACGACTTGAATCATATGGATCAGGATATTTCCTGAAAAGTATTTGAACCCTGCCTAATATTTCAATGGTTTTGATGCAAAGAAAAAAAAACCTTTTCCAACATAAAAATTTAAATATATTTGTCTGATGAATCACAGATATTTAAAAACCTTATATTCAAAAAATTAAACTAAATGGCAAAGCAGTGGACCCTGGTGAGCTGTATTCCTGCAGCAAAACTGGCTAGGAGAAACGGTTGGCCTGCATCCTTAGTCGTTTTTCCATGTAATGAATATTTCAGTTGTTTTATGCATACAATATTACATTGGCAAATGCTTGTTTAATGGACTGAAGCTAATGAAAATGGAAGCCATGAATGTGTCAACTCTGATCTTTTAGCTCTTACATTACCTGCATTTCCCCAAATGCTTCAAACAGACTTTTCCAGCGGTCCGTTAAAGCAGGTTAAGATAATCTCCTTGTGAAATGGATGAAAGCTAAAAGAATGTCCAAAAGCAGAAGGTTATATCACTTAGATCTAGTAATCTGTTCTTCAGTAATCATGTGCACTTGGATATACATCTGCCTTTGAAAATGTCAAACTCATTTTGGTCACAACATCATATGTTTTTCCACACATTTTGTATTTACTGAGATAACCTGAAAATTAGGCTTCCAAATCAACATAAGTAGTCTTTACGTACTTATTGAGAATGTGAAAGATGATTAAAAAAAAAAAACTGGAGAGAGACAATTGTTTGAAATTCCAGGAATTACATATTTGTGAACACAAAAAGTAGGTAGGAAAAGAAGCAGTGATTGTTGGGAGCTGGCATGGATTTACAAAAGTACATCATATCAGACTCATTTAATTGTTCACTTTGACCATGTTATTAGACTTATTTATATCACAAAAAGTATCTCAGAATTTTTTCATTGTGCAGTTTTACAACTTTTATTTAAAAGGAGAAGTTCTATACACTCTATGCAGTTGTAGATTAATAATGGAATAATTATGTTTAAAGAGTATTTGTTACTAGATTACTGTCAGCCTCAAGGATAGCCCTTGACACTGTAACAGCAATGTTTTTTTCATAATCTGTATGACAGTAAAGAAGATATATGCTCAGGAAATCAGTGTGTCCTGATGTTGAAAAGGTGGGAGACTATGTTAAATGACAAAATAAAAATCTCAAAAGATGATGTCAAGTCTGAGCAACAAACTCAGTCTAATGGCATGAGTTTAACAGGGATGAATGAGCTTTAAGAGAGCAAGTGAATTTTAAAAAGTCAACTCTTCAAGTTAAAGTGAGACAGATATGTAAAACCATAATCACATTGATAAACAATAAGCTCAATTCGAATCCACTTTGCCATGTGGCTACAAAAAAGAGGCTAATTATCTTTAGTTTATGTTAGAGTAAGCATGAAGATAACTAGAATAAAAAGTGTGAAAGTGATACTCTTCTCTGTGTAAGGGAAGGTAATTAAATGTAATGTACATTTAATTATTGGTGCTGTGCTTTATAGGACAAAAAGCTAATTGAGAATGACCAAAATGTTAGAAAGATTGGAAACCATGCTCTCTGAGAAACAATTAAATGAATTAAAGAAGCTAGCCTTAGAAAGATGAGAGTCTGGCAGAAACACCATAGCAGCTTTAAAATAAAGAAATTTTGTGTGAAAACTTGCAGTGGAGAATTTTAAGTTGTAAGAAATAATGTTGGACAGTACAGGCTTGTAAGCATAGAGTGTGAGGTTATCTTTGTACTTAAATTTAAGAACAGTGCCCAGTAACTAGTCAAGTTTCAATAAATTGCTGTTGAATTTTTTTTTTAATGAAGAAGAAAAATAATCAAAGGAAATGAGTCCCCAGTTTTGTCATTATCCTAGGTGGAGACTACGGGCTGAGAAAAAGATGTCACAAAGACAAACTGCTGACCTTTAAGAAAACAATCTACAGTGATAAGTCCAAATGAATTAAACCAATCACAGTAACCCCAATTTTCTTGCCAATGTTTAATTGGTTTAGGAATGGGCAGCCTAAACCAACTTAGGACATTAAGTAGGCCGCGCGCGGTGGCTCACGCCTGTAATCCCAGCACTATGGGAGGCCGAGGCGGGCAGATCATGAGATCAGGAGATCGAGACCATCCTGGCTAACACGGTGAAAGCCCGTCTCTACTAAAAATACAGAAAAATTAGCCGGGCTTAGTTGCGGGCGCCTGTGGTCCCAGCTACTCGGGAGGCTGAGGCAGGAGAATGGCGTGGACCCGGGAGGCGGAGCTTGCAGTGAGCCGAGATCACGCCACTGCACTCCAGCCTGGGCGACAGAGTGAGACTCCGTCTCAAAAAAAAAAAAAGGACATTAAGTAAAAACTAAAGAAATCCATTAGTTAATAATATCTTGGTTCATTAATTATAACAAATGTTCCACTCTAATGCAGGATACTAATATTAGAAGAACCAGGTTGTGGACTATATAGGAAATTCTGTATTATCTTCACAATTTTTGTGTAAATCCAAAACTGTTCTAAAATAAAAATGTATATAAAAAATGAAAAAAAGTAGAGGTGAGATATAAACCAAATTAAATGATGAAATTGTAATAAAGCTGGGAATTTTTCAAAGATGAGATTCTATGAATTTTCAAAATTATTTTGACTTCTCAGTTAAGATGCTTTTAGAGTGAGCATTAAGTGGCAAGTAGCATAAGCATCCGAGAATCTGGACTGATTTTCGAGGACAGCCACAATATCCAAAATAGCAAAGGTTCCCCAAGCTTCCTAAGTATGACCTTTAAGGCTGCATCTTTGTTTCCACCAACCTGCTGCCAATCAAGCCAATGATAACTTCTTACAGAAACCTGGCTGTGAAGAACATCCCTTGCTGAGGAAGTGCATCTAGCTTGACTTAACTCAGCACATCCTCTGTGGGCTGATGTAAGTGTTTTGGGGCAGAAATTTATTTTGAATGGGAAGCTGGAACATAACTTTAAAGTTCATTTAAGAGAAAAAGTCTAGCCCCTTGTAAGTATGACATTGGTTTCATTTCCAATTCCATACCCAGCCAGCCCTCCAAAACACTATGTACTTTTTAAAAAAATGAGTTATTTATGGGTATAGTACTGATCAATAGAGATTATGGGGGGAGCTTAAGCCCTCTCAATCCATTCACTCATTGATGCCCAAATTATTATAATCCCATATTCAAGACTGCCCTTAGCCTGGAGTCATTTTGGAAAAGATTTTATAATTTCTACCAAGATGTGGATGGTAGGAAATGACTAAATAACTTACCACTACCATGCACAATATCATTTTACGGCAACTTATATTAAATACACTGTTTTTAAACAAATGACTCTACTGATGGACTCTACTGATGGAATTTGAGGCAATGGTTTTGAGCTATACAGAAATATTCTGGCATTGGAATTTATTTATCAATATACAACAAATTATTCCATTTTCTGTTTAATGAGAATCCTAAGGATCAGACTGATGGGATAGATATGTCTTTTTCAAAAGAATCAGAGTAAAATATCATCTTGTGAGACAACAGAATTTCTGATTTGGGAAATATCCTTAATGTTGAAACAAGAAAAGACTCCATATTTATATGAAGACATAAAATTTTCCCAAGCAGGTACTATAGTTATATATCCATCTGTGTATTTTAATTCCTCAACTGAAAAATATGTTTTTACTCTGAAATAAAATTTATAATGTTTAACTACTTTAGAAAAAAACGTTTTTAACATGAATTCCCTTATATTTCAGGATCCTTAAGTGTGGGTGTCCTGACACCATGTACATTCATTTTATGTGAATTAATTAAAAATTTTTTCTGGTTTCTTAGAACAACAAACAACTTATTTATTTATTTATTTATTTATTTATTTACTGTGAGAAGCAAATTAACCAAATGGATCTGTATTATCTAAGTGCATCTTTAGTTTGAAAGAAATTCAGACCAAGTGGACTACACAAGGCCATTTTTTTACATAATTGTGAAGCTGTAAAATTATTCAACGATATGCCACATATATTTCAGTGCTTGTCTCCCTTCTATGAGTCAATTTACCCAAGAAAATGAAGAAAAACTAGGTAGTACCCCTGGCCCATTTCTCTTACTCCCTCAAAACAGATACACATGCACAAACACACACACACACACACACACACACACACACACACACACACACTCTTCAAATCCTATATGTGACCCAACCTCTAGATTTTTCTCAACTTAAACTTTTAGCTGTATCCTCCTTAATTGTTACTTAGAAGAATAGTAAGTTAATAATAGTTAAATAGAGATTACTACATATGTATCTTCACAATTTACTATGTAAATCTATTAGGCCAAGGGATTTATAATTTAAGGAGGAAGTGTGATGATGATAACTTAAGGTGTAAACAGAATAAGATGTGTGGAATTTCAGAGAATACCTCAGTGTTCTTAAAATCTCATTTAAGCAGTCTCCTGTGTGTCAGAGCTGGGATACACAATGGGGCTTGAAAAGGCAGTGGGGTTTTCTCTAAGAGAAGCTAAAAAGTTAAAAGCTGTTTTTTTCTGAATTGCTTTCATTGTCTGACCACTGATTTTTATATCACTCTCACCGTGTGGTTGTTTTGTTCCCTTCCATGCTATTAGTGTGAAGCAATAGAGCCCACCTCATTAAAGGGATCTATTCAAGTCCAACCTCACCCATAAGTAGAACAGACAATATTTAGGAGCATCAGAAAAACTGATGCTTCCCCAAATGGCTTTTCTAATCCACTTCAACCATATTTTCAGAAAAAAAAAAATTCTACTGTAGAACCAGAACTCAGGCATAATATGTTAAATTATTTAAAATGTCCATGAAGTAGTAACACGATCCTAACTTCACAATGATGGAAAACTAACCAAATGATTAATGCAGTGCCATAGGGATAGGTGAGAGATAACGGAAATTGATTACATGTAATTAAGAAATTAAATATCTCAAATTTCATTTTTATCCAGACGTCCAAGAGGCAAATGAGGCCGATACTGGATTTATACTCCTCTAGTCATTGGACATGAGATGTCTCCATTTACACATTTTGACTAACATAACTGGACAAATGATTTCTTTTCTATTGCAGATGAAGTAAGAAAAATGGCTATTTCATGTAAGAATATTTTTATTCTTCAGAAGACTAATAATACAGAAGAAAGTAACACATGTTTACAAATCAGGCCTTGTGTACTCAGTCATGTATTGTAATAAGTAACATTAGTCAATCATTCATTATTTCTGACTTCATGATTTCCAAAGAATAGAATCACCCCAATAAAATGAATGCATTTTCTTCTCTGACAGAATAGCTAAAAACCTAGGAATAGAAGTCCTTTGTTCCCTTGTCAGCAGATAATAAAATACCATTTCAGACTGCTTAAAAACAATATTTATGTCTTCAAATGTGCATACTGTGCTTTATGAAGAAAGTCTAGTTGTTATTTATTACAGCATAAAGCACTATTGCTAGGGAAGTGTATGTGGTTCTTAGGAACAAGTACAAAGCATGGGGGAAAATGACAATGTGCTACCCTTGATTTAGATTTTTACTACACATAGTGGTGGCTCAATTGTACCTGTATTTGCCAGTGACTAAATGTATAAATGGCTAAATATAAAGACAAATATTAATCAATAAAAAATGGAAATAATGCCTGAGGCTATGATGCCAAATATTTAGTTACATCTCTCCAAGTAGGCTACAATGTGGCCTGATCACATCTCACTTTATTACCTGGCTTCCAATAATTAGAAATTAAAGGACCGCATGCCCCACATATTTTCTTGTGAAAATCAGTCTCTCTCTTTATGGGGCTAAACATGATCTCATGGGGAAACTGGACAGGAAAAGGACACATTACAAATTTCTCATCCAATACTCTTAGCCCCCATGTACAAACCACCCTTGAAGATCCTATACTCCACATTCTGTGATATGCCCTTCGCTCTCTGAATACTCAAGGCTTTAGAGTTTAAAAAGTGTTTTCACTGGGTCATTTTGGCTCTAAGTAATACATACTAACTCCACATCCCTTTAGCAAGAAATGAGAAGATATAGAATGAAAAAAGTCATATCATAAAAAAAGGAGAAGTATCTAGGCCTCAGACAGGACTTGGAATCAAAAACTGAAAAAGCACCAACAATCCAAGTCACTTCTCTTTGATCATTTGCTGCCTGCATAGAGGCTTTTATTAACTGTGCCCCCCAAAAATGAATGTCTCTTCATCTCATATGTGAGAAATGTACATCTACTACATTGAGAGATGTGGGAATTAGAATCTGAAGTCCAAAGATAACAGTCCCAAGGAGAGAGATTACAATGGAATATATTTTTTCTGGATTCTAATTGTGACACATCAGGTTTAGCTGACACGTGAAGAGGATAAGTTTTAACACTTTCCTCTGCTGACATACAAAATTATTTATAGTAGTAATAATAAAAAAGAGGCACATTATATACAAAGGAATGTAAGTAAGTATATCAGTAGATTTCTCAGGAGAAATCTTGCAGGCCGGAAATGAATGAGGTCATATATTTAAATGCTGAAAGAATAAAACTGCCAACCAAGTATAATTTACCTGGAAAATCTGTCTTAGAGAAATGAAGGAGAGATGAAGATTTTTCCAAACAGAGGTTGAGGTAGTTCATCACAATATATCTGGCCTACAAGAAATGCTAAAGGTAATTCTTTAAGCTAAAATGAAAAGACCCTAACAAAATGAAAACATATAAAAGTGTAAAAGTCACTGGTAGAGGTAAACATAAAGTCAAATTTAGAATATTGTAATAATGTAGTGGGGTGTATAAATAACTTAAAACTCTAATATAAAGCTAAAATAATATTAAATAATATAGCTCTAATATTTTATTAACGAATACAATTACAAAAATATAAATTACAACATCAAAAACACAAAATGTGGTGAAGAGGGAAAAATATGCAGTGTTTTTGTATGTCATCAAATTAAAGTTGTCAACTTAAAATAGACTATTACAACTTTAATATGTTTTATGTAAACCACATAGTAACAACAAAGTAATAATCCATAGTTCATATACAAAAGATAGTGGAATTGAAGCATAAATCATCAAATCACAAAGGAAGACAGCACAAGAGAAAGCAAGAAACAAAGGAGCTACAAACAACCAGAAAACTATAAACAAAATGGCAAGAGTAAGTACTTACCTATCAACAATTACTTTAAAAGATAATGAAATAAATTAAATTAATCAAAACACATAGATGGATGAATTTAAAAAATAAAAGATCCAACTCTATGCATTCTACAAAATGTTCACTTTAACTTTAAAGCACATAGACTAACACGTAAAAATGGAAAGGTGGAAAAGATTCCATGTGACAGGCTGGGCGCGGTGGCTCAGGCCTGTAATCCCAGCACTTTGAGAGGCGGAGGCGGGCGGATCACGAGGACAGGAGATCGAGACCATCCTGGCTAACATGGTGAAACCCCGTCTCTACTAAAAATACAAAAAATTAGCCAGGCGTGGTGGCGGGCACTTGTAGTCCCAGATACTCCGGAGGCTGAGGCAGGAGAATGGCATGAACCCGGGAGGCGGAGCTTGCAGTGAGCCGAGATCACGCCATTGCACTCCAGCCTGGGCGACAGCGCAAGACTTCGTCTCAAGAAGAAAAAAAAAAAAATGCATGTGACAGGAAATTAAAGGAAAATAGGACTAACTATACTTACATCAGACAAAATAAACTTTAGGTCAAAAAATGTAACAAGGGACAGAGAAATCTATTATATAAATAATAATAAACTGTAATAATAAAATAACTAATTTATCAAGAGGATAATATTACGAGAGAATCCAAGAAGACAATGATACATCATGAAGAAACCTTAGGTCAAAAAATGTAACAAGAGACAGATAAACCTATTGTATACGTAATAATAATAAACTGTAATAATAAAGTAACTAATTTATCAAGAGGATAATATAACGAGAGAATCCAAGAAGACAATGATACATCATGAAGATATAACCATTGTGAACATGTTTGCATTCAACATCAGAGCACCTAAAAATGTAAAGAAAATATGAGCAGATCTGAACAGAAAAAGAGACAGCAACCAATAATAGTAGAGGACTTCAGCACTCTACTTTGAACAAAGGACAGATCATCCAGACAGAAAATCAACAAACAAACATTGAACTTGGACTACTGTTTAGACCAAATAGACCTAACAAATACATACTGAATATTTCATTCACTAGAAATAGAATACATATTCTTTGCAAGTGCACACAAAATATTCTCCAGGATAGATCATAATTTAGGCCACAGAATAGCTATTAACACACTTAAAAGATGAAAATGATATCAAGTATCTTTTCTAATCACAATTTCTACTTTTCTAAGAAGAAATGGTCAGTAACAGGAGGAAAATTCACAAATATTTGGAAATTAAACAACAAACTTCTGACAACCAATGGGTCAAAGAAGAAATCAAAAGGGAAAATTTAAAAAATTGACATATAAACACAGTATACCGAAACTTACGAGACACAGGAAAAGCAGTTCTAAGAGGAAAATTTACAGCAATATATGCCTATATGAAGAAAAAAATAAAAATCTACAATTAACAACCTAACTTCACATCTCAAGAAACTAGAAAAATAAGAACAAACTAAGCCCAATGTTAGTAGGAGGAAAGAAATAACAGTGATCAGAGCAGCAATAAATGAAATAGAGACTAGAAAAACAATAGAAAAGATAAACAAAACCAAGATTTGGTTTTTGAAAAGATAAAAATAAAAAAAATGACAAAGCTTTAGGTAGACAGACCAAGAATAAAAGAGGGGATTCAAATCAAACATGAGAGAGAAGATACTAAAACTGTTACCACAAAAATACAAAGGGTAATTAGACTACTACATGAAATTATATTCTAACAAATTGGACAACCTAGTAGAAATCAATAAATTCCTATACACATACAACCTACCAAGACTGGATCATGAAGAAATAGAAATTCTGAACAGACTGTAACAATTAAGAATGGTGAATTGGTATTCAAAAACATTCATCAAAGAAAAGCTCAGGACCACTAGGCTTCAGTGGTAGATTCTACCAAACATTTAAAAAAGAATTAATATCAATCCTTCTCAAATTCCTCCAAAAAACTGAAGAGGAGGGAACACTTTCAAACTCTATTACCAGGCCAGAATTACTCTGATACCAAAGCCAGACAAGAGTACTATAGGAAAAAGAGTACTGCAGGCTTTATCCCTGGTAATCACAGAAGCAAAAATCCTCAACAAAATACTAGCAAACCAATTCAATAACACATTAAAATGACCATACATCATAATTAAGTGGGCTTTAGCCCTGAGATACAAGGATGTTTCAACATATGCAAGTTAATAAACCAGATGCAACACATTAACAGAATGAATAAAAATTATATGATCATCTCAAAAGATTCAGAAAAAGTATTTGACAACATCAACATCTGTTCATGATAAAAACTCTCAACAAAAATAGGCATAAAAGGAATGCACCTCAACAAAATAGAGGTTTATATCACAGACCCACAGGTAACATACTCAAAAATGAAAAGTTGAAAGTTTTTTCTCAAAGATGAGTAACAAGATAAGGATACTCAATCTTGTAACTCCTAATAAACACTTCTATGAAAGTAGCATTTCTAGCCAGAGCAATTAGGCAAGAAAAAGAAAAGACAAGCAAATTGGAAAGGAAGAAGTAAATTTGTCTCTTTTTGAAGATGGCATGAACTTATATATAGATAACCCTAACAACTTCAACAGCTGTTAGAAAAAATAAATTCAATGAAGTTGTATAATGCAAAAATCTACATAAAATATCAGTTCTGTTTCTATAAACAGTAAACTATCAAAAAACTTAAGGAATAATCTCATTTACAACAATAAAGTAATGTATTTATAAATAAATTTGCCCAGAGAGTTGAAATATATGTACACTGATAATTATAAAGCAGTCACAAAAGATATTATAAATGAAAAGAATTAATGGAATGATATTCATTGCTCATGGGTTGGAAGAATCAAAATGTATATACCACCCAAAGTGATCTACAGATTCAATATATTTCATTTTTTTAAAAATTCAATATTTTTTACAGAAATTAAAAAATAAAAATAAAAAATTAAATTTATATGGAACCAGCAAATACTCTCAATGGCTAAAGCAATCTTGAGCAAAATAATAAAGCTGGAGGCATCACACTTTCTTTTTCAAATTGTGTTAAAGATCTACAGTAATCAAAAAATGGCATAAAAACAGACATACATTAATGGAACAGAATAGAAAGCCTAGAAATAAACCCATACCTATACAGTCACCTAATCTTCAAGAAGTGTGCCATCAATATACAATGAGGAAAGGAGAATCTTTTCCACTAATAATATTAAAAATACTGGATATCCACACACAAAAGAGTGAAATTGGATCTTTACTTCACACCATACACAAAATCAACTCACAAAAAATTAAAGACTGAAGCAAAAAAAAAAAAAAAACTAAAAACCAAAAAACAAAACAAAAAAATAAATAAACAAGTGTGATTGCATCAAACTAAAATGTTTCTG
Source organism: Homo sapiens (assembly GCF_000001405.40). Taxonomy (NCBI): domain Eukaryota; kingdom Metazoa; phylum Chordata; class Mammalia; order Primates; family Hominidae; genus Homo; species Homo sapiens. Next base: position 44,004,850 of record NC_000018.10, read on the forward strand.
CATGGCAAAGGAAACAATCAACAAAATGAGGAGGCAATCTGCAACCGCCCAATGGGTTCTCCTTGTCTGCTGCCTAGATAGATACGATTTGTAAAGATAGTAATCACAATGGTGAAAGATTAATTCACGTAGAAGTGGCCATGCAGGAGACAGGAGTTTTATTATTACTCAAATAAGTCTCCCTGAGCATTTGGGGATCGGAGTTTTTAAGGATAATTTGGTGGGTATTGTCTCAGAAAGTGGAGCGTGCTGATTGGTCAGGTTGAAGATGAAATCATAGCTGGTCGAAATGAGGTTTTCTTGCTCTCTTCTGTTCCTAGGTGGGATGGCAAAACTAGTTGAGCCAGATTACTGGTCTGGGTGGTGTCAGCTGATCCATTGAGTGCAGCATCTGCAAAATATCTCAAGCACTGATCTTAGGTTTTACAATAATGATGTTATCTGCAGGAGCAAATTGGGAAGGTTCAGACTCTTGGAGCCAGAGGCTACATGATCCATAAATTGTAATTTCTAATCTGTAGCTAATTTGTTAGTCCTGCAAAGGCAGACTGGACCCCAGGCAAGAAGGGGGTCTTTTCAGAAAAGGCTGCTATCGATTTTGTTTCAGAGTCAAACCATGAACTGAATTCTTTCCCAAAGTTTGTTCGGCCTATGCCCAAGATTAAACAAGGACAGCTTAAGTGTTAGAGGCAAGATAGAGTCAGTTATGTCTGATTTCTTTCACTGTCATAATTTCCTCAGTTATAATCTTGCAGAGGCCGTTTCAAATCTATGCAATCAGAGAAAATGTTTGTGAATTTTATATCTTATAAGGTGCTAACATCCAAAATATATATAAAATTCATACAACTCCATAGCAGAAAAAAAAATAATCTGATTTTAAAATGGCCAAAAGACTTGAATAGACATTTCTCAATGACATACAAATGGCCAACAGATAAATGAAAGAGTGATCGACATCGCTAATCATCGGGGTAATGCAAATCAAAATCACAATGATGTTAATTCACACATATTATGATGGCTATTATCAAAAAGACAACAACTGTTGATGAGAATGTGGCATAAAAGGAACCCTTGTACCCTACTGATGGGAATGTAAATTGGTACAGACATTATCAAAACAGTGTGAAGGTTTATGGAAGTTCCTCAAAAACTGAAAAATAGAACTATCATATAATTCACCAATTCCAATTATGGGTATTTTTGTTAAAAACAAACAAACAAACAAAAAAAAACTATCAGTATCCCAAAGAGATATCTGCACTCTCATGTCTATTGGAGTATTCTTCACAATAGCTAAAACATGGAAACAACCTAAGTGCCCATCAATAGATGAACAGATAAAGAAAATGATAAATAAAAACATAAAAGACAGGTGGCGTATTTCAGCATCTTTCTAGTAGTGATCCTGGCTATTAAATTTGAGTCATTGAGTCTGGTTCTCCAGCCTTGCCAACTATTATGTGAATTATTTTAAAAACAACAGCAACAACAACAACAAAACAAAACAAAACAAAACAAAACAAAACAAAAAATCCTCAAACTCTTTTGCAGCATAATTAGCTGAATCTACTGGCTTTCCAGGGGCAAGGATGATATATATTTATCCTCAATGTCCCTATCAACTCTAATAATCCCTAAAAATAATAAAATAATTTATCAATAAACATTTGGTGTTCTAAGACATCTGTTTTTCAGGCAGTAGTAGACATACACTGTTACTTGCATGGCAGTCGTAGAGCAGTGTGAGGAAGAAGAGGGAAACAGAAGAGAGGAAGGGGTAGAGTACGAACTGGAAATAGCCTTTAATAAGGTCATGAACAAAGTCTTCAGCATCCCAATTGTTTTGATGATGATTGCCATATTCACGTTGACCTATGGTTATGTTAATTTTGCCTTATGAACCTCAATATTCTTTGGCTGAAAAAAATCAAAATATCACACACAACACTCGTTTCCTAGAGACTGAGCATAAGAGAGTCTTCTGTCTTCATTAATGTGTTAATGAGCTAGGTCAGATGTTTACAGATTTTCATCAAATTAATCAGACAAAAAACCCTGTAGTCAACTTGACTTCCTTTCTCCAAAGTTCATTAAAATATAATCTTTGACAATTAAATTGAGCATTGCTTATCTGTTGCTGGGATACCATTTCTCCTCTAGTCAAGAAGGTACTTAGGATGGAGAGAAAGAAAAATAATGTTTGGCCATATGCCCATTTGGAAGGTATTCATCATTATCGTAATATAATATTAATTTTCATAAGCTACTATAGCACGCTAGAGCCAGAACAAAAAAAATAGTATTAAGAATTTATTTTACAACTGTAGAAAATTTGTCCTAATGACAAGCATTCAAATATTTAAGTTCATAAAAATTTAGTGGTAAAATCTGGGCCACTACTATATATTCATCAATTTTGTTCTTATTCCTAATTAAAGGTTTTACTGTATCTAAACAATTCCCACTGTCCTCAGCATAATATGCTTTATTTCCAACTTTCTACTCTTTTGTATTGGAAGCCTATCTTAAATTCCCTCTTTCAAAATTAAATTTATCAGCAAGAGTCCTAGGCTGAGCCTAAATAGGAATTTAGGACTATAAAATATTATGTCTGGCGAACAGTAGTCCAGGAAACTAGAGGCCTATTGAAAACAAAATCATGTACCACTATATGCAGCTTGAACACTGAAAATGGAAATTACCTGCCCCTACCCAGATTACTGACCATATTAACATGACTTTACTACCCCATTGTCTTCATCAGCATAACATTACTATTTTATGACTTTTGCCCAGGCAAATAGCTTGACTGCTCCTTAGAGGAACTTTCCAAAAGACTCATCAACATTTCAATAAAATCCATATGTGTTGCTTTAATCAATTCTATCATTATATCATAATTCTTATCCAATTCCAGTCAAGTTCTCATTTAGAGAACTGGTTCTGCGAAGAGCTCCTGTAGTTCCAGCCACTAAAGAGATTGGAAAATTACTTGAGCCTGGTAGTGAACAATGATCATGCCTGTGAATAGCCACTGCACTCCAGCCTGGGCAACATGTCAAGACATCATCTCTTAAGAAAATGTATATATATATGTATATATCTCACTTTGATAGATCTGACTGACCCAAACTTTGACTTCTTAATAAATTTCTTCTTTTCCTTTCCCCCATGACACTATCAGAGATCTGTCAAGAAGAATTCTCCTTTACTGTAGTAAAGAAAAAACTCAAGCTTTGTTTTATCAACAGTTTTTGGGTTCATGATATCTAGAGAGAAGGCATTTGATACTACACAAAGACTAATGAGTTGTCTGGGAAAAAAGATCTGTTCATGAAGGCAGGAGTCATGAGCTTGATAATGCAAACAAATGTGAGTCATCAAGATGGCAATTCCCCATATAGCAAGGTCTTTTTCATGTGATTTGTCTTCTGGGCCAGGCTAACATCAGAATTATGACCAAATTTTTATTTTTATTTTTGTTTGAGACAGAGTCTTGCTCTGCAGGCTGGAGTGTAGTGGCATGATCTTGGCTCACTGCAACCTCTGCCTCCCAGGTTCAAGCAATTCTCCTGCCTCTGCCTCCTGAGTAGCTAGGACTACAGGTGCATGCCACCACGCCTGGCTAATTTTTGTATTTTTAGTAGAGATGAGGTTTCACTATGTTGGCCAGGCTGGTCTGGAACTCCTGACCTCGTGATCCACCCGCCTTAGCCTCCCAAAGTGTTGGGATTACAGGCGTGAGCCACCACACCTGGCTGACCAAATCTTAATGATAACTAAAAACTCTATACGGTAATGAAGGAAAAGACTGTTTGGATATTCTTGTTAGTTAAGGTTATTGGGAATTAAGTAACAGAATAACTATAGCTAACACAATGGGTGAAAGTAAAGATGTTACCAAAACACTAGAGGTTCTGTCTAGGTCCTGCTGATCAGCTCACAGAATGCCAATCACTGAGACAATGAGTATTGCCAAAGCAAAAGCTTTTAATCAGGTGCTGCAGCTTAGGAAAACAGGAGATAAATTATCAAATCCATCTCTGACTAAAATTGGGAGGTGTATATAGTTGAGAAAGTAGAGAGGAGAACAGGAATTAGGGAGGGGTAAGGAAGTGATCATGATGGATGAGGGATTCTGGCATCTGTCTGCACGTGGTGATCCAGAGTTTCAGTTCCTTGCCTGATGGTTAGTTTCCTGAGGAAGGAACTCAGATGAGACCAATGTAAGTTTCAAGGTTTAAGACCAGGGAGAGTCAATTTCTGCTTATTCAAAAACCTGTAAATATTAGTTCTTTTAAACAATTGGGCCAGTTGTAAACACTGCTGGAAATTTTCACTGAATAAAAAGATAAAAATAGTCTCAGGAAGTACAGTGAGCTATGAGGCCTCTTGGTTATAGCAATAAGCTGTCTTGGAAATTTGATGGAGAACACATTAAAGAATGAAGCTAAGATTCAATCACTCTTACCACCTGTTTCTAACTTGTTTCTAGATTCCTAGGACAGACAAACTCTCAGTTCAGGTTAGATAGCCAACCCTGGATGCTCCAACTTTGAGTGAAGTTCTATGTTATATGAATGCTGAGAGCTCCTCTTGTGTATGAAAATTAGAGAATGTACATTTGCTTAAAGAAAATGAACCTAGTACACCAAGAGAATTACTTTAACATTTTTGCATTTTTCTAGGTATTTTCATTCCTATTTTAAATAAATATATATTTCTTACCCTTTATTTTAAAAAAAATTTATATTCTTTACCATGCAATCATTTAAACTTACAAATATACTTAAAACATATTTCCATGTAAAAAATATTTGAGGCATTACTTTAATAGCTGATTGGATGTACTTTCACTGAATGGATGTACTGCCATTATTTCTAATTTATTTATACATCTTTTTAAAGAGTCTCCTGTGAAAATCCTTCTACCTATATATTGCCATATTGGATTTTTTAAATATTTATAAATATAACTACTACTCCACAGAATATGCTCACTTCAAAGCTGATAGTTTCATAGGCTCAAATTGCCTCTAGAAATAGTCCAATTCATACTCACAAAAAGAATATGTGTTATTTGCAGTTTTATTGCAACTGTAGTAACAAATTTCATTTTAATTGTTGACAATTAGATAGTTTTTTTAATGTGTCTCTTACTACCATTATTAAAAGAGAAGTTGAATAGTTTAAATAGTTACTGAAAATGTGTGGTTCTGCTTTCCTAATTTTCCCTTTTCTATACCTTACCTATCTTCTCTGGATACATTTATTTTTTATCTTAATGCCTAGAATAAGCTTTCTTTCATTGCAGATATAAGTCTTTTGTCAGGCATATGTGGAACAAATATTTTCCCTATTTGATGTTTTGTCTTTTAATTTTTCCATAGTGCGTTTACTCTGTATAAAAACATAACATGTTTTGAAGTCAAATCAATGTTTCTCTTTCTTTTATAATTTATTTGAGAGTCAAATTTAAGAGTCCTTCCTAATTCTAGGACAACATAACTTTTGGTTTTATGTATTCTGCAGTTATTTTGTAATTACATCTACTCTTAAACCATTTAATTCAATTTTGAATTTTTTTGTTGTTAGGCATAGATCTTCATTAACTTTTATCCCCAACTAATGTTATTTCAATAATTATTTATTGTGGGTTATCTTTCACACATTAATTTATTATCTATATGCTTAAATTTGTTTCCGGAATGAACAATCATTTGGCAATTGATTGTTTGTTCCCCAGATATAAATCCATTGTTCTTGTTTTTTTCCTTTACCAATACCGCCACACTGTTGAATTCCTGAGGCATTATGTTTTAATGTTTGGTAGAAAATTATTTTCCTCACTATTTTTTTGATTCCAAGTTATGGCTCATCAAAGACTGTGATAATTTAGAAAAACTTTAAAATCGTGTGTCAACATCTCAAAATCATTCATTACAAGTTGTAATTATCATAAATTAAATTGATGAAAAATAGTATGTGTATAATATAAAAGCCGTGAGACTAAAATACAAACTTCATCTGAAACTTCATTAATAGAAGATATTCAAAACAAAAAGACAAAAACCATGCCATTTTAAAGCTACACAGGTGAGGATATTTTGGTTATTACCAACTGAAACCAATTCTGATAAATAAGCCAGAAATAACTTTACTGGAAATACCTGGGTAGCTCCCAGAATCAAATAAAAACCCGAGAACCTAAGCCTCAGAAAAGAAAAGCACCAAGAGAGCGCTGGAAACCAAAGAAGCAGTCCCTTATACTTACCATCAAATTATGTGGTTTCATCCTCTTCTGTCCTATCTACAGCGAATGTGGTAAGTTACAGAAGTTTTCTTGTGTTTTTTCATAGTCGTACATACAAACAATGCACAAAAACTAAAACAAAAAACAAAACCCCACAAAAGTCTTAATTATATTGCTTACTTGCTTGCCACAAAGTGAACACTTGAATAATTATCACCCAGGTCAAGGCAGACTATTGTCACCACCTCCAAATTTCTTAGGCCGTCACAATCTCTAGTCCCTTTTTCTCACCAAAGGTAATTTATAGTGGCTTCTAACATTATAGTTGCAACTTGCTTGTTATTTACATTAATATCATTAGAATTACATATCATATATCCCCTTTTATCTCACTGCTTTGGCTCCCCATTATGTTTGCTAAATGTGTCGCTGCAGTTTTTTTCTTTTTCTCTACATTATAGTTTCCATTGTATAAATAATACCACAATTTATCCTTTTTTTTCCACTATTGATGAACATTTGTGTTATTTTTGTTTATCTCTTATAAATCTGCTAAAGGCATTCTTGTGCATTTCAGCACTTTATGGTCTACTCATATGTGATTTTCCTTTATAATTATCCTGCGTGGTTTTCATTGGGATTTTTAAATCTATGGGTTAGAATTTTAAATCATTTTTGAAAGAAAAACTTACCCAGTTTTTTCAAATTATTCTGTTTTTATAACATGGAATGCACTTAAATTGATAACATATGAGTAAATGGCTTCAAAGAAAAAAGAAAAGGGAGAAAAAAGAAAGTTTTTTCAGAGAAAAAAGAAAGTTTTTTCAAAGAAAAAAGAAAGGGAGAATTAGGCAGAATAAATTTGAAAAAAACTGTTTTAAATAAATTTGAAAAAAATCTTCATCTTAAGTCTAAGATGAACTTGTATTACTTGAATAAAATTTTCTAGCTTAATATCATTTTGGTTAGAAAACCACAGTGTTAAAATTTGTTGAGACCTGCTTTAGGTCCCACATAGGGTCAGATTTTAAGTATCCTTATGTTTGAAAATAATGCGTATTATGCCATTTTTGGATGCAGTATTCTATAACTCGGTTATGCATGTTAAGTATGCTGTTCAAGTGTTTTAGATCTTTTGATTTTCCATCTGAAACTGATTGTGGATATGTCTCTTTGTTATTTTATTTCTAGCAATATTTTGTTTTTTAGTTGAGAGGCTAGGTCAAATTTGTACAAAATTAAAACTTTCTAGTTTTAGTTTTTTATTTTCTTTCTTCTTTTTTATTTTTGAGATGGAGTCTCACTCACTCAGGCTGGAGTGCAGTGACAAGATCTCAGATCACTGCAACCTCCACCTCCAGAGTTCAAGCTATTCTCTTGCCTCAGCCTCCTGAGTAGCTGGGACTACAGGTGCCTGCCACCATGTCCGGCTTTTTTTTTTTTTTCTTTTTTTGTAATTTTAGTAGAGATGGAGTTTCATCATGTTGGCCAGGCTGGTCTTGAACTCCGGACCTCAGGTGATCTGCCCACATTGGCTTGCTAAAATGCTGGCACTACAGGCATGAGCCACTGTGCCTGGCCTAAAAAGTTTTTTAAATTTAACTGTTATTTTAATTCAGGGGTACCTGTGCAGGTTTGTTATATAGGTAAACTTGTGTCATGGGGTTTTGCTGGGTGGATTATTTTATCACCCAGATATCAAGCCTAGTATCAATTAGTTAATTTTCCTAATCCCCTCTCTCCTCAAATATGAAATTTAAATTTTTTAATCAACACAATATGGCCCTCTTTATCTCTAATAAACCTTCTTCCACTAAAATTCTAAAATTTAGTTTTGTTTGTTTTGCCTAGTATATATTTTTCTATGCTTTTTACCTTCAAAATTTTGGACACTTTGGTTTTAAATGTTTCTCTTAAAGTTGCATAGGTTTTTTTTCTTTTCCTACTATGATAATCCTTTTTCGGATATTTACTCTATTTATAATAAAAATACTATTATCTTGGGTAGAATTTACTATATTACCATTTAGTTTTGTGATTATTACATACATCTTATGTGTCTTTTGCTTTTTTCCTTTGTTTCATATCCTTTGGCTTTATTATCCTTCTAGTAATTGCCCTATAGAACTCAGCATGCGTGTTGCCTTATCAAATAATGTTAGCTGATACTTTCATCCTTCTCCTGATCAAAATGAAAGCCTTAAAACACTCCAGTCATATCACATCTCCCATCCCCTTAATTTTTTCTGTGTGTGTGTGTGTGTGTGTGTGTGTGTGTGTGTTAGCTATCCAATGTCTTAAGCAAATTATTTCATTTTATATTTTGCCTAATTTTTCTAGTTGTCCTGAGATAATTAGTCTGAATTTATGTCAAGAAATTCTATTTCTATTTTTGCTTCCTGAGGTTTTTACTTATATTCTTCAAGTTCAGCAATGACTTTAGATTAATAGATATATCATAGTTTTTTTAAGTGATTTAAATGGGGAAAAAACTTTCTCATGAATCTAGTTTATGTATAATAGTTTTTTTATGTGATTTAAGTGGGGAGAAACTTTTTCATGAATATAGTTTAAATGTTTGCTGCAAACAGAAGTCACAATTTTTACTTTTCCCATCTTAATCTTCACTATTTTGAATTTCAATATTAAACTCATTATGGATGAAATATTTTCTCATTTTATTTTCTTCTTTCTATTGTTTTAGAAATCATTATTACTATTTTTCTAGTGGTTTTGTTAATCTATCTCCATTTCAGATTTACAAAAGCCTAAGATTATCAGTCGCTTTATCTCCCTACTGAACCTCACAGGTCCCTTGCCAGCCTTAGCTCTGACTTCCCATCCTCTCTAAAGAGCTTCTGATGTCTAGTTTTTAAATTCCAATAGTTTTAAACTTTTCATTTTGATATTATTTCAATACTACAAGAAATTTGCTGAGTAGTTCAAAGAACTCTCATATCACAATTGTCAGCATTTTAGTGTATTTGGCCATTCTTTCATTTTGAACAGTTTGTAAGTTACAGACATACTGTCTAATTATCCCTTAAAATTTAGTCCGAATTTACTAAAAACAAGGACACTTTCCCACACAGTACAATCATCAAAATTTTTAAATTTTATACAATAATGTCATACAATCCTTATAATACTCCATTCAAATTTCAGAAATTGTTTACACAATGTTCTTATTTCAGTAATTAAGGATCATGTGTTTCATTCAATAGTTTCTCCAATCCCTTCAATATAAAGCAGTTCCTCAGTGCTTTATTTTCATGACTTGATCATTTTTGAAAATAACAAGCCAGCCACCTCAGTTTCAGTCTGATGTTTCCCTAAGATTATGCCACTATGGCAACTTATACAACTATTACAGGAAGACTTCGGTGCATCCTATCAGGTGTATGATATTACCTTCCCTATTACTGAAGATGCTAAATTTTATCACCTGGTGAAAATGGTGTCTGCCAGTTTTCTACACTGGAACTTTAATAAGTATTTTATACTTATTAATTCATAAGTGATTATTTTAGCTAGCATTCCACTCTAAGGTAAAGCTCTCCCCCCCACTCCACTAGTTTATTTATGTACTCAAATAAATAACAATATGAACTCATAGTTTTCTATTTTATTTAACCACTTATAATTCATAATAATTATTATTTATTTTGATACTTAAATTTTCCCAGATTTGGACAGTGGGAGTCCCTTAATCTGTCTTGTTCTTTGAATACTTTTTTACTTATAGCCACAACAAGGTGTACCATGGTTCATCTTATGCCTTTCCTACTCCAGCTCTGGAATCAATCATTCCTTCAAACCTGGTATCCTCTAACAGAGAATGTTATTCAAAAACCAAGATTTGGATGCCAGGTGTGTTCATTGCTATTGGAGTGTCATTTTTAGGTTTCTTTCAGTGGACAAGATTAGGAAACATATCTGTATATGAACACCCTTTCACACACACATTTACTAAATCTATTAAATGTGTCAAAGTTTATACCAATAACTCTAACTACAGTCTTATACCGCAGGATTAATTTAGTTTATCTCTTTTTTCATATTTGAATCTTTTCTGACGATGAAAATCTGAAGTCCCATTATTGTCTATGTATTTACATATTTGTTCAACTACTTTGCAATTAACTTTTCTTCCACTTGATTCCCCCAGGTGCTGTTGGCTGGGTGGGTTACCCTGTGCTAGATAGAAACCAATCAGTCATGCTGCCTATATTACATGAGCACTAGGGAGAATAAGAGGAAGAGAGGCAATCTTTCTGGTTCTTAATCTACAAGATAGAAATAATTATTGTTTTAAACAGTCACATTTGTCCACCTATTTGCCCATATATTTGTTCAAAATTTATTCTGGCTTTTAAACCAAATTTCTGATGTCATTTACTTTCTGTGGAAAGAATATCCTTTAGATTTTCATTTAGTGATGGTATGTGGTAGTAAGCTCTTTAATTTTGTCTTATTCTAAAAATATATTTATTTCATTCTTAGATAATTTTCTGATTATATAATTTTAGATTGACAGTAATTTTGTTTTGGCATCATGAATATTTATATTATTAAATAATCTTCTGACTTCCATTGCTAAACAGGTCAAATAATCACACATTTTCAAGTAATCTATCTTTTCTTTCTGGTTGCTTTTAAAATCATGTGTTTTAAAATTTATTTATTGCTGTTTCACTGTGCATGAGATTATGTCTATATGTATTTTTACTTTCCTGCTTGGAATTTTATTAAGCTACTTAGATCCAAAAATTGTTGTCTTTCCAAAAGTCACAATATATATGACTGAAATTGCTCTGTCAAAGTGTAGGGATATTTTTACCTTTAAAAGATACTGTCAAATGCTGTTAAACATATATTAACTTAATAGTCCCATAAGCTATTCCAAAAGTTGCATTTGCTCCAAATCCCAACTAATATTTTGAATCATATTATAATTACTGCCACTTTTTTTTGTTTGTTTTGGTCTTAGTTTTAGTTATTTTGATAATTGTGCAGTGATATATCATTGGAGTTTTAATTTGCATTTTCCTAATGACTGATGATGTAGAGCATCTTTCCATATTTGAATATCCTTTTTTGGAAATTTCTATTCAACAATTTTGCCTATGCATCTTTTAGTGTTTTCTGTTGTTGTTGTTTATTGGAATGTAAGAGTTCTCGTATAATCTGCATATGAGTGCTTGGATAGATGTGGGTAATGCATCCATTGCGTTTTGCAATTCTACATACATACAGATTCAGCTTGCCAAATTCTTAAAAAAAAAAAAAAGCAACTTTTGAGACATAATTGACATTATGTTGAATTTATATTTTTAATTTAGAGTGAATTGACACCTTTATACCTACTGTTCCAATCCATAAAACTTATCTTTCTCCAAGTGTTATTTTATCTTTTTCAATTTAAAATAAAATTCTAGCTTTCAGCATAGAGGTCTTGCATATTTCTAGTTATGTTTATTCATAGGTGTTTTATCTTTTGTATTACTCTAAATGGTCTGTTTGCTTTTTATATTTGATGTTGCTGGTATGAAGTAATGTAATACCTTGTATTTTGTATATTGTTTTTGTATTGAATGATCTTATATGCATTTGCAAATTTAAAAAGTTATAGATTCTTAAAGTTTTTCTACATGTTCAATCTTACTTTCCGGGTATAGGCACAATGTTATTTATTTATTTTTATTTTTATTTTTTTAAATTTCCAACTCTTATTTTAGACTGGAGGAGTGCATGTACAAGTATATTACATGGGTATATTGTAGGATTCGGAGGTTTAGGATACAAATGATCCTGTCACCCAGTTAGTGAGCATGAAACCCAGCAGTTTTTCAACACTTGCCCCACTTCCTTCCTCCTCCCTCTAGTAGTCCTTAGTCTTAGTTGTAGCCATCTTTATGTCCATGAGTATCCAATATTTAGCTGTTACTTATAAGTGAGAACATGCAGTATTTGTTTTTTTGTTTCTGTTAATCTGCTTAGGATAACGGCCTTTTTAATAGCTGAATAGTATTCCATGGTGTATATGTACCACATTTTCTTTATCCAATCCATCCACTTTTGATGGAATGCTAAGCAGATTCCATGTCTTTGCTATGGCAAATAGTGCTGTGATGAACATATCAGTTCATGTGTCCTTTTGGTAGAATGATTTATTTTGTTTTGAATATATACCCATTAGCGGGATTACTAGGTCAAATGGTAGTTGTGCTCTGAGTTCTATGGGAAATCTTCAGTCTGCTTTCCACAGTGGCTGAACTAATTTGCATTTCCACCAACAGTGTATAAGCATTCCCTTTTCTCCTCAGCCTCACCAGCATCTGTTGTTTTTTGACTTTTTAGTAATAACCATTATGACTAGTGTGAGATAGTACCTCAGTGTGGTTTTGATTTGCATTTCTCTGATGATAAGCGATGTTGAACATTCTTTCATATATTTTTTGGCCACTTGTATGTCTTCTTTTGAAAAGTGTCTGTTCAGTAGCAGAAGAAAAGAAACTAAAATCAGACCAAAATCAAATGGAATTGAGACCTAAAAATTCTTACAAAGAATCCATGAAACCAAAAGTTGGTTATTTGAAAGGATAAACAAGGTTAATAGACTGCTAGCTAGATTGACAAAGAACAAAAGAGAGAAGATCCAAACAGGCACAATCAGAAACTGCAAAGGTCACATCACAACCAATCCCACAGAAATACAAAAGATCTGGCCAGGTGCAGTGGCTCACACCTGTAATCCTAGCACTTTGGGAGGCCGAGGTGGGTGGATCACTTGAGGTCAGGAGTTCAAGACCAGCCTGGCCAACATGGAGAAACCCCATGTCTACCAAAAATATATATACATTAAAAAATTAGTAGGGTGTGGTGGTGCATGCCTGTAATTCCAGCTACTTGGGAGGCTGAGGTAAGAGAATACCTCAAACCCAGGAGGCAGAGGTTGCAGTGAACTGAGATTGCACCACTGTCCTCCAGCTTGGGTGACAAAGTGAGACTCTGTCTGGAAGGAAAAAAAAAAGAAATACAAAAGATGCTCAGAGAGTCTTATGAACCCCTCTATGCATACAAACTAGAAAATCTAGAGGAAATGGATAAATTCATGGAAACACACAACCACCCAAGACTTAAGAAGAAATTGAAACTCTGAAGACCAATATCAAGTCCTGAAATTGAATCAGTAATAAAATCCTACCAACCAAAAGAAGCCCTAGACAAGGTGAATACACAGCCAAATTCTAACAGATATACAAAGAATAGCTTGTAACAATTCTACTAAAACTATTCCAAAAAAAAAAAAAATGATGAGACAAGACTCCTCCCTAACTCATTCGACAAAGTTGGCATCATCCTAATATCCAAACCTGCCAAAGACACAATGAAAAAAGAAAGCTACAAGTCAGTATCCCTGATTAACATCAACAAAAAAAATTCTTAACAAAATACTAGCAAACCAAACCAGCACATCAAAAAGTTAATCCATCATGATCAATTATTGTGCTAGCTATAAATACAGTGGCATGGGATATCATTTTCATTCACAGGATGAATGTTTTCCATGTTTTATTATTGAATTTAATGTTTGCTTTAGGCTTTTTCTTGGTATTTTTTCTTGGGTCAATAAAATTTCCTTCTTTGCCTAGTTTTCTACAGTATAAGTAAGTATTTATTTTACGCATTTTTGCATCTATTCAGACAAGCAAATGTTATTTGTTTTATGTTAATATGGTGAATTGCTTTAAAAGAGGATTCTGATGTTAACTACTCTAGTGTACCTAGTATTTTCTTTTGCTTATATATAATGAATGATATATCATGTAATAATAATTACTGTTTTTCTATTGAATTGACTCTTATTAAATGTATTTCTTGATCCTTGCTTGTATAAGGTTTCTACTGATATTAAAATTTATTAATATTGGAATATTAGCTTTCTTCACAGTATATTTGTAAGATTTAACTTTGTTTTTGTTTCGTTTTTTGATACAGACTTGTTCTGTCTCCCAGGCTGGAGTGTAGTGGCATGATCTCGGCTCACTGCAGCCTCGACCTTTCAGGTTCCAGTGATTTTCCTGCCTCAGTCTCTGATTCTCCTGCCCAAGCTTCCTGAGTAGCTGGGACTACAGGTGAGTGCCACCATGCCTGGATAATTTTTATATTTTTAGCAGAGACGGGGTTTCACCATGTTGGCCAGCCTGGTCTCAAACTCTTGACCTCAAGTGATCCACCCGCCTCAGCCTCCCAAAGTGCTGGGATTACAGGCATTAGCCACTGCACCCAGCCTGATTTAACTTTTATTTTCAAACTTTTACTTTATCATATTTTAGAATTATAGCCATATGTTGTGATGATTTACTTTGTATTTATTTTTACAATTTTTGTCATATATTTTTACGTAAAATGTAACTTACTAACATGTGCATTAAATTCTCCATTTGAATATCTGTTTTAATCTGCCCCATCTATTTTGGTCATTTTTATTTTCTTACCTTCAGATTTCATTGTATTCTGCCTTCACCCCCATTAATTTGCAACTTAGGTATAATGCTGCTTCTTTTCCTCTTTCTCTTCATAGTTACCCTAGATACTAAAACATACATTGTCAATTCATTAGAGATTACTTTAAATTAATATATTTACCATATACTAAGTAGTATCTGACTTCAGACATTTGTCTCTCTTTATTGCTATATTTTTCTACTATTAGTTTTATAAATTTAGCATATATTTCAAACCCCAGAAGATGTAAACATTATTGTTTTAAACAGTCAATATTTTAGATTAACTTATACAGCTAACCTTTTACATATTTACCATGTTTTTGAGCACTACCCTAGTTGCCTCTGGAATCTTGATTCTTCTGTCAGAAGAATTCTCTCAGATAAGGTATTTATTTTTGTAAAGATCTGCATTTTTTTATTTTTTGATCAATCTTTATTTTGCCTTCATTGCTGAAGCTTATTTTCACTGGGTATGGTGTTTTATTGGGCCATTATTTTCTTTCTACCCTTCCAAACTGGTGTTGTGGTGTTATTTCAGGAAAGGTTTACTTTTTCTCTGTGCAGCAGATGATGTCTGGGCACAGCTTTATTCTAGTTTGCCATTATTACTAGTTTATGTTTTTTCCAAAGTTACAAATAAAACCTAGGGTATTGTTATCATTCTTGTATTGTTTCACTAAAAAAAAAAATCTATTTAGCCTTTTAGTTCTTTAAAAGTTATCTTCCTTTCTTTCCCTTTTGTTGTGTGTGATCTGACCACAGACAGGTACAAGACACAGTCAGCAAGCAGCTGATGGGGGAGTTGTATGTAGAATATTAAACTCCACTCAGAATTTGCTATTTCTAGAATCTTAGCTTCTTGAGTATTACATCTTCTGTTGATCCTTCATGCTTTCACACGGTTATTTATTGCCTTCATCTCCAATTCTTGAGGAGGGTTAATGTAATTCCAGTATTTTCTTCATCATGAAAAGAGGATATAAATATATTTAAATTAACAAAGTCTGTGGTATTCCTCCAGAATGGCTACAACTCTTTACTCTTGCCAGAGTCTCATTACTTTTATGTTTTTATTTTTTTTATTATACTTTAAGTTCTAGGGTACATGTGCACAAGTACAGGTTTGTTACATATGTATAAATGTGCCATGTTGGTGTGCTGGACCCGTTAACTCATCATTTACATTAGGTATGTCTCCTAATGCTATCCCTCCCCACTCCCAGCACCCCATGACAGGCTCGGTGTGTGATGTTCCCCTTCCTGTCTCCAAGTGTTCTCATTGTTCAATTCCCACCTATGAGTGAGAACATGCGGTGCTTGGGTTTTTTGTTCCTGTGATAGTTTGCTGAGAATGATGGTTTCCAGCTTCATCCATGTCCCTACAAAGGACATGAACTCAACCTTTTTTTATGGCCACATAGTATTCCATGGTGTACATGTGCCACATTTTCGTAATCTAGTTTATCATTGATGGACATTTGGGTTGGCTCCAAGTCTTTGCTACTGTGAATACTGCCGCAATAAACGTATGTGTGCATGTGTCTTTATAGCAGCATGATTTATAATCCTTTGGATTTATACCCAGTAACAGGATGGCTGTGTCAAATGGTATTTCTAGTTCTAGATCCCTGAGGAATCCCCACACTGACTCCTAAAATTCTCTTTTTTGGTTGTGTCTCTGCCCGGCTTTGGTATCAGGATGATGCTGGCCTCATAAAATGAGTTAGGGAGGATTCCCTCTTTTTCTATTGATTGGAATAGTTTCAGAAGGAATGGTACCAGCTCCTCCTTGTACCTCTGGTAGAATTCGGCTGTGAATCCATCTGGTCCTGGACTCTTTTTGGTTGGTAAGCTATTGATTATTGCCACAATTTCAGATCCTGTTATTGGTCTATTCAGAGATTCAACTTCTTCCTGGTTTAGTCTTGGGAGAGTGTATGTGTCGAGGAATTTATCCATTTCTTCTAGGTTTTCTAGTTTATTTGCGTAGAGGTGTTTGTAGTATTCTCTGATAGTAGTTTGTATTTCTATCAGTGGTGATATCCCCTTTATCATTTTTTATTGCATCTATTTGATTCTTCTCTCTTTTTTTCTTTATTAGTCTTGCTAGCGGTCCATCAATTTTGTTGATCCTTTCAAAAAACCAGCTCCTGGATTTGTTAATTTTTTGAAGGGTTTTTTGTGTCTCTATTTCCTTCAGTTCTGCTCTGATTTTAGTTATTTCTTGCCTTCTGCTAGCTTTTGAATGTGTTTGCTCTTGCTTTTCTAGTTCTTTTAATTGTGATGTTAGGGTGTCAATTTTGGATCTCTCCTGCTTTCTCTTGTGGGCATTTAGTGCTATAAATTTCCCTCTACACACTGCTTTGAATGCGTCCCAGAGATTGTGGTATGTTGTGTCTTTGTGCTCGTTGGTTTCAAAGAACATCTTTATTTCTGCCTTCATTTCGTTATGTACCCAGTAGTCATTCAGGAGCAGGTTGTTCAGTTTCCATGTAGTTGAGCGATTTTGAGTGAGATTCTTAATCCTGAGTTTTAGTTTGATTGCACTGTGGTCTGAGAGATAGTTTGTTATAATTTCTGTTTTTTACATTTGCTGAGGAGAGCTTTACTTCCAAGTATGTGGTCAATTTTCGAATAGGTGTGGTGTGGTGCTGAAAAAAATGTATATTCTGATGATTTGGGGTGGAGAGTTCTGTAGATGTCTATTAGGTCCGCTTGGTGCAGAGCTGAGTTCAATTCCTGGGTATCCTTGTTGACTTTCTGTCTCATTCATCTGTCTAATGTTGACAGTGGGGTGTTAAAGTCTCCCATTATTAATGTGTGGGAGTCTAAGTCTCTTTGTAGGTCACTCAGGACTTGCTTTATTGCTCCTGTATTGGGTGCATAAATATTTAGGATAGTTAGCTCTTCTTGTTGAATTAATCCCTTTACCATTAAGTAATGGCCTTCTTTGTCTCTTTTGATCTTTGTTGGTTTAAAGTCTGTTTTATCAGAGACTAGGATTGCAACCCCTGCCTTTTTTTGTTTTCCATTTGCTTGGTAGATCTTCCTCCATCCTTTTATTTTGAGCCTGTGTGTGTCTCTGCCCGTGAGATGGGTTTCCTGAATACAGCACACTGATGGGTCTTGACTCTTTATCCAATTTGCCAGTCTGTGTCTTTTAATTGGAGCATTTAGTCCATTTACATTTAAAGTTAATATTGTTATGTGTGAATTTGATCCTGTCATTATGATGTTGGCTGGTTATTTTGCTCATTAGTTGATGCAGTTTCTTCCTAGTCTCGATGGTCTTTACATTTTGGCATGATTTTGCAGCGGCTGGTACCAGTTGTTCCTCTCCATGTTTAGTGCTTCCTTCAGGAGCTCTTTTAGGGCAGGCCTGGTGGTGACAAAATCTCTCAGCATTTGCTTGTCTGTAAAGTATTTTATTTCTCCTTCACTTATGAAGCTTAGTTTGGCTGGATATGAAATTCTGGGTTGAAAATTCTTTAAGAATGTTGAATATTGGCCCCCACTCTCTTCTGGCTTGTAGAGTTTCTGCCGAGAGATCTGCTGTTAGTCTGATGGGCTTCCCTTTGAGGGTAACCCGACCTTTCTCTCTGGCTGCCCTTAACATTTTTTCCTTCATTTCAACTTTGGTGAATCTGACAATTATGTGTCTTGGTGTTGCTGTTCTCGAGGAGTATCTTTGTGGCATTCTCTGTACTTCCTGAATCTGAATGTTGGCCTGCCTTGCTAGATTGGGGAAGTTCTCCTGGATAATATCCTGCAGAGTGTTTTCCAACTTGGTTCCATTCTCCCCGTCACTTTCAGATAAACCATCAGATGTAGATTTGGTCTTTTCACATAGTCCCATATTTCTTGGAGGCTTTGCTTGTTTCTTTTTATTCTTTTTTCTCTAAACTTCCCTTCTCACTTCATTTCATTCATTTCATCTTCCATCGCTGATACCCTTTCTTCCAGTTGATCACATCGGCTCCTGAGGCTTCTGCATTCTTCACGTAGTTCTCGAGCCTTGGTTTTCAGCTCCATCAGCTCCTTTAAGCACTTCTCTGTATTAGTTATTCTAGTTGTACATTCTTCTAAATTTTTTTCGAAGTTTTCAACTTCTTTGTCTTTTGTTTGAATGTCCTCCCGTAGCTAGGAGTAATTTGATCGTCTGAAGCCTTCTTCTCTCAGCTCGTCAAAGTCATTCTCTGTCCTGCTTTGTTCTGTTGCTGGTGAGGAACTGCATTCCTTTGGAGGAGGAGAGACGCTCTGCTTTTTAAAGTTTCTGGTTTTTCTGCTCTGTTTTTTCCCCATCTTTGTGGTTTTATCTACTTTTGGTCTTTGATGATGGTAATGTACAGATGGGTTTTTGGTGTGGATGTCCTTTCTGTTTGTTAGTTTTCCTTCTAACAGACAGGACCCTCAGCTGCAGGTCTGTTGGAGTACCCGGCCGTGTGAGGTGTCAGTCTGCCCCTGCTGGGGGGTGCCTCCCAGTTAGGCTGCTCAGGGGTCAGGGGTCAGGGACCCACTTGAGGAGGCAGTCTGCCCGTTCTCAGATCTCCAGCTGCGTGCTGGGAGAACCACTGCTCTCTTCAAAGCTGTCAGACAGGGACATTTAAGTCTGCAGAGGTTACTGCTGTCTTTTTGCCTGTGCCCTGCCCCCAGAGGTGGAGCCTACAGAGGCAGGCAGGCCTCCTTGAGCTGTGGTGGGCTCCACCCAGTTCGAGCTTCCCAGCTGCTTTGTTTACCTAATCAAGCCTGGGCAATGGCGGGCGCCCCTCCCCCAGCCTCGCTGCCGCCTTGCAGTTTGATCTCAGACTGCTGTGCTAGCAATCAGCGAGACTCCGTGGGCATAGCACCCTCCGAGCCAGGTGCGGGATATAATCTCGTGGTGCGCCGTTTTTTAAGCCCGTCGGAAAAGCGCAGTATTCGGGTGGGAGTGACCCGATTTTCCAGGTGCCGTCTGTCACCACTCTCTTTGACTCGAAAAGGGAACTCCCTGACCCCTTGCGCTTCCCGAGTGAGGCAATGCCTTGCCCTGCTTCAGCTCACGCACAGTGCGCACACCCACTGACCTGCGCCCACTGTCTGGTACTCCCTAGTGAGATGAACCCGGTACCTCAGATGGAAATGCAGAAATCACCCGTCTTCTGCATCGCTCATGCTGGGAGCTGTAGACTGGAGCTGTTCCTATTCGGCCATCTTGGCTCCTCCCCCTATAAATTTCCTATTAAAAAATAATGCATATACTTTGTCTTCAATTTCTGTTAAAACTCTCTTCATTAGTCAGACATTTCAGTTTGAGCTGTAATCTTAACTGCCATAGATTTTTTGAGTGATGGTCTCTTTTTTTTTTTTTTCTAAGTGGAAATTTTTGTTTACTTTGGAAGACCCAGGACCAATATTATCTCTTGTAGGAAGCATTCTTTGCCATTCAGGCAGGATATGTTTGATGGAAAGAAGATTAGTAGAACATACAGCTACTGTACACTTTGTGATGGAATGTATCACATGATACTAAAATTGCCACTGCAGTGGGGAAAAAAAAAATAACAAAACTGCTCCTCCTCAAATTTTCCAAGGGAAATTCCCACAGTTTCTATTAAGACTTTTAATTTATATAGTACCAGGCTCAAATTCCCAATTTTACATAAAGGCATATGCTATGCTATGATTATTATCCCCAGTATGAGGATAGAGAACTACCTCTCTCAAAAGAGCTACAACCCTTTACTACAGTTAAAAACTTCTTTGGCTGAGACTCCAGTTATTTTGATACTATCCCTGGTAATAGCTGCATAACAAACATAATTCACTGAAACCCACTTAAGAGAATTACTGGTAAAAGAATAAAACATTTATTGAAATCAATTCTCTCTGTCCCAAAACTCTCAATTATAACCATAGCTGTTAAAGAAATTGCTGCTGCTGAATGAATAAAACAGGTTTTAAATATAGATCTCTGAAAAGCCTTCTATTCCAGTCACATTCTGATTACTGGAAAGACTCCACATTACCCTTACTTCTTGGCACTTGAACTCCATGTAAAGTTTGAATGTGGACTGAGCAGAGAGAAAAGTAGGAAATATCAAAACTGAAAAGGGTGTGTGCTGTTAAACGGATTACTGTTTTTTCTTCCTAAAGAGAAACCAGAGCTGCCATGGTAATAAGAATAGAAGAATATCTTATAAATATTTTTGTGTACATAGAAAGGCAATCAGTAAGTACCCAGTAAGTAATTTATGATGACAATCTTATAGAACTATTTTAACATATTTACTGGGAAACTTTCTTGAATACAGAGCTATACAAAGCACTCAGTATAGTCTCTGTCTTAAAATAACTGCAATTTAAATTAACTGATAAAATACATACCTGAACATGTAATGTCCAATCTTAAGTACTAAGAAATCTGCAAAAATTCATATGTAAAAAATGGACTGTTCATTATCTACCTGATAAGGAATGTTTTCATGGTGAAAGTGGGACCTACAATGATGGACGTCTTACTACTCACTCA
Source organism: Homo sapiens (assembly GCF_000001405.40). Taxonomy (NCBI): domain Eukaryota; kingdom Metazoa; phylum Chordata; class Mammalia; order Primates; family Hominidae; genus Homo; species Homo sapiens. The sequence continues at coordinate 44,026,130 of NC_000018.10, forward strand.
TTTTTACAAATCTATACTCCAGCATTCCTATGAAATATTGGTTAATTGGAGAAGTAGTTTTGGTCTTCTAGGTACCTCATCTGAATGCTTCAAATTGCCCATCAGACTCACATGTGCTCTGTTAAGTTTATTGTGTACTTTTCAAGGGCAAAGATGGAATCTCTCTGGAGAAGGTAGGCTCTTGATTCAGATATTCAATTCCAGACCCATCTCTAATATTACTTTGTATCATCAGACTTAATATTTGACACAATTTGCACTGTTACTTCATTTGGCAACTTGGAATGACAATATAAAAACTTACCTTGTAAGTTTGCTGTGAGTATTGAATTAAATAATTTATCTAATTTACATCCTGGCTTACAGAAATTGCTCACGAAATGCTATCTACCTTGATTATCTTTTTCATATAATATTGTATCTCAACATCTACAATAGTACTCAGCAAATAGAAAAGGTTCAATGAAAGTGTCATAAATGAATTAATGTGTGAAGTGACAAAGGCTCAAAAGCAGATAAAGAAGTCACCCTGAGGACAATAAGGATATAAACCAGCGCATTAACCTCACTGTAAAAATTTCTGGAAGGAAAACGCTGTGTCTTATTTACCATAATTTTCTTCACTTATCTCAACATATTAAGACAACATATTTAGATAAGCACATAACTTAAACTACAAGGCAAATCCTTAGCTAAAACTTAGTGATTAGTTGTAATTACTAACTTTTTAAACATTTTAGTTAATACTTAATCAGTGTGCTATTAATGGTACAATTAGCTTCTGTTGATTAAGTACTTGTATGAGCCTTGTACTTCAAGTTCTTTATACGTAAATCCTCACTGCAACTTTTTGAAGAAACTGTAGTAAATAAATGAACAATTGTGAAACCATGAGACAATTAAACCTCTTCTCTTTATACATTAGTCATTCTCAGGTGGTTCTTTATAGCAGAGCGAGAATGGACTAATACAGAGCTTTTGTCTTCTCTCTAGTTAGACCAACTGGAAAGTGCAAATCTTTCTTTTCATTTAGTTGGCCCCCCAAAATCTTAACTCATTCCAGCATTAAGTCAAAAGCTTAAGCCAAAGTTCTATATGAGACAAGACAAGTCCCTTCTGCCTATGAGATTATAAAATCAAAAACAAATTAGTTACTTCCAAGATACACTGGGAGGTACAGGCATTGAGTAAATATTCCCTTTCCAAAAGGGAGAAATTGGGCAAAACAAAGGGACTACAAGCCCCATGCAAGTCAGAAACCCAGCAGAGCAATCATTAAATCTGAAAGCTCCAAAATAATCTCTTTTGAGTCCATGTCTCACATCCAGATCACACTGATACCAGCAGTGGTCTCCCAAGGCCTTGGGCAGCACTGCCCCTGTGGCTATGCCGGACTCATCTCCCTTGCCTGCTCTCAAGGGCTGGCATTAAGTGCCTGTGGCTCTTCTAGGTACACAGTGCAAGCTGTAGGTGGAATTACAATTGTGGGGTCTGGAAGACAGTAGCCCTCTTTTCACAGCTCCACTATGCAGTGTCCCACTGTGTGGGGGCTCCAACCCCACATTTTCCCTTGCTGTCCTAGTAGAGGTTCCTTCACTATGCTAGTAAAGGTTCTCCATGAGGGTTCCACCCATGCAGCAGACTTATGCTTGTACTTGTGGTGTTTCTTTACATCCTCTTAAATCTAGGCAGTGGCTCCCAAGCCTCAACTCTTGTCCTCTGTGCAACTGGAGGCCGAACACCACATGGATGCCACCAAGGCTTGGGGCTTACACCACTCCCTGAAGCAATGACCCAAGCTGTACCCTTGGCCCCTTTTAGCTAAAGCTGGAATTGAAGCACATTGATTAAGTATTAACTAAAATGTTTAAAAAGTTAATGCTCATAATTAATCATTAAGTTTTAGCTAGTGATATGCCTTGTACTTTAAGTTTATGTACTTATCTAAATGTGTTGCCTTAATATGTTGAGGTAAGTGAAGAAAATTCAAGTAAATAAGATGCAGTGTTTGCCTTCCAGAAACTTATACAATGAGGTTAATGCTCCTAAATTCTTATTTAGTGGTTTATAAACTTATTGTTCTCAAGGTGACTTCTTTATCTGCTTTTGAGCCTTTATCTGAGACATGGGATGCAGGACACCACGTCCCAAGGCTGCACAGAGCAGTGGGGTCCTGGGCCTGGCCCAGGAAACCATTTTGCCCTCCTAAGCCTCTGGGCTGTAATGGGAGAGGCTGCTATGAAGGTCTCTGAAATGTCTTGGAGGCATTTTTCCTATTGTCTTGGCTATTAGCTACTCTTTATTTATGCAAATTTCTGTAGCCTTCTTGAATTCCTCCCCAGTAAATGGGTTTTTCTTTTCTACTGCATGGCTGTGCTGCAAATCTTCCAAACTTTTATGCTTTGCTTTCCTTTTAAATATGTTCTAGTTTCAAGTTATTTCTTTGTTTATGCAAATAGCATAGGCTTTTTGAAGAAGCCAGGTCACATCTTGAACACTTAGCTGCTTAAAAATTTATTCCACCAGATATCTTAAAGCATCTCTCTCAAGTTCAAATTTCCACAGATCTCTAAAGTAGGGGCACAATGTCTCCAGTCTTTTTGCTAAAGCATAGCAAAAATCACTGTTCCTCCATTTTCCAATAAGTTTCTCACCTCCACCTGAGACCTCATCAGCCTGGCCATCTCTTTTTATATCACTGTTAGTATTTTGGTCAAAACCATTCAACAAATCTATAGGAAGTGCCAAGCCTTTCCTCATCTTCCTGTCTTCTTCTGAGACCTCCATACTGTTCCAATCTCTGCCCATCTCCCAGTTCCAAAGCTGCTTCCACATTTTCAGGTGTTTTTATTAACATAGTCGCACTTTTCTAGGACCAGTTTTCTGTATTAGTCTGTTTTCACACTTCTATAAAGATATACCTGAGACTGGGTAATTTATAAAGAAAAGAGGTTTAATTGACTCAGTTATGCACGGTTGGGGAGGCCTCAGGAAACATACATTCATGGTAGAAGGTGAAGGGAAAGCCAGCACATCCTATATATCTGGAGCAGGAGGAAGAGAGCAAAGCGAGAGGTGCTACACACTTTCAAACGGCCAGATCTCATGAGAACTCACTCACAAGAAAGCACTAGGGGGATGGTCCTAAACCATTAGAAACTGCCTGTATGTTCCAATCCCCTCCCACCAGGCCCTACTGTCAACATTGAGGATTACAATTCAACATGAGATTTTAGTGGGGATAGAGAGGCAAACCATATCAGGCCCTATGAAATAGGTTAAGGTCAAAGAGATAAGGACCAAGAAATTATTTATAGGACATATAAAATAACCCAGTTATAATTTCAGCACTTCAATCCTTGTTAATTCTCACTGTAGAATTATGTTACCAAATTACATAATCAAAATTTATGTAACCTCAATGAAGAATTATATTACCAAAGTTGATAAGTGAAGCTACTGACTCTAATATTTAATTTTTATGTAACAAGTTTTATTATTAAAAGATCTCTGCTATCATCTTTACCAATGATCTTTCACCATTGATCTTTCTCAAAATTCTCAATATGATTGACTACGGAAAAAAACCAAAATATACAATAAACAACCTAAAACAAGGAAAAAAATTAGTAAAACAAACAACCCTATTGAGCATCTGACAGAAAGCCCAAGTACTTACCTCAATACCTTTACTAATTAGCTCTGTGAGCAAGTTTCATTAGCTCTGTGGCCTTCTATTTTCTCGTGTGTTATAGCTAATCCTTATATAATATTTAGAATACAAAATGTACCCTACGAACCTTTGCCTCCAAGGACCCCAACAGCCCTAGCAACGACCATTGACATAGACTCCTGCAGCCCTCACTGATATCAATCTCAGCTTGTTTTTAAAAATTATAGGTAATAATTCCAAAATTTGAGGAGAAATGTGTATATTCAGATTGATGAAGCTCAAAATTCTTCAAAACATTCAACCCAAAGAAGACTACACTGAGACACATTATAATCAAATTGTTAAAACTCAAGGAAGAGAGGATTTTGAAAGCAGCAAGAAGAAGTAACTCATCAAATACAAGGGAACATCTATCAATTATCAGTGGATTTCTCAGCAGAAATTCTATAGGACAAAAAGTGAGAAGATACACTCAAAATGTGAAAAGAAAAAACTGGTTACCACAAATACTTTTTCTAACAATGTTGTTGGGTCAGATGAAGGAAAGATGAATACTTTCCTTGACAAACAAATGTTGAGGTAGTTCTTCACCATTAGATTTGTTCTTTAAGAAATGCTAATGGAAATACTTCAAGCTGAAACACGTGCTAATAGATAACACAAAAGCATATAAAAGTATGAAATTTACCAGTAAAAGTAAACATGTAATCAAATAATATTTTAATATTATATATAATGATGATGTATGTATCATTTTTAGCTCCAGTGTAAACGTTAAAAAACACGACTATTAACAATAACCACAGCTACTATATTTTTTAATGAATTCATGATCTAAAAATATATAAATTGTGAAATCAAAAACATGAACTGTGAGTAGAAGTCAAGAAAAATTATAATGCTTTTGTATCTGATTGAAGGTAAGTTATTAGCTGAAAATAGCCTATTATAATATGTTTTATTTAAGGCATGGTAACTACAAAGCAAAAGCCTAGAATAGATATACAAAAGATAAAGAAAAAAATTAATGAAAGCACAAAACTACCAAAAATCATAAATTCACAAAGGAAGGTGGCAAGAGTGGAGGAAAGGAAACAGAACTATAAAACAGCCAGAAAATAATAAAATGGCAATAATACTCCTTACCTATTAATATATACTTTAAATATAAATAGATTAAATGATCCAATCAGAAGGCATAAAGTGGTAGAATGGGTTTCTTTTAAAAATGACTAGCAGAGGTATCTATACTTATATCAGGTGAAATAGACTTTAAATCAAAAGATGTAACAAGAAAAATTTATATAATAAAGGGATCAATTCACCAAGGATATACAATTATAAATATATATACATATAACATTAGGTCACCTAAATATGTTAAGTAAATATTAACAGATATGAAGAGAGAGACAGCAACATAATATTAGAGGACTTTAACATCCCAGTTTGAACAATAGATCATCCAGACAGAAAATCGATAAAGAAACATTGAACTTGAAGTAGACTTTAGACCATATGGTCTTAACAGATATATACGGAACATTCCATCCAATGACAACAGAATACATATTCTTAAGCACACACACCACATTCTTCAGTATAGATGGTATACTGGGCCATAAAACATGTCTTAACAAATATAAGAACACTTAAATCATATTAAGTATGACCCCAGTGGTATGAAACGGAAATAAATAACAAGGGGAAAATTGGAAAATTCACAAATATGTGGAAATTAAACAACATACTACTGACAGTGGGTCAAAGGAAAAAAAGGGAAATAAAATATAAAGACAAATGAAGATGAAAACAAACAAATCATATCAAAACTTATGGTACAGAGTAAAAGCAGTTTCAAGGGGGGCATGTATAGTGATAGATGCCTACATTGAAAATTATTTTAAGTTTCAATCAACCAAATTTTATACCTTAAAAAACTAGAAAAAGAGGCTGGGCATAGTGACTCATGCCTGTAATCCCAGCACTTTGGGAGGCTGAGGCGGGTGGATTACAAGATCAGGAGTTTGAGACCAGCCTGACCAACATGGTGAAACCCGGTCTTTACTAAAAATACAAAAAACACACACACACACACAAAACACAAAAAACGAAACAAAACAAAACAAAAGCTAGGTGTGGTGGGACATGCCTGTAATCCCCACTACTCAGGAGACTGAGGCAGGAGAATTGCTTGAACCCGGAGGTGGAGGTTGCAGTGAGCTGGGATCGTGCCACTGCACTCCAGCCTGGGCAACAGAGTGAGAGACTCCATCTCAAAATAAACAAACTAGAATATTGTAAGCCAAAAATTAGCAGAAGGAAGGAAATAATGAAGATTGGAGTCAAAATCAATAAAGACTGAAAAGACATACACATTTATGACATACACAGCTTTTAGTTTATATTAGTTATGACTAATAGTGAGATCCAAAACGCAGACGTCAAGGGAAGATTTTGTTGTTCAACGATTTAGTTGGAGATACCTGTGTGAGGGATGATAGGAAGAGAGCCAAGAAAATCTGTGAGGATTGTAGAACCGTGATACATAGCTGTTTCCATGTGTAGAAGAGATGGAATAAATATCGGGGTGGGAGAAAGTATCCTATACGGCGATGATAACCAAAGAAAGTGTGGTCAAGCCATTGGGAATCTTCAAACCAGTGTTGGCCACCAGAAGGGTTCTAGTCTTCCTGGAACAGGTCAGCCTTAGTATTGCCGTGCTGAGGTGTGGCCTCAGCTGGGCAGACATAAATTCCTGAGTGCAACAGCCGGTCAGTTACAGCTAATCTTTAGGGTTGGAGGTTGGCATGATAGAGAAAATTCTCAAGGCTGCCACACAGTTTAATTATATATACATTTTTACTACCTTTAAATTGTTTCCTACATATTGATCTTATTAATCTTGATAAAAACAGAAACAAAAATGGAAAACATAATAGGTGCTGAGTAATATTTTTAGTGGTTGGCTACTTTGTTTGTTGGTTTGTTAAATAATATATTCAAATATTTTTCAATGGAATGGACTATTTAAGATTATAGTTTCTAGAAATTTATCTTTAAATTCCTTCATTGAAACCATTTCTTCCATAGAAATTCGTTGTGCAAAAATTCTGTTTTTAAACCTTAAAGGATTTTTTGGTGAGATCATAGGGAAATTAGAGAGTATTTGTCCTTAAATGTCATTTTCAACAAAGAAAATAACTAAGGATAACAGGAGTTAGATTTTCCCAATATCACATTATGAGCTAGTTTTAAAGCTACAATGTAAATCTCAAGTCTGGCTTTCAAGTCTAGAGGTACACTATCATGCTGATGCTTTCTCATACTAGCTACATCGCCTTATCTTTATGACACAGAAGATACTGGTTTCTGGATTAAAATATATGCATCCCCTACCCCCATTCTTTAGCAGAGCAAGCAAGCTAAACGTTGTTAACCATTAACATTTTTGTTTGCCTGGTAGAGGAGGTGAGAGAGCGTAGCAGGAAATGAGGCCTTGGGGTCTGGAGAGGCACCAATATAGTTATGCTCCTCCAGCTCTCTGAACTGGCAGCTGAGTCTGAGGTTGACAAGGAGGGTGTGTAAGGCATCTGTGGTCACAAAGCTGCACAAAAATTTGACTCATTTGCCGGTCAACTGGGGCTGTCAACCAGACAATCAGCATAGCCAGTTCAGCCTGTGACCCTTTCAGGCAGAGAAGAAAAGGTTTGACTTATTGGGAAGCCCCACTCCGCTGAAAGCTGCTTTACTGTGTCTCGCATTCAGAGTGCTTTCTCCTCTGCCTGTCTCTCCTGATAATTGTGAGTATCATTGAGGTGAATAAATAGTGATGGCAAGGCTGTCACTTCCATAATCGCTTATTCTGACCTCTGGATGGGGAGGCAATGATTGCAGATGGATTCCCCAAACACATACCAAGCCTTTTCTCTACCTTCCTCACACAATATTGACTTCCATGGTTATACAAACTACTCGTCTTTTTTCCCCCCATTACATAAGAGTCAACTGAAAATTTGAATGACTTACTTATTCTACAACTCTTATTTTCACATAAGAAGCCAGTAGCTCTGTCCCCAGTCACATCTGATGATAGATTCAAATACAAGCAAGTAATAACATTTGTTGAGAGTTCTGACCTATCCTGGCAGCAGATGAAACAAAGCAAAAGATGTCATATATACTTGTCTGCAATTAACATGTATGAAACTTAAATGAGATGTAAGAAAAAATGATAGAAATGGAGTAGAATAGCATAAAATATTAAACTAAAGATGATGATCCAAAAGATATAATAAGCACTAATGGTAATATTACAATGATAGTATTTGAAATAAATTATAAAGCCTAGGAAAATCAAGGCCATTTTATTTAAGACTTTTTTCACTAAAGCTTCTGAAGGTGAGTAGAGCAAAACTTAATTATTTTTGGAATAAATTAAAATGAACTTATTCTTAGGTAAATAGTTTTGTGCAATTTTATATATCCATAACATGTCAGACTTTGGACAAGAACTTTAGTCTCTTGACTTCTAATAATGTACAACAGAGGGAATTATATTATTGGCTATAGTTATAATCTATCATATCAATGTTGGGAATTGAGAAATTAAAGTCAATGAGCAAATATTTACAGAATACTTTTATTTTGGGTCCATTTATATACTAAATGTACTGCAAGACATAAGACAATGAGAACATATTGAGAATTTCCTTTGGACTTCACTGAGGTAAGGCCCCCACAGAGAGCGTACTCTAGGGTCATTTTCCTGGAGGTAACAGGTTGATTATTCACCACAACTTCCAGATAGGCAAAATCACAAAACTATTCCTTGGCAATTTCCTAAGCTTCTGGTGCAATATTTTGAAGATTGAAAAAATTTAATTTCCAAGAATTCTAATGGGCCTCTAACTAAATTCCATGACACAACTAGAAAGGAAAAAATAGAGAAATCATACTCTATTCTTACATATTAGGCTTGTAGTCATGACCTTGAGGCTATAGATATCCAGATAATCCATTGTTTTTTATTCAGTAAATGTTTCTTAGATGTGATATTGGCCAGGCGCGGTGGCTCACGCCTGTAATCCCAGCCCTTTGGGCGGCCGAGGCGGGTGGATTACGAGGTCAGATCGAGATCGAGACCATCCTGGCTAACACGGGGAAACCCCGTCCCTACTAAAAATACAAAAAAAATTAGCCGGGCGTAGTGGTGGGTGCCTGTAGTCCCAGCTACTCAGGAGGCTAAGGCAGGAGAATGGCGTGAACTCGGTAGACGGAGCTTGCAGTGAGCCTAGATCATGCCAGTGCACTCCAGCCTGGGCGACAGAGCGAGACTCCATCTCAAAAAAAAAAAAAAAAAAAAAAAAAAGTTGTGACATTGATTAGATTTTAAAGAATAAGCACATTTAGACAAGTAGGAAATAAAAAGCATTTCAAAAGAGGAAGCTGTGTTCAATGAGAGGTGTTAAGTACCTAACAGGTGCCCAGTGTAACTCTCTGCTAGGTTTGGGAGACTATTTGGATGAGAGAATTTTAAAGAAAGATATCTGCTGAGATATTGTATCATCAACTGCCACCACTAACTTCAGAAATCTAAGTTTTTCTTCTTTTAAAATATTCTATAGGAAGTCTGAGGAATGGTCAAAGAATATTTTCGTGAACAGGTACTTAAGACCAATAATCTATTTGCCACCTCCAGAATGACCCTAGGGAAGATATGTCTTGTCTGTGTGGGGAATTATAGCAGTAAAGGCCAATGGAGAGGGCAAGAATCAATACCAGGAGTGTTCCTCTTTCTTACTTTCATATTTCTGTACATGATTTTCTTTTCCAAAATTAAGGGCAGAGAAGAAAAAGTGGCAAAGATAGAAAGCTACCCCCATTGTGTAATACTAAAAATAAACATTGTGAAATGTTTATTTCACAGGAAACATTGTAGGCATGTTTCTTTTAATAGCATTCCACTTGCACTGGACACTCATACCCCACCACAGACGTAAATGCCTCACATGTTTCCACAGGGCTCCTTCCCAATTGCAGGTGGCACAATTTCCGAATCTCCCCTTATACCCTATAAACACATGCTCTCAAACAATTATCATCTTATGAAAAATCATAAATAAATTCTTGGCTAGGTGGTTGCACTGGGTCGTGTAAAAAGCTCTGGAGTGAAAATCCAACAGGCGTGGGACCCAATATTACTAGCTGTGTATAAGATTTTAGGCAAACTAAGATCCCTTTGGATTTTAGTATATGTGAGCATTGGAGAGATGATCTCTGAGGAATTTCCAGCTTTGAAACTTTATAACATCGCAGGAGAGAGATACGTTCCAAATGAATGAGTAAATATAAAAGTTCTTTGAATATTAATATGTACTTGATAAATGAATGCTATGAAAACCATCCCATGAAGTGCACTCACAATATGCTGAAAGCAAACTGGGTTCTAGAAGAAGACTGAATAGAAATTTTACTGCTTGCTGGCATCATATGCTTTTTGGACTCTGGCATTTGAACTGCCCTGATATATCTATAGTCTGTTTTGCCACTTCCATCTTCTAAACATGCGGGATTAATCTCAACATTCAGACCTCACGTGGCCACTGGGCTCTATCTCCAAAGACACTAAAGCAGGAGTTTGAAAAATCACCCCCAACCATGGAGATTATGAAGCCATTCTCACATCCATCTGCTTTTTCAACAGAAAAAATAAAAATTCAAACATCACATTATCAGGACTATGTCTGCATCCACTCCCTACTCCCCCATCCCCCATCCCCACCAAGGAGCTATATCTAAACCCCTGCGACTCCCCCCCCCCCCCCATCCTGCTTTCTGTCTCTGTCTTGCCTGTTATTTCCATCATAATGGAGCAAGACTAACAATGCGGGCACGGTGCCAGCTCCCATTGCTGCATGATGCTCTGATGGGCTTTAGATGTGAGCACATGTTGAGGGGACATTTAAATGATGTTTGTGTGCTGCACAGTCAGGAAAACAACATTTCTGCACTGGCTCCTTTGATCTCCTAAAAGCCAACTATCATAATACAAGAAGATTTTTAAATGGGTATAAATAAATCCAAGTGGCTCCAGCCTACATCACAGAGCCTATGCGGCTCTGTTGGCTTCTTCAGGTTTGCCTTTCCCCACTTCTTGGACTCAATTAGTACATTTCAAGTACACCTGGGTTCCAACAATATCCTAGAATTAAAAGTGAGAGAAAAACTAAAATCCTTTCTACTAAGAAGTCAGTTTCTCCCATTAGAAAAGTCTGGGAGACCTTTCTGTCACAGATTAGTAGCAGCTCTGGGGCAAAACAGAAGATGGGCTTCACTTTAGTTTGCACCTGGTGCAAGTGTCAAAAACACACAGCAACAAGTTGTGATTACTTCGCAGGTTGACAGATTTATTTGAAGTAAATTGGAGGTAGGAATAATCCAGGAAGAAATAAGAATCAGAAGACTATACAAACGAAATGCATGACCAGGAGAAAAAAAAACGGCATTTTGGCAGAGACATGTGCATGAGAAAAGGAAAGGGAACAAAAGCATGATATGTTCATATGATCTAAGAGTGGTGAAAAAAGAATATACCGGGGCACATATTTCAAGAGATGGCCAGGGAAGTGGTAAAATAAACTTGTTTGGGATGTTTGGAGTCAGACTGAGAGATGATGAGAGACTTAAATAAAAATGCCAGTGAGGTTGTAGATGATAGAAGAGTGAAGGATGAGGCATCTATGGGAGGGGTAGGATCAGCAGAAATTGAGTGGTGGTAAAGAACTATAAAAACTTTAGTTGGGACCGCTGAATGAAACATAGAGCTAAAAATAGAGAAAAAGAAAGCGATTTGGTGAAAAGTTAAGTCTCATTTGTATTGTGTCAGATATACCCGTGGAACAGGGCCATGGAAAATTGACAGCACCTGGAAATACAGGTCTGGGTATAGGAAAGAGAAGGGGTGAAAATTTGATGACAAGCAAAGCAACAAAACTGGAACTTAAATTTTGCGTAGTTTAAAAGGAGTTGAGAAGTTCCAGGGAGAGACAGATGAGAATGCTCAGTGTGATAGAAAATGATCAGTCTGAAATAAAGGAGACAAAAGGGTGTTGGGCATAAAAACCAGGACAGAAGAGCATTTTATGGAGTGTGTACTCAACATTGCAAATGTCACAATCCCAATAGTATGAGAAATAAAGAGCCTTGTTGGATTTGGCAATTTGAGGATTACCAGTACAATGAACAGTTTAATTTTAGGAGAGAAAGGAAAAAGCAAAATCCAAGAGGACCAGTGGATGAGAGATAATGAACCAGAGATTTAGGTGGTGACTAATCTTGAAAACAAGTTTCATAGTAAAGAGAAGAGCAATAGTTTGATAACTTTGTAGTTGAGGGAAGAAGAATATAAGTGAGGGGGAAGTAGCAAGTGGCAGAAAAAAAATTGAAGTATATCACGTCAGTTACTAGCAAACCTCTATCATCCCTTGGTATGAATTTTGGAAGACAAAACGTCTTATGTACTCTGGGTTATCCTTCGTTTCTCAAATTGGGCCCATTAACTGTTAGAAATCCCCTAGAATCCATGACCACAGTTCCCATTGATATGATGCCGTAACCTGACCCAGGCCTTAGGAGAGAGGGCATAGTGTATTTGTACCACCTCCCCAGAGACCAAATGAATGGCTCAGTGTCTATTAAGATGTGGAGTAGCTAAAGGAAACTGGAAGGGAAATCAGAAGCTGAGCTGATGGGAACAAGCAAACGTGACTATTTAACGAACTTGATGTTATATCTGAGTTGTCCTGTGCTGAACACAAACAGAACAGAAGAAAGAGAATATATACAAAGGGTGTCAGGCTGAACATAAAATTAGGATCCTGGAGTACAACAAAGTCAGGAATCATGATGTCTGGCAAAAGAGAGAGAGAGACAGACAAGAATGGACCAATAAAGTAGGTTATTAGGAGATGATGTAAAATCTCAAGAGTACTAGATCAAGTGAAGAGACAAGTAGCAATTCCAGTATTCAATAATTACCCGCTGTAGAATTGTGATTGGTCAGGATACCAGGAAATTATTCAAAAGTGAAATTATGGAATCTGGTTATATCTCTAGTCAAATTCACCCAAAGTTAGTTAGGGAGAAGTAGTAATGGAGACAAGTGCAGGTAAAATGGAAATTTAGACAAGAGGAATGATCAGCGAGAAGAAAAACCTCCAGACTTGTGCAGAATGGTGGCACAGATATGACCAGTGGCAGGACCTTTCTAGTAATATCATTTATTTGTACGTTTTATTTAACTGTGATTTTCTTTCATGTCGTGCACATAGTATCAATGTTAACAAAAGCAAGGATAGAAATAATCATCATCATTTGCAGGTGAGAGGAGGATGAACCAGCATACTGAAGTAATTATCTCAGGACTGAAAGAGCCTGCAAACCAACTACAAGAGTTGGTAGTATCAATCCTGTTACTGGAAATGGGCTGTGTAGCAGATATTTTAAATATTGGTGATTTTCCCGTGGTTTTAAATGTTCCCTAGAATACGTAAGAGATGTACTATTAACATAAGGTTTAACTTTCCCAGCAATCTTATCTGTATGGAATCCCATTGTGAAATCAGGAGACTGTAAATCTCTAGGACTACCCACTTTTGCATGGCTTCCTGTTGTGTTGTGGCTCTCAGAACCATCATAAAAACAGAAGAAAGCAGACAAAATGTGGAGCTATACCAAAGTCAAATTTAGGCAAAATGATATCTTGTAGAGTTAAACTTTCTCAGAAGCAGTGAAAAATGATTGTATCAACTACCAAAGAAAACAATTCAGAAATTAATTGCATGGAAACCGTTTTAACCACCCCTTCAAAAGCCCCCAAACCAGTATATGTATGGAAATTCACATAAATATATGGGCAAAAAAGCCTGTTACTGGCCATAGTTCAGGAAATCATGTCAAAAAAGTTTGTTTTAAAGAAATTAAAAATTCTTAGGCTCCAAAAGTTGTGAGATGCTCTACCCACAGTACCCCAGGAGCAGAAAGTAGCCACATTTCAGATTTACCATCTCTGGACAGTCCCAATCCCTCGCTATCTTCTTAAATGACTGCTCTTTCCATGGTAGCCCCAGTCACTTTCACATATATTGTAGAAGAACTACAAAAGGAAGCAGCTTTATTTGAAGTTGAGAAAAAACCCTGGCTCTGATTCAAACTGAGGAGGATGCAGTACATGATTTACTGGTTTTCTATCAGGCATTTGGCAACCCTGAGGAGTTTGTCATTGTTGAAAGGATACCACAGGGACCACTGGCAGTACCTATGTGGAATAAGCATGGATATTAGTTCACTGTGGGGTTGAGATACATTTTTCAAATTATGATTGTTAGTATAAAGAAAAGTTGAGGAAAAGAGTTCTTATAAATTTAGTAGTATCATATTAAATAGAATAAGAAAGGTTCTAATTTCCTTACTGTGGTTTAAGCATATAGTGTTTGATTAAAAAGAAATTCCTCAGAATTGTGATTTTAGTATTTTTTCATGTAAAAATGTATAAGAGGAAAAACTTATTAGGTTAAGATTAAATTGGATTGTTTCTTCTGAATAACAAACACTGAATAATCTAACAAATGTATGAGTAACTGAATTGTAAGACAGAAAGAACTACGTATAAAAAATAACTTTTTGTTTTAGACTTTAAAAGACCTTTCCAAATATTTGTTGTCACTATGCTTTATAACACAACACTGAAGTGTTTAAAGTACGGGCATCAGTCATTAATCTAACCTATTAATGGCCAGAATTTCGTGTTTGCCTCAATGGTTGTATCAACGTTCTTGTTGCTTTTTTCATAGGCTATGAGTGTGTTCTAGGTTTAAAGACTGATCTGTTCAAATGCCGTCTTTCATTTTAGATGGCACATTCTCCATTTTGCATTAAGCAATGGAGTATAGTGGAAAGGGAATAAGAACACTAATTATTCTAGACCGTTTAGTTCAAGATAATAGTTTGTAAGATTTAGAGTCATTGTGGGCTTTGATTTTGTTTTCATTGGGTTGGAGGATCTTACAATAGCCTAATTGTGACAAAATTAGTTTCTGAAAGTGTTAAAATTTTCTAAAATAAATGTTTAAGTATAAACATAAGAAATAGTTTGGAAAAGAGTTCTCATTACCTTCACAATATTGTATATTCAGAAGTTCTCTGAGCCTATGTTGTATATCTAGAAAGAGAAATTAATTTATTTATAGTATACTATTTGGTTTGAGTGTTTAAATCTTTTTAAAAATGTTAAATTTGTGTTCTAGTACCTAGATAAATCGGGAAGGTTAATGTTCTAGTTTCTGAAAGATAAGCCTCGGGGAACACACAGCAATTCGCTGCTATAATTTAGCTGGAAAAATGACTTAAAAAACTCAATATTTCAGGTTTAGCTCTACCCATGTTTAGCAGACATGTAAGCAAATGTGCTATAAAAAATAATTTTGATCCATTTCAAAAACTCTTATCAGTGTCCTAAAATTATTAGTCATCAAAACTAGAGTGTTGGTCAAATGAGTTTGAGTCTAGTACTTTTTTTTTGGTCTCCTACTTCCTCATAAATTCCAATGCGTTTGTTTTACATTAAAGCAGAATGGTTGGGAGCCTGATATGACAAATACAAATATTTCATTTTCTTTTCTCTTGCCTTCTTTTCTCTCACATTAAAGTTATGACAGGCTTAAAATTCTATATTCCAAAGTGAAAAGCAATTTCTTTGCTTCTGCTATCCAAACTTCTTAATGAAGGACTAATGGGATCCAGAAGGATTTCAAAACCTGAAACAAATCCCAAGACAGCCAGATTGACCTGCTTCTCCCTGAGGATTCTCTCCTTGATCTGCACACACCACACACACAAGCCAGCAGCGAAGTCACATGTCTCTCTCCTTCCCCCTCACTCCCTCGCCCAACCTCGCCTCCTGTTCCTTTTCTTCCCAGATCTTTCCTCATTTAGGAAATTAGACTTTAAAAAGAGACATTCCATGTGAATGGTTCTGCAAATGGAACTAGTCCTTCAGAGCAACAGCCCTTCATCTTTATGGGGGAAATGGAGTGAGTTGGGATGGGGCTTGAGGAGATAAAAATGACCAGCTAAATCTCAGATTTTTTTCTTAATTACCAAAAAGAAAAGAAAGGTGAACTGTTCTCTGAATGGAAGAGCCTTCCAGAAGACCAAGTAAGTCTTCTATAAACTGATTTCCCTTCCTGACTGTGATTTACTGGACTGACACCTAATTTGTTCTGAGCACAGTTGATGCCTCAGACACAATGGCGGATGACAGCCCACATAACCTCTCTTTCAGCTTTCATCTCATATATTCCATTTGAAGTTGAGTTCCGACAAGAGAGAGGCACAGAATTAATATTACCTTGGATCGGCTCAGTCTCCAGAGGGAGCAGCAAAAGCTTTTCTGGAAACAATAAACCCTTTAAACATGACAAGGGAAATGGGACCTCAGGAGGTCTCTGAAAGTATCTATTATTAAAGAAAAAGAGGGGAAAACCCTCGTGGGTGACTTTAATTTTTTTTTTTTCCTCAGCAAAAGCAATGATGAACTAGTGCCAGTTTTACATACAAATTTAAAGATCTGGGATGGTTTATGTTAAAAAATCTCTCTTTCCCCTACTCCTTAGCATATTAAGTAGAGAAAAAGAAATCTTTATGAACTATATTTCTCATGACATTAATATTTCCTTTCTGTTTAATCTGTACTAAACAAAAGTGAAATAAAAATGGAAAATTTTCACAACAGAAGCCAGAGAGGAAAAACATGTTATATCCAATCACATATATATATATAAGGTCAAATTTAATGATCCAAATATATGTGTGAGTCTCAAGAATCAGAATATTTAATTGAAACTTAATAGTGTGAATTTCCACAAAATTCAAACAAGAAAAAGTACAAATACAAATATGCCTATATAGAGAATGTATATTAATAGCAATATCTTACATTAGTACAATAATTTTTAAAAACAAGTACATTGACTCACTTGACACTTAGCACAGGTGGTCTGATATTTTTTAAATCTTTTTGTCAAATAATATATAATAATAACTCCTCCAACTATAAAAGAATAAGAAAACAATGCGAGGCAGCTTCAGGATAATACACTGTGTGTTGAACCTGGAGTTAAAAATTATGTTCTTTTGTCTTCCTACTTGTACAAATTGGGTATTCTTTCTGGGCCTCAATATCCTTGTCTGTAAGATGGGTATAATAATAAATATTTCACAACATTCTTGAGAGTCAAATGGAATCATTTATATTAGTTATAAATAAGTGAACATCCTTGCTGGGGGCACTCAGGAGCATTGTGGCTCAGGCTTAGGATGACAAGAACATTGGGCTGAGCATGGGATTGGGTAGGCTGATGCATAGAGCAAAAAGGTCTTAAAGTCCCCATTCTGGTGGTACTAGATCAGAGTTGTAAGGAGAAGGGTGACAACTGGCATCCCACTGGAATTGGGGGAACTGATATTTTAATCATCTGTTGCAGTAGAGCAATAGTATTACCTCAAGATTTTCTGGTTTCTAATGAGAGATGTTTATTATCTCACAATTTTTTTGTGTGTCAGAAATGCAGTCAAGGCACAGTTGAAAGCCTCTGTCTCAGTCACTCGCAGGCTATAATCAAGTTATTGACCAGGGCTGCACCCATCTCAAGGCTGGCCTGGGAAAGATACACTGTCAAGTTCAGTTGCTTGACTAGTGGCAGCCTCAGAAGATCCTCTTCTGAGCTGATTTAGGTACTTGTTGATACACTTGGGGGTTTTTCATCAAGTAAAGGCAACTGTGGCAGAGATGCTTTCAACATCTTACTTGTTGACCCCATGGGATAGGTTCTTCAATACAAAGAGCCACTACAAGAAGAGTGTTGCAATTCATCTTCACTTACCAGGTGCAAAGAAACTACAAGGAATGGCACAAACCAAACTCAATGAAGTACCCAACTTCCCCACTCCTCAGCATTCTCCTTTAAAGAGAAAGTGGACCATTAGAGTAAAGCGAGCTGATATTAGCAATTTCTCTCAAAAAGCCACTTCCCTGGTATGTCCTGGGGTCAGGACACACTAACTTGAATTTCCTACACACTGTTAATTGATTTCCCTGAGGGATCACAAACTTATTTATTCAAGAAAGATTCCGTGATATTCTCCAGGTAAGAATTAATGAGGCAAGATAATAGAACCACACACTTAAAATTTTCTGCAGTCAAATGGGATTAAAAGTAATTTAGGATCTGGGTATAGATCCCTGTTTCCAAGAAGAAAAATAATGTAAAATAACCTGAGATTACCATAAAGCATGACCTATATGGGAAGAGCTGATCTCTTAATAATTTAATTTCTTCAGGTTGAAAGTAATACCATTAAGGATTTAAAATTTAGTTAAATTACCTACAATATTTTCTTAAGCCATGCCTTCCATTTTACAAAGCACTTTTACACACATTATCTGCACCTAATTTCAATGGTAGGCATTTCCCCATTGCAGAAGCACATTAGAACTTCCCTAAGTGAAAAGTTTTGCCTAGATTTTTATTCTCATTACCATACTACCTAACCACATTCTTCCCATCACGCACATACACACACAAATGCATACATGCATCCCCACACTTCGCCTGACCTATTAATACCTCAGATCTCAGTTTAACCCTCACTTTGTTTATGGGGGCTCTCAGGCTGAAACTTAGAAAGGGGAAAGGCTACCCTCAATCCAATTACATTAGCATGGTGTAGGAAAAGGTGAAGCATTTATATATTGTTAAAGCTTCTCACGTGATTCCAATGTACAGCTGGCATTGAAAACCCTACTCTAGATCCACGAAGATGAGAAACAAACCAGAGTTGAAAGGTTTTGGTATGGGACCAGTGCTGGTCTTATTCAGACCCAGGAAACCTAAAGCTTAAATATATTCTACCTGGTGAGAAGGTCTCAGCTTCATTTATTTGGACTATGAGTTTCCAGAGGATTGTATGCCTTTTCGTTTTTAATATCCCCAGAGCATTTAGTTCCACCTTAGCTATGTAATAAGCATTAGCAGACTTGAACGAACTAGCTCTTTTCCAGCATCTCTTATAGAAATATTTAGATCTGACTCCATATCAATAGAATCAGAGTTTAGGGATTTAGATAATTCTGATACTGTTGCTTGACATCTGTCTAAAAATGAGTTCAGTATGAAGTGACCTTTGTGTTCAATTAACTTGAAAATTTACCTAGAGAAGGATTCACATGCAGTGTAGCCTGAGAGATTCTTGAACATTTCTAAAAATATAATGTTCACCATTTTTCCTTCAAGCCTGCATCACTGTTAGACCACTGTGATTGTTCACCATTCTTGCCTATATTGTTTGAAAGAGTTTTTCAACATAACTAATATTTATTCATTGCTGTCATCTTGCAAACATTTTTAATTGGTGGAGGGATTACAGTAGTAAGCACGACATATTTGCTGCATTCAAGAAGCCAAGGGGTGTAAACAAGTAAAAGGGAAACTAAGATAGTATGATAAATACTATTCAAGAGGTTCAAAACAAGATGATAACGCCAGTTTCTAGAAAAAGCACATAATTCCATCTTGGAGGTGTCCAGGAAGGCTTCTTAGAGTAAGCAAGCATGCAGATGAGGCCTGGAGCGTTAGTAATGGTCTTCTAGGTGAAATGTGTATAGCTGCAACAGGAGGGGGGCTTGGCAGGAAATAAGGGAATTGCAGAGCAGTATTCTAGGCAGTTTCTTCTAGTGTTAAGATGACAAACCATCCTGGTTTGCCCAGAGTTTTCCTGTTTTTAGCACTCACTGAGTGTCCCAGGTCCTGGTAACCCTTTAGTCTCAGGTTGTTCATCCTAGAAGGTCAAAACTGTTTCACCAAAAAGAAGGTTGTTAATATAACTCCCCACTGGTGTTCAGCCTCCATCCACATGTATCTTTATCTTGTGCACATTCAGGAAGGCTCCAGAAAGAAGGAATGGCATGATTTAAAGGGATGCTAGAATGATGATGAAGACAAACTTGGTCAGTTTTACAATCCTGCTCATGTCTTCAAAATCTATGTGTCTTTTGTTTTGTTTTGTTTTTTGAGATGGAATCTCACTCTGTGGCCCATGCTGGAGGGCAGTGGTGTGATCTCAGCTCACTGCAACCTCCACCTCCCAGGCTCAAGCAATTCTCTCACCCCAGCCTCCTGAGTAGCTGGAAACATAAGCCTGCACCACCACACTGGGCTAATTTTTTTCTTTTTTTTTTTTTTTTTTTGTATTTTTAGGAGAGACAAGGTTTGCCATGTTGCACAGGCTGGTCTTGAACTCCTGAGCTCAGGTGATCCACCCGCCTTGGCCTCCCAAAGTGCTGGGATTACACGCGTGAGCACTGTGCCTGGCCTCTGTATGTCATCTTTAATGCAAATGCCATAGATAGGGAGCTGATTCCTATGCGATTCCTATGCTAGAAATGTATGCTGGATCTAGTCTTGGGAAAGACCTCAGAGAAATATTCGGAATAGGGAACTCATCAAACCCAACAATGGTTTCACCAATCTCAGTTGCTGATAAGAAAAGAGCTTGTGTGACTGGTTGGTCAATTCCAAGATTTAAATGTTATCTCAGAGACAAGACAGATGTGATGTGAGAAAGAAGACAGATGTGATATTATGCCTTAGAATTTCTTGGAACAGAGTTTAATGAAAAGCTCTCTTTTAAGTGGCCATGCTACTGAGATTTTTAAAGTTGATTAGTTGACAAGACTACTTAGCATATTAGAACACTGGATACTACAAACTTAAAGATTAAAAAGAATTTTTTCTCCTACTGTCTCTCACTTAATTGCTTTCTGCAGCTTGCTTGAAACAGCTGTCTCCGTATCCTAATGAGTCTCGACCGCTGGCATGGAATATTCAATGCCATTTTTCAAATGTGATTCATGGAAAAATAAAATTTCCATTTTCTACAACTTTCGTAGTAGATGTGGAATTCGGAGACACATGCTGAAGGGGAAACACTGGGAATTCACCACTGCCTGAGCTCCATGCCCTAAGAGAAAACGAGAATCTTCCATGTACCGCCTTGCATTAAAGCGGTAATGACTTATTCTGTTATTCTTTTAATGGATATTTTCATTTTAAATGAGACTTTCAGGAAAAGGACAGTGTTTAAAGACATGATTTTCTTAATTA
Source organism: Homo sapiens (assembly GCF_000001405.40). Lineage (NCBI taxonomy): Eukaryota > Metazoa > Chordata > Mammalia > Primates > Hominidae > Homo > Homo sapiens. The sequence goes on from NC_000018.10 coordinate 44,047,025, forward strand.
TTTTCATACTGAAGCAAGTTGAAAATGCTCAATGACCTATTTTCATTCACAGGGGAATATTATGATAGAAAAATACGGCTGGCTTCTAGGAGAGGTAATCCTAGAACTCACTATTTTGATGATCTTTATAATTACGATTTCTTCAAACAAATGTTCACTCAGCATTGTAAATAAGCAAACACTATTCAAGATGCTGAGGATACAACAGGAACATAACAAAGTGCGTGTACTCATGGAGCTTTCAGTCTAACAGAAAGATAAATATCAAATGGACAAACCAGCACACAAATAAGAAAAATACCAGTTGGTGGTAGGTAGGTGTTAATGATGGAGAGGAACTGGAATACTAATTTTTTTTCTCATTATTTGGTTGCAATAATTATTATTTTTTTAAGGATTCCTGAGAGCACATAGACTGGTAATAAGGAAATTATTCATCTAAATATTCAGTAAATATTGGCCAGGTGCAGTGGCTCACGCCTGTAATCCTAGCACTTGGGAGGCTGAGGTGAGCAGATCACTTAAGGTCAAGAGTTCAAGATCAGCCTGGCCAACATGGTGAAACCCCATCTCTACTAAAAATACAAAAAGTAGCTGGGTGTGCTGGCGCATGCCTGTAATTCCAGCTATTCGGGATGTTGAGGCAGGAAAATTGCTTGAACTCAGGAGGTAGAGGTTGCAGTGAGCTGGGATTGTGCCACTGCACTCCAGCCTGGGTGACAAAGTGAGATGCTGGCTTGGAAAAAAAAAAACAGTAAATATTTAATTGAACATTTATTGTCTGTTGGGTACTGTCCTAGGTGCTGGAATTGACACTTTCTATGGAAGTATGCTTATATGATTCAGGTTTTATAGTTTGACTTCTTTATGGATGTCTTTGTTTCCTCTTAACTTGTAATTTCTCACAAGGATTATGTTCTTTCCCACAGTTGGAAGGAACATCTTAAACTGACTGCGCTAAGTTGTCAGAGAATGGTCAGTGTTCTGGTTCAGTGACAGTTCTTTCCATACTTCAGTTTGAAAAACATATTTTCTAGTGGTAAAGGCTGGTGGAGATGCCCTCAACCATATTGGGTTTTTTCCTTGGCCATAGATTTTTGTGAAAAAAAAAATCATAAAGAATTGATTCATGGGGAATTTATTTCTTTGCTAGATATTTGTTGGGTGCTGAACTACATGCTAGAAACTGATCAAAGCACCGGGGATATAGCAATAAAACTAAGTAACCAAACAACCAAGTCCCTGATCTCATGTGGTTTACTGGCTTGCTGGTGAAATTTGTGAGGCATGAAAGTTTTTTCTTAGATTTAAAAGTGTTCATGAATGTATTTGTTTGTTTACTTGCTTGCATATTTACTTCTTTTTAAGATTTCCAGAGAATACAGAGAACATTGTGTAAAAAGTAAGAAAGATATTCTGCAATAATGTTGGTCAAAACCTATTTATTATTTTAAAGCTAAAAGAAGAAAATTGTGATCTTTATGATGATATGACAAAGGTTCATTCAGTCCTTGTTTCAGACGAATGGTGATGTCCCAAGAAGCAGATTTCTTGCTTATGCATTTGACTGTCTACTCATGTTGCTATTAATGTGTCTGTGTGTGTGCATATACAGATAGGCATATGGTTTTGCTTAGACTGAATCCTTTTATGCGTATGGCTATTTCCTTCTGAAAACTAAAAGGGAACTCTCAAATTTACATAATTGTTGCCCAAACTCAGTTAATATAATCTTAGGACAAGGGTTCTATGAATATTGTTTGTATTTCCGCTTTAAGATGTGGGTTTGATTACATTTTAAATAATTACTTTTCAACTCATATTTATTCTATATTTCAAAGATATTTATTCAGCCATATAGCCAAAATGCCTACTATGGTATTAAAAAAACAAAACAAAACGAAAAAAACTTTGTCCCCATTCCTGGCACAGAGCTCCTGAAATATTTGGAATCTCCTGAGTAATGAGTGTCTTTGTTATACTAATGAGATGACTATTGGCTGAGAACTTTCTAGGTGGCTTCACAATGGGAACTGCTCTCCAGACAAACCATGATGAGAATGTTGGGACTTTTAGCCACATCCTCCCAAGCTCTGAGGAGAGGAAAGAGATTGGAAATTGAGTTAATCACCAGTGGCCAATGATTTAATCAATTGTACTTACGTCATAAAACACCCTAAACTACTGGGCTTAGAGTTTCCACATTGGTGAACACATCCACATGCTAGTGTGTGTTGCACCTCACTTCCACAAAGATAGGCATTCCTGAACTTGGGATACATTTGGACCTCACCCTATGTACCACTTTATCGGATTGTTCATTTATGTTCTTTATGATAAACTGGTAAACATAAGTAAAGTGACTTCCTGAGATCCATGAGGTGTTTTTTGAAAAAATCTGAGAAGGTAATGGGAACCCCTGATTTATAGCCAGTCAGTGGGAAGTACAGGTGGCCTGGGACTTGGAATTGACATCTGAAGTTTAGACAGTTTTGTCTGACTGGGCCCTTTAACTTATGGGGGCTGATGCAAACTACAGGTTAAATCTTCCTTGATGTGGTTCTGTACAGCAGCAAATCTTGAATTTCAGGGTCTATGCATCTTAGGGAGAAATAAAGTAGGCATGGTTGTGGAGCTTTTATTTTTAATTGGATTATTGATCCCAGTGTTTTTTTTTTTTTCCTCTTCTATAGTACTATTAAATATCTACAATCCTATGGTCCCATGGAGGTTAGAGTATGTTGAACTTGAGCTTGACTTCAGCAAGTGACTCGAACAGATGTTTGACAATGTAATTCCAGGTTGATGATGGTCTCTTCCACTCCTTCCTTGTGCTATGAGAAAAGCATTCCTTAGGTAACTGCTAGTTCATGGATCATGGAGCTTTTGTGTAGTCTGAAGCTAAACCAGCATTACCGAATTCACTGAACCTCAGTCAGCACCTCACATATGTGCAAGAAATAAATGCTTATCAATATAAGCCACTCTTGTACAGCTGACCAGTACAGACATTCAAGCAATTGGCCTGAAGCCATGTCTAGTTGTCCAGACCCAAATGTTTCCCCACAACCAAAATAGATTAATGTAGGTAGCAGCTAGGTGTACCTCCCAGTGGAATAAAACTTATATTAGGAAAACAATGTATGTAACCTTTTTTGTGAGCTGAGAAATGTATAGTCTACCAACAAGATAAGTGCAGATTAGAGCTCTAAAATAAATACATGAAATAGTGCTAATATAAAAATGGATCAGACCAGTTAGACAAAATTAGCATGTGCTGACCTTCAAATTACCTAATTCTGACATTTTCTCTCTTAGGAATATGGGAGTGAAGGAAACAATTGGTTGAGGGTTGAAGGCAGTGAATCAGTGCTATGAGTTAGAATTGGAATTGGGGCAAGCTGAGAGCCCTATGAAGACCAAAGTTGTCACAGAATGAAAATAGGGAAGTAACTGGGCAGAAGAGAGAAGGGATTTGAACACACAAAAAAAATAAAGATGCAGTGAGAAAGACATTAAATTATTAAGTAGCCTTTAAAACTACTTGGGTTCTTGATAGTTTTATGATTGTATTTTTGACTCTTTTAATATTTATTATGGCAGTAAAGTTCCCATTGTTTAAGTGAACTTACTGGTTCTCTCCTGCCTACAGAAAAAAATTATTTGTATTTAAACACCTGAAAATTCAAAATAATACTAAAAACAGTAATTTTATTTATATTTCTATATTCAGATTATATCCAACAAGCTTTGATTCTAAAATAAACATGACAACATGTTAGAGTTCTGCAGTGGGTGGCTAAGGGATCTTTTTATCTCATTATAAGTGGCACCAATGAATTCCAAGGGCCTCTCTTCTTGAGTGAGTTTGTGTGAGTGTCTTCACTTTCCAATCTAACTCAGAATTACAGTAATTTTGTTTGAGATTCCTCCCAGGACTGTAAGCCGTTTCTACGAGAAATGATGAACCCATTTCTAGGGGAAACAGTACTTAGAAAATTCTCCTTAATCCAACTTGTGTTTTCCCACTCAGCAGGCTGGAAGGGGCACACCTCCATTTGCTAGTACCCTTCACTCCTTAATTACGGGAGAACTAATTGCCACTGCTCTGTGGTGTACAGGTTTCTACTCCTCTCAAAGCTGCAGCAAAGCTAGGTCAGCATGAGAAATTTGACCCTGTAACTGAACAGCTCTTTTAATTAGGGATGGAGTAAGAAGGAGGGGGAAAAAAAAACAGAGATTGTACAGACTGCCTATGGAGTGTAAGCAAGCCCTGTGGAGACATTTACATATCTAAATTTAGCCAACTTCAGGCTTCTAACAAGCACTGTTTCTTCCTTTAACTCAGCACTTCAAAGGGATTTGCACAGAGGTTCCCTGAAGTGAAATTGAACATGAGAATAAACATTATATGTGCTTGTATTTTCTCTCTAGAATATTCTTAGACATATTTTAGCTTATACTTTTAACTTACCTACAACTCTTAATGATTTATTACTTCTATGAATTGATAAAAAATTTAGAATTTAATACTGATATTGGCCTCACTGAATTACAGAAACAGTAGTAAGATATATATACTGATATACAGGGTGCGACCGTGGTAACTACAATTCAGAAGAATTATGCCTTCTTTTGTTTAATTAAGTTAATATTTCAGTCAAAAATGGCCTGGATTGAGAAGTACGAGTGTAGTTTTTTGAGTTATGTCTACATCTGACCAGTATCAGTAGTGTGTATAAATGTATTTTTATTGTTGCTTATCTCTTCAGTTTGAGAGGGTGGGCTGTTTGAGTGGGTGGGCTGCTCATTTCAACCTAATGAATAGTCTGATCCCTTTTCTGAAGGAGAAGACAAACCTAGAAAGGGCTTGCAAGTGGGAATTCTTTTAATTATTACTTTATCATGATTATTCATTTAATAAAGGGAAAGGGTGACTATAATGAATTGGTACAGAACATTTATTCTATCATCATCCTAGCTGTGCCATTGAAAATTCAGAAATTATTAAGTCTATAAACTAATTTCCCAGGCTCCTTTGTGACTTAGGTTCTATATATGATTTGAATTCAACTAATCAGATGCACTTGCTTAGTTTTGGAAGGCAGAAGTATGGTGAAGTTCACAGGAATGCTTGTTATGATTTTTCTGATGTCAAGCATATCCATGGAGGTATTGGGTTTCTCTGTAATAGCAACAATATAACTTTTAGTGTTCTATCACTAGCTTTACACATATTAAAAGGCAGAAAGTAGGGCATATATTGTCTGCAAGTGACGATATAGCAGATATAACATAATTCTAGAGGCAACAGTTGTAGGTGGCAGCTTCCTGATCCCAGCCAATATGACGTGATCTTGAAGCCAATAATCCAAGTCTGCCACTCAGTCTTTCTGATTATGGAAGATGTAGCAGCTCCACTGGCAAGTCAATACTACTGTTTTCTGTAACTTATTTTGGATGCCCAATCTACAGTTTTCACTTCTCCATTATTCAGAGTAATTTGTAAATACCTCATTCTCTTTATTAATTCATTTCCACGTAAAATAGTTACAGTATTTTATGTTAACTACATTTTTTAACATTAACCTAATATTAACTTTTTTTTTTTTTTAATTTTAGACGGAGTCTGGCTCTGTTACCCAGGCTGGAATTCAGTGGTGCAGTCTTTGCTCACTGCAACCTCTGCCTACCAGGGTTCGAGCAATTCTCCTGCCTCAGCATCCCAAGTAGCTGATTACAGGTGCCCGCCACCAGCCCTGGCTAATTTTTGTATTTTTAGTAGAGATGGGGTTTCACTATGTTGTCCAGGCTGGTCTCGAACCCCTGACCTCAGGTGATCCACCAGTCTCAGCCTTCCAAAGTGCTGGGATTACAAGGGTGAGCCACTGCACCCAGCCAACTTATATATTATTAACTCAAATGTAGCTTCAGGTAAACAGGCAAACAACTAGTCAAAAATTCAGATTGGGCTTCTGGGATTATTTATAAGAATTGAAAGCACTGAAAATTAAATTATTATTTTAAAAAAGAATACTAGTGGTATGTAGTCATAAAACAGGTACTTAAATTATCCCTTGTGGCATAAAGTACCTATTGAAGAACAGCTTTGGAAGACAAGGGTGGTAATGGAGGTGATGGTAATGGGATATATCACTGTATGATGTTCACAGAGAATGGGGAAAGTAGCTAAGTCTAATTGCACTGCAGAGATTAACATGCAAAAAGACAAGCTGGGGGTTTTGAATTCTCAATATCATCAATATATGCTTTATTGAAGATAATAATTAATTTTGTAGCCTCAGCATTGACATATCCAAAAACTAGACTTAGACTAAACCTGTGTATTGTTGCATTCAAGTCTAACTTGTGTTCACCAGCCTTACTGATGAAAGTTGCAATCTTGGCTCAGATTGAGACCTGTAGAATTTGAATTGGAAAATGTGGAAGGATTTGTACAATTACAAGTACCCAAACACCAAAACCGATATCCTTTGTTAGAAGCAACTTTTCACTTATCTGAGGAGCATAGTCAATCCTTGCTTGAAGGAACGGAAACAATCTCTCTTGAGCCACTTCACCATAGTCCTTATATTACATCATCCTTAGTTACCTCCATATAGATAATCACACTGAGGTTGCAGTAGGACTCAGGGGCTAATTAAATGTTAAATATGGAAAATAAAGACATACAATAAAACTATTATAAGATTTTTAATTTATAATAATAACATTGGCAAAAAATAAGAAATATGTGTAGGAGAGGGCTAGATAAAAGTGGAGAGAAACAATTTTATATTACATAGCATTCATTGACTTGAGTAAATTACTATTTTGGATTCTGTAAGTGAGATTTAAAAGGTAGAAATAGTTATAATTGTTTGGACCAATGGTTAACTAAAACCAAGGTAAAAAAATATGCCTTCACTGAATAAAGTGGAAAAACCAGATATCCCTTGATATAATGAAAAGAAAGAGTCCTAATATTTGGTAATATGGAGAGACTGGGAGGGATTTACTGCAGGTGATCAGCTCCCCACCCCATGTCTCCATCCTTTGAGAGCATCTAGAAGAATTCCATCCACAAAATAATGAGAAGTGAACTGCTGATGGGAGTCCTAGTATCCTTGAAAAGTGCTTTATATTTTTTCTGTAAGACAATTGTAGGGGAGATGGTAGAATATCTGGAACACAGATGGCAGCAACACTTAGCTACCAGAAGTAAGAGAGGAATGGAAATCAGAATGTTTGGACATACAGAGAACTTTGATAGTCTCTTATTGATCATGAGGTCCCTAGGAATAAAATCCTACTTAATCTGATTTGAGTCCCAGGTCTTCAACCAATTCCCCTCTATCAATATCTATGTCTGAAACAGTAAAGACTAGTTTATCTTGAAAAAAAAAAAGATGCTATAGAGGCTTGAGAAATATCCTTGACATAATTTCACAAGGATGGGCTGAAATTGTCTTCCTCTCTGAAGTAATTGGTATTTACATGATGGCTGTTACAGGTTTAAGAAGATGACTGTGTACTGGGGAAAGAAAAATCTCTATAATTTTTTAGAATAATTGAATCATGAATCTGAGCTACTAATAAACTCTGGGGACTGAAATAAAAACCCTAATGGTCCACAGCTCAGAGTGAAAGCTTATGGGGTTAGGTGGTAAATGGCATTTTGACTCAAGCTCACTTCAAAGTGAAACCATCACGTGGTTATTTCCCTGTTCTTACAAGTATAGTTAGAGTAGGTATACTCAGAAAGTTGAGAATTCCTTTATTGATTCTTTGACCCATTAAGTGAAAGCTTTAGAAAGTGAAGACCCAGGACCTACCCATTCTTTGAGAATAATAAAACAAATGCAATATTTCACTCATGGGACCCTCTCAGAGATTAGTTCCATCATCAGTTGCTTAAAATATGTGGGGTGGTTATACCTATCACATATCCTTTCAAATAACCAAATATGGACTATGCAAAAATAAACATGCCTTGATGAATGACCACGGTTATTATACATTTAATTAGTGAGTGACATCAATTGCAGTCTCCTTACTAGAGAAAACCAGCATAATCACTAACATTTGATATGTAGCTATCAATATTTTGAGTGTATTTTCCTCTATACTAATAGGCAAAGTTTAACAGGTTTCTTTCACCTGACTTTGGCAAGAGCACAACTTTATTCTCTCACATCAGAGTTATATCAACTCTGTGCTATAATTAGTCTGCAGGAAATTTGATTCTCTCATATCCCTCAGGACACATTGGTTTACCACACTGATTTGCTCATGCCAGTAAGACCTAGTAAGAGGAAAGTAGCAAGAAATCTCATGTCTTGGAAACTTGCATTTGTTACCTACTTTTAGAAATCATTCATCTCTGGCCTGTTGGGATTCCCTGCTGGGATTCCCTTTAGAGGCGAAGAAAAATTGGAACACCCTGAAATGACTACTACTAAGGTAGAGCCTATTGTTTTGGTAGGGGTCTTATAATTTTAGGTGCCACATATGATATATTTGATTGTTTTGCCTCTAGCAATTTATTGCAAAGGCCCCAAATTGGCATCTTTGAGTAAGATATAGGAAAAATAAGTCTCTTTCTTTACTTGGTCCAGAATGCAGTACAAACAGCTCAGCTATTTGGCACTTACGATGTTGCAGCAGATCAGGATGCTGTAAGCAGGTATGAAAAAATTCTGATAAGAAAACTGCAGTGTAGGCTTCTAAATATTTGGAGCATAACTATGTTATTATCAGCAAATAACCACTATTCTTTAAAGAAGTCAATCCCAAATTGTTCTAAAGTTCTTAGGAGCCATTTACACACTTAAAAATAATTGAACACTCCAAAGAGATTTTGTTTGTGTGGATTGTTTTTTTGATATTTATTATATAGGAAATTAATTAAAAAATTTTAGAAACCAGTAATCTGTCTAAAAAAAGAGAATAAAACAATTACATAACAAGTGATATATTTTTATAAAGAATCACTACATTTTCAAAAAATTAGTAAGTGAAAAATTGTTTAATATTTTTTGAAATCTGTTTAATAAATTGATTAGTAGAAAACAGATTTTTTATATTTACCTCTCCATTAAATCTGTTGCAATAGATTGTTTCAATGGAAATGTACAAAGACAGTCTAGTTTCAAACACAGCTATGTAGTTAGAAAAGGGAGGAGAAATTTCATAGCCTTTTCAGGTTATTCTGGTTTTTCTATGATACTACACCAAAACTCAACAAGTAGTTGAGCTTTAAGAGTTGCTTATAACATGGTATTTTAAACCATATCAGTGAGCGTTTTGCTCTCTGTTACATGAAAACCCATTCATCTAATTTGCATGTTAAATGCATCTTTTACCCATGCCTGGTTTTGAAAAATTATACAAAGTTTATTTGGAAACCATTGGCTTACTGACTTAACAAGTCTTCCAAATTTTGGTACATTTCATTTATATAATCTCTCAATTACATTTCTTAATATCAACACCATCCTTATTAGAATACTCTTTCAATATTGGGGAGCTGGCAAGCAGATAACAATTTTCAAATTTCTAATTTACACTTGAAAGCTTGAATTTTATCATGGCTTATAAATACTGTCAGTTGTTTTCCTTGAAGTAATAAGTTTATTTTATTCATTTTTGAGAAAATATCTGCCAAACAGTTTAGTTTGAAAAACAGTGAAATGGTATCACTCATTTATTCAAATAAAAATGACATTTCGTGAAAAAAGCAACCAGTTTAGGTTCTCACTCCAACAATAGCACAAGTTTTTTTGAGACAATTAGATTTTGGTATTTAGAAATGCATTATACATACTTTCCATTTTGTCATACAAAGTATTAAAATATCATGTACCAAAGCATTAAGACAATAAAATAAATAACTTTACTACTTTTTCAAAGGGTCTATTAAGTTACATTGGCTTTTAAAAAAATAAATTTATGGTAATGAAAGATATGATGACTGCTTGATGTAGTTTGGATATTTGTTCCCTCCAAATCTAATGTGGAAATGTAATGCCTAATGCTGGAGGTGTGGCCCTAGTGGGAGGTGTTTGGGTCAAGGTGGCAGATCCCTCAAGACTGGCTTAATGCCTTCCCCATGGTAATGAGTGAATTCTTGCTCTTATAAGTTCACATAAGAACTGGTTGTTTAAGAGAACATGGCATCTTTCTTGCTCCTTCTCTTGCCATGTGACATGCCTGCTTACCCTTCACCATCCACCATGACTAAAAGCTTCCTGAAGCCTCACCAGAAGTCAAGCAGATGCTGGTGTCATGTTCCTTGTACAACCTGCAGAACCATGAGCCAAATAAACATATTTTCTTTATAAATTATCCATCCTCAGATATTCCATTATAGCAATGTAAAATGGACTAACAAACTGCTAGTACCTATTGTTTGGTACCAGTGTCTGATTCATGTTAAATATAGAATTTTTATCCATCACTCTTTTGCACCATCAGTAAAAATTTTAGCATAGTGAAAAGACAGAAAACATTGTATTAATCTGTTTAGGCTGCTATAATGGAATACTATTGACTGAGTGGCTCAAAAACAGAAATTTATTTCTCTCAGTTCTAGAGGCTGAGAAGCCTAAATCCAAAGTGCCAGCTACCCTAGTGTCTGGGGAGGGTCAGTTTCCTGGTTTTCAGATGACCATTTTATTATATCCTCACATAGAAGTGAGAAGAAAAAGAAAGAAATAATGTTCTCATTTCATGTCTTTTTATAATGGTACTAATCCCATTTATAAGGGCTCTACCATCATGTCCTAATTACCTCCCAAAAGCCCAACCTCCTAATGCCATCACATTGGGAGTTAGGCTTTTCAACTTTTGAATGCTGAGGTCATAGCGAATGTCTTAATGCTACTGTGAAAATAGTTGTGACCTGCAGACTCCCCCAGATGGCAACTCTGTTTGTCAGGGTAATTAATCTTAACTATTACAGAAAAATTGATTTGCTGGTAGTATCAATGCAGGTGAGAAAGAGTATGTATGAAACCCATAAAATACTATGAAATTCCTCCTATTACTGTCAAGTCTATCAGTAAAATTTAATGGAGTAATATAAAACCCTATATATACATAGGCCCATATCTGAGTGTGACTATGATGATGTAACTGCCTCTTCCAGCACCGCCAGCATATTCTGTAAAAATAATTTATAAACTATACTTGAATTTCTCCTTCTTCAATTAACTGGTCATGGGGGAACTCTCTGTGAGGACCTGGGCATGGCTTGAAAGAGCTGGCAGTACAGCAACCAAATATCCTGGCTTGCTTGCTTAATGGTTCAAATAACCATAAGCCATAAATTTGAGTTTGCTTAATAGTACCACATCACTAGGTGAAAGTGGTATACACAAAACTGAACTCAAGCACATGTACAAGTAAACTGCGTGAGTAGGTAATCATTCTTGCAGTGCATCTGCTCTTTTGCTGTGCTGCCTGTCAACTCTCTGTCAAGTCATACCCACAATCAGTTGATTAAAGAAAAAGAAGACATTCAAGTCTAGTTTATAAATTGTTCAACACAAAAATCTGGCAGAGCTGGAAGAGAAAGTTATATCATGATAGTCACACTCAGATGTGGCCCTGAAAGATAGTGATAAAGGAAATCCATCAAATAGGCAAAATTTCCTCTGTGCATGGAAGGTGTTATGGACCACATGATGGATTTATAACAGTCCACAAGCTTCGGCTAACAGGCTGGTGGAACATGGTCAGATGTTCAAAGAGTTAGAAGGAATAAGATTATATGACTAATGTTAAAGAGACATGGGTGAGAGATTTGAAACGTTGGGAAGAGGTCAATAATTTGAAAATATTTCTGTACTGTAAAAATGTTCACTGATTTCTCAATAGTCAGCTAGACAAGATCACTCTTTCAGTCTTTTGTTCTCAGCCATCCCTGTGCTGGTTCATTGGGCTCTTGAAATAAAAAAAAAAAACGGCCAAAGTAATAAGGAGATACATTATTTATGGGTTCAAAAACATAGATGATCGATCTCCAACAAGATCAATCTAGACACCACTACTAGCCCATATCCATGGGGACCAGCTAACCATCTGCTGCCAGGACAATTATATTAGAAACCATCCATTATGGATTGGATGGTGATTTGTCCTTGCTTGGATTGCATTTATATTAAATATGGATTTGCACTGAATTTCCATCTGCTAGATATACTATTTATAGGGCTGGGCATGGTGGCTCCTGCCTGTAATCCCAGCACTTTGGGAGGTCAAGGTGGGTGGATCACCTGAGATCAGGAGTTTGAAACCAGCCTGGCCAACATGGTGAAACCCCATATCTACTAAAAATACAAAACTTAGCCAGGTGTGGTGGCATGTGCCTATAATCCCAGCTACTTGGGAGGATGAGGAAGGAGGATCACTTGAACCCAGCAGGCAAAGTTTGCAGTGAGCCAAGATCACACCACTGCACTCCAGCCTGGGTGATGGAGTGAGACTCTGTCTCCAAAAAAAAAAAAAACAAGAAAGAAAAGAAATACTATTTATGGACTACCTTACCTACTTATTTACCCATCATAACATCCCAGACTACATTGCTTCTTATCAAGAAACACATTTCATGCAAAAGAAGTACATCGGTTAGCATATACTGATGCAATTTGCTGGCTTTACCATCAACTAGAAATAGTTGGACCAATATACAGCGGAATGCCCTTTTGAAAAGTCAGTTACAAAGCCAATTAGATGCTTTTCAATATATGATGCTTTTTTTCCAACAACCATTGTTATTGTACCAAAGCACAATGATAGAGAAACATAAAGTGGAAATGTGATTTGCACCTTTCAGTATTACATATAATAAACCATTGATAAAATATGTTTTTCCTACTATTTTGACTTTAGGATCCTCTAGTTTAGAGATTTTTATACCCAAAAAGGAAGACTTCTATAAAAGAAAATATAATAACTTCTTTTAACTGGAAGTTTGGATTGCCACTTAGCTATGTGTGCCTTCAAACAGGGACAACTTTGTTTGTTAGGGTAATTAATCCTGACTATTACAGAGAAATTGATTTACTCGTGTTATCAAATCGATTTACTTGTGGTAAGAAAGAGTGTATACGAAACCCGTTAAATACTGTGAAGTTCCTTCTACTACTGTCACGTTGTTACGGGATCCTTGGGGTGTCGTTTCACCACCTGGAAACCTCTGTGGCCAGTGGTGCCTTTGCCTGATTTTTGCTCCGGCCCACTGCCCCCACTCAGCCTGGCAGGTTGTGCTCAGCTCATGCTACTGACCTGGATGCCATGCCTTCCAAGAGAGAGTGGAGTGGCAAGGGGTGTGCGAGCAAGCAAGCATGGGGTCCAGCCACCACACAGAGCCAGGCATGCTGGCTGTGGCAGAGTGGGCAGCTTCAGGTGCAGGCAGGGCTCTGGCTCCCTGTATGGCTGCAGCTGGACCAGATGTACAAGCAGCTTCCATGGCTGGCACCAGGGAATGCAGAATGAAGTAATGCATGGAAGCTTGGAGATGCCAGGAACTGCAGAGCCCCAAAGAGGGTGTCACAGCCCTGGCTTGGGGAGCTCCTAGGCCTGGGATATCCAAAAGGCAGCAGCTCTTCTCTCCTTCTTTCTTCCCTTTTTCTTGTCGCTCACAACCTGGCAAGCAAGGAACATTTTTCAGCACTGTTTGTGTTACAGCTCTTTTAGTCCCACCATTCAGTGGGTCTCAAGTTCTTATTCTGCCTTGAGGAAGAATGAGGTAGGCAGACAAGTGGAGAGTGAGTAAAGAAAAGAGGAGCTTTATTGAATAACAGAACAGCTCAGAGAAGACCCACAGTAGGGTAGCTACTCTACACAGTTGGGGTGTCCCTTTGAATGGTCAGCACTCAGCAGAGAGGAGACCCTGGGGTGGGTAGCTCCTCTCTGCAGCTGGTCATCCTGTTGAGTGTTCAGCTCTCAGCAGAGAGGAGACTCTGTGGTGGGTAGCTCCTCTCCACAATTGGTGAACCTGTTGTCTCCTCAAGTCTGGCTGAGTCCAGGGTTTTTACGGGCTTCAGAGGGGAGGGAATGCATGCTTATCAGTCCATTGGTGGCCATGGGTGGACCCGGTAAAAGCACCATAAGTTCCACTCGATTCCGTGGGGTTGGCAGCCCAGCCTCCAGGCCTCAGGCCTTTCCCAGCTTGAAGGTAGAGCTTCAATAGGGACCTGCCCCATTCTGCCCCAGAGCCTGTCTGCCTCCTGCTGTTCATAGTGCCTAGGCTGTTGCTGCCAAGGGAAACCTGCAGGCTAGCTCTGAACTGCCCCCAGCCCTCCCTTGGCTTCCCTCCATGCTCGTTGGTGCCCAAAGTGTGGAGGGGGCAAAGGTAACATGAGGCTGTCATGTCAGCACTGCCCCAAGCATGCTCACACCCGTCCAGGTTGCAATAGCTCCTGGACTCAGCCTCAACTTTGCTCAGAGATCAGAGCAAGTGCTGAGAGCAGGGAGAGGCCAGGCAGTGGGAGCAGATACTTTTGAGCCTGTGTCGGCAGTGGGGGCCCTTTCTGAGCCTCTGAGAGTACAGAGATGCCTGGGTTCACACAGTGGCTGGGTGGCCACAGCTTCACCCAGAAGGGTGGGGCTCCTGCCTGCTCCAGGCGCCCACCGGCTCCTTGGAGCGAGCAGCCCTAGCCGTGCCTCCCCCACGGAAGCCGGCATCATGGTAACAACCACTCCAGACAGGCTGCTTCTGCCATCAATGTCTATTAGTAAATTTCAGTGGAGTAATATAGAAAACCATATATACACAGGGCCACATCTGAGTCTGACTATGATGATGTAACTGTCTCTTCCAGCTCTGCTAGCATAATGTGTAAAAACAATTTATAAATGAATTGAATTTCTTCTTCTTCAATTTACTGGTCATGGGGAGCTCTCCATGAGGCCATGGGCATGAATTTAAAGAAAGTTGGCACCACAGCAACAAAATATCCTGGTTTTCTCGGGATTGTCTCATTTTATGTATACTATACGAGCATGATATTGATAGAACTCTCATACTCCAAAGTGTCTCAGGTTAAAAGAAAAGTATATGATGATTTTAACCAGATTAGAAAACCATTAGATATTTAGATTATTTCAGATTTATGATTTATATGACCATTCCAGTAAAAGACTCCTGACAACCTAGAGTGGTGGTGAAGGGCAAAAGGAATTTCAAACAGGCAC
Source organism: Homo sapiens (assembly GCF_000001405.40). Classification (NCBI taxonomy): domain Eukaryota; kingdom Metazoa; phylum Chordata; class Mammalia; order Primates; family Hominidae; genus Homo; species Homo sapiens. Next base: position 44,062,226 of record NC_000018.10, read on the forward strand.
TAAAAAAATAAGTCAAATGTATCAACTCAGCTTTGTGTATAGCTGTAGAAATAAGAACTCTGGAACCTACCCATTTTTATTTTCTTGCTCTCTCTTACCTATCTGGATATATATCTCAAGATCTATATCTCCATTTATACCTACATAGAGAACACAAGAAATATATATATATATAGCCATCTAACCATATCTCTATATATAGATAGATAGTTTACATATTAACATATATAGATATTTCTATATTGGTCATCCCTTCATGTCCTCAAGTCTGGCTGAGTCATCCGGGGTTTTTATAAGGCTTCAGAGGGGAGAAGTCGTGTGCTGATTGGTCCATGGGTGGCTCCCTATGAGGCTGCAGCTGTACCAGGCATACCACAAGCAGCCTCCATAGCTGGCACTGAGGAAGACAGATAGCCACTGATAAATAGGTTGATAGATCTAGGTAATATCTATTAATATAATACAGGCCAGGTGCGGTGGCTGATGCCTGTAATCCAGGCACTTTGGGAGGCCAAGGCGGGTGGATCACCTGAGGTCAGGAGTTTGAGACCAGCCTGACCAACATGGTGAAACCCTGTCTCTACTAAAAATACAAAATTAACTGGGTGTGGTGGTACATGCCTGTAATCCCAGCTACTTGGAGGCTGAGGCGGGAGAACTGCTTGAACCTGGGAGGCAGAGGTTGCAGTGAGCCAAGATTGCATCATTGCACTCCAGCCTAGGCAATAAGAACAAAATTCTGTCTCAAAAAAAATTATATAAGTGTGTGTATATATATATATATACATATATATATATATATATATATGTATGTATATATTACATACATATTTCTATGTATGTGTGTATAATTTATTTTTTCTACTATTTTATAGGTCCTGGTGATTGTGATGATAAAGTAGACTTTATTGCATATAAGGATAGGCTTGAATTAGAAAAGGAATAACAGATACAGTTACTGATGGTAATTGGCCATTTCATTTATAATAGAAGGTAAGTGCATTTTAATTTTTTTGAGTGCGATTTGGAGTCTGCTAGGAAGCAGACTATCGCTGCTACTGTTCATGACTGGGAAATTAAGCATGGGAAGAAGTGTGGGGGAAATTCTTAAATATGTAGGTCCCTTGAGTACACCCTTACATTGGATTCAGTAGGTTTAGTGGTAGGGTCCGAGATTTTTGTACTGTATATTTAACCATCACTGCAAGAAACTGGGAAATAGGTGGTTTCCACTTCAGAAATTAAGGAAAACTATGCTGGAAGAATAAAATGAGGCTGGGCAAGATTGCAGACAAGTTTAGGATTGCTGATTCAGGGGAAAGCCAAACTTGAAGAGGGATTTTAGGATTCTGCCAGGCTGTGCTGAGAGTATAAAAGAAACGTGTCTTGGTGTCTACTCACCACCTCTCTTTCCCTCGGTGGTGTCTGGCTCCCTGGGCTGACTGAGACATCATTTGCACAGAGCCTTTGATGACCCATCACAGAGGAGTGCTGGATGCTTGGGGCTAAACAGATCTTAGACTATACATTTTATTCCCAGCCCAGGTTATCCTTTCTCTTTGATCTGTAGCGTGGCGGGCAGCCCCATCAAGATTTTAAATTTTTCCTACAAGGGTGGACCAAATCAAACCAGCTGTGCTTCACCACCAGGGCTTTTGGTAATTCAAGTTTGGAGCATAATTGACCCTCCAGGAAATAACAGATACTTTTAATTTGCTTTTTCTCTTCTCTGCTGCCTGCTGGAATAGAGACTGGTGAGAAAAAGATTCAGGAAACATAAGGGAAAAAAATGTAATCTCTATAAATGTGGATGTGTGGAGCTGTCATTTTGACTCCTCAGCAACTTAACAAACATTTAAAGAGAGAATATTTATTCTCCTATTACAACCTCATGGCATGATTTTCCTTGTTGAAATGCATTGGGTCTGGGAAGGGAGGGACATGATGGAGAAGCTTCTGTTTGATTTGGATTGCTCTGGCTAATCCCATGAATGTCTTTGGACTTACGATTGCATCAGATGGTTCATGATTTTAACAAGGTGAGAGCTCATTATTCAGAACTGTGAGCACACTTTAAACAACAGGTAGTAAGTTCTTCATCCAGTGGGTACTTAGCCTCCCTTAACCATATAACAATGTACTCAGTGAGGGGAAAAAGATAAACACTACTTTTGCTGTTAAGTTTTTCCTAATAAGGTAGAAAATGTAGAGAGTTATGGAGTCATAATGTCCCAGATTATCACAACGAGGAGAAATATTAGAGAACATTTGAGTTGACTTTCATTTTCACTGGTAGAAAATTGAGGCCTGAAGAAAAATGTGTAACTTGTTCCGGATAAAACATCTAGTTAGATTAAAATAGAAAGAGGAATAATATGATAACTACTGATAACCAATTTGGTATTTCAGTCCTTTTTATATTTCTTTCAGAAAGGGAGCATATGTTAGCTTAAGTAAGGATTCTGTGTCTTGATTAAAATAGTGATTGCATAGGAACTTGACTGGCATGGAAGCTGCTGGAAGATATCAGATATATACATATGAAAATAGGAACATATGATATTTTCTTCTCCAACAGTTACCCATAAACCATATAAACTTAACAGAACTTAATTAAAACAAAGAATATTATTATAAATGACATACATCTTTTTACCCATCTTTGGCACTGAGAGAGTCAACAAATAGAATATATACCTGCTAAAGTGAAGAAGTCCTCAATTCAACCAAAGTCTGTGAGAATACTCCCAGAAATTAAAAAATGTAAGAATGGGGTATTTTGTTTATAGAAATCTTTGAGAACCAAGCAGATTTTTATTCTGATGACTCCCACCCCCACCACTCAAAATAAGGCCCAATGGAAAGTTTTTGAACAGGAATTAGTATGTTAAAGCAGTGTTTTTAGATAAGTGTGTGCAATTGCAAGGATATGTGTAGAGACTAGAATTAGGTTGTGGTAGGAAGGGCTCTCCCTCTATAAAACCACAGCATATGGTCGCCTGTAAAGGAAACTAGGCTATTGGACAACTGCAAGCTGCAAAGTCGGGAGGCCAAGGGAATATTGCAGTGTATCAGCAACATGGAGCACAAACAGGTCCAAGGACATTCTTTCAGTGAATGAAGAACTCTATTCATTATTGAAATCTGGGAAAAGGATGAGCAATGGACTAAAGCCAGAAAGTAATCACACAGGGGCAGCCAGTCTATATCTTAACAACATAAGCACTGAATTAGCCTGAAGACAGAGAGTCAACACCCAATTACTAAGGGAAGTGCAAAGAGACGAGACATTGCAGTGCATTGAATTTAAATGCCTAATAAATAGAGATGCCCTTGCTTTTTTTAAAGATGCAATTAAGGACCTTCAGTTCCAGTAACCACATGCTCTGGAATTAAAATGTTGGGGTTTTGTGTGTGCGTGTGTGTTTTGTTTAACAGATGGTAGATATTTCAGTATAAATTTCATTCTAGTACATTTTAAAAAGACATTCAGTTCACCATTCATTCTGTAGGCAAGCATTGAGCATATAATATGCTTCTATAAATTTAGTACTATGTATATTTGGGAGTCAGGGTGGGAATTAAAAATAATATCAAGAATGTCCCTAAAAATCCAGAATTTATATTTTAATTGAGGTTGCAACTCATATTCATATTTTAAATAAATCAGAACTTAAATATTCAAATGAAGTTATCTTTCTAGCAGTTTCTTGGAAGGCCACCTGCCTTTTTCATTATTGAACCATTGTTGGAACACCTTTAATAATTGTCCTGGCTGGGTGCAGTGGCTCATGCCTGTAATCCCAGCACTTTGGGAGGCCGAGATGGGTGGATCACGAGATCAGGAGTTCGAGACCAGCCTGACCAACATGGTAAAACCCCATCTCTACTACAAATACAAAAATTAACTGGGCGTAGTGGCACAAACCTGTAATCCCAGCTACTCAGGAGGCTAAGACAGGAGAATCTCTTGAACCTGGGAGGCAGAGGTTGCAGTGAGCCAAGATTGTGCCACTCTGTCGCCTGGGTGACAGAGTGAGACTTAGTCAAAAAAAAAAAAATTGTCCTAAGAGCCTGTGACACATAATTTTACTGACTAGCCTGAAGAAGCATAAATCTTTGCTCTTTGATGGTATATTTGACTTGTTTTTAGAATCAACTGAAAATCCCTTCAAAACAGGTATTTCAAATAAAGAGAGGGAGACTCCTGAGTAATCCCACTGTGGTTTGAAAAGAAAAAAGAAGGTGCTGACAGAAACCACTTTCCTTGTATGGAATATGTTCTGGCTCTGAAGGAAAATTCATTAAAAAATGGGAACTGTGCTATCAAATGTCTGGGTGTTTCCAAATACTTAGCTGTTTGGCATTATATAGCTCCTTCATCTAATTGATTGGACAGTGAATGTTTCGCTTTACATATGCCTTTTTGCTGGCATGTAGACACTACCATTAGCTTTCTTATTATCACTTCTGCAATCTGACCCTGTAAATAAATACTCTCTTGTACAGTTCATTAATGGTTTATGTTTATTCAAGGATTACTTATCTTCTGCATCTTCCTACAATTTTATTAGATAAGTGTATCAGGTATGACTTGACCCACTCTCCAAGGGAGGTACAGCCAGGCCTTGATGGCAGTGAGGGCAGCAAAGTTGGTGCCTGGACTGTGTGTGAGGAAGCCTGCTCTCTGCTGATTTCAGTATGTTTCCCTTGGGCTGAATTTAAGGGAGGTTCATCTCCGAGTGTATTCTTTCCCACATTAGTGCTTCAAGCTTTGGTCTCCATCTGTTAAGGTTTCATTCCATTCTTTATAAAAACTCATTTTTCCCTTTGTGTAAGAGAAAACTGGAAACAACATTTTCATCTATATCTCCTATAGGCAGATGAACAATTCGAATTTTTCTCTTGTATCTTATTTGAATTTCTTATTTTTTTCCTGATATTGCCATGTAACTACAAAATAATGTTTTGTTTGACATAGGTGTCTTGTGAACTGACACTCAAATTTGTTATTCTACTTGTAGAGATAATTCTTAGAGATTGGAAGACAAGAATAATTATGATTATGTACTGGAGTTGGTTCTATAGAGTACAATAATGCCATGTTCTTCTAAGGCACACACAGATTTTTACAGTGAAGTCATACAATAAACAGACTACATCATCAGCCTCCCAATCCAGTGAGAGACAGAAGTCAAGAGGATCCAAGTTATTTGCTCTGAGGTCTCTTAGCAAACAACATGTATAAAAGGAAATATAAATTAAGAATCCGCCTGCCAGGCTGCATCGTCACCCTTTTTCTTTTCTTGTTTTTTCCCCTTCTAAGCATGAGTTCTTACTTTTATCATAGTTTTGTTATAGGCACAGTTTTAAAATTTAATTTTGCTAAGCCTGGTACATCCATCTAGTAAATATTCAATTTAGCTGTCCAGGGTATTTTTAGATTACCGTTATAGTTTTCCTTTAATGTTTAATTCTTTTGCCTAAATTTGCACATAAACTTTCACAAACGGGTATTCTGTACATCATCTAAGCTTTTTAAAATGCGGTGCTACAAAGCTTATTGAGAGAGTGAAGGGATTTATCCTAATCCAAGTCGCTAGTTGAATATACATGTAAATTTAATGCCAAAGTATCGAGAACTTTCCTCCTAGCTATCCACTGATAAAACGCAATGCTGACTACCTTCACTTAAAGTTAAATCTCATATGACCATAGGAAGTCCTCAATGACTTCATAGTACATCTGATGGATGGAGCATAAGAGTATAAAATCATTTCTTATAATAGCAAAACAGCTAAAAATTTATGAGCAGGGACTATAAGAAACTGTTCTCCTGACAAGCATACTACTTCTTTTATACAGAGGTAAAGCAACTTCTGCGATGTCACACAGTTGTTAGGTGGTGACTTAGTCCATCTTCCAGACAGACATTCTGAAATATCTCATGGCCCCACTCTTTAAAAAGTGAATGCTAGCAGTATATCTGCTCAGGTTGTTCATCTCTAATAACTCCCAGGACATTTGTTTTAATTCATAGGTCTTTCTGGCACCAAACAGTGTGGATCAGGCACAGAGAATTTAAATATAAGTTATGAATTGACTAATGTAATGTCTTGATTATCCAATTTAGAAGCATTAATTAAGCACTTACTATGTTCCTGGCACATATAGGTGATTCTAGAAAGAAAAATAGGTTAAAAAAGTTATAAAATATGCATTATGGGCTACCACAAACCACTAAAAAATGTCAGCAGAGGATAGTATTAACTCTGGACCAAGCAGCAGGGATGGAGTTGTATCATAGGAGGCTTTATGTCCCCATTCAGTGGCTGATTTCAGTTCCTGTAGCATGTTTCTCAAACGATTTCTACCCTCTCCAAGCTGGCAACGCAGTCTCTGCTCTTATCTTCTCCCTTTAATGCAAAGATCAAGGCCCCTCTCTAATGAGTCTGTTAGTGTTCTTTCTCTCTGGCAATCTCTATAACCTGTTGTCCTTCTTCTGTTTTATTAAAAAAAAAAAAAGCCAAAAACAAAAACAAAAAACTCTCTTCTGCTAACCAAAGATAACTCTTCTGCTCTGTTCTGGATAGCAATATTTCCCATCTCCTCCAGGTCCTCCAGGATCTGGCCTGTTTATTCCCATTATCCAGACTAGAAAAGTGCCCAAGTGTCCTATATGCTTAAAACAAAAGATACAACACCACCAATAAGTTACTTTTCCTTTCCCCTTCCTTCCTTCTTTCCTTCCTTCCTTCCTTCCTCCCTTCCTTCCTTCCTTTTCTTTCCTTCCTTTCTTCTTTTCTTTCCTTCCTTCCTTTTCTTTCCTTGCTTTCATTTATTTTTTAAGAGATTGGATCTTTCTCTCTTGCCCAGGCTGGAGTTCAGTGGTATGATCACAACTCTCCTAAGCCTCAAACACCTGGGATCAAGTGATCCTCTGGCTTCAGCCTCCCAAGTAGCTGGGATTGCAGGCACGCACCATCACACCTGGACAATTGTTTTGCTTTTGTTTTCTTGTAGAGTCAGGGGTCTTACTATGTTGCCCAGGCTAGTCTTGAGGTCCTGGCCTCAAGCAGTCCTTCCGTCTCTGCCTCCCAAAGCACTGAGCTAAGTTACTTTTGCATATATGTTTTCTTTCTCCAATAAACATTTCCAAACTAGCCTGGACTATTTGCTGCCACTTTCCTGTCTTCCTGCACTTTCCTGAACTTATAATTCTAATGAAACTACACTGACTTTCTCTACTCATCTGTTCAAATCCAATGTATTGCTCTCAGTCTCCACTCTGCTTTATATTTCACCAACATTTGACTTTGACTCAATTCTTTTCCTCTTTACATCTTTCTTATTCCTAAATTCCAAAAAATGTCTCTCAAGCTGCATTTTCCTAAATGCATTTCTAATATGTCCTTCAAACTCTTTAAATAGCCTTCTAAATATTATTTCTCTACACAAATCAAATATTGCCTCTGCTTTGAATGACCTTCCTCTTGTCTGTCTTCTGAAATTTTATGCATCAACAATCATCTGAAGTGAGTATCACTCATTCCATAAACCTTTTGTTTTCTCTTAGCTAAAATGTAATGCTTTCCTCTTCTTTTGTAGCACTTAGTAATATTTTTCACATGGACTTTTGCTGCTATTTCTTGTTTATGAAATTTTTCAAAAGTAGAGAGAAAAAAATGGCATAATAGACACATGCTCCAATACATATTAACATTTGTTATGCTTGTTTTAGATATATATTTTTAGAAAAAAATTATATATGATAAAATCCTCCTGCTTTTCAAGGGAAAATTGCTGTGCTAAAATAATTTCACCTAGAAATAATATTCTATTCATTCTGCTTTTTATTTTGAATGCCTATATGTATGTGGGTATGTTTAGATATATATAAAATAAACATAGAACTCTGTGTGTGTGTGTGTGTGTGTGTGTGTGTGTGTGTGTATTCTTAGAGTACATAATATTGATTTCTGTGGGGTTTTTTTTTTTCATAAAATTCTGCTTGCTGTACACAGTGCTTAGCACCTGGATTTTTCACTAAACATTATGTTAAGTAATGTATGTAGGTTGATAGGTTTATATGGTACAGTAAGTCATTAATTTTAAACCTTCATATGAATTCAATCAAATCTTTCATGCTATCTCCTTAGACATTAGAATTATTTTAAATTTGTGTTTTGTTCTGTTTTGTTACTACAAACATTGCTAGGATAAACATTTCGTGCATACGTGCAGACGTTTCTACACAGTTTATTTATGGTGGCCACAAAGTCTCTATATCCTAATTAGTGACCTCTGTGTTCTATTATTAGCACAAATGTATATTTTCAAACCGGATCTTGTAGACAACTCCTTGGGAGTCATTAACAGGGAGGGTACCTGATAGTTTTCTTCAGATCATTATTATAAGCAGGGATATCATGCATGGAGAATTTATAGCTGCTCTATAAGTGGAAGGGCATTGTTCCATTATTACTAAATATTGCCAAAGTGATCTTCACATAGGTTGCTTCTATGTATATCCCAACAAGAAATACACGGAAGTTCTCATTACTCCAGATTCTTGACAAGAATTTATATTATCAGACTTTTAATTCTTTTACCAAATGAACAATAATGATTATATATCTTGTTTTAATATTAATTGTGTTTACTAAAAGTATGGGTTATTATTTTCTTGTATAATTATTGACAATAATATCTCTATCCTGAGAATTACCTATCCATAAGCTTTAGCTATTTAGATTGTGTTATGATTTACTATTAATTTTCAGAATTTCTGTGTAGAGTCTGTAGTAACACTTCCTCTTTCATATACGTTGCAAATATGTACTTTCCATCTGTAGTATCCCTTGAAACAATTTTCATTTTAATACAGTCAAATATATCAAAATATTTGTATATATGAATTAGGAACATGAATTCCTGTGTTCACATTTAAGCAGGCATTATAAATGCAATCATTCTGAGGATATTTTCTGATATGATGTGATCCTTTGTATTTTGTAATACTTTGAAGGTTACTTTCATAATTAGGTTTTTAATAACTCTAGATTATACTGTGTTAAGGTGTAAATGTATTAATTTGAATTAGATAAAGAATAGAAACAGAGGAGCAAATTTTACTTTAATATATATCTCTGTAAAGATTTTTCTTAAAATCTTGAGCATGTAATACTTTATCCTTTTAATAAAAATGAGAGTAAGATTCAAACATTTACTTCTGAAGTCATCAGTTTCAAACGTATTAACAGTGTGGATTCTTGCTGCCCTGAAGAGAAGGAAAAAAAACACTTAAGTACCTTTCTTTTGTAACAGTTATATGACTGCTATAGAAAATTTAGGGTGGTCTATGGCCATACCACCCTGAACACACCTGATCTCATCTGATCTCAGAAGTTAAGTAGGGTTGAGCCTGGTTAGGACTTGAATGGGAGACTGCCTGAAAATATCAGGCACTGTAGGCTTAAATAAACAACAAAAAAAGGATTTTTTTTGCAGAGAAAATTCCTATAATTTGATCATTAAAAAAATCACTGCAAGCCATTAAATAGTCTTTAAGTAGCACTGATGGTAATTGACATCAAATTATCTAAGTAACTTTGTATCCATTATTCTCTAAAATACAAAATTTTCTGAAATTCCTATGCATTTAATGTATGATGAGCCAGGTGTGGTGGTTTAAGGCTCTAATCCCAGCTACTCAGGAGGTTGAAACAGGAGGATTGTTTGAACCTAGGAGTTCGAGCCTGCACTGAGCAATGATCAAGTTGCTGCATTCCAGCCTGGGTGACATAGTGAAACTCCACTTTTAATTAACAAAAAATGTAAAAATTAAAATGAAAATAAATATGTGATAAATGTGAATGTAGTGTGGAGGATAGGTCTAGGTCAGCTCTGTTCTACGTCACAGATTTTTGTACATCTGCCTTCGCCATTACATTTAATGTCCTGGAAAACAGACACATAGTTTGAATATCTTTGGAAGAGCTACAACTTTGAATGGAGTTGCCATACAAAATAGGTACTCAGTAGTTGTTTAGTTAATTTGAACTGAAATCCTGTGTGCTTATAAAAGTCAGGACTTAAAAAAACTGGGGCAGTTAATGAACAGCCTTGGGCTAAGAATGAGAAGATTCAACCCTATACATATTATAAGATATAATGACTTTGTATCATTTTATACATTCCTCTTTGCTGATGTTCTTAGAATCTAAATGTTCCTTGCCTCGTGAACTCCCCACAATCTGACTAGTTTTTACGTTTCTGGGATTTAGATTACCTACTTTGAATCAAAAACAACACCTACTGCCCCTAAGTTTTTGGAACTATAGAATCCCACATATGAATGCTTGCTTGTTTCTACCATTATTATTTTCTATTTCTGAAATGAACCTACTATACAGTAGTTCCCAATTCAATTCCAGTATTCCCAAAGTCTCTCACCTCCCTGGTTAGTCTTGTCAGACATACCTTCACCAATTGCCACACATTGCAATGTGAAAAAAAGACAAGCCCATATAATTTATAAGGATGGTAGAGTCTTTCCACAATTAACAATCAGAAAGAAAAAAAAATAAAATGCCAAGGAGAAAGAGCACCTCTTTGTCATGTTTATTAAGTAAGTTATATATCTTCTCAGGGCCTCATTTTATTTATTTGCAAAATGAGAGGATTGGACTACTCAGTCTTTAAGACCATTTCTAGAAGTAATGTTCTATTACAGCTACTCACTTTAAAGATTACCCTGATAATTTTCCATGTCCTATATGTTTACATTACATTTATATTGACCTTTTCCTCAAAATGGTGTCTATTTCTCAATCTGTTCCCATTGTAATTTGCTCATATGGTATGCTATTTCTAACTAATTTATTGGAAATGTTATTTATAGAAGGTCAAATAGGTTTCTTGCTTTTAAAGGTCATGTCCTCATGCAGAATGCCCTCATTTCAGAAATACAGGCATTATCTTGTTTTATTGCACTTTGCAGCCAGTGCAATTTTTTTACAAATTGAAGGTTTGTGGCAACCCTGCATCAAGCAAATCTATCGGTGCCATTTTTTCCGACAGCATGTGCTCACTTTATGTCTCTGTGTCAGCATATTTTAGCAATAAAATATTTTAATTGTTACGTATATTTTTAGACATAATGTTATTTCACACTCAATAGACTACAGTATAGTATAAACATCACTTTTATATGCACAGGGAAACAAAAAATTTGTGACTTTCTTTATTGCAATATTCACTTTATTACAGTGGTTTGGAGTCAAATCTGCAATATCTTTAAATTATGCCTGTACCTTTCATACAAGTTCATTCATTCATGGAGATCTGAACAATTTTTACAAAAGAGAGACAAATAGACTCAGATGCACTGTTTACAATTATAAAATCATCAAGAATCCGTTACCTGCTGTCTCTTGAAATCTTCATATGATCTCTGGTGATTGTTTTCCCAAACTCGGTATCTTTAAATAATGATAATTGGAGTTGGATTGCATAACAATTTATAAACTCAATTACTTTTTTAAAAAACTTTTTGAATACGTCTTTATCCTCTCCAAGTCATGAGACTTTAGAGAAAAAAAATCCCCAGAGGGAAGAGCTATATACTGAAGACCCTTCATAAAGCATCTCATAATTCTTCAGACTTTTTTCATATTATGGTTGAAACACTGAGTTTAAAATACCTTTCTTGTGCATTTAAACATGCATAAAAATGTATGTTTTTTACTTTAAGTGACATAGAAATGGGCCTCTTTATAGAGTATTGCAAAAAAATGTTCTATAACGTTTAACGTAAAGAGAAAGTATTTGTTGTGACAAAAGAATACCTGTATGAATGAAGTGCTATACCATGTTCAAAAATGGAAAGACTTGATTTCTTAAAAAATCTACTTTCACTAAATTAACCTATAAATTTGACACATACCAAAAGTAATTGTGAATTGATTTCTTGTGGAAATCAAGCAACTGATTCTAATATAGTAGATTAAGAAATTTTTCTAGTGCAGGAAAGCAAGAAGCAGGACTTCCTATGCTATCAAGACTTACAATAAAGTGGTCTAAATTAAAATACCGTGTTATAAACACTCAGGAGTAAAACCAAGCATTGAAACAAAGTGGAGACCCATAGAAGGGGCACATATATGTGGATTTTCATATATGACAAAAATGGTTTTCTAATTCAGTGAAATAAATAATTCCTAATCAAATAGGTTAATCAGTGAAAAATATGGTTTTATTCTTACCTCACACCATATATAGGAATAAATAAGAATAAATTCCAGATAAATTAAGCATCTATATGTGAAAATTAATTTTTTAAAGGATAAAGTATAGACTAAAACCTCAGCTAGAAATGGATTTATAAAAACTAGATTTTAAAAGTTATAGAATATAAAGCAAAATTTCCCATAATTTACTACATACTATAATTATGTCCAAAAAAGAAAGCATAAATGATTAAAAATGCAAACTACATTCAAGGGAAATGTATTTACAACCACACCTATATGACAAAACATTAGAATTTACAATACATAAAGAGCTTTAACAAATCAATTAGAAAAAGATGATATCAGACTGAAGAAAATAATAAGTAGAGTAATAGACAATTCAAACAAAATACTAGTAGCCAATAAATGTAAGAAAAGATGCTCAACAGCACTTGAAATCTCTAAATTTTCATAAAACAACAGATGCTATTTGATTCATTTGTTTGTCTAAAAAGGCAAAAGGGAAATAATTATCGTTAGGCAAAAAGTATAGTGAAAACTGTTGCAGACAAGATCCACTGATAGATGCAAAATTTAGTGGGTGAAAGTTTAAAGAGGAATAGATTTTACAAAGTTTCAAAGTAACTTCCTCAAGATATGTATTAACTACAAAGCAAAAGAGAGTAGTTTTACAGTGGATAAACCCAGAAAAACACTACTTTAACCAAATGAACAAGGTTAACATCGCTGGTAATGACATTGACGTCATGAATTCCTTGACACCATGCACCAAGAAAGACACATCATTTCTGTGATGTTGTTGCCAAAAATATCTCATTCCAATCAGGAAAAACACACGAGATAAACTCACATTGAAGAACATTCTACAAAATAACCAATTATTAGTATTCTTCAAAACTGTCAAGACCATGAAAGACAAGGAAAGATTGAGGAAATATTACATGTTAGAAGAGTCTAAGGAAGAACAGAAACTAAATGCAACACAGGATCCTTGCTAGAATGAAAACACAAACACACACACACACACACACACACACGAAGGAAAACTGGTGAAATTTGAATTAAAGTCTGTAGTTTTTTAAGTACCAAATTTTAACAGTGTTGGTTTCCTGGTTTCAATAATTAAACTATGTAAGACGTTAACATTAAATGAAGCTAGATCAGGGGGAGTATGGGAACTGTCTTTTAATATTTATGCAACTTTCCTGTAAGCCTACAATTATCTCAATATTGAAAGTAAAAATTATAAAAAGATTGTAGAGAAGCAAACATTTACTAATTGTTGGGGAGAATTTCATGAGTAATTTTATGCCATATAGTAAAATTTAATATGAGCATATTCTTTAGCCCAACAATATCCCTTCAAAGCATATTCTTTAGCAAATTATTTTCAAAGTTTTAAATTTATTCGGTGGTTAACCCAGAAATTTTAAGAATACAGTACAAAATAATGGGAGTATTGTTTTATGAATAGCAAATTTAAGTACATGTGCACAGTACCATCATGTACAATTTAGCATACAGAACACTTCTGTTTGTGTGTGTAGGTGTTTATTGGAATGTTATCCAATATAGTTCTTATTGAGGATTGTGTTAACACCACCAGTCTGAAGAAATTCTAGCACTCTTAAACAATAGGTTAGAATAAATTTAATGTTTGTGAAAGTGAAAAATTGGAAACAAATGTAGAGCTAATGAAGAATGAATAAATAAGTTGTGCCACATGTGTAGAGTAGAATATTATATGCCAGGATCTGACGAACTATAGCCTGCTTGTCAAATTTAGCCCGCTACCTTTCTTCATAAGTTTTATTGAGACATAGCCAGTAATTCTTTCATGTATTGTCTATAGTGCTTTTATCCTAAAATATTTACTGTCGAGGCCTTTACAAATAAAAGATTGCTGACTGCTGCTATGTAAAAATGATTAACATGTAGTTACATGTGTTGACATCATTAAATCACCATACTATAATATTTATAGCAAAAAAGTCGCAGAATAATGTACCGTTTTAAATAATTTGAGACCATTTGAAATAGTGTGTGTGTGTATAATCTTCCTGTGAAAAACATGCATGTGTTAATTTTCTATTGCTGCGTAACAAATTATCACAAACGAAGTGGCTAGAAACAAAATGCATTTATTCTCACTCACATTTCTGTAAGAAATATGGGCATGGCATGGCTGAGTTCTCTTCTCAGTGTCTCACAAGACTGGAATCTAGACCAAGGCTAGGGTCTCATCTGTGGCTTGAGGTTCTCTTCCAAGCTCCTTCAGATGGTTGGAAGAATTTAGTTCCTTGTATTGTACATCTGAGGTCTCTGTTTTCTTGCTGCCTGTTAACTGGGTCACCCACAGCAACTAGAGGCTGTCTAGAATTTTGCTAGAGGAGTTCATTTCCACTTATGGCTGCCTCCATCTTCAAAGCCAACAATAGAGAATCCTCCCCATGTTGACTGTCTCTCACACTTTGAATCTCTTTTCCAGAAACAGTTCTTTTAGGAACTCTCTGATTAGGTCAGGCTATTTGAGAATAAGCTTTCTTTGCTAAGGCAAGCTGATTTGGGATCTTAATTATATCGGCAGCATTCTATTACAGCAGCACCTAGATTAGTGTTTGATTGAATAACTGGGAGAAGATGTGTGTACAACAGCGATGGGGGAATCTTAGGAGCCATCCTAGAATTCCGCCTGTCAATGCATGGAAAAAATAAATACCGTTTAATAATATTACTTACTTCAGAAGTGGAGGGAAGCAGACATATTTATTCCAAAAGGTACACAAATGTCTTGAAACATACTTGTAATATTTTCTTCTCTCAACAAAATTGAAAGCAAATATGGCCACTTACTAAAATGCAATTATACTCTATATTTAGTACATAGATGTACATTAGGGTATTCCTTATATTTTCATATATTTGAACTTTTTCAATTGAATAAAAAATTTATTTGACTTGAAGTTTCACTTCAAATCCCTCCTTTCAGCTGAAGCATTCTTCAACATTTTCCTCATTCTTAAACTTTCACAATTCTCTTACAGTTAATACCATCTTTCTTGAGTATAACATTACATGCCATAGAACGTTTTGTGCAATTTGCATGCATCAACACTAATCAGTACATAAAACCTGTAAGAAAGGTAAGAATATCTGTTTGAAAAGAAAAATGTGTGGCTAAGTAAGTTGAGTTTCTGATATTCTTACAATTGGATCCATTTGGCTGAATTGAAACACTTCGTATTTTTTTACTCCATCTAATGAGTTCTTCATTGTTAGTGCAAACATCTTTCTTGTCACAAAACTCTAAATTCTTAAAGAAATACATCTTTTATGACCCTCGGCCTCTAAACAGTAATATTTATAGAGTATTTTCTCTTAAAACAAATGCTTGAACTGATTAAAGGGAGATGAATTCCTAGCACATCAGGTGAGAACATCCAGTAAAAGATTTAAATTCCTTTATAAATCTGAACAGAGTTAGTGGGGGCTGGGGGATGTGGGTTTAGATATAGAATTACATTTTGAATTTGAGTCAATGTTAAAATTCCATTCTAATTATGCTTGGAGTCATACCTACTGAAGGTTACAACTTTCCTTTAACAACAAGGAAATCCTTTGTCTTTTCTACAGGTTCACAGAGTATAGTGTTTTAGCTCTCACATTATCTCACTGCTTCACTAGAATTTCAAATACTTGATTCTCCTTAGAAACAAATGTCATGGTATTAACTGTATATATTAATAATAATACATAATATATAATACAATTTTTGAAGCATCACAACTTCCAAATAGCATACTAAAACTCATGTCCAAAATATGTTAACCATATATATATATACACACACATATAGTTTTATATATATATATGTGTGTATATATATACATATATATATATATACACACATACACACACAAACACACACACTTATGTAGTGTTCCCTCATTATCCATCCATGGGTCATACTTTCCAAGACCTCCAGTAGATGCCTGAAACCAGGGATAGTACTGAACCCTGTATATATCCTATACTATATATGTGTATATATATACTATATACTACATGTGTGTATATATATACTATATAATATATATGTGTGTATATATACTGTATACTATATATGTGTATATATACACTATATAGACTATATATGTATGTATATATGTATATATGTATATACTATACAGTATATACAGTATATATACTATATACAGTATGCTGTATATAGTATATATACTATATACAGCATGCTGTATATAGTATATATACAGTATATATACTATATACAGTATATGTATACAGTATACAGTATACTGTATATATACTATACATTATATACCATAGTATATACTATATATACTATACATTATAAATAGTACATATAATGTATACTATATAGTGTATATATACCATATACTATATAGTGTATATATACCATATACTATATAGTGTATAAATACTGTATATACTATATAGTATATATAGTATATACTATACTATATAGTGAATATATAGTATATACTATACTATATATACACTATATAGTACTATATATACTATATATACACTATATAGTATATATATTCTATATATACTGTATATAGTGTATATATACTATATACACTATATAGTATATATACACTATATACAGTATATATACTATAAATACTATATATACATTATACTGTATACAGTATATACTATATAGTATAATGTATATACAGTATAGTATATAGTATACTATATACTATACTATATATAGTATATATACTATATATGCTATACATTATATACTATAGTATATACTATATATGCTATACATTATATACTATAGTATATACTATATATGCTATACATTATATACTATAGTATATACTATATATGCTATACATTATATACTATAGTATATACTATATATACTATACATTATATATAGTATATATATACTGTATACTTGTATACTATATAAGTATGGCTCTGTAAACAATAAATTTTTTTTTCTGTCATCTCTTCTGTTTTTTTACATAAAATAAGTCTGAGCTACATTTTCCAGGTCCAATATATGTCCTTTAGGGTTTGTCTGGGGTCTGGGTTTCTTCTAAGTGTGATATAGTCAGTCCTAAGTCCTCAATGTCCAAATGAGTGCTCAAGTTCCAGCCTGAGATCTGAGTTTTCACCCAGAAGGATGAAGAAAGGATCAATAATGTCATGTAAAGTAATCCAGTTGTATTTTAATGTGGTTTCTTAGAAGTTTTCTATACAATCTTTCTGCTTACACTGACTCATCACTTTGCTATCCTATTTGCAAGGGACGTGAATAATACAGTCTTTATTCCAGGAGGCCACATGTCCAGCTCAATTCTGGCAATCTATTACTAAAGAAGGAGAAAGGAGATAAGAGAGTAGATGACTTGCAGTTTCAACTACACAAGTAAATCCAAGGCCTGGACAGATAATAAGGTGTAACTTCCACATTTTAGAGCTATAATTCTATAATCTTTGTCTATACAAACATATAAAAAATCTTCACCATATGCACATGCACACATATATTTAACCTGCCTGTCAAATTTGTGAATATGAAAATCTAGCATAAAAACATAATCTTTTTGATATGCATAGCTTTTTAAAAATAACATTTCCATGAGGCATCAAAGCTTTAATATCTACAACATTCCTAAATAGGGAAAAAAAATTACACATACCACAGAGCTCAGAACCTGCTATCAATTCCATTCACAGTGGCAGAATGGCTTTAATAGCAAAGACATTTATGAGTCATAAATTACCATTTATAAATGCAGTGTTTAGTGTTCATTTCAATGGACGACATATGGTCTCAACATTTCCAAATAGCTTGAACTGATAAATAGGCCACCAAAGTGGTTCAATTTGTTAAAATGCTAACACATTAACTCCTGCAGAAGTTGGGCTGCAGGTTTGCATCTGAAATGCTGAGCACTGACTTTGAGATTGCAAGATGCTACCTTTGGAAACTTGGCCAGGATTTATGAAGAGGATCTCACAGTCCATTTCTCATCATGATTTATATGATTTCTTGCAGGGAGACTTAGTGATCCATTGAGAATAACCCAACTCATTTGCCTTCATATTTCAGAATGAGACTGCCCATAACACCAACAATGCCCTACTGTTTTAATTGAACTATATCTGAGTTATATCTAGTGGACATAATTGGGGAACAGAATGTTCCAATATATTTTAGTACAAATTACTGGAATTATTTGGCTCTTCCAAGGGGAAAGGAAAGAACCAGAAGGAAGATGTCTTACTTATAGTTAGCACATTTATATTAAAAATGAATTTAAAGGGTCCAATATGTGAGGAGCTTTGAGATTGTCACTTTTTTCCAACAAATATCTGAACAAACTGAAAAACAAAAATCCTCTTGAATCTATTGAAGAACTTAGGTCACAGGGAAAACTGCTGTCTCCAAAACTGGAGAGTCAAATAGACAGATACAGAAATTCAAAACTTTCCAGAATGGAGACCAGCAAGCAGAAGATTCTGAGGGAGCAACTACTGGGATAGGAAAACTAGAACTCTAATTGACAAATTGCTGAAATCTCAGTGCAGAGAAGTCTGAGAATTGTGAAATCCATGGACCCAGGCTTAAGGTAGTACACCCACATGTCTGTGAGTTCTGCCTCAAGGAACTCTACCAGAACTTCAAAGTGAATGCTATAGAAAAATCTCTCTATGCTTCTGGGAGGATAGGGAAAAATTAACTCTTTTGAAATAACTCAGAGAATTATGTTATTCTTAATAAGAACTATCTTTAAGAGAAGTTATTTTACCATTGCCTAACCTATTGGGGTTTTATCAGGATCTGAGTGAATTGAGGGAAGGGAATTACCCAACTCATTTTCCTCTATCCATCCTTGTGGAAGAAAGGAAATGCCCAATTCCAGCCATCTCTAACCATACTGTCCCACCTGAGAGGAAAAAGACTGAAGTATGTGTGAAGTTTACAGTCTGAGCAGTCTCACTCAAACTCTGACATAATCATAGGACTACAGAATGATTCCCTTCTTCTACACCTTACTGCAATATTACTTAAGGCATATATGCTGCAGTTCCTTTTACACACTACATCATGTCTGGTTACCAACAAAAAATTTCAATGCTACTCAAAGGAAAAATAACTCACAGTTTGAAGAGATAGAGCAAGCATTAGAATAGGACTCAAGTATGGAAGGAATGTTGGAATTATCAAATCAGGATATTAAAATAACTGATTAATATGTAATGTTTCTAAAGGAAAAAGTAAACAACATGTAAGAACCAAATAGGTATTAGCGACAGAGAGGAAGAAATCGTAAGAAAGAATCAAGAAGAAATGCTAGAGATCAAAAACACTGTAACAGAAATGAAGAAGGATCTTGAATGGTTCATTAATGACTGGATACAGCTGAGGAAAGAATCTCTGAAATTGAAGATGTCTCAATAGGAATGCCAAACAGGAAAAAGAAAAAAAAAAAGAGAGAGAAAGGATAAAATAGTTAAAATATCCAGGAACCGTGGGACAACTGAAAATGGTGTAACCTACATGTAACGGGAAGACCAGAAAGAAAGGAAAGAGAAAAAGAAACAGAAGAAATAGTTGAAACAGTAATGATTGAGAATTTACCCAAATTAATGTCAGATATCAAATCAAAATTCCAGGAGTCTCGGAAAACACCATGCAAGATAAATGCCAAAATGACAACAACAAAAAACAATCAACCAATCAACCAACCAAGAAACAAAAAAATCCACTTACATATATATTTAAATTCCAAAAAATCAAAAACAAAACCAAAAATACTGAAAAGTCCAAGGGGAGTTGGGAAATATCTTACCTATGCAGTAGCTAAGTTAGAATTGCATCTGCTTTTGCTCAGAAACTATGCAAGCAAGAAGAGAATGAAGTGAAATATTCTAATTTAAATACATTTTTGCTATTGTCTTGAACAAATTTCTATTTGATCAACTAAGAATAAGAAAAAATTAAAATTTTTTAAAAAGATATAAGTGCAATGAAAGTATATATAAGTATATAAATAAAATGACAGTAATGACACAAGAAATGGGATGGAAGAATTAGAAATATTTTATTTTCATAAGGTACTTGAACTACCTGTGAAGCAGTGTAGTGTTATTTGAAAGTAGACTTAGACTATTTTTAAATTAAATGTATATTAAAAACTCTAGGGTAACCACTAAAAACATTTTTAAAATTATAATCAAAATGCTAAAAAAGGAGAGAAAGTAGAATTATATAAAATGCTCAATGAAAACTACAAAAAGCAGAAAAAGAGTGGAAGACAAAAATAAGAAGGACAAGGGCAATGACCAGAAAACAGTAACAAATATGGTAGACATTAATCCTATTATTTGAATAATCAATTTAAATATCAATGGTCTTAGTACACCAATGAGCAGGCAGGGATTATCATAGTGGGTCAAAATACAATCCAACTATAAGCTGCTTAGAATAAATCCACTTTAAATAAACAAACAAATACATTAAAGGTTAAGGGACAGGAATAGAAATAGCATGCTGACATTAATAAAAAAGCTGAAATGATTATATTAATTGTAGACAGAACAAACTTCAAGAAAAATTATTGGGGCAAAACTGGAATACTACAAAATTATAAAGGGATTAATTCTCCAAAGAAACACAAGGACTCTTGATGTGTATTTTCCTTACAACAGAGTCTCAAAATACATGAGCAAAATAACTGATAGAAATGCAAGGAGAAACAGATGAATCTCTTAATACAGTCAGAGACTTGAACACTCCTCTACCACTAATAGATATAGCCAGGAGGCAGCAAATTAGTAAGTACCTACTAGAACTTAACAGCACCATCAATGAACTGGATAAAATTGAGACCTATAAATGACTTTATCCAACAACAGCAAAATTAACATTCTCCTCACACTCACAATAGCTTTTCAATTAAACTATGTCAATAATTACTTTAAATGTCAATGGTTTCAATATGCCAATTAAAAGACAGGTTTTGGAATTCTCACCAAGATGAACCATATTTGGGGCCATAAAACACACTTCAACAAGTTTTTTTTAATGTAAATTATACAATATCTGCTCTCAAGCCACAATGAAATTAAACTAAAGATTAATAACAGAAAGATGGTTAAAAAACTGTAATATACTTAGAGATTAAACATAAATTTTCTAAATAACACATGGGTAAAAGAAGAAATCTGAAAATAAATTTTGAAAAATTATAAACTAAAGGAAAATGAAAACACAACTTATCAACATTCATGGGATATAGTGAGAGCAATACTTAGGATAAATTTATACACTGAATGCATGCATATATTTAAAAAGAGAAATATAAAAATAAATCAGCTAAGTTTCCATCGTAGGTAACTAGAAAAAACAAAAAAGAGCAAATTAAATCCAAAGTAAGCAGAAGAAAATAATAAAATCTAGAGCAGTAATCGATGAAAGAGAAGATAGCAAAAGAAAAGAGAAAATCAATAAAACCAAAAGCTGATTCTTTGAAACAATCAATACAATTTATAAGATTCTAGCCAGGCTAACTAAAAAAAATAGAAGACAGAGATTACTAATACTAGAAATAAAAGGACATTACTATAGATCCCATGGACACTAAAAAATAATAAAGAAATACTATAAAGAACTTACACACACAAATTTGATAACTTAGATAAATGAACAAATTTTGTGAACTGATCTAAAATTCACACAAGAAGAAATAATATGAATAGGCCTGTATCTCCTAGAGAAATATTCAATAATTAATAACGTTCCAAAAGAGATAGCAAAAGGCTCAAATGAGTTCACTGGTAAATTCTACCAAATATTTAAAGCAAAAATGATACCAATTCTCGACAATTTCCTTTAGAATACAGAAGCAAAAGAAATACATTCTACTAATTCTATATGGCCAGCATTAACCTAATACCAAAACCAGAAAAAGACATTACAAGAAAAGAAAATGACATAGCAATGTCTCTCATAAACATAGATGCCAAAATATTCAACAAAATATTAGCAAAGCAAGTCCAGCAATGTATAACCATTATATGCCACAATAATGTAATTTAACCTAGGTATGGAATGCTGGTTCAACATTAAAAAATCAATTAATCTATCACATCAAGAAGCTAAAGAAAAAAATTACAAGATTATATTAATAGAGTAGAAGCATTTGACAAAATCCAACTCTCATTTGTGATAAAAACTCTAAGCAAACTAAAATAGAGGGAAACTCTCTTAATTTGGAAATGGCATTTATAATAAAACCTACAGCTTACATAATAATTAATGGTGAGAAATTAGAAGTTAAGTTCAGAAATTAAGATTCAAAACAGGACAAGGATGTTCCCTCTCATCTCTCCTTTCCAACATGCTACCGGTAGTCCTATTCAATGAAGTAAGACAAGAAAATGAAATAAAAAGTATACAGGTTGGGAAGTAGTAATTAAAACTGTCTTTAGGCCAGGCACGGTGGCTCGCACCTGTAAGCCCAGCTACTTGGGAGACTGAGACGGAAGAATCACTTGAACCCGGGAGGTGGAGGTTGCAGTGAGCTGAGATTGTACCACTGCATTCAAGCCTGGGCAACAGAGTGAGAATTTGTCTCAACAAAAAAAAAAAAAAAAAAAAAAAAAGAAAAGAAAAAAACAACTGTCTTTGTTTGCAGATTACATAACCAATCACCTATGTAGAAAATCCTAATGAATCAACAACATCAAAGAAATTCTCAATAAATGATTTTAGAAATATTGCAAGATATGATGTCAATACAGAAAAGTCAGTAGCTTCCCTGTACACAGCAGTGAACAACTGGAATCTGAAATTAGAATCACAACACTATTTAAATTGGAACCCCAAAAATGAAATACTTAATTATAAGTGTAACAAAATATGTACAAGATATATGAGAAAAACATGTGATGAAATAAATTTAGAAAGAACTAAATAAGTGAAGAACATTCCATGTTCATGAGTAGTAGGAAGACTCAACGTGATCAAGATTTCAATTATTTTGAACTTGATCTATGGGTTCATATCAATTTGAATAAAATCCCAATAAGTAGTTCTGTGGATAATCAGCAAATTGATTCTAAAGTTTATGTGGAAAGGCAGATACCCAGAGTAGTCAAAACAATATTGAAAGGGAAGAACAAAGCTGGGGGACTGACACTACCCAACTTCCAAACTTAGAATAAAGCTACAGTAATTAAGCCAGTCTAGTATTGGTAAAAGAATAGATAAATATATCAATCAAACAGAATAAAGAGCCCTAAAATGGACCCATACAAATATAATCAACTGATCTGTAACAAAAGAGCAAAGGCAGCACAATAAAGAAAAGACAGTCTCTTAAATGAGTGGTCCTGGAACAATTAGACATTAATATGCAAAAAAATGAATCTAGACACAGAGCTTATGAACTTCACAAAGTTTAACTCAAAATATATCCTACACCTAAATGACAAATGCAAATCTACAAAACTCCTAGAAGGAGAACTCTTTCAACTTCTAGGAGAAACATAGGAGAAAATCAAGAAATTATTGGGCTTTGTGATTGCTTTTTTGATGCAACACCAAAGGCTTGATCCATTAAAGAAAGAATTGATAAACTGAAATTCACTAAAATTTACAATTTCTGCTTTATAAAAGACCTTGTTAAGTCAATGAAAAGAAAAACTACAGAATGGAAGGAGATATTTGTAAAATATATATTTAGCAAAGAACTCTTATCCAGTTATTCAAATAACTCTTACGAGTCAACAATAATAAAAGAACACAATTAAAATATATAAAAAAGACATTACAGATGCATCACAAAAGAAGATAGATAATAAACATATAAAAAGATGTTCAACATTATACATCATTAAGGAAATGCAAATTAAGTCAAATTAAGTCAAATGCAAACTAAGATACATACCTATTTGAATGGCCAAAATACAAAACAAAATACCAAATGCTGATGCAGATGTAGAATAACAGGAAACTATTTATTGCTGGTGGAATTGCAAAATGGTGCAGCTACTTTGAAAAATAGTGGGATAATTTCTTATAAAACTAAACTTACTTTCAGCATTTGATCCAACGACCAAACTTCTTGGTATTTACCCAAATGTGTTGAATACTTATATCCAGACAAGACCCTATACATGGATGTGTAGGGCTGCTTTATTCATAATTGAAAGCAACTAAGATATCTTTTTGTAGTCGAATGAATAAATAAACTTTGGTACATCCAGGCAATGGAATATTATTTAGTGCTAAAAATAATAAGAATATTATTTAGTGCTATTAAACCATCAAAAAAAAAAAGAAAAGAAATTTCAATGCATATTACTAAATAAAAGGAGCCAATCCGGAAAGGTTACATGGTCTGTGACTCCAACTATATGACATTCTGAAAAAAGCACAATGGAAACGGTAAAAAGATGAGTGGTTGCCTGCGGATAGGGAATTCGGGAAGGAATGAACAGGTGGAGCACAGAGGATTTAGGGGGCAGTGAGGCTATTCTGTATGATACTATAATGGTGGATACATGTCAGCTTACATTTATCAAAGGACAGATATTGTACAGCACTGATAGTGAAGCCTAATATAAACTATAGACTTTGGGTTATAACGATGTGTTCATCAATTATAATAAATGTTCTACTCTGGTGTGGGAAGTAGGTAGG
This sequence comes from Homo sapiens, assembly GCF_000001405.40. NCBI lineage: Eukaryota > Metazoa > Chordata > Mammalia > Primates > Hominidae > Homo > Homo sapiens. The sequence goes on from NC_000018.10 coordinate 44,087,201, forward strand.
GGAAGTTGAGGAATGGGTAAACAGACACTTCCTGTACTTTCTGCCTAATTTTGCTGTTAAAAAAAAAATAAGCTCTAAATGCTAAGCTCTAAAAATGCTCTAAAATCATGTCTATTTAAAAAATGAATTTAGAAAGAAGGAACTGACACTTGGCAATATCTTGGAGACAGATGTTATTCTAGCCAGCCCTATCACTTAACAATTCATTCTCCCTATGTCTACCACTAAACCTCGTTTAATTTATCATCTCCTCTCAAGGCATCTGATTATCAGTTGAAACCCCCTCATCTAAATATTCTTGTCAGAAAGCCTGTGACCCACCGCACAGCTTACTTAGCCCCTTCTGCCCACCATAATCATTACATCCTGTTGTAAATGCCTTTTTCTCCTTTAGAGCACAATTTTCCCGAGGATAAGAGTCATGTTTCCTTTTCTTTATCCTGTTGCTGAGAGGTAGTGTTTAAGTTTAAACAAAAAATCATAAAACTTCAAAAGCCAAACTACTTAGATTTGAATGTCTGCTTAAGCACTGACTACCTGCATGATGCTAGGCAAGTCATTTTATTCTCTCTACTTGTCTTCTCATCTGTAAGATGGGGATAATAATGCAACCTACTTCAGAGATGTGTTGAGATAAGTAGGAGTGATAATAAATGTAAAGTACTTAAAAGAGTATCGGATACATAATACACCATATAGAGGTCTTAGCTTTTATTATTGCCAATGTTGCACTTGGCCACAGTGTTACTTCCCCAGGGAGATTGAAAATGTCATTTTTCTTTCTTGCAAAAGGAAGGGTCTTGTCCCCTGCTAAAAAGATTATATGCATGTGATGAGGTGCATTTGTGGAGAGAAGGACTTTCCCTGCAGCCTTGAAACCACATTATTGAGAGAATTTTTTCTATCTTCATTTCTAACTCTTTGACTTTGCCCTGACCTGAAGATTTGAAAAGAGATTAAATTTGTCACAGCCCAGTATTCTCTTCTTCCCAACCCAAAGTCTAAATTGTTTATAATGGTCTGCTCTTGTAAAAAAGAAATCACTTCATATGTTCAGATTTCATCAAGCGGTTAGATGTGGTTGCTTCCAGCTGTGATGGACAGAAGCAAGAAAATTGTAGATGAAGAGAGGGGTCTGAAAAGTCATAGACAAACAGAGTCCTTGTATAAGAGATCATGTGCTTGCTGTGTTCAAACCCCAGGGCAGTAATTCAGATCACAGGTGGCTATGGGCAGGAGAAATATGACCCTGAAAACAGAACATACAAGCAAGAGTCACGACTGTGTGTCAGAGCCTCAGATTCTAGTCTAGATGATGCTATGCATTAGTCAGGTATTCTTGAGCAAAGTCTGTTAATTCTTTGAATTAGAGCTATATTATATACAGGATGGATTTATGAAGAGTTAAATCATGATGTGATATGTAGACAATTTAAGAACTACACAGGAAAAAGCCAAATTTATGGCAATATTATGTTTTCTATCAAACCCATTTCTTCCTGTTTAGAAAATAGGCAGACAATTTTTTTAAATTGGGTGAACCATCTTTATGGTGACTGTATCAGCATTTTCCAGAGAAAGTGAACCAATAAGAGACATATACATATATTCATACATATATGAATAAGAAATTGGCTTATATAATTACAGAGGTTGGCAAGTCCTAAAATGTGCAGGGTGAGTTACAAGCAAAAGAACCAAGAGAGCTGATGATGGAATTCCAGTCAAAAGGCCTGAGAAGCAAGAGAGATAGTGGTATAATTACAGTCCAGAGGCTGATATGCTTGTGACCCAGGATGAACTGATATTTCCACTCAAGTCCAAAGGCAAGAAAAAGTCAGTGCTACAGGTTAAAGGCAGTTAGGAGTAATCCTCCCTTACTTACAGGAGGATCAGCCTTTTTGTTTTATTTTGGCATTCAGCTGATTAGACGAGCCTCACCCCCATTAAGGAGAGCACTCTGCTTTACTTGGTCTACCAATTCTAATGTTAATCTCATCTGGAAACACCCTCACAGACTCACCCAGAATAATGTTTGGCCAAATGTCTAGGCACCTCATAGCCCAGTCAAGTAATGGACACATGATATTAACGATCAAAGAGACTAAAATAATAATAATAGCAATGTTGTTATTATAATAATTATAATTTTAATTGCTCTCTTTCAGAGTGTGTATATGTTCATGTAGTCCATATATATACCAAATGCCTTCTAGCTCCACAGCCATCTTCCATGTAGCTAGAATGTATTTCTGTCCATTCAGTTTTATTATCTGATGTTATATAGGATATTTCTAAAGAAAAGCTTTACATGAAGCCACTAACCTTTAATCTGCTCCAGGCACTTTGTATCATCTACCCTCTTCTACATTCTCCCAGCCCCAGTCTTCTGCCTGAGGGCTATGTGGAGACAACATGCCACTGTCATTGCCTATCAACAAGATATTCATATAATAGTATTAGTTTCTGGTTCCGAATGTCTCAAACTTTCTACGTAGGAAACGCTAAAGACTCTGCCAAAAGACTCTTAGAGCTGATAAATAATGTCAGTCAATTTCAGGATGTAAACTCAATGTACAAAAATTAGTAGCATTTCTGTACGTCAATAAGTTTCAAGCTGAGACCCAAATCAAAAGCACAATCCCATTTACAACAGCCACCAAAAAAGAAATAGATAGGAATATGTATTTTATGTATGTATATGTAGTTCTGTATGTATGTAGTTATTTATGTATATGTAGTAATATTCATACATATTTTATGTATGTATATGTAGTTCTGCTTGTAGAAATATTTTACCTTCTTGGACAGAACAAAACACTATTGAAAGTGAAGTAGAAAGTATAAAGGGTAAAACGTCAAAAAATTGTTCTTAAATAGATTTTAAAAGTTAAGAATGCATATTGTTAGCCTTAGAGCAACCTCTGGAAATAATTAAAAGAGGTACGCTTAGAAGCCAAGAGGTGAGATAAATAGAATACGAAAAAAATTTCAATAATCCTCAAAGGAAACAGGAAGTGAGTGAGGAACCAAAAACAAAAGAAACAAATGGGAAAACATTAGTCAGATTGTAGACCTAAAAGGAAGTTTTATGAAAACATCAATGGAAATGCAAATGATCTAAAAACTCCACTTAAAAGGCAAGACTAATTTATGTGCTATCTAAAAACGGTAGACTTTAAATATGAAAGAACAAACATTTTGAAAGAAAAATATGAACAATGATACACCATGCAAAAGGTAAACACAACAAAGCTGTCAATCTTGTATTACTTCAGTAGTCTGCCTTATCTATGGATTCAGTTTTTATGATGTTGGTTACCTGAGGTCAACCACAGTCTGAAAATATTAAATGAAAAGTTTCAAAAATCAACAATTCATACGTTTTTTATTGTGTGCTGTTCTGAGTAGTGTAATTAAATCTCATACCATACTTCTCTGTACTACCAAGGATGTGAATCATTCCTTTGTCTAGCACAACCACGTTGTATACACTACCTGCATGTTACGTTATCAAATCAAGTGTTGCAAAATATAATTTTTGTTATCAAAACAAATGTTGTAAAATATAATTTTGAGAGTCTAAGGATACACCACAAAATTGGTCCACTTTTTTTAATTTTGAGAGCCTATTGTCTTCATTTGAATCAACTTTTACTTTGATGTTTATTATCCTGACATTTCATACCTCTCTTTTCTGTTTGTAATTTGTTCTATTTCAAATATTTCCTTTATGTTTTTCCAATATTTTATTATGAAAGTTTTAAGCACACTGAAAAACTCAATTTTACAGTCAACATCGTATGGCTACTGGTTAGATTTTACAATTAACATTTTACTAGATTTTTTTCTACAAAACCTATTGTGATCATCATTAGAATGTCATTGTACTTGAAGATTAATTCAAGAACAATGCCTTTTTGCTACTGTTGATAATTCTAATAACATGGTATATTTCTTTTTTTTAGGCATTTTCAAAATTTTGGAATATTTGAATGTCTCTGGTAAAATGTATGTCTGTTATGTTTAATACTATATTATTAGCTTTATTTTCCTAATATTTTCTTATTATACTTTAAGTTTTAGGGTACATGTGCACAACATGCAGGTTTGTTACATATGTATACATGTGCCATGTTGGTGTGCTGCACTCATTAACTCATTATTTACATTAGGTATATCTCCTAATGCTATCCCTCCCCCCTCCCCCAACCCCACGACAGGCCCTGGTGTGTGATGTTCCCCACCATTTTCATAATATTTTCTTCTGACAAAAAATACAGTTGATTTTTATATGTTAACCTCCTATGCTACCTCCCTATAAAATTCAATTATTAGCTCTAAAAGTTATTTTTTATATTTTTTAGTTCATTCTATGTAAACAATCATATCATTGGAAAATAGAAAGTTTATTTTTTTAATATTCTTTATACCTTTTATTTTCATTTCTTTCCTGACTACAATATCCCTTGTACAAGGTTAAATAAAAGCGGTGAAACTATTAATCTTTATCTTGTTCTCCACCATAGACATAAAAAGGTTAAACATTGTATGATAAAGTATGAGATTAACTGTAGATTTTTCATTAATGCCCTTTATCAGATTAATTTTGTGTGGTTTTCTGAGATTTTGCATCATAAATATTAAATAAAAGTTGAATTTTTCAAATTCTTTTTCTGCATCCATGGAAGTGATTGTTTTTCCCCTGCATTTTTTAGTATAATGAATACTGCATTGTTTGTTTTTGAAATACTAAACCAATCTTGAATTCCTGGGATGAAATCTACTTAGTCTTGGTGTTTTATAGTTTTTTTACATGTTGCTAGATTGGATTTGATAATATTTTGTAAAATGTTTTTATGTTTGTATTCATGAAGACTAATAATCTATCACTTCAGTTTTTGTAACGTATTTACCTGATTTGGGTATTCAGATTATGTGGACATTGTGAAAATAGTTGGAAATTGTTCTGTTGTCCTCTACATTTTCTAAAAGTGTTTCTTTAAATTGATTTGATTCCTTTCCTGGATACACCAGTGAAACAAATGCCTGGAATTTTCTTTGTGGAATGAATATTATAATAATTTTTTTTTTATTAAACATCAGGATATTCACATTTTCTCTTTCATCTTTTTCGTCTGGTTACTTTAGGTTAGTTGTATTTCCAAAAGAAATTTAACAATTTTATTATGACAGGCACTACATAGTTTACTACATAGTTTATAGTACTCTCTTATAATCCTCTTAAAATCTCTAGGACATTGTATGTTCACATATGTGGGAGCTAAGCTATGAGGATGCAAAGCAGAAGAATGATAGGACTTTGAGGACTTGGGGGAAGGTTGGGGTTTGGTGAGGAATAGAAGACTACACATTGGGTACAGTGTACACTGCTCTGGTGATGGGTGCAACAAAATCTCAGAAATCACCACTAACGAATTTATTCAGGTAACCAAACACCACCTGTTCCCCAAAAGCCTATCAAAGTAAAAATATTAAAAATTAAAAAATAAAAAATAATATCTGTAGGATATGTAGTGAAAATTTTCCTGTCATTCATAATATTGATAATTTGTACTTGCTGTTTTTTTCCTCGATGAGTCCTGCTAAGTACTTTTTGAAGAATAAAATTTCAGCTTTGCTAATTTTATTTATTGCTTGTTATTTTATTCATTTTTGTTCTTATTTTCACTCATTTCTTCCATTTATTTTGCTTTTTTTCTAGCTTCTTTTTTATTCAGCTTTTATATATAGTGTGTATATGTGCAGACTTGTTACATGGATATATTGCACCCAGGTAGTAAGGATAGCACCCAGTAGTTATTCAACTCATGCTCCTCTCCCCCATCTAGTAGTCTGCACTGTTTATTGTTCTCATGTTTATGTCTATGGGTGCTCGGTGTTTAGCCCTCACTTATAAGTGAGAATATGTGGTGTTTAATTTTCATTCCCGTGTTAATTTGCATGAGATTATGGCCACCAGCTCCATCCATGTTGCTTCAAAAAACATAATTTCATTATATTTTATGGATGTACAATATTCCATTGTGTGTATGGACCACATTTTATTGAACAACCCACCACTGATGAGCACCTAGGTTGATTCCATTTCTTTGCTATTGTGAATAGTGCAGTGATAAACATATGAGTGCATGTGTCTTTCAGTATAACAATCTATTTTTCTTTGTGTGTACACTCAGTAATGGGAATGCTGGGTCAAATCTGTTTTAAGTGCTTTGAGAAACCTTCAAACTGCTTTCCAAGGCTACTTGCCAATGTTTGCTTTTGTTGCAATTGTTTTTGAAGACTTAGCCAAAAATTTTTTGCACCTAGTTTGAGAAGAGTATTTTCTAGATTTTTATAGTTTGAGGTTTTATGGTTACATTTTTAATCCATCCTGAGTTCATTTTTGTACATGGTAAAAGATAAGGTCCAGTATCATCTTTCTTCTTATGGCTATCCAGATAGCATCATTTATTGAATAGAGAGTCCTTTTTCCCATTGCTTGTTTTTGTCAAGCTTGGCTAAGATCAGGTGGTTAAGTGTGCAGCTTTATTTCTAAGTTTTCTATTCTGTTCCATTGGCCTATGTGTCTGTTTTTGTACCAGTACCAGGCTATTTTGGTCACCACAGCCTTATAGTAGAGTTTGAAGTCAGGTAGTGTGATGCCTCCAGCTTTGTTTTTTTTTTTTTTTTTTTTTTTTTTTGCTTAAAATTAATCTGGCTATTTGGGCTCATTTTTGGCTCCATATGAATTTCAGAATAGTTTTTATTTTCTAATTCTGTAAAAAATGATTTTGGTGGTTTGACAGGAATAGCAATGAATCTATAAATTGCTTTGGGCAGTATGGCCATTTTAATGATACTGATTCTTCCAATCCATGAGCATAAAATGTTCTTCTATTTATTTGTGTCATCTCTGATTTCTTTCAGCAGTGTTTTAGGGTTCTTCTTGTACAGATCTTTCCCTTACTTACTAACTGGATTCCTAGGTATTTCATTTTCTTTTTGCTGTTGTAAATCAGATTGTGTTCTTGATTTGACTCTCAGCCTGGACATTATTAGTGTATAGAAATGCCACTGACCTGGCCAGGTGTGGTGGCTCACACCTGTAATCCCTGCACTTTGGGAGGCCCAGGTGGGTGGATCACCTGAGGTCAGGAGTTCAAGACCAGCCTGACCAACATGGAGAAACCTCATCTCTACTAAAAATACAAAATTAGCCGGGCGTGGTGGTGCATGCCTGTAATCCCAGCTACTCAGGAGGCTGAGGTAGGAGAATCCTTGAACTCAGAAGGCAGAAGTTGCAGTGAGCCGAGATCACGCCATTGCTCTCCAGCCTGGGCAACAAGAGCGAAACTCTGTCTCAAAAAAAAAAAAAAGAAATGCCACTGACTTTTATACATTCATTTTGTATCCTTAAACTCTACTACAATCATTTATCAGTTCTAGGTGCCTTTTACTGAAGTCTTTAGGATTTTCTAGGTATAGAATCATATTGTCAGTGAAGAGAGATATTTTGACTCTTTAGCTATCTGAATGCCGTTTATTTCTCTCTCTTGCCTGCTTGTAAGGGGAGGTGTCAGCTGGGCTTCCTGGGTCGAGTAGGGGCTCAGAAAGCTGTGAAACTCAGTCATTTCCTGCATCAGGACTTACTTTGGTCCTGGATGAATAATATTGAAGATACATGCTTAAAATATTCCTAACATCAGAATTTGTGCCTGTGTTTTCTTCCCCAAGAAAGCTATAAACAGCGAAAATTTTGTTGTAAGCTTCCCTGTGTCCTCTCTCCCTCTCTCCCTTCCCCCTCCCCTGAAACTAAAAGAAATGTTAAAAGCCTGTTTTTCTGTGACCAGCATACCTTGTCTATGCTCCCAATTCCAATTCCTTGTAAACACAATTTGTGAAATCCTGTGAGATCCTGTCTCCTTTGCCATGCCGCTGCAAGGTCATAAAGTAGATAAAACTTAAGTTACAATTCCGGTTTTCCTCAAGATCTGAGACATGTTAATTGTCTTTGTTTCTTGCTCTGGTAACATCTTCCCGCTGCACGTAGTTCCCTCCTTAAAGAGTTTAAAAGGTGATCAAAAAATCTAACACTGGCTACCCGCTCGGGACCCCTTCCACGCTGTGGAAGCTTTGTACTGTCACTGCTTAATAAAGTCTACAGCCTTTTTTCTCTCGGTCTGATCCGTGTCTCTCTCTCACTGTGGGCTACCGCCACACCAAATCTTTGGCGTGGCTAAGGCAAGAAACTTTAGCGTTACACTTGCTCTGATTAGGACTTCCAGCACTATGCTGACTGAAAGTGGTGACAGTAGTCATCCTTGTCTTTTTCCATTTCTCAAGGGGATTGGTTTCAGCTTTTGCCCATTCAGTATGATGTTGTCTGTAGATTTGTCATATATGGCTTTTATTATGTTGAGGTATTTCCCTTTGATGCCTAGTTCATTAAGTGTTTTTCATATGAAGCGTTATGGAATTTTATTAAAAGCTTTTTCTGCATCTTTTGATATAATCATGTTTTTTGTTTTTATTATGTTTTTGTGGTGAATCACATTTATTGATTTGTGTATGTTGAACCAGCCTTGCATTCTATCAATAAAGCCTACTTGATCATGTTGTATTAACTTTTGATGTGCTCCTAGATCAGTTGTTAGTATTTTGTTGAGCATTTTGGCATCTATGTTCATTAGGGATATTTGCCTGAAGTTTTCTTTTTTCATGTGTATCTGCCAGATTTTAGTATCAGGCTGATACTGGCTTCACAGAATGAGTTAGGGAGAAGCCTCCTTCCTTAATTTCTTGGAAAAGTTTCAGTAGGATTTGTATGACTTCTGCTTTGTATGTCTGACAAAACTCACCTATGAATCCATCTGGTCCAGGATTTTTTGGGTTGGTAGATAATTTATTATTAATTTAACTTCTGAGCTCAATATTGGTCTATTTGAGATTTCAATGTCTTCCTGATGCAATGTTGCAAGGTTGTATTTCCAGGAAATGACACATTTCCTCCAGATTTTCTAATCTGTGTGCATAGAGTTGTTCATTGTATTCTCTGAGGCTCTTTCATATTTCTGTGGGATCAGATGTAATGTCATCTTTGTAATTTCTGACTTTACTTATTTGGATCTTCTTTTTTTTTCTTTGTTAATCTAACTAGTGGTCTATCAATCTTGTTTATTTTTCCAAATGGAGAACTCTTAGTTTCAATGACTCTTTATACTGATTTTTGCATCTCAATTTCATTCAGTTCTTCTCTAAATTTAGTTACTTATTTTCTTCTGCTAGCTTTGGGTTGGCTTCTTTTTTTTTCTAGTTCCTTTACGTGCAAAATTAGATTGTTATTTTGAGATCTTTCTAACTGATTGATGAAGGCATTTAGTGATAGAAACTTTCCTCTTCACGCTGCTTTAGCTGCATCCCAGAGATTTTGGCAAGTTGTGTCTATATTTTCCTTAATTTCAAAGAATTGTTTGATTTCTGCCTTACAGTGTTCACCCATGAGTTATTCAGAAGTAAGTTGTTTAATTTCTATGTATGTGTATAGTTTTGAAACATTTTCTTGATATCAATTTATATTTTTATTGTACTATGGTCTGAGATTATGCTTTGTATGACTTCTATTTTTTTAATTTATTTAGACTTGCTTTATGAGCAAACATGTGGTTGATCTTAGAATATGTTTTATGTATAGATGAAAAGAATGTATATTCTTTGGTTGTTGGGTGGAGATTCTGTGGATGTCCATTATATCCAACTGGTTAAGTGTTAAGTTTAGGTCCAGAATTTGCTAGTTTTCTGCCTCAATGATCCGTTTCATACTGTCAGTGGGGTTTGAAAGCCTCTATTATTGTGTTGCTGTCTAGGTCTTTTCATAAGCCAAGAAGAACTTGGTTTATGAATCTGACTGCTGGGTACATATATATTTAGAATAGTTACGTCCTCATGTTGGATTGGACCATTTAACATTATGTAATGACCTTCTTTGTCTTTCTTAATTTTTATTGATATAAAATCTGTTTTATCTGATGTAAGAATAACGACTCCTGCTCTTTCTTGTTTTTTTTTGTTTGCATTGTAGATCTTTCTCCATCTTTTTACTTTGAGCATGTGGGGTTTGTTACACATGAGATGGGTTTTTTGAAGACAGCAGATGGTTGAGTCTTGTCTTTTTATCCATTCCGTCACTCTATGTCTTTTAAGTGAGCATTTAGTTCATTTACATTTAGTGTTAGAACGGATATGTGTGACTTTTATCCTGTCATTGTGTTGTTAGCTGATTGTTATGTGGACTTGATTGTGTGATTGTTTTATATGGCCCGTGGGCTATGTGTTTAAGTGTGTTTTTGTGGTAGCAAGTGTCATTCTTTCAGTTTCATGTTTAGCATTCCCTTAAAGACATCTTGTAAGGCTGGTCTATTTGAGATGTATTACCTCAGCATTTGTCTGAGAAGAGTTTTATTTCTCCTTCACTTGTCAAGCTTGTTTGGTAGGTTATAAAATTCTTGTTTGGAATTCCCTTTCTTTAAGGATGCTGAAAACAGGCCCCCAATTTCTTCTGGCTTGTGAGGTTGCGAGATCTGCTACTAGCCTGATGGGGTTCCCTCTGTACATGACTTGACCCTCTCTCTAGCTGCCTTTAAGACTTTATTTTTTTGCCTTGAAGTTTGTGAATCTTATGACTATAAGCCTTGGGGATGTTGGGCCTGAATAGTGTACAGCCAGTCAATATTAGAAAAATTTTTGTGGACTAGATCCTTAAATACATTTGTCAAGTTGTTTATTTTTTCTCCTTTGTTCTCAGCAATGTCAATAAGTCATAGATTTGGTCTCTTTATATAATCACATATTTCTTGGGGGTTTTGTTTATTTAAAAAAATTCTCTTTTCCATATTTTTGTCCAACTGAGTTGATCTGAAGAACCAGTCTTCGAGCTCTTAGATTCTTTCTTCAGCTTGTTTTATTCTGCTCTAATACTTTTCATTATATTATGAAATTTTTGTAATGACTAATCTAACTTTTGAATTTTAGGTTTTTTTTTTCTTGAAATGGGTATTTTGTCTTTCAGCTCTTGGATAATTTTACTAGATTCTTTGAGTTCCTTGGATTGGGTTTCAACTTCCTTCTGAATCTTGATGAGTTTCATTGCCATCCAGATTCTGAATTTTATGTCTGTCATTTCAAACTGGTTAAGAACCATTACTGGGGATCTAGTGGACTTCTTTGGAAGCAAGAGGACACTCCACGTTTTTGAATTACCAGTGTTCTTGAGCTTGTTCTTTTTCATCTGTGGGGTTGTGGGGGTGGGGATTGTTGTTCCTTTAACTGTGGTGTAATTTGAGTATAGTCACTTGGCTTCTTTCTGGATGCTTTAAGAGGGCCAAGCCTCTGCCCAGGGTGTTTATTTGTGGCTGAATTCTTGCCCTGGGTTTCACATGGAGGAATTTTATGAAGATATTCTTGGTGTTGTAGTTTGGTTTGTGATCCAGTAGATGGTGCTTAAGAGTAATGGCTAGTGGATAGGCTCTTGGCCACATGGCAACTTCGTATTTTCTTATATTTGTAGCCATGGTCTGTGGTGCATGGAGAGAGGTTAACCCCTCACCAGGTCCACTCGTAGGACTAGCGAGAGCCCCTTCCAATCACTGGCAATGTACCCACAATTCTTTTGTTAGGTATTTCAGGCTGCTGTGCTCCCTTGGGCAGAGGCTATGGCAGGAATATAGACCACACATTTCCAGGCTGACCCTGCAGAGGGAGACATGCTCCACTCCCAGAGCAGCCCGAAAAACTGCAGGACTCACCCCTCTCAGTGTTCTGAAAGTGTAGGCTCCTCTCCTGCTCAGGTGCTGGCCACAGATCTTAGCTTGGCATTCTCAAACTGCACCTTAGCTCTGGGGTGAGCTCAGGCTTTTTGTTCCTTTCTCAGCTTGGGGGTAGCAGAGGCAGGAACCTCCTCAGCAACAATAGCAGAGGTCCTCTCAGTTGTTTCTGGAAGTTCCACCCCCGAGAACACCAAGCCACTGCCAATCAGAGTGATCAGCTGGTGTGGGGTGGCTGTGCTGTGTGCCCAAGGTGCTATGGTGTTGGGCCCTGCCTGGTAAAGATCAGGGGGTCAGAGTCTTACAGGAAAGACAGTCTAGCCTCTTCTCCATGGGGCTGCTGCTGAAAGTGCAGCCAGGGCAATCTGGATCTTGGAGTGTTCAGCCAGGGTTGGAGTGGCTGAGCTGTGGCCCCAAGCCAGGGGAGGTAGGAAAAGCAGGGGAGGTAGAGGCTTGCAGGGAAGACAGTCTGGCCTCCTTTCCATAGGATGTCCGCTGCCTTCTATACGCATGTGATATGGTTTGGCTGTATCGCCATCCAAATCTCATTTTGAATTGTAACTCCCACAATTCCCACATGTCGTGGGAGGAACGAGGTGGGTGGTGATTGAATTATGGGGGCAGGTCTTTTCTGCATTGTTCTCATGATAGTGAATGAGTCTCATGAGAGCTGATGGTTTAACAAATGGGAGTTTCCCTGCACAAGTTCTCCTTTTGCCTGCTGCCGTCCATGTAAGATGTGACTTGCTGTTCCTTGCCTTCCACCATGATTGTGAAGCCTCCCTAGCCATGTAGAACTCTAAGTCCAATAAACCTCTTTCTTTTGTAAAGTGCCCAGTCTCAGGTATGTCTCCAGCAGCAGCGTGAAAATGGACTAATACAGCATGCAAAAGCAGTCAGACCCTTTGTTCCCTCCCTAGCCTGGGAAGACCAATGGTGGGTACCACTGTGGTGGCAATGACAGAGAGCCTGCCAGTTGTTTCTGTTAGCTCTACCCCAGAGAAATGCAGAGCTGCCACCAAGTGATCAGGCCAGGGTGGGGCAGTTGTGCTGGTGGCCCATGCTGGGAGGCCCTGCCCAGTGAGAAGTAGCAGGGGGGCAGCATGTGTAAAATAATCAGGCTACTTTTCCCTATATCAGCTGTGGTGTGTTGGAGGAGCTCTTTGCTCCCTCCCCAGCCTGAGGGCAGCAGGGATGGGCAGTGGTAATCACAACAGGCCTGTTAGTTACCTCCGGGAACTCTAACCCAGAGAAACGGAGTGCCAGAGACCTGCTGGAGTGCTGAGGAGGAGATGGGGTGGCTGCACTGGCATCCCAGGGCAGTTTGCTTTGCCTGGTGAGGTGCAGCAGAGGCAGACCCTACAGTTCATCAGTTCCTCAGCACCATGGATACAGCCCCTATCCTACGGGCATAGGAGAGAGCCTGGCCTCCCTTTTTGGCAGGATTATTGAAGCTGGTTTATTGGACTTACAGTTCTACATGGCTGGAGAGGCTTCACAATCATGGTGGAAGGGTACTCAGGGATCTAACGCCCACAGGGTCCCACATGGGCCTGAGCAGCAACTCTGCTCAGACCCCAGGTAACTCTCTGTGTCAGTCTGGAGGCATGGGGAGGTCATGGGAGATCTCCTGTGCCCAGGATTGCAAAGGTCCATGGCAGAAGTGTGGGTCCCTGGGGGCTCTCACTTTTTTACCCTTGCGCCCTGGTAGGAAGCCTTCCCTAGATCGGCACCAATCCCTGGTGGGCGGCTGTCCTGCCTTGCTCTTGTCTGCTCTCTGTGGGTCACTACTACTTCCTTGATGAATCCTAATGTTGACTCCTGGATGATCTACTTGAATAACTACTGCTTACTCCCCATTTTGTCTCCTCTCTGTGAAAGTGATACACCATAGCTGCTTTTACTCAGCCGTCTTGGCACTGCTCCTTTCTGCAGTTTCATTAGATGGCAGATAGGTTTTTTATTTCAAGCTTTTCTCTTTTCATATTATAGACATCAGAGGTACAATTTTTCCTTTTAGCATAGCTTTAACTGCATCCCACGAATTTTTATGTGTATTTTATTATTATTTAATTTGATTATTTTCTAATGGATTTAAGAGTGTATTGTCTTATTTCCAAATACTTGAATGTTTCTAGATATCTTCCTGCTGTTAAATAGTAATGTAATTGTTCTGTGGTCAGGAAATATACAGTTGAGCCTTGAACAACATGAGTTTGAACTGCACGGGTCCACTTATATGCAAATTTTTTCTCAATAAATATATGGGAAATTTTTTTGGAGGTTAATGACAATTTAATAAAAAAACTCACAGATAATCTGTGTAGCCTAGACATATTTAAAAAAAAAAGTTAGGTATGTCAGGAATGCATAAAATATATGTAAAAACTAGTCTATTTATTATTTACTACCAAAAAATATACACAAATCTATTATAAGATGTTAAAATTAAAAATAAAAACTCACAAATACTTATAGACTATACATGGCATCTCTTGACTACATGGTAGTCAAGAGAAATGTAAACAAATATAAAGTTGCATTATTAAATCATAATTGCATAAAATTTACTATAATATATACTGTACTACAGTAATAATTTTGTAGCCATGGCCTGTTGCTATTGTAGTGAGCTCAAGCAGTTCGTCTCTCCAGTAAATTGTGTGCCACAGTAAAAAGTGATCTCTTGCAGTTCTTGCGTATTTTTAATTATATTTAAAGCAACACCATACACTATAAACCTTGAATAACACCATAGGATCCACACAAAATACCACTAATGATACCGGAAGTGTTCCCAAGAAGCAGAAAAATGTCATGACATAACAAAAAAAAAAGTTAAATTGTTTGTTACTTCTTGTAGATTAAGGTCTGCAACTATGGTTTCCCACTATTTCAAGATAAATAAATCCAGTTTAAAGAGTTCTGTTTAAAAAAATAAAAAAAGAAAGAAAAAGAAATTCCTGAATATATTCCTGCAGCTATGCTAGCATGCACAAAATCCTTGTACTTTTTGTTAAATACCTTTGATACCTCTTATTTTAAATACAACTTTCGTGTGGGTGCAGCATTACTATAAGAAAGGCATACCTAAAGACTCTAATATGATTTGAGAAAAAGTCATTATATGGCAACTTAAAGCAAAACATTGGTGAAAAATCTAAAGCTGAATAATTTAATGCCAGTAAAGGATGGTTCGATATTTTTAGAAAGATATTTGGCTTTAAAAATGTCAAGGCAACAGGAGAAGCAGGCTCTGCTGACCAAGAGGCAGCAGACAAGTTCCCAGACACCATTAAGAAAATTATTGAGGAGAGAGAATGTCTGCCTAAACAAGTTTTTAATGCAAACTAAAGTTCCCTATTCTAGAAAGAAAGAAAAAAAAAGATGCCACAAAGGACATTTATGAATAGAAAAGAGAAGTGATTACCTGGATTTAAGGCAGGAAACTATATGCTAACTACTGTTTTGTGCAAATGCAGTTGGGTTTATGATTAGGACTTGCCCTTATTTATAAAACTGCTAACCCCCATGGAAAAGATAAACACCAGTTACCAGTCTTTTGGTTGTACAGCAAGAAGGTCGGAAAAGCAAGAAATCTTTTTCTGGATTGGTTCCATTAATGCTTTGTGACTTCTCCTGTGGAACAGAGATACCCCATAGGCAATGTACAGAGAGTAGCAGCATATGGAAGGTTTGCATCATATTTATACTCACATTAATGACATCCTAACTAAGGGGCAAGTTATTCAGAAATAGCCAGAAAATGGGCAGTAACTTCCAGGCATTGCCATGGCATTGGTAAACTGTCATAGCACTGGTTGGAGTACCTTACAGTGATGGGCAGCAAGAGCAACAGGAGGGGCTTTAAGCACCTCTTCCCAGTTTGGGCCAGTCTTCAATCTGATCAGAAGATGAATCTGCCTGCCTCCTAGCCTCATTTCCAACTTAGAGATTAGATATTTCTCTTTAATCTTAAAGGGATTGCAGATGGGCAGAGGTCTATCTTCTGTAATTGTTTCCTAATGGTTTTATGGGCATAGGCCCTGCCTAGCGTTGCATTGGAGGAGTAAAAAAATCTCTGGATACCTGATCTAAGGGGCCCAAAGGCAGGATGTTTTTATTCTCTGGGTCAGAAGACAAGACGTATTGGAATCGTTGTACCAGTATTGTCTTTACATGGAACTGTTGTAATCTAGAAGGCAGAAACCCTTTTAAGAGATAAATCAGCAGGAGCTAAAAATTAGTATTAACAAGTTAGCTAATTAAAGATCCTAGAACAGGTAAAAAACAGGTGAGATTTGGAAGGGTATTTTTGATAGTTAACCACTATCAAAAATAGTCAACTGCTAGTTGAGGTCAGTGCCCTGGTCATATGTATGTAACCAGGTAGATTGCTCATTGATCTTTTGAATGTTAACTTCAACCTGTCTAGAGTTGTAAATATACTTGCAGAAGGTTTTATTCATAATTGCAAAGATGCTACCTTGATCAGCTAGTAAATAATCCAATGCTAGTCTGTTATCAAGGACTATCTTTGCCAAAGAGTCTAGGGACTCTTGAATTCCCTTTGCTTGACACATCAAGGGTTACCCAAGGCTCCTCTGTGGAGATAGTAAGGAGTCCAGTGGGAGCGGGAGAGGACCTTGGGCTGTGTTCTCTGTTCTCTTGGCCATTATGGGTCTGGGTGGCCCAGACTCCCTTTTAAGCTTGGAGCAGTTCTTTCCTTTTAGCTTTAATTTTGGCCGAGGGTTTAGTGAGTTGGGGAATCTTGTCTAGGCATCGCAGAAGCCAATTTTGCCATGTTTCCTCAGGATGGGTAACCTGGAGGCAGCAGGAGGCTTAAATACACTAACAATTGTACAGTTTGGCCAGTTCTTTTGGTTTTTGCTTCTTTCTCTGTCCTGTCCCTATTGTTGTAAAGCCCAAAGGCCATTTCTAAAAATTGCCTCATAGGGCACACTGCTGCCTTTTGTAACTTCCTCTTAATGTCAGGGACAGGCTGAGTAATGAAATGCACACCCCGGAGAAGAACTCACCTTTCTAGGGAGTCTGGGTCTGCATTAGTATATTTCCTGAGTGCCTCAAACAAGTGGCTCTGAAACAGGTTGGGATTTTTATATTTCCCCTGAGTTATTTCTCTAAACTTGTCATAACCGTCGTTACACATTTTTAAATATTCTCTATGAAACAAGCTAGCATGTGATTGCATTTGAGATACTGGGAACCCCTCTGGTAATCCCACTGGGGGGCATCTAGATCTGGAACCACATCTCCTCCCACACAACAAATGGCATAGCCTTGATTATGAGTGGCCATTCCATCTGCATGTTCATGGGCAGTACTTGGAATCCTTTCTTTTTCATCTATGGTATAAGAAGTGGATAATAATAAATATTTACATGTCATGCCAAGTTAAGTCAAAAGACTTGGCCAACTTAACAAACTCCTCTTTAAACATCCCTGAATTCTCTGAAAACTGGCAATTTTTTTTCCTTGCATAAAGCCAACAGAAATGGAAAAAGACACACATACTTAACTATTCCCCCATCTCCAACAGCCACCTCCTGTATTGAACGTAGTTTCAATTTTAGGGGCTGATAGGGGGCCCCACTCCTTTTGGTACTGGTTGGACTTACTTCCTTGGACAGTGGTATAGGCTAGGGCTTGTTGGTTAAGAGGGAGGAGTGCCTGATGACGTTAGGGTGGAATCCTGTGCTAAAGAACTGGCAAGGCTCCCCTCAGAATTGAAGGTCTGAGGAGGCTCCAAGAGGAGCATAGGCCTTCTAGGGGGAGCAGCTAAGAGGGGGTCATCTAGGATACCCAGTGTGGCTTCCTGGTTCCAGGGACTATTACGAGCTAGATACATTTTACTGCTATCCCTTAGGGTCAGGGTCCTGGCAGAGAGCTATAAAAGCTTGCACATAAGGAAATTCTCCCTATTTTTCTTCCATTTTACAAAATAACTATAATTGTAAAATAACATTATAATGTAAAGAACCATATATAGGCCAAAAGTGTTGGTTCTCCAATCTGTATTGGACTCAAATAGCATTCCAATAGAATATGAGAATTTTCTTTTTTAAAGTGTATAAATTTGCTCCAATTGCCTAAAAGACACCTTAATGGCAAGTCTTCTGGGATGCTCACTATAGTCCCCATATTTAGTAAGGATCACTGCAGGAAATTTTAGTTGGCCTAAGTCTAACAAACGCCTAGTTACTTTTTCCTTTTAAATTTACACTTTTTTCAAAGAAGTTGTAAATGTAGATGGCAAAGAGTTACAAAAGTTAATGGGTAGTAGAATGATGAGCCTGAATTTCACAGAAAGTAAAGTAGAGCCTTAATTTGGGCAAAGAGGGGCCAAACAGATAGTGATCATGGAAGGGAAGAAGGGAAGCGGTGAAGAGCATTGCTCAAGGGGAGACCTCAGAGGCCCTGACTTGCTGGAGAACCTACCCAGCAGTGGAGACCCTGAAAAATATGTTTGGGAAGCTGCTTATCTACCACTCTAGGTAGCTAACTGTCAGCCAAAGGGTCTGGTAACTTCCAGTGTCTTCTACTAAGATGGGCTTCAGCGAAGCAGTTTTTGGACAGAAAGGAAGACAGCACACAAGAAGGGGCCCACAACTGGCTGTTCCAGAAAATAATAACTTCTAACTTCAGAGCAGAAAAGGTGAGACCAAGATTCCCTTGAGGGGGTGGGGTGTGGCTGCAACCCACTATCCTAGAGGTAATGTCAATGCTGAAAACCCCAGAGCATCTGGGCAGCAGCCAACAGTGCCAATGCCAAAAATCCCAGAGTACCTATATATTGGCCAATGAAGGTCCCCTCACCAAATGCAAAAAGTCCAGAGTACCCAACTTGTGACCAATAGTGAACCCAATGCCAAGGGTCACAGAACAACCTGACTCTGTCATCCAAGGGTCAACACAATGGGAGATTTCTCACAACCAAGTGACTTACATTAAACAATTGCCCAAATATAGTTAACAGGGAGTCAAAACAAAAACAAACCAAAAACTACAAATGGAACATACATTTTATAAAATAAATAAAATATTTAAAGTAGTCTTTTCTAATTCTTTGAAGAAAGTCAATAGTAGCTTGATGGGGATAGCATTGAATCTATAAATTACTTTGGGCAGTATGGCCATTTTCACGATACTGATTCTTCCTTCCGTGAACGTGGAATGTTTTTCCATTTGTTTGTGTCCTCTATTATTTCCTTGAGCAGTGGTTTGTAGTTCTCCTTGAAGAGATCCTTCACATCCCTGTAAGTTGTATTCCTAGGTATTTTATTCTATTTGTAGCAATTGTGAATGGGAGTTCACTCATGACTTGGCTCTCTGTCTATTATTGGTGTATGGGAATTCTTGTGATTTTTGCACATTGATTTTGCATCCTGAGAATTTGCTGAAGTTGCTTTTCAGCTTAAGGAGATTTTGGGCTGAGACGATGAGATTTTCTAAATATACTATCATGTCAACTGCAAACAGAGACAATTTGACTTCCTCTCTCCCTATTTGAATACGCTTTATTTCTTTCTCTTGTCTGATTGCCCTGACCAGAACAGAAAACCAAACACCGCATGTTCCCACTCATAAGTGGGAGTTCAACAATGAGAACACATGGACACAGGGAGGGGAACATCACATACCAGGGCCTGTCATGGGATGGGGGACTAGGGGAGTGATAGCATTAGGAGAAATACCTAATGTAAATGACGGGTTGATGGGTGCAGCAAACCACCATGGCACATGTATACCTTTGTAACAAACCTGCACATTCTGCACATATATCTCAGAGCTTACACTATAATAAAATAAAATAAAATAAAATAAAATGGTTGGTGGAGCAATTCAATGATGTTAGAGGAGAAAAGACCAGGGGAAGTGATGAAAAGGAGGTACTTCTATTTGGGTACCTAAATGACAAAGAACTTTTAAACTGACCACATATTCACAGGCTTTTTTCCCTGGCTCACCCAATATCATCAAGAGGGTTGGGGTGGGGGTGCAGAGGGGACACTCACCTGTCCACAAAAGCCAAAATGCCATTGACCAGCCTTCTCCATGGGACCCAGGTGAAGGCCTCTCCAAGTTCTCCTGGCTTAGGTGGGCTTGGCTGCCATAGGGGGCCCAGCACTAAGACTGGTGACCTGCCAGCCAGAGTAGTGGGTCTTACACAAGGCGGTAGCATTAAGAATGCTCAGCTGTCCACTCAGCTCCATCACCTGCCGGGAAAGAGGATGGCTCTGAAAAGAGCCTTTGGTTAGTGTTACAATTCTCTGCAGTGCTAGTAGCTCTTTGGAATTACAGCCTCAGTATTACACCTCATGCAGCTTTCATCACTGATTGCCTCACCATCTCTCACTGACTCACCAGTCATCACCTCTCTGCTTCTCATCTTGCTGATCACAGACTGCCATCTCTCATTGTCACCTCACTGATCACCATCTCTCCTAGTTTCTCTCCTTGCTTCTCTGCCCTCCTCACTGGATGGCCACAGATGCAGGGAGGTTCTTGACTTTACTCAGGAAAGAATTCAAGAGCAGCATTTACCCTATAGGCAGTGCACCGAGAGCTGCAACCTATGAGCAGTTTCTAGTCATATTTATACCCACTTTTAATGACGTACTAATTAAGGGGTGTGTTGTTCAGAAGTAGCTAGAAAATGGGTGATGACTTCTGGGTGTTGCCATGGCAAGGGGTAGTAACTTCTGGGGATTGACATGGTGTTGATAAACTGGCATGGTGCTGGTAGGCACTGAGAGCAATGGGAGGTGCTTTTTGTGCCTCTTCCTGGTTTTGGTCAGTCTTCAATTTGGTCTGAAGATGCATCCTGCCTGCCTCCTACCTCAAAAGTGGTCTACTTCCTTTAAACATACTTCTCTAATTCAGCCTCTGAAGGACAGGGTCATAAGGACGTTTAAGGGTCCTTACACAGTATACTGCTTGGAAAGGATTATCAGCTCTATTAAAGAGGATGCAAATAGAACATCATGAATATCTGGAAAGCTTCTATCATTAAAGATGACATTGTCGTTGCAGAAAAATAAAGTCTGTCAAGCCCAAAGCGATATATTCTTGCTGGAAAAACTTGTGTTCAGATGTTTTGTATGACTTCACAGGATTTACAAGAGAGCTAATCAAGATGGTGAATATGACAAAAAAAAAAGGAAGAAGGGTTTCAAGATAGGGATCTTGGAGAAATTCAAGAGCTAATAGACACCACCCCAGGGGAATTAACAGAAGATGACCTGATGGAGATGAATGCTTCTGAACCAGTGCCAGATAATGAGGAAAAAAAGAAAGCAGTTCCAGAAAAGAAATTGACATTAGACGATCTGGCATAAGCATTCTCATTATTCAAGACTGCTTTGACTTTTTTCACGACACAAACCCTTCTACGATACAGGCATTGAAACTGTTGAAACTAAAGTAAATGGTGGAAGAAAGCTTGATATTGTATTAAAAAATTTAAGAAATAGCAAAAAAATAAAAACCAGTAATGACGATGTGGTTTTGTAATCTTACATCTACTCTGCCTGTCTCTCCTACCTTCCCTTTCACCTCCTCCACATCCTCTGCATTTGCCACCCCTGAAACAGCAAGACCAGCCTATTCTCTTCCTCCTCAGCCTATTCAATGTAAAAGATGGTAAGGATGAAGTTCTCTATAATGATCCACTTACACTTAATAAATAGTAAATGCATTTTCTCTTCCTTGTGGTTTTCTTAGTAATATTTTTCTCTAGCTTACTTTATTGTAGAATACAGTGGATTTTATATACATATATATATATAAAACATGTATATATTAATTGATTGTGTATGTTATTGGTAAGGCTTCCAGTCAACAGTAGGCTATAGTAGTTAAATTTTGAGGAAATCAAAAGTTAAAAGTGAATTTTCAACTGCACAGAGGGTGGGTTCACCTGACACCCAATTGTTCAAGTGTCAGCTGTACTCTCTGCGTTGGTTAATTGTATGTGTTAACATTAGGGGTGTTTTAAATTATATTAATACTTAAATCAGAACTTTGAGTAAACAGATTACCCTCCATAATGTAGGTGGGCCTCATTCAATCAGTTGAAGGCCTGAATAACACAATAAAAAAAATTAAAAAAATAAAAAACAGTGTTCTACTGCAAGAGGAAATTCCCCAGCATGCTGTCTTCTCACTTTATCTGCAACACTGGCTTTCCTGGGTCTCAAGCCTGCCAGCCCACCCTTTATATTTGAACTTGCCAGCCTTTGGAACGTGATACATATTTGTATCTCTTAAAAAAGAGAGAATATAAATGTGTCTGTATAGAAAGAGAGAGAGACACACATACACACATACATTATATACATATATATATACACACATATGTTGTATTAATCCATTTTCACACTGATGATAAAACATACCTGAGACTGGGTAATTTATAAAGAAAAAGAGGTTTAATAGACTCACAGTTCCATGTGGCTGGGGAGGCCTCACAATCATGGCAGAAGGTGAAAGGCATGTCTTACATGGCAGCAGTCAAGAGAGAATGAGAGAAAAGCAAAAGAGAAAACCCCTATAAAATCATCAGATCTCATGAGACTTATTCACTACCATGAGAACAGTATGGGGGAAACTGCCCTTATGATTAAATTATTTCCCACTGGGTCCCTCCCACAGTGTGTGGAAATTATGGTAGCTGTAATTCAAGATGAGATATGGGTGGAGACACAGCCAAACCATATCACATGTATGTATACATACGGAATCTATTTGTTCTGTTTCTCTGGAGAACACTGATTAATATACTCTCTCTCATAGTTTCTCAACCTGAGCACTATTCTTTGTTGTAGAGGCCTCCTTGTGTATTGTAGTATGTTTAGAAGTTCCCTGGTATCTACATAATAAATTCTAGTAATACCCTCTCCTCCAGTTGCAACAACCAAAAATGTCTTTAGACATTGTTTAAAGTCCTCAAGATGGAGAGTGGACAACATTGTTCTTTAGTGAGAACTACTCCTCTAGATGACCTTGATCCTACTAAACATATTTAGACTTATTTTATGGCTCCACATATGTTCTATCTTGGTCCATGTACCCTGTGTACTTGAAAATAATTTTTATTCTGGGATAATAATTTTTGAGTTAGGAATATAATTTTCTGTAGAAATAAATTGTGCCAAAGTAGTGATAGTGCAATTGAGAGCTTCTTTAATTTTATAAGATCCTATCTATTTATAACCTCAATTCCTGATAGGAGAGTCTTAACACCTCCAAATATGATCATGGACTTATCCATTCCTCATTTTAATTCTGTGAACTTTTGTTTTACATATTTTTGAGAATTTCTAGCCAAAGAACATTCTAGAAGTACCCTTTTTTCATTTTAACTATACCTCTTTGCATCATTTTTCGTTGATTAAAGATTATAATATAGGCCTGTAATTTTTAACTGTCTACGTGGAAGTAATACTGTACCACTTCATATAAAATGCAGAATCCTTACAACTATATGTCAATTAATCCATCACTAACACCATCAATTTTATGCTATGTAAAATATTAATCATGCTGTGTAGAATTACATTGGCATACATTGTAGACCTCTATTATAATGTTTGCTTTAGAGGATCATATACATAATAAAATAATTTTGATGAATATTAATCTTATACATTTATTCACATTTATAATTACACCATTTTAAAGAATTAACCCTTTTATTATTATGAAATATCCCTCTTCATCCCAAGTAAAAACTTGTCCTTAAAATATACTATTATAATATCAGTGTCATTTCTACTCTATCCTTCATAAACATATACATATGTTCCTTGCATAGCATGTCGTTTACCATCCATTTATTATTTTATTTTCAACTTTTATGTGTCTTTTAACTTCAAGTGTTATCTCTTGCAGAGGGTAAATAGCTGAGTGTTTGTGTGTGTGTGTGCGTGTGTGTGTTTTACTCTTTGTGACAATCTCTTTTAATTAGAATAGTTAGCTTTGCCATTTATAACAATTACTAATTTGGTTGGATATAGAATTATTTTAATACTTGTTTTCTATTTGTCATTGCTGGTTTATTCTTTTTTTCTCCTTTTCTGCCTTCTTGTAGAATTATATTGCATTCTGTCTGTTTTGAAATTTGTTGTATTAGTTAGATTTTTATATTGTTTTTTACAGTTATCTTGGAAGGCTTTATGTGGGTTTTGTGTTGGGCATAAGTTAGCCACTCATGGCATATGTAAAAACCATAAATTACTAGACATACCTTGATTATAGCAATAATCTTTTGTTAGCTCTAATATACATGAAGTTGTCACCAAGAAGTACATGGAGTGAGGCAGTAAAGCAAATAACAACTCCTGATCTTATAATTAGGTAAAATTGATCTCATTACTTAGATAAGAATACAGATTTTAAATATCCCTAAAATTAGCTCATTGTGACCAAAAATTATCAAGAAGTAGGGCAAGATAGTGACTCATCTTTTATCTTATTAATAAGCCATTTGGTGCTAGTGGCTAGCCCTTTAAGTACAGTGGTGCTGTGTGTGGTTTTGTGATCTCATAACTCAAAGTTTTAAAATGTGTAGTCTTTTCCAAAGAGCCAAAGAACATTCTAGAAGTACCCTTTTTTCATTTTAAGTATACCTCTTTGCATCATTTTTCATTGATTAAAGATTATAATATAGGCCTGTAATTTTTAACTGTCTATGTGGAAGTAATACTGTACCACTTCATATAAAATGCAGAATCCTTACAACTATATGTCAATTAATCCATCACTAACACCATCAATTTTATGCTATGTGAAATATTAATCACGCTACGTAGAATTACATTGGCATACATTGTAGACCTCTATTATAATGTTTGCTTTAGAGGATCATACACATAATAAAGTAATTTTGATGAATATTAATCTTATACATTTATTCAGATGGTTACAAATTATAGCGCTCTTCATTCTTTTCAAGGGTCCAAGTTGCCATTTGTGTCATTTTCTTTTAAAGAGCTGCTTTTAACATTTCTTGCAATGACATCTGCTACCAAATTCTCTTTGTATTCTTTATCTGATATTTTATTTCACCTTTATTTTGTTAAAGGTGATTTCTCCAAATATAGGATTCCAAGTTGACAGGTTTTGGTATTTAAGCTTCCTCTCAGAAGCTTAAAGATGTTATTTGTTGTCTTTTTGATATACATAATTTCTTATAAGAAGTCAGTGGCTTTAAATTGATGTGACCCTGTTTGCAATGTATTAATTTTTTCTGTTTATTTTCAAGATTTTTTTCTTAGTTTTGGCTCCTAGTAGCTGGATTATAATATGTCAAGGTGTGGCACTCTGTGTTTCTATCCAGCTTGAGGTTGCTGAGCTTCTCAAATCTATACATTTATGTTCATGACCAAATTTGAGGAAATTTTGGCCATCATTTCTTTAAATGTTTTTCCACTCCCTTTCTTTATTCTCCCTTTGTATGTCTAAATAAAGTATTTTAGATCTTTTTATATTGCCTCATGAGCCCTTGAAAACCATTATCCTTTTTTGAGTCTTTTTCCTTTTTCTCTTCTTCATATTGAATCATTTGTATTGATGTATCTTCAAGTTCACACACTCTTCTGTAATACTTATTTTGCTGTTAAGCTCAAGTAGTACATTTAAAAATTTCAAATGTTATATTTTTAATTATTTGTTTCTTTCAGAGTCATTTTTGAGATTTGCTACTTTTTAATAGTAAAGTCATATTTTTCTTTGTATCTTTGAGCACAGTGAAAAGAGTTGCTTTAAAATTCTTTACAGCCCAGTGCGGTGGCTCATGCCTGTAATTCCAACACTTTGGGAGGCTGAGGAAGGTGGATCACCTGGGGTCACAAGCTTGAGACCAGCCTGGCCAACATGGCAAAACCCCATCTCTACAAAAAAATACAAAAATTAGCCTGGTGTGGTGGTACACGCCTGTTATCCCAGCTACTTGGGAGGCTGAGGAAGGAGAATCACTTGAACCTGGGAGGTGGAGGTTGCAGTGAGCTGAGATCATGCCACTGCACTCCAGAATGGGCAACAGAGTGAGAACCTGTCTCAAAACACACACACACCACACACACACACACACACAATTATTTTCTGCTAGTTCCAACATCTATGCTGTCTCAGGGTTAGTCTACATTGATTGTAATTTTAAGTAGGTTGTGTTTTCCAGTTATTTGAGTATAGTCTACTTCTGAATTGTGTATTAGACATTTTGAATGATAGGCTCTGCTATAGAGAATTTGTTATAATCCTCTCAAGAGGATTAAATGGTGAATGTTCAATAATTTTATTTGTTTTGTCAAACACTTAGCTGGACTGAAATTGCAAACTCTTTTTCCTTCTGCAGGGAGTAGAACAAAGGATCTTAGTTTAGGCATTTTTTTCTTTAGCTGTGCTGTTGGTGTTCATGCCACTTATGCAAGTTTTAGTCACTGGCAAGAGACTGGGAAATTATTTATACACAGAATTTGAAGATTTTCCTCTCCAGCTTTCTCCTTTCCTGGATTTTCATCTTAAATTTCCGTTTACTGCTGTTGGTGGCTTTTACTTGGATTTTTGGTCCTACATGCCACAGAGTCTGAGTTTTCTGAGTTTTTCCTGTGTATAGTATTTGGTACAAATTGAGTTTGCCCTCAATCTGAAAACTGTGGAGCTGGAAGACTGTCTCATTGTGTTGACTCTGGTCCAATATTTATCTCCTTCTGGTAACTCCCATATTTTCAGGTAGGTTTCATTGTGTGTGTGCATGTGTATATGTGTGTGTGTGCGTGTGTGTGTGTTTGCCCCAAAAGTTTGTAGTTGTTGTCTGAAGGTGCACTGGAATAAAAAGAGCCACTTATTCATGTTGGAAAAATATGTTTCCTATGTCAGTGTTCAACTCTTTCTTACTCTATCTTATTATATTCTAAAAAGTTAGTTTTCTTTCCCCCCCCCGCCATGGGTCTTCTCTCAGTTTGATTTGAATATATCTTCTTATTAAATTTACTTATCCCATCTAATAGTCCTTGAAAGTATGGATTTAAATTCTTTGAACTAACTTTTATTCTATTCTGAGATGCTGATGCTGCTGCCTGCTTTCTCCTCCTCCTCTTCCTTATTCTTCCACTTTTTCTTCTTTTATATATGTTTTTATTCCATTTTCATGTTAAAATGATTTTTTCTAATAATGTTTGCATAGTTGCCATATATTGTTTTGATCATTTTTACATTTTATTTGAGCAGTTAATCTAATGTTTTTATTTATTCTAATATACGATGATTTACTTTGCTTTGTGAAATCTCTTTGTATTATTTTTCAAGCTTTACATTGAAAACAGGAATATTTTCTTCATTTTACACTTTTTAACCTGAGAACAGAAGGGAGAAAGAAGAGATATATACCATTAGGACAGTGTGTGCCCTTTGTTGTAGAGCCTGGTTTTATGTCTCTTTTAAAGGTTGGTTAAATATTTTCTCTACCTGCAGGAGAGTAGGAGAGGAGGGTTATCATTATCTTATGGGACAGATTAAACTGATCTTCAGATTATTTCATAACTTCACTGTGAAACTTGGAAATGGGGAGTCCTACAGGATTTTACTAATTCTGATGAGGTTATAAGAATTCTAAGTAGGAATTTCTATTTATGAGGATTTTCCTATCATTATTCAATTGACTGCTTAATCATACAATTTCTTCTTAGTTTCAATCTGGGAGTTATTAAAGAGAATTCTCAGGGTTTTCTTGATTCATTTCCATTATTTAATACCTCTTCATGAAGATAAAGGGAGTAGGTATAAGGTGTGTAGCTGCCTAAGCTGCACCCAAATTTTCCATGTTATTTCCTAAACGGACACTTTTTAAAGTATTTTGTGGTATAATGTATGGTATATGATTTCTGCAGATAAATTGTTTCTCATTTGTATTTTTGTTATTCATTTTTTAAGATATTGAAGGTGGGGCAAGGGAGAATTGTAGCTTTTCAGTCTGCTTACCTTTTGCCATTGCTTATAAACTTGTCTTTCTATTTTGAGTTCTGTTTTTAAATCATCCTGCACTATTTTATTTAAGGGATTTTAATATCCAAATTTAGTTATATCACTTCTCCACTGAAAATTTCCAATTACCTGTATATGACACTAAAATGAGGCAACAAAAGAAAAATAGATAAGTTACACTTCATTACAATTGAAAACTTTTGCACAGCAAAGGACACTATCAAAGGGTGAAAAGACAGCCACTAGAATGGGAGAAAATATGCAAATTATCTATCTCATAACGGATTAATATCTAGAATATGTAAAGGAAAACTACAACTCAGCAGCTTAAAAAACCCAATTCAAAAATGAGAAAAGAACTTGAATTGACATTTTTTCCAAAGAAGATATATAAATGGCCAAAAAGCACATAAAAAGATGCTTGACATCATTGGTTACTAGGGAATCGAAGATCAAAACCACAAAAAGACATGACTTTATCCCCACTAGGATGTCTGTAATGAAAGGAAAAATAACTACTGTAGGCTACAATGTGGAGAAATGGGAACTATTGTGCATTGCTGGTGTTGTTGGTGACAACATGAAATCATGCAACTGTTGTGAAAACAGTACGGTTGCTCCTCAAAAAGTTAAACATAGCATTACAATATCATCCAGCAACTCCACTTTTAGGTATATACTCCAGTTTTAGGTAATAACCAAAAGCAAGGACTCAAACAAATACTTGCATACCAATGTTCATAGCAACATTATTGATAATAGCTCAAAGGTAGAAACAATCCACAGGTTTATCAACAGATGAATGGGTGAAGAATGAAATACTATCCAGCATTAAAAAGAATCAAATTCTAATACGTGTTACAACGTGGATGAATCTTGAAAACACTGAGCTACATGAAATAAACCAGATGCAAAAGCACACATTTTCTGTGCTTCCACTTATATTAGGTACCTAGAATAGCCAAATTCATAGAGATAGTATAATAGAGGTTGCCAGAAGCTAGGGGAAGTGGGGAGTAGGGAGTTACTGTTTAAGTGGTACAGAGATTCTGTTTGAGATGATGAAAAAGTTCTGTAAATGAATGGTTGTAATTTTACTACAGTAAAAAATATCAAATTTTTCCAATTACCTATAAAAAAATCAAGGACAGTGTTCTATTCTCTTCATGACCTAGCCCTATCCTATCTTCTTGCCCTCTTTTACTGTCTCCTCCTTACCTTTTGTCCCAGATGTATCTCCAAAAACCATAGGTTCCCCAAGAATGTTGTATTGCTTCAATCTTTTGTTTATTATCTTTAAAAGAATGGTTCTCATTTTACATTACCTGTAGAGTCTAACTCACCTTTGAAACCAAATTCACATACTAATTTTTATTTAACAACGTCCGAAACATTATGTAGTATACATCTACAGGTTGAATTTATTTGTCCAGAACTGGACCACTGTTGTTGGTAAAAGCTTATTTTCCTCCCAAAAACATGTTCTTTGCATGGGTGCTGTTGATTCACTGCTATCAAAGAATATCACCTGATGAATGGAGATCAATTAAGTACCGTTACTAAAATTGTTAAAGCAAATTTCATTCTCTCTCTGTCTATAAACCTAGGCTAAATGCATCAAAGCAACTGAATAGTTATATTTCTGGATAGTAGAGAGAGTCAATTTAAAAAAATTCCATGCACCAGGAAACAAAAAGGAGATATAGAAAGAAAGAAAGAGAGAGAGAAAAAAGAATTCTGGAAGAGTTAGGTCTTTGGGAGCATTCTGTGTGACTAGTTAATCCCCTTTTCCTCTTTTTGGTTGATGCCATGAGCTAATCAATGAGCTTTGCACATAGGCTACTTAGAGTTTGGTTTCTGTCAGTTGCAACCAGAATGAATATTTTTTATTACTTCTCTGATATATACCTATGCCCTTCCAATATTACCTTAACAAGTTATTATTCTATGTTTAGTCTCTGTCAGGCTATGAATCCATGAAGAACATGTCCTTGCTTCTTTCATCTCACTTTCATGGAACCTGTACATTGAATTGAATTTCAAAAATAATTAGGTTTATATCTTTGAAATTGTAGTTGTTTCCTTCTAATTACAAAAGCCATCTATGTTTCTGCAGTTTAATGTAGTTCAAGAAATGCATTTTAATATGTAGCCCCCCCATGCTAAACATTAAGAATATGAAGATAAATATGACTTGATTCTTGATCAATTCTAAAGGGCAAAAGTGCAGACAGATACACACACACAAAGAATTTCAATACAATGTGAAAGTGATAAGAATGGGTGCCGTGAGAGATGAGAGGCACTTGACAAAAACAGGAGAGGCTTTCATGGAAACAACTGAAAAGCTGAAAAAACTGAGACCTGAGAAACTATAATATAAAAAATAGTATTTTTAATCTTACTTCCCACCATACTGAGACAATCAAAAATAAAACTTTGGGTCTTCCTTCTAGGTTTTACACACACACACACACAAATAAACAATCAGACACAAATGAACAATATAGTGTGGCATGTAGCTGTAGATATTTCTCAGGCAACATTTGTAAGCATCATTTTTGCTAAAATAATTAAAAAACATTATCTTGTTATGATGAAATAATAGATATTTAATGTAATTTACTTAATTATCCTGCTATTGTTAACATTTCTATTGTTTCAATATTTATAAATAAAACTGAGATAAATATTTCACTCACTCATAATTTTTTCATTTCTAATTATTTACTTAAGACACATATCTGACATAGTCTTAAGGAGTCAATAGCTAGATTAGATACACATAAATTTTAAGCCTATGTTTTGGAGTAATTGAGGCCTATAGATTTTTGGTGATTTGTCTAAAAGATATTGGGAATTATTGTTCCCCATCTCCTGCTAGTGCTGATTCTTCTTTCCCCTTCTGTTCCTAACCTGTGCCCAGTGCTGCTCATCAACCTTTCTTGTTTTGTTGCCTGTAAGAACATGATGCCATCCTGCTTGAGTGATCAGCAATGGTGGCTTAAGTAGTCATTCACAGGGCATGATTCATGGGACCTGCCACTGGGCCTGGGTTGGGGGGGTTGCTTTCTTGGTTAATAATGCTTTGTTTCAATTATAAACACCCTAATAATTATCATGGCAACATGCTGTATGTACACAGAAAAACTTAAAAAGTTTTTTTTGAAATGGGTCTCATTATGTTGTCCAGAGAGTCCTTGAACATTTGGGTTCCAGCAATCCTCCTGTCTCAGCCTCCCAACTAGCTAGAACTACAGGTGCACATCACCATGCCCAGCTACAAAAACTTTTAGCTCTCCCAGTAATCAAAATGTAAGGTACTATTTCTCTTACTTTTATATATGTTGGACTTGGTTTTGAAATCTTGTTTTATTTCAATATCATAAATTAACTCATAAAAGTATTGTGGATAATTTTCTCCCAGAGAATTGTTTAGACCCTTCATTTTGAGAACATAATGGGTATGCAAAAAATGAAAAAAGACAACGTATTCATCATCTGTGAATAAAAGCCAAGTGCCCTCTGAAAAGAAAGGACAAATAAATTATTAAACAAATAGCTCGTTTTTAGCAGCAAAATTAACCTAATATTTTATGGTTTTCAAGGAAATACATACTGATAAAGAGCATTGAGGAAAAAAATGTCTCCAGCATCCAACTTTCTAACGAGAGATGCATGTGTTTATCATTCTTCTCCTATGTCCACTGCCTGAGGCAGTGGAAGGATGTTTTTGCTCTCCTTTTGCCTTATCTCTCCCAGTGTAATAACCCCATCCTAAATAGGCTTCAATGCCCACTGCAATGAATACAAATATGCTTGCTAGATTTGGACTGTAAAACTAGTTTCCCCTACTCTCTGTGCCTCAGTGGAATATATATTAAATGAAGCTATTCCATAAAACATCATCTTATAATAGTAGGTAAGTAGGCTGCTCTGTTTATGGAGTAGCCATTCTTTTATTTCTTTACTTTCTTAATTAACTTGCTGTCACTTTAAAAAAAAAAAAAAAGAAAAAAAAAATAGCCTGAACTTTAGCCATCTTCCAAGTACTAATGAAATGTTCCTGTCTCTAATGTTTAAATAGACTAATGAAGGGCAGTTTTGCCATAGAGGTTAGCTCGATTTTTAATGTATGAGATCTGGGGAACACCTACTTCTAAATAGCTGAACTAAAGCAAGGACTTATTTATAATTCTGAAATCATAATTTTTTTCTTTATTTCTGTAAACTCTTGGTTATTTAATCATCAACTGTTTCAGATGTACTACAGCACCCAAGAATAGAAAGGGAGTGAGAGAGAGAGGTCCCAGACAAAGGAAGAGATACCTTTGTCTTCGTTACAGAACGTGTAACCCCTAATCCTGTAAATTTAGTCTTTCTAAGGATTTTTTGAATTTTATCCTAGCCCCACCATCCATTTATTTATTTGAAATATATATATTGAATGTTCTCAAAATATAATCCAATGCACCATTCCTTGGGAATACATCATTAAAAGGACAAATATAATCTGCCTAAAGGTATTTACATTCTGGGAAGTAACAAATGTTACAACCAGAAATCATTACCTAATTATTTTACGGTTGCTCTGTAATAAAAAGTAATATAGGTGCAATAAAAGTATATAATATAGAGTCAAGAACCAAGCATGGGAATATTTGCTTGAAGAATTAGAGTTGGAAATGAGCTGTGAAAGATGTATACCAAAATAAGGAGTGTGACACTCAAAGGAAATAGCATTGCACAGACTCTAAGATACAGAAAAACATAGACATACTCCAAGAATTGAAAGAATGTCAATGTGGCAGAAACAATAAAGCAAGGAATAAAGAGCTAGAACTGACTCTCTAAAGTGGACAGCAGACATATTCTGCATGTGTTCTAAATATTTATTCTTACAGTGATAAAAGGCATCGAAGAACTTTAAACAAGGCAATGACATAATCATAATTTCTTATATTTCCTTTAAAATATCATTCTTAATTACCATGTGAGTAACAGACTAGAGAGTGACGATTAGGATCCAGTAAGAAGTGCTAAGACTTGAGAGAGAATGATCATTTATTCCATGAGGATAGCAAGGAAATTGATAAAAGTGGATAAATTTGAGCGATATTTAGAAACATGTTTTGTGGCTAAAGAAGAATGAAGGAGAAATAAAAGTCAAGACGAATGTTAGTCTCTAGGACTATAATCCCTAAATATTTTTGGAAAAGAGTGAGTCTTCAAATCCTTGTAAATTGCACCGGTAGAGGAAGACACATGCCTAGAAGGAAATTAGTTGATTCAGGTAGGGGTACAAGGGTTAGAAAATATAGCGAAGGATATGTGGGTAAATTTGTGGGGAACCTTTGGTTGACTTTGGCCACAACCTCCTTTGGGTCAATGCCAGAGAATGAGACTGTAGCAATACTGGAGTCAGAGAATACATATGTAGATACATACATACATTTACACACACACAACATTGCTTGGATATTCCCTCCATAGTCTTGATCACAATGCAGAAGTAATTTTGGCTTGCTAAGTCTATCGATCCAACACTATTGAAAAAAAATATGCTACTATATGCTGCCATATCACAAGAAAATGAAATGCAATCAGATATATCCATAGAGATGGTTATATCATAATGATGGCAGAAGGAATAGTGGAAGATTTTCTAAGTAAACTATGTAGTATAGACTCTCTCTTTTGGCATCTTTGAAAGGAGAGAAAAACACTGTTCACAAATATAGATAGGAACTTTACATGGCCTTTATTTAAATCACAGTGGAAATTTTGAAGTGTAAATTGATGGTTAAGATTTCCTGTCTGTGCCTTAACATTTTCTCAATATCCTAACCCTACCTCGTACTTCCTATTTCCTCCCAACACTCACCCCAATTGGCACATTAAGCCACAGAAACCTTACAAAACAACACTGTAGTCGCATTTCTCTAGAATTCATCATTTTCCCTCCCAGTGCTGCAGTGCTGGACATCCAAAGCCCAGACTTTGGATAGCTCTAGCCTTTACAGTTTGACTCTCTTCCTTTTCTCTGTCTACTTGGATTTGAACACCTGTCTGTAATCAAAGAGAACTTTCATAAATCTCTAACTAATGTGTAATAAAGTCCTCAGAATAAGTTAGTCCATGATCTTCAGTAGTCGCCTTATGTCCTCATAGTACTCAGAAACTAGAGGGTGGACATGATCCTTCACATGACAGGAACATCTCAGTACTATGCCAAATCTGCTTTTACTTCTGTGAATCTCTACCCCTTCCTTCAGAGAGTACAATTGACTAAAGTTTTCTTCATTGAAACTCTTTAAGGGTCTGGGACCAGAGGAGCAGGGAATTCACATTACCATTTCTAAAGTAAATATCAAGGCCTGGCATGGTGGCTCACATCTGTAATCCTAGCACTTTGGGAGGCCGAGGCAGGCAGATCACTTGAGGTAAGAAGTTTGAGACCAGCCTGGCCAACATGGAGAAACCGTGTCTCTGCTAAAAATATAAAAATTAGCCAAGCATGGTGGTACGTGCCTGTAATCCCAGCTACTCAGGAGGCTGAGGCACAAGAATCGCTTAAACCCATGAGGTAGGGGTTGCCCTGAGCAGAGATTGCACCACTGCACTCCAGCCTGAGCAACAGAGAGAGACTATGTCTCATAAATAAATAAATAAATAAATAAATAAATAAATAAATAACCGCTGAAGTGGAAGACATGAAGAAAGATGGAAGAGTTATTATAAGATGAAAATGGTTGCACAATCACAAAACATGAGCATTTAAAAAAATATACTGGCACTAGAGATCGCACCACTGCACTCCAGCCTGGGTGACAGAGCAAGACTCTGTCTCTCTCTTTCTCTCTCTCTCTCTCTATATAGGTATATATACATACATATACTGTCACTAAAATTTTAGATGAGACGTGAATGCAGAATAAAGGCACATTTTAAAAGGTTGGAATGATAAGAGAAAACGTTAAAATTTTTATCACTTTGTCATATATTCATACTGATTCAACCTGAGAAATAAAATACCAGAAATCATTAGAATAAGGGATTTATTATAGGGATTTGACCTCATGTAATTATTAGAGCTGGTTTGCCAGCATTGGCTCAGCTGTTTCTCCTACTTCTACATCTGGACCAGAGCCTGAAGTCACAGAAAAGGCAGTTGCTAAGAAAAGATGAACATGAAATAGGAGAAATCAGGGAAAGCTTAGACCCAGGTCTATTTCTTACCAAAACCCATGTTGGTATCTCCTCATGCCCAAGTTTCTAACTTTACTGCTATGGGAGGCTGCAGGAAAAGCTGGCACCTCTGTGGTACAGCCACACTCACACCTGGCCTAGAATGTGAAGAAGCTGAGGGAAGAACTCCTATGGAGTTCCAGGAGGCAATGTCCCCTGCTGCTGCCCTAACCAGCAAGGTGAGCGACAGAGCTGCTAAAGCATGTGGGCACTAGAACAGGGCCAGATCGACAGTCCCAAAAGTAGACTCTTCTGCTCAGCTTGCACAACTTTCTTTGGTGGCCGACTCTAATCGGTGACATGTAGAAAAATGAGTTCTGGGAAACGTTGTCCAGCTAAATCAAATTGAAACATTATGAAGACGATATTGGTAGACTCTGCCAAGAATTTTCATGTCTATAGCTTAATTTTTATTGAGAAACAAAATCAGATCTTCCTTGCCAGAATACATCATTGTTCAAGGGATGCCTGAAGGCTCCTGGTACCCTTGCCTTGACCTCTTCCACCTGAGTAAAGCCCTGGTGAATTGTGGCTAAGTCAAGGAAACGAGGAGTTTTGAAGGGTATGACCTTTAAGATAAATTACATAATGTTGATTTTCATAGTTCTAATAAGCAGGAATGCCAATTCTTGAAAAACATTAACAATTTTTGTTTAAGATTAGAAATACTAGGCTTATAAGTGTTTACCAAACCAGACTGTTTTATGTAGTTACTTAGTTCTGTTTTCTCCTCTTTCGTTTTTTATGATAGGTGGTTTTTGAGTATTTAAAGAGATGCCGAAAATGGCACTTACATATGCAGTTAGTACATAATTATCTCAGTAATAGTAACTAGGAAAAAATGGGAAAGCTACTTTTGTCTAGCATTTTTCTGTTGCCTTAAATTCTACTACTGGTAATTTATTTTTTCTAAGCATATTCTACTTCCTGTGACTTCTATTGAAATATGAATGGAATGAAATAGTAAGTCAGTAAAATTTTAGTAATAATTAGCTCATCAGACAGATTTTTTCATCTAAGGGAAAATAAAGTGAATAAAAGGGCTAATTGAATGAGAGAAGAGGCATAAGAATCAGATATTATCATATGAAAGGTAAATTACTCTAATTTCAGAGTTTGCCTATGGAAAGTTTTATGTCAACAGTGACACATTTTGTCAAAATATGTAAGGAAAGAGAGTTCCAGCACACTGGAAGCTCACCATCCAGTAATAATAGTCCCCAACACTATGGAGTGGGTGTTTGTATCTTCCCCAAATTCATATGTTGAGACCCTAACCCCCAATATTGTGATATTTGGAGATGTGGCCTGTGGGATTCAATTAGTGGTAGATTAGATAATGAGAGTGGAGCCCTTATAATGGCATCAGTTTTCGTGGTATTATAAGAAGAGAAAGAAAGAGCATCTCTCCCTGAGTGTATGCATGAAAAAGAGGCCATGTGAGGACATAGCAAGAAGGCATTGTCTGCAAGCCAAGAAAAGAGCCCTCACCAGAGCCTGATCATGCTTACATCCTGATCTTGGACTTCCAGCCTCCAGCACTATGAGAAAATTTATTTGGGTTATTTAAGCCACCTGTTTTTATGGTATCTTGTTATGGCAGCTCAAGCCGGCTAATAAAATAGCCAGCCCTTGGCGAGTGCATAGTGTGTGTCTGGCACTGTTCTGAGGGGAATACCTGTGGTCACTCAAGTATAACCCTATGAGGGAGGCACTATGATTACTCTCATTTCACAGATGATGAAAATGAGTCACAAAGGTAGTAACTCACCCAGATTTGTATACCCAGTAAAACACAGAGCTGGAATTTGAGTTTATAAAAGTCAGAAATTGATGAAGAATCCCCTAATGTGTTTAACTTTTGTATTCAAACAAATAATACAGTCACAATGAAAAGGAGAAATCTTTTAGCCAAGTAAAGTTATTAGAAGTGAAGTGAAAAGGATTTTCATATAGTAAAACAATTACAACTAGAAAATATTGAAGAATTATATTCAAATATGAATGGAATGCAGAACAGAAGAATGATTTTCAAATGAGGTTTGAAAATCAAGGTAGGCGCTGCCCAGTGGCTCACACCTGTAATTCCAGCACTTTGGGAGGCTTAGGTAAGAGGACTGATTAAGCCCAGGAGTTTGAGACCAGCCTGGGCAATATAATAAGACCCCATTTCTACAAAAAGATTTAAAAATTACCCGAGCATGGTGGCACGCACCTGTAGTCCCAGCTACTTGGGAGGTTGAGGTGGGAGGATGGCTTGAGCCTGGGAAGTGGAGGTTGCAGTGAGCTGAGATTGTGCCACTGCACTCCAGCCTGGGCAACAGAGCAACACCTATTAGATATGAATGAAACATGTCTAGTTTCATATGTTTGAACTATTATTCTTCCATTTGAAATATTTTCTCCTTGTCTTGCCACTTTTCCACATTTGATTTATTCATCAGATCTAGTTTGAGAATCTAGGCCTAAGCCCCACTATCAATTTACTTATTGATGTTAACCAAACCCAAGGACAGAAGTGTTGCTAGTTATGGTATGAAAGTTTGTGGCTAGATGTAAAGTGGCAGACATGATTTGTTGATTAACCACTCCCCGCCCCATCTTCTTCCTGGAAAATAGAGCCTCATTTTTGTTCAGGGGTAAATAAATATATGCAGTATCAGGTAAGACAACTTCTTCCCCATTTGCCTTTGTAGATAGGGATGGCCATCTAACACAATTATGCCAAAAGGGGTGGAAGGTGACATGTAAGGATGTTCTGATATG
Source organism: Homo sapiens (assembly GCF_000001405.40). Classification (NCBI taxonomy): domain Eukaryota; kingdom Metazoa; phylum Chordata; class Mammalia; order Primates; family Hominidae; genus Homo; species Homo sapiens. Next base: position 44,125,045 of record NC_000018.10, read on the forward strand.
CTTTTGTTTTTGATGTTGTTGTTGTGGAAAGAAGACACTTGTGTCTGGCATTGCCACTGTTACTCCCCTGCACTTTTTTTTTCTTTTTTTTTTTTTTGAGAGAGTATCTCTCTGTCACACAGGCTGGAGTGCAGTGGTGTGATCTCAGCTCACTGCAACCTCCTCCTCCCAGGCTCAAGTGATCCTCCCACCTCACCCTCCCGAGTAGCTGGGGCCACAGGTGTGTTCCACTGTGCCCAGCTGATTTTTGTTTGTTTGTTTTTTGTAGAGATGGAACTTTGCCATGTTACCTAGGGTGGTCTTAAACTCCTGATCTCAAGCGATCAGCCCGCCTCAGCCCCCAAAGTGCTGGCATTACAGGTGTGAGCCACTGTGCCGAGCCTCCTTTTTCTTGTCTTAAAGAAACTATTATATCTGGAGCTGCAGCAGCTGTATTTCCATGGTGGGTCAAGAAAAAGATACGAATATGTTACCAATTGCGACAATATAAGACTTTTCATTACTGGTGGAACTATTGAATATCTGAATCAATTCCAGTAATATTTCAGACTTGTTTTTAAGGGAAAAATATTACTTCCCTTTAAATGTTATTCTGGATTTTGGCCATATTTAATGTTAGTTGTAACTGATGCATTTCCAACTTCTGTTTTCAGGAATTTTCATACTGGACTAAGGCTCTGAGGCTCCAGAGAAATATACTAAGAAAGTTGTGGCAGATGGAGGAGGTGGATGTGGGGCACGGAGGATAGTCCCCCCTCCCCTAAATTCAACCACAATAATTATACCTTATAACAGTTGCTTATTAACCTTCTGCTTAAGAGTTTGTTTTTTAATTTCACTTATTAGAAAACGTTTGAAAAACATTTATCTGACTGATTTCTAACTTCCCTTCCAGCCTTTAAATCCCAATTTCCTAATTGCTTCCTGAGACTATCCTCATAACTTGAAGTGATATTTATTTTTGACACAGCAGAATACGTATAACCTATATTACCTTTGACAGTCTATTCTGACAATGTAGCATTTATGTTATACTTTGTCATAAAGCCTGACAAACTTTCATTGGTATTAGTCTTATCTGTAGAGATTATCTATTAAAAGAGGGAATGTATCATATGTCATAGAGTTTGAAATAGTTCTTGTCATGTAGGAAGAGTCCTGTATAAATGCATAGGAATCATCCAGCACATATGTATTCCACAGGATAATATACCATCTAACAACCTCTGATCTTTGTTGCCTGCATGTTAAAGATTTCAAGGTTGTATTTTTCATCACATTCAGAGTACAGTGGTTGAAAATTTGAAACATTTGAAACGAGATATTTCCTAGCCTGAAGATCTTCATCACAGAGTTAGAAAAGGCTCCTCTTTGAAAGAAAAGACTTCCTTATACTCATCTTCATCTGGAATTTCCCCAGTACTCCTTATTTCTGACATAAGAGAAGTCGTAGGCATGGAGTTACTAAGATTATTCCAACATTTTAAGAGTACTTTTACTCAGGTTGCAAAATTAGCAGGCTATTTTTTTTTGCAGCTTCTGACTTCAGGTCTATTAATGTTGCTGATCACTAGTATCACAAAGAAATTTGTCCTAATGAGCCAGTGGGTTTCCACCTTTATGTTGATAGCACCAAACCTGAATAGACAATATCAGCATATCTGCAAAAAGCAAGTGAAAAAGAGATTGATATAATATGTAAATAGCTTTCACACAACATTTTATTTTATTGAACTTTTTTTTATTGCTGAGTCAGTACAAGAACAACTGTGGGACATAGGGAAGCACAACAGAGCTACTTGAAGTTAGGATGATAATGACACCATTTTAGACATGATGCCTTACCAGTAGCAGCACAGGTCTTCTATTCTAGAGTTTAAACTTTCAGTCATTATGTATTTGAGAATGTTTATGAAATGCCTTTTATGTAACAACTTTGCTTGGCACTGGGGAAACAAAGATTTACAAGACGTAGTTTCTGCCCTCTAGAAATGTGTAAAGAAAAGTAAAAAAATAAAATAAAACTTTTCTAGCACAGCTATGGCACAAGAAAGAAGTCTGATAAAAATTAGCTAACATTAGCCGGGTGCGGTGGCTCACGCCTGTAATCCCAGCACTTTGGGAGGCCTAGGTGGGCGGATCACGAGGTCAGGAGATCAAGACCATCCTGGCTAACATGGTGAAACCCCGTCTCCACTAAAAATATAAAAAATTAGCCGGGCCTGGTGGCGGGCGCCTGCAGTCCCAGATACTCGGGAGGCCGAGGCAGGAGAATGGCGTGAACCCAGGAGATGGAGCTTGCATTGAGCCAAGATCACGCCACCACACTCCAGCCTGGGTGGCAGAGCGAGACTCTGTCTCAAAAGAAAAAAAAAAAATTAGCTAAAATCATTGGTGACCAAAATAGGTGCCCCAGAGCCCACCCACTAAAGTCCACAGATGCACGCAAACCTCCTTTTAAAGTTTAGGACTCATTATTTCAAAAGCAGTTCTAACAAGGTTATGACTTGTTTCTCTGACCTTCAGAAGATTAGAAGTGGCTAATCAAACAGAAAAGAAAGACTGAATGGACATATACACAAATAAGAAATGTGGGGAAATGAAAAACCAGTAGCAACGTGGATGTCAATAAAATTATAAAAAAGCCTGTATGCAATAGCAACAAACAGACAAACACAAATAACCAGTATCAGTCAGCAGATTTTCAGCATGAGGCCAACAGTACTTCATAGCTTAGGATCCTGCAAAGTAGATGAAAGGAAGCACACATAATAGACACCAGTTTACTAGTATTGGGTCACTATGTATTTTTCACATGTGTATTTCATTTATTCTTCACAAAGACCCTGCTGAAGCAACTCATTCTAGTTAACAAATGAGGAGATGAAGGCTCCAAGTAATTAAGAAACATATTCAACATGAATCATGAATATGAAGTTCAAGATGTTAAATTAATTTAAATATCTAATTTTGATTGCATCTTTGACTTTCAGAACTGCTTAGGAACCACTCCATTGAGGGGTTACATTATTATAAATCTGTAAATGGCATCCAAGAGTTTCCTAACGCTCTAATCTTATTAGAGGTAAGATACACCTAATTTAGAAAACAGTTAATATTGCCAAATTAAAAAGCATAAAGAAACCAGGAACTTTCATGAAGACCAGGATGTCAAACTGGTGCTGTGTCCTGCTCAAGGATAGAAAATCCTATATGATTTCACTCTCAGATGCTGAAGCCTTGATAGAACCCTGAGTGAAAGTTTAATATTCAATCAGCATGAGTTAGAAATAGCTGATTAATTTACATTCTATTTTGTTTGTTTGTTTAATAGTCCCCATATCCAGTCACTTAAACTAATGAAAAATAATCACAGTAGATTCTTCTCTTCTTGTTTTATTTTTAAAATTTCCTTCTTCTTTTCTTTAAATGGTCCTCAATTGCTCCTCCTTCTCCTTTTACATAAAGGGATCATGATGAAAATCTCTTTCCATGCCCCACCCACTAGAGTAGTCATAGGCAGATAATTTCCTGCCCCAGTGACTTTTCCATGCAAGCATACATCTGAGTGAGAAAGTCACAGGATAAGGAAATCCTCCACATATCTCATATGGATGATTTAAAAAAAAACTCTTAAATAGTCTCTCTGCACCCGTTCCTTTAAAAAACTAACCAAAAATAATTTGACTTAGTGATTTACTTGACATGAAATAGCTCCTTTTATATAATTTGATTGTTAATGGTCTAATTTTATTACACATTGAAATTCAAGCTAACTTTACTCTGGGTCTTTATTTTTATCTTGCATTTACTTTATTTCTGAATATTTTGCAAGGGTACTTGGACAAGTTTGTACTTCATGTGTGTGCCCTAAAAGCTCCTAGAAGGAGGCAGGAGTTGCCTGTCTTATTCATGCATTTGTCTTTACAGTTAAGCCCAAGGGATATGGAGGTTAGAGTGATTGCTGTGTATAAGGTTAAGACTTTGGACAACTTAGTTGACATTTACAAGCCTCAGTCTTTTTACTTATGGAAAGAAACTTAAAGATTAACTTTCCATAAGTAAAAATGTAAATTAATGTCTTTAATTAAGTTCTTTAATGCCAAATTGTCTGTGGCAGGAAAATTTGACATTAAAGAATTTAATAATAATACATACCTCCCAGGTTTACCATGAGGTTACATGGCATAAATTATTTGAAACAGATACTAAGTGCTCAATAAAATATTATTATCAATTTTATCATAATTTTATTATCTATCACAGTGCCTAAAATAATGAAGGACTCAAAAATATATTGATAATGATAAAGTCCAACCAGAGACTCAAATTCCACTCCTGAACCCTATTTTATTAACTGGTAACACTCACAGTCTCAGTTCTCCCAGAAAATGCCACATTTGCTTTTTAGTTCTGTGTGATCTAGTTGGCTCTCTATTAGAAAAATGATGACATAATTAAATTCATGTCATGCTTCCTCATTTTACTGTTCTGTCTTCTGCCCCTTTTCCTACTCTCTCAACTGCCGTATGTCCTCTTAGAATAAGGTGACTTACCAAAGGACCTCGCAGAAGTGGTCCTCCCATATGTCTAGTGTGAATAAAAAAAAAAAGTTCCTTTTATGATAAAAAAACATGCACTTAATTTTAAACTCTTCCATAAACTAGCACTGTAACTTTAGATAAGATGAATAGCCTATCTGTGCCTTATTTTATGTAACCGCAAAATGGGGTGACAATCCCTGCTTTCCTCACCACAAAAGCCTGTAAAGATGGAAGGCAATACACATTTTTCTGTGTGTGAACATACAGTTACCATCCACAATGACATCTTAGTGTTAGGCATGCTATTTTACTTCATAGTCCAGATTATACCATTGTCAGTATCCTGCTTTCAAAATGACCCAGTCTATGTGCATTTTTTTCCAGTCTCTGGCTTAATCATTTTAATCTACTCCATCAACTATCTTAAGGTGTTATTAGTGTTATTAGGTACTTACTTGGTATTAGATATTAATGCAACCCTGTGAAATATTTGGATTTTGACAGAAGGTTTCTAGATACAAAGTGTAATTACCATGAATTGATCCAGTGAAAATAATAGTTTTCCCTGAGCTCAAATTGGAAAATCTTGGGAAATATATCTGACACAAGTTGGACTTTTGGTTTCATAGTGTAGTTTTTATTTTCAGTCTCCTATAAAGGAGGATGACCTTTTGATTGGGTATAAGACCTATACCATTCTCCCTCTCATTAAACCTTACATCCCATTCCTATCAACCAGGAATAAAAGCAGCTTTGGATTTCATGGTTGTCTATTGCATGATAGATAGATTAAGAGGTACACTGAATCAGGAAACAGTGGGGGGATGGAGCTGACTTCAAGTCAGATTTAGATGCAAAAATTAAAAAGAAAATTAAATAGGTTAGCAGTTTAGTGCATGACATCTTACGAAAAATGTTGATTGAAATGTGTCTTAGGTCTAGCCTCCTCAGCCACTAGGGGTCAGAATTACACAGGACACTCACAGAACACGGACCACTGGTGGGCCAGAAAGGAGGGACCAGAAATTTGGAAATGGTTTTGAGTATTGTGTGCATAAAGTACACAGAAAAAGCATTTGCCATATGCCTGCCAGGTCTAATTATATGTTAAAGGGTAAGAAGATACAATTGGCACATGGACTTGCTCCAGCCTATTTTTCCAGTCTCATTTTTCTCTATTCCCTCGTAAGATACCACTTGGAACTAGATTCGAAAGAGGCTCCCCCCAACTCTAGGGGTCAGATTTCTGACAGCCACCATGGCAAGACAATTTGACATTAAAGAATTTAAAGTCTTCTGGGGAAAATAGGATTAAGAGAGACAATATGTATGGTTAACCTACGGAAAACCTTTGTAAATAAATCAATCTTCCCAACAGCAAAATAATAAAACAGCTTAGTAATACATAAAAATATATATAAAGTAAGAAAAGGTCAACAATTTTAAATATCTTTTACAAAGAATAGTGGGTGGAGTACTATACATTTCCAACTATTATATCTTGATGCATTAGAAGCTTTTTATGATTTCCCTACAATTTGAAAAAGGTCCATATAACTTTTTGTACTTATTGAAGATAAACACTTACTGATGAAGATATGAGGCATGTTTGTTTGCCTTATCCTCAGCAGCTTTTTGTTTTATGACTGGAGAGTAATTCACTCTTGTCCCTCAAGTTCTCAGTGAGTCCTAACTTCAGCCCTGCAAGGCTCCCTCTATTATTTCCTTTGATTTGGTTCAATTATTTCTCTTCTCACAAAAACTAGTCACAGAGAACTCGTCTAAGAACTAAATTTATTTTTCTCATCTTCCTTCAGCTTTGGCAAAGCTTTTGTAAAAGTTTTATTTTTGACGTTTGCTTTATCTTCCTTCCCTATTAACCACAACTAGTTTCCTTTTTCTCTAACTCTACTCAAATAAATCAATTTTTGTGCATACTGGAATGGAAAATTTTACAGTTACTAAAAAGTTATTCAGAAAGAAATTTACATATGCAGTTTCATGGAACTTGTGGACCTGTGGTTGGAACTGAATATTTATCTATGACTATATAAATGATACATACATATAATGTTTCTTATTTCCAATTGTTATATATGATCATTCTTGCTAATCCAAACTAGTTAATATGGACTGTAAACATTGATTACATTGATTGAAAGTATTTGCATTCACCTTGGACAAAAGTTAAGAATCACAGAACCAATCAACACAAAGAACCTACATTTTTACAGATATGCAAGCTGTGTGGTCAGTGAAATAAGCACAGACAGGTAGAGAGATGGGGGAGCAGGTAGATAGCTTGTGGTTAAAGACTGACTCTGCTAATTATTGCTGGGAACATGAAAGCCTTCTTCTATTCAGTTATTTAATGTATAATAAACCCTGACTTAAAGTATTAATACTTCTGTGGAGATTAAATAAGTTTCTGTTTAAGTGAACTTAAATGAAAAGAAACCTCTCAAGATTTAAAGGCTATTTAGGTGGGGAAGAGGAGTTTCCATAGTCTTCACTGGGAGGCAAGTTTGTGGAGACAGTTATAGAATAATTGTATGTTTGAACCATGGATTTTGGTTTTTAAAATGTATGTTTCCCAGAGTTTTAATAGACATTTGTAGAAAACTGAATGAAAAACCTGAACTATTTTCATGGATACATGGCCATTTATGAAGAATATTCATGGATCAGAGCCCCAAATATGAATTACTGGAGGCTTGGAGAGTATTTCCCAAACTGCTGTAGTAATAATAGTGCTTCATGCACTCTGTGGGGGAAAAGGGGTTTTATTCATTTGGATACATGAAGGAGGGAAAGAGGTCAAAATTAAATTAGATTGTTTTCTCACATTGACATAAGAGCCATCCCAAGTAGATTATGAATGTGTATATATTTAAAACTCTAAAGTTATGAGAATAAAAAATTAGAATTTTTTTATAATCTTGCAAAACAAAGGTTTTTCTAAAACACGAAATCAGAAGCCATAAAAAGTAAAAATAGGCTGGACACGGTGGTGCACGCCTGTAATCCCAGCACTTTGGGAGGCCGATGGGGGTGGATCACCTGAGGTCAGGAGTTTGCGACCAGCCTGACTAAAATGGTGAAACCGCATCTCTACTAAATACAAAAAACTTAGCCAGCCATGGTGGCACATGCCTGTAATTCCAGCTACTTGGGAGGCTGAGGCAGGAGAATTGCTTGAACTCGGGAGGTGGAGGTTACAGTGACCCGAGATCGCACCATTGCACTCCAGCCTGGGCAACAAGAGCGAAACTCCATCTGCAGGAAAAAAAAAAAAAAAAAAGTAAAAATATTACTACACTTAAAATTTAAACATTTGTATAGTAAAATACACATAAACAAAGTTAAAGGCAAATATATAAAATAGAAGAAAAAAAAACTTGAACATTCCTAAGACCAAGGACAAAAACCTTAGAGAAAAAAAAGCCCAGTGGGAAAAGGAGCACTGCATATAAAGGCTAATCACAGAATAAGAAATGGTAAGGCATCAACTTCATTGATAATTGAGAAATAAAAAAAATAGAATAGCAGTTAAATATATTAATAATTTTATATTATTTCACTTACAGAAAAAAATGGTCATTCAAAATTGTAAATTCTACATTTCTTCCCCAAAGATAACTACTTTTCCAAGTATGGGATTTATGACTCTGGACTTTTATCTATGAATAAATATGCATATATATATATATATATATGTGCATATCACTGAGATTTCTGGATTTGGGGTAATGGTAGCTGTTCTTATTTTTCTAAGGGAAAAAATTTTTTTCCTTTTATGGTAGGTCATAGAGGTCTTTTTATAGTAGTCATTTTCTATTATCACATGTACATCTTTTATGTTTCTCAAACCACTACAAAGCATAAATGCATCTATAATGTAATTAGTTATTTCTTTATTGATAGATATTTAGGTTCTCCATAATGATTTATTATAAACAATAATAAAATAAATGTTAGAGGTTGCCTTTTGAAATAGATTTTTTTACCCTTGAGATTGCCGAAAAATGTAAGTAATTGATGCTATCTGGCATGGCATGACATAGGGAAACAAATATCTTGTTATACTACCAGTGGGAGAATAATTGGCAAAAATCTCTTTTGAGGGCAATTTGTCAGTATCTAGCAAAGAAGCAAAACTTGGAAAGAAACACACGAAATTTTTCACTGAGGTTATTTCTGGGAAGAAGAATTGGTTTACAGGAACTGAGTAAATTAGAAAGAATTTTACTTTTTACTCTGTATTATGCTACATTGTTTGAATTTAACAATGTGTGTATTCCTTTGTAAAATTAAATTAAATTTAAAAAATAAGAACTCCATGATCAAATACTTTGTTTCTATATATACTATATACTATAGTTCTGTCTTAAAAATTTCTAATGCTCATTTGCATATTTAAGCTCTGAAAAGCCCTAAGTTACTTAAATGCTGCCCCCTTTATTCAAATAACCCTTATTAATATGTCAATAATTGGATATTTCCATAAAACCCTTTAAAAAATCATGCCGATTTTTGGAGAATAGCTATAGAGAAAGAGATTTTCCCAAATGCCAAATTGTTCAAAATCAATCACATTCAAGTTTTCCGTAAGTATCAGGCTCATGCCTTTAGATTCAAGAGCAAATGATTTCTAAGAGAAAATGACACTTCCCAAGGTAACTTCAGTAACTAACTCTGTCTATGATGAACTTTGTGTTTTGGGGCACTGTATACTCCCAACCACAAGTATAATTTCCCTATGGGAAAACAAGCAACCCTGGGACCAAGTACAATGCAAATCACTTGTTGTAATATGCTCAAATGTGGCTTGAGTGTAAGGCTTTAAGCTTGAGCAAGATGCAGTAGAGTTTCTTCATTTTCTCAGACTACAGTTCCTTTCAGCTTGCCTCCCCTACCTCAGCTGCTGACATTCAAATTGACTTTTCACATTTATAATAGCAGTTTCTGTCTTGTTTTTACCATTGTCCATTGAGACCACTGCTGTGATTTTCTGCTGATGCACAAGATGGAAGAAAGTGTCCCGGAAAATGCACCACTTATTCCAGTCATTTTGCTAAAGGACACTTGAGTGTGGGCAAAGTTGTCAGAGAAAATGACAGAAAGCTGCACACTGCTGTCAAGAATTGCTTCCTCATCAGTAGCCGGATTTTCAGAAACTAGACCCAAACCTCATGTGCTCTCCAGCTTTCAGGCAAGAAAGTGAGCTACAAGACATATAAAATAAAGGGTCGAGCCCGATTATCTACAAAATGAAAAAGAAGGAAGAAATAACCTCCTGTTATTTTTACAGGAGGAAACTGTAAAAATAACAAGTAGAAAAAAAGGAAAAAGAAAGAAAACTGCAGTGATGCAAAACGCTGCACAGAGACCCCAGAGGTTTGAAAAGACAACGTTGAACTTGATCCAAATGTCAATCAATTATGTTTAAATTTTTGCCAAGTGCTTTGTGTTCTGCATGTTTTAGGCAATGATCACAAGTGGAAATTGAGGGTGGACAGTGTAGGAAGAGAAAAAAGAATAGCATCCATGATTTCTAACAATGAGAAGTATATAACCTAGGAGATAAACACAAATAAGGGAAAAAGTGAAGAAGAGAGGGAGGGGCACAGAGAGCGAAGGTAGGAGGGAGTAAGAGAGGTATTTCTCAAATCAGTTTCATGAAACAACAGTTTCTAAGATGCCGATAGTAGTTATTGTCAGAGGCGTTTGAACCAGAGTGGCTCCATCTTGAATAGGGTCTGAGTAAAATAAGGCGGAGTCATACTGGGCTGCATTCCCAGGATGGAGTCTCGCTCCGTCGAACAGGCTTGGAGTGCAGTGGCACGATCTCGGCTCACTGCAAGCTCCGTCTCCTGGGTTCAGGCCGTTCTCCTGCCTCAGCCTCCCGAGTAGTTGGGACTACAGGCGCCCACCACCACGCCCCGCTAATTTTTTTCGTATTTTTGGTAGAGGCGGGGTTTCACCATATTGGCCAGGCTGGTCTCAAACTCCTGACCTTGTGATCCACCCGCCTCAGCCTCCCAAAGTGCTAGGATTACAGGCATGAGCCAACACCCCAAGCCCGTTAAGGCATTCTTAGTCAAAGGATGAGATAGGAGGTGGGCACAAGATACAGATTATAAAGACCTTGCCGATAAAACAGCATAAGGTAAAGAAGCCGGCCAAATCCCATCAAAACCAAGTTGGGAAAGAAAGTGACCTCCGGTTGTTCTCACTGCTCATTGTACACCAATTATAATATATTAGCATGCTAAAAGACACACCAGTGCCATGACAGTTTACAAATGCCATGGCAATGTCAGGAAGTTACCCCATATGGTCTAAAAGTGGGAGGAGCCCTCAGTTTCTTGAATTGTTCACCTCTTTCTGGGAAAACTCATGAATAATCCACCTCTTGTTTGGCATATAATCAAGAAATAACCATAAAAATAGCCAACCGGCAGCCCTCAGGGCAGTAGCCTTTCTTTATTCCTTTACTTTCTTAATAAACTTGCTTTCACTTTACAGACTTGCTCAGAATTCTTTCTTGCATGAGGTCCAATAACCCTCTCTTGGGGTCTGAATCAGGACCCCTTTCCAGTAACATTATGACAAAAAAATAAAAACAGAATTAATAAAAATGACTCTTAGGACAATTAAATATCAAGCTTCTCAGAAATTTTACTATATGAACATGTTTCTGGATTTGCCAAGTGAGAAATATAATTTGCTTCATTTGATATTGGAAATTATTTTTATGGACTGCAAGTCTGTTAATTTTTGAAAACTATTATTTTGACAATGATGATTAGCAGAACTCAGGTCTCTAGTTATACTTCTGCTGATATCTAGCTACGTGACTTTAGACATGTCTCTACCCTTCAATGAACTTTAATCTTCCCATCTATAAAATAAGAGTTGTCCAAGATAGTTCTAGAGGCCTCATTCTTCTATGACTCAAACACAATAGCACAGGTCCTCACCTATGTAAAACAAACTAAAATATAATTTTATTGCTCAGGTAATGCTTTTTCAGGAGACACCTTCTGGGAAAACAAACAAACAAATAGACTTTTGCTCTGAACCTTGATTCAGAAGACCCAATGAATACAATAGAAAAAGCCAGATTTGATATTTGGTATTCATTAAAGTCTTCTAGTTATAGTTATCAGATGAAGTCTCTGATAAACTCCACAGCACATTGTAGATCACTACTCATATTCTTGACTGAGTCCTCCCAAATTTGTGGGATGTCTTTCTGTGATGTTAACTATGTTTCCCCACATCCTCCAGGAAATATCAACATGAAAATACCTGAGATTTTAGTTTTCAGTTTCAACATGGAAAAAGTTGGAAGTCATCAGTTTTGCCCTCCTTACAAGAAAAAGCTGGAGATACTGAAAGTTAAATATTTTTATGGATCCATAAGAGAATTGAGGTTGCAAGGCAAAGAGCCAGCAGAAAATTTGGAGAGATACCTATTTCTCCAGATTTTGACTGGATGCATCCTGAAAGTCAAAGCTGAGATCTGCTTAACTGAACTGAAGTTGAAGCCATAAACTGGTGAAACTCTTAATGATAATTTTAACAAATTGCTGAAGGCTAAAGTTCAATTAAAAACTCCTGAGATCATAATGTTAGACAGACTGCACACTTTCATGGGCTTTACCACCAGAAACCTCACCAGGTTCTCATGGTGAAGATTTAAGAACAAACCCTTCATGACTCAAGCAGGGCTGAGGAAGAAAAAAATAGTAATTGTTACATATATCCAGAGTCTTCCACATAACAAAGGTCTGCCCGCCAGGGGAAAATAGTTTACCAGAGCTTTATCCCAGTTGAGGGAAGGGCATTTCTTCCATTTCCATTTCAGCCCCACCTAGACTTCCTGTCTCATCTAAGGGAGGAAATGGATAGTCAACAGAAGCCAGAGTTTCAAGGATACAGCTTTGAGACCTGTCAGCCAGGGAAGGGAGCACGCAGATTGGAGGTAAATTTATACTTCTGTAGACACTCTTGTGAAAGTCAGAGGAGGTGAATAATGTAAGTAGAAAAAGATGAAAATAATAAGAATGGGATTTAATCATAAAATTACTAAATATTTTCCCTACCCCATACTTTTCCAGCACATCAAAAAGGCTCCAGTAGTAACTGCTGATTATAGCTAAAAGGGCTGCATGACATAAATTCTATCTAAGGAGGAGTTCTTAGGGAAGGCCCAAGACAACAGGGGAGACAAAACAAGTGTGCTAGAGGAATTTGTAGCCCGTGGCACCAACAGCCCAGCAAACATTAAAGACAGTTTAATTTCTCACTAGATTAAGATGAAACCTCACACTTAATGTCTTTTTACCTCATCTCCTGTTACCTGACACATAATGTCTAGTTTTCAACAGCAACAAAATTACAAATTATAAGACATTTCAAAAGGCAAAAAAAACACAGCCTGAAGAGACAAAGCAAGAATCAGAACCAGCCTCAGATATGACACACATGTTGGAATCATCAGATAAGAATTTTAAAATGACTATGATTTTAGTCCAGTGACACTAAACTACCTATGCTAAAGAGCCAGCCTTTTATTTAAATTTTTAATCTGCTATAGACCAATAATTTTGTAAAACATAGTAAAATTAATTACTACACAATAAAATAATATAAAAATCAAAATCTACACAAAATAAATTAAATGGCTGTGACTAATAATGTCAAGGACTCCAGTGGAAAATGTAGACAACATGCAAAAGCAGGTGGAAAATGTAAATATTAAAAACATGAAAATTATAAGAAATAGACAAAAGAAAATGCTAGAAATTAAGCAACGTAACAAATGAAGGATGTCCTTTTATAGGCTCATTGTTACAATGGACACAACTAGGAGAAGATTCAGTAAGCTTGAAGATATATCAGTAGAAATTCCCCAGACAGAAATGCAAAAAGAAGAAAGAATAAAAATAACAGAACATAATGTATAAGAACGGTTGAACACTTACAAAAGGTGTAATAAATACATAGGAATACCACCAGAAATAGAAAATAAAAACCCACCAACCTAGAATTCTGTATCCAATAAAATAATTTTTTAAAAGTTAAGAAAACATAAAGTTGTTCTTGGACAAAAACTCAAAAACAAAATTATTCCCAGTAGACTTGCCTCACAAAATGTTAAAGGAAGTTTTTCAGGTAGTAGCAAAAAATTGTATAGGTCAGAAATATGGATCTATACAAAGAAAAATAAAGACCATTGGAAAAGAAGTGAAGGTAAAATGAAATATTTTATTTTTTTAATCTTAATTGATCAAAGAGATGACTGTTTAAAGCAATAATGGTAGTACTGTATTGGCATGTAGAAAAAGTGAAATGAATGAAAGCAATGTTACAAGGGACAGAAAGGAAGAATTCGTATCTACCCTACATGGGAAGCAGTATAGTGTTACTTCAGGGTAGATCTAGGTAGTAAAAAATGCATATTATCAACTATAGGGCATCCAGTAAAACTTTTTAAACAATGTACAATGATAATGCTAAATTTAGAGACAGAATTATATAAAATGTTCAATTAAAACTAGAGAGGGAAGAAAAAGAGGAGGGAAATAAAATGGAATAAAACCCAATGAATGGAAAATAGTTGCAAAGAGGATAGCTATTAATTCATTTATATCAATAATTACTTTAAATGTGAATGATCTAAATAACAAATAGTAATTGTAAAAATCGATTTAAAAACAAAACAAAAACACCAAACTACGTGTTTTCTGCAGGAAATATAGTGTAAATATAAAAACTCAGGTTAGAAGAGATGGAGAAAGATCTATCATGCTAACACTACAAAAGATAAACTATGCTAACTAATCAAAAAGAAAGTTGGAGTAGCTCTGCTAATTTCAGGAAAAGCAGATTTTAGATCAAGGGAGATTAACAGAGAAAATGAAAAGTACCACATAATGATAAAGGGGTAGATTCTCAAAGAAATATAATATTCCTAACATATGTGACCTACCAAAAAAAATCAAACAGCACGAGGCAAAAAATAATCGAATAAAAGAGAAAAATAAACAAATCCATCATCATAGTTGGAGGCTACAACATCTCTCTGTCAGTAACAGATAGATCAAGTAGGTAGAAAATCAATATGAATACAGATGACCTGAGCAGCAATAATAATCAGATTGATCTAATTAACTTTTATAAAATAATCTATCTAGGAACAGAATACATTCCTCTCCAGCTCACATAGAATATTTACCAAGATAGATCATGTTTGGGGGCATTAAGCACACTTTCATGTATTTTAAAAATTTGAAACCATATAAGGTAGCTTAGACTATAATGGAATTAAAATAGAAATTAATCACAGGTAATGAGAAAATCCTTAATATTTGGAAATTAAAAGCATAATTTTAAAAAACACATGGGTCAAAGTATAACTCTCAAAAATAGGACTTATCAAACTTGGAGTATGCAGCAAAAACAGTGCTTAGAGCAAAAGTTATAGCATTATATGCATAGACCAGAAAAGAAGAAAGTTCTCAAATTAGTAATCTAAGCTTCTGTTTTAGGAAACTAGAGAAAGAAGAGTAATTTAAGCCAAAACAAGCCAAAGAAAAGAACTAATGCATTTGGAACATATACCAATGAGCTTGAAAAACATAGAGAAAAATCAACAAAACCCCAAATTAGTCCTTACAAAACATCAATGAAATTAATAAAACGCTAGGGATTAATAAATATATTGGGAATAGTCAAACATAAAACAAATAAAATGTATATTATGCATAAACTTCCCTGTGTAATCCTTATAAAAACCCCATAAATTAAGGCCTGTAATTATTTCCCATTCATACATGAGGAAAATAGATCATATATTGAAGATTACATAATAAACCAAGTTATTCTAAAATCCAAGCTCAAACTATTAAAATTTAATATCTCAATGCAATATAATTTGCATTGGGTTTATATAAGTTAGGAAGACTTTGGCTGCCAAGTAACATTGCACCTTGAATTAAAATGGTTTAAACAGTGTATTATTTCATGTAACAAGAGGTTCAGAGTTTGGTAAGTGTCAAGCTTGGTATGTCAGGACTTCAACTCGTTTTTTATTTTTCCTTTCTATTTATAGCTTTTTGTATATTGCTTTATCCTCAGTTTGGCATCCGTTTTGTGCTGCTATAACAGAATCCCCTAGCCTGGGTAATTTATAAAATAGGGGGATTGGATTACATTACCAGTTAGACTTTTTATTTCAGGTGCAGTGTGTACTAGGGGGTCAACCACCACAATCACTGAAAAGATAGGCTCTTCAATGTCAAAAATACTCTTTTCTACTGGCATTGGTAGTATAGTAGTAAGAAGAGCTGCCTTTCAAAATACTTTTTTTCTGTATGAAAAGGCCTGGGAAGTCAATGAAAACTACTGACAAATAATACAGATACTTTTTTTTTTTTTAACAGAGTCTTGCTCTGTCACCCAGGCTAGAGTGCAGTGGCATGACCTCGGCTCACTGCAACCTCTGCCTCCTAGGTTCAAGCTATTCTTCTGCCTCAGCCCCCCAAGTAGCTGGGATTACAGGCATGTGGCACTACACCCAGCTAATTTTTTGTATTTTTAGTAGAGACGGGGTTTCACTCTACTGGCCAGGTTGGTCTGGAACTCCTGACCTCAGGTGATCTGCCCAATTTGGCTTCCCCAAATGCTGGGATTACAGGCGTGAGCCACTGCACCTGGCCAATACAGATATTTTTGATACATGTGTGATATACACTATGGCATAACTCCATAGTATTGCTGTATCACTAAATATATACATCTTTAATATTTTGAATATTCATGGCAATTAATTGTTTTGAAAAATCCATCAGTAAAGCTAATGCTTCCAATAATCACTAACACAATCCTTCATCACTCTTAGCATGTCTTTGTTTTATGAAGTTTTTTATAATAAAGTTGTTTAAAAAATGGTCTCCAACATTGCAAGTTTTATTATTTAGTTTAGTATTCATGACAAGTAAATAAATAGATGACACTTTGTATAGGAAATCAATGGTAATCATTCAGTGAGTGATATAATCAATATACTAAAGTGCATATCAAAGAAAGGAAAGAATGGAGAATCCAAAAAAAATTTTAAAGTGGGGGTATTTACTGGATTGTATAAGACACGTGCTATGGTCTGGATGTATCTGCCCTCCTAAAATGCATAAATTCATATGTTAAAATTCTAACCCCTAAGTCAATAGTATTAGGAAGTAGATCCTTTGGGTTGTGTTTAGATCATGGGCTTAAAACCATCATAAATGAAATTAGTGCCGTTATAAAACAATCCTTAGAGAGATCTTGCCCCTTCCACCATGTGAAGATACATCAAGAGAGCCCCATTTATGAAATGGGTTCTTGCCAGACGCAGGATCTGCCAGTGTCTTTATCTTGGACATCTCAGCCTCCAGAACTGTGAGAAATCAATATTTCATGTTTATAACCCACCAAATTTAAGATATTCTGTGATAGCTGCCCAAATGGATTAAAACAAGTTAAGGTATGATTTCTCGCTATTCACACATAAAATAAAGAAAAAGTTATATCCCTATTCCTTTTGCCTATTAGATATGCTTTTCTTATGATATTTGTCTTTGTACAAAGAGCTGTTTATATCTCATTTGTGTCATGTTATGTAAATACGAATATTCAATGAAAGTTTAGTCTGCTGAAGTCATGCAGTGCCTAACAGGGAGTAGGTACGTGATAAGTGTTAACAGAGAGAGACTGTGTAATTCTAGGTAATATTTGTGCTTCTTAGGGTAAGCAGTCAAAACCAGTAAAAGCTAACTTAGGAATAGAAGTGACTAAGTCACATGGTAGAAGACAGCTGACAGAATATTTAGGAGATTGGACAATTACACATGACATCCACCCTGTCACAAATAAATATAAAGTCATTCCACAGGGTTAGTCTGGAGATGAAGACATTGAATGCACAAACTTTACCTTAGTTCCACCTTCACCAACATGGATCCAGTCTGTTTTCTTCCTTTTAATGTGCAGCGCTTAAATCTCAGGCAGGAACATCACATTAGTAGAAGTTAGGGTACATATCCGTATACCAGCTGCAGAGGAATCGCGAGGAAAATCGAGAGGAAAGATGGAATCACGAATATGGAACAAATTCAGTCTCCACAAAGGAATGTAGGGCTAGCCACTCAAGAGAAAAATGTCCCAAATGTAGGAATAGAGTTGGGTGTTTGGAAGCGTAATAATATTGCAAATGCCGTTGCAACAGTAATTTTATTAAGAGTTTAACCCTTTTAAAAAGAGCCAAATTATTTTTAAAAAAGAGCTTTATTATTTTGAAGCTGAAAGGGACAGGATATAGCATATACATACACACACATATATATAATATTTGTGCAAATATACATGTTTTATGTTTGTATGTATGTGTGTGTGCATGCTACTACTCTGTCTACTGAACCCATTGCAGACAGAGCTAATTGATGCTATGTTTTTTTTTTTTTCTACCCAGCCAAACACAATTTTTCCACATACTATGATCCAGGTAGCTAATGCTAATCAATCAGAGTTGGCAGTTAAGATAAAATCTACTTGCAAACATAAAACCACATTACTGTACAAATGAGAAGTCAGAGACTGAAAGAATTTAAAGAACATTCTCAAGTTACTTATCAAGACAGATAGTTAATGGAAAACTCAGGGCTAATGGCTAATAGCTAACATTTATCTAACTCCTCAATCTACCAGTCACTCTTCTGAATGTTTTATGTCTAGTAATGCATTTAATCCTCATAACATCCATGTAAGATAAGCATTATTATAATCCTCAATTTTATAGATGAGACAGTGAAGCACAGATAAGTAATTTGAAGATTCAAGATTTGAATCCAGACACTCCAAAATCCAGAGCCCACATTCTTTACCATGATGCTAAATTTCTCATAAAACTTAAAAAAGAGACAAATTCTGGTTTTAAAAATTACTCTAGCCAAACTTCAAAGATATCTAAAAATTATTATTTTTATTCACTCAGAATGTGTATCTTATAGCTCCTAGTTACTGGAACAAGTTTCTTGATATTATAGTTAAATTGATCTCAAAAGTTTTGCTATTAAATTGTCCATGATTGCTAGAAGATTCTTTCCACAACAGCCTCACATGTCTTGTTCACCATTCACAGACTGTTGAATATAATAAAAGTATTGGTCATTATTTTTATTCTTAGCCTCTAAATCAAGAAGATAATTTGTTCCTTTTAACTTCTTTAAAAATTCAACCTCATGCTAAAGAAGAAAACGAAAACAAAATCTTAAGACACAGAACTGTGACTTGTATTATCTCTGAGTATTATTGTTACATGTGTAAAATAAAATTAGAATGTATGTCTCTAAGATGTATTTACATTGTAGGAACGATCTCTTAGAAAAGGGATATTTCACATAATTTATTTGAGAATATTGAAGACATTTTCTAATAAAAAATATAATTCATTCACTTAAAGAGTAATATATTTCTCTTGTTCAGTTATTTTCTAGTTGCAAACTAGGGCTTTCTTCTAACATTAATACAGGGAATAATTATCTTGGTAATTCCCTAGAAGCTTGTAACTTTTACAATTTTACCTTTTATATGAAGTGCATAACAAGGGAAACCCTCATAAAAACCTTCTCAAAATTCTATACTTTTACCACAACACATTATAATAAAGATCACAGTTTAAATGAGAAATGAAAAGAACAAGTCTGAAAGTATCTTAAATACAAAAGTGTATGTAGAAAATTATAATCCTGATGCTATTTGTGTAAGAAAATAGAGAAAAAATCTAAATATTGCTCAATATAAGATTCATTAAAGTGAGGTATTTTTGTTCTTTAAAATACTATGTAAGACCTGTAATCTCAGCACTTTGGGAGGCTGATGCAGGCAGATCCCTTGAGGTCAGGAGTTCGAGACCAGCCTGGCCAACATGGTGAAACCTCGTCTCTACAAAAAGTACAAATATTAGCCAGGTGTGGTGGCATGATCCTGTAATCCCAGTTACTTGGGAGGCTGAAGCAGGATAATCGCTTCAACCTGGGAGGTGGAGGTTGCAGTGAGCCGAGACGGCACCACTGTACTCCAGCCTGGGTGACAGAGCAAGACTTCATCTCAAAAAACAAAAAAAAAATAAAAAACAAAAAAAAACAAAAAAAACTATGTAAGGTATGCCACTTCTGACTTAGGTGAAGTAAGGTAACTCAGATATGCCCACCTGCATGAAACAACTACACTAAAAAACAAAGAAGTTTGAAACAACAGCTCTCGAGATTGGGAATAGGTAATAAAGAAAATGAATCCTGAGGGCTGATAAATCAACAAAGTGAGTCCAATAGCTGCCCCAGCTTACCACATTAATTAGTCTTCAGCCGAGGAGCAGGGAAGGGAAAATCAGGAATAGCCTAGTGAACTTCTCAGGTTGAAGAAAAAGAACTGAAAGAGATAAAGGAAGTTAGAGTTCACAGGACACAGCTGTGTTCATCCATTTTTTGCGTTGCTATAAAGAAATAACTGAGATTGTGTAATTTATAAGGAAAAGAGTTTTATTTTGGCTCGTGGTTCTGCAGACTCTATAGAAAACATGGTGCTTGCACCTGCTTCTGGTGAAGGCCTCAGGAAACTTACAGTCATGGTAAAAGGCAAAAGGGGAGCCAGTAAATCACATGGCCAGAGCAGGGACAAGCTGAGAGGGAGGGAGTGCCACATTGTTAACCAGATCTTGCATGAACTCGCCATTACCATGGAGGGGCCACCAAGCCAACCATGAGCAATCTGCCACTATGAACTAAACATCTCTCACCAGGACCCACCTCCAAAACTGGGAATCACATTTTGATATGAGATTCGGAGGGGACAAATATCTAAACCATGTCACAGCTACATAGAAAGCTCAACAGACATCAGAAACTATTTCTGAGTATTGAGTAGTGTGGTCATTAGCACATGCAGTAAGGATCAGCACATGCACCTGAATTTGGGGAAGTGAATAAGGGAGAACACTGTAAAACTAAAACATTAGAAGGAACAGGACCCATAGTGCATACAGGGCCAGAAATAGGTTTTGTTCCCAAGGCATCCAAGAAAAACTCATAGTTCAAGAGGCAACGGGCCGAGAGCTCATAAGGGACTTGCCTCAGTAGTGTAGATTAATTAGTCGTACACTGCATGCTACCCTAGACCTGCCTGATAAAGCTTAAAAGTTAGACTTGAAAAATTCAAAGTTTCTGTGTAATTTAACTGCATTGCAGAGCAAAGTTCAAGAATATTTATGGGAATACAAAAACAAACAATGACAACAAACCCAGCACCTAGCAAAGTATAATTCTTAATGTCTAACATATACTCAAAAAAATTATCAGGCATGCAAAGAAACCAGAAAATGCTACCCATAATGAGGAGAAATGTCAACCAAACTGACCTAGATGAAAGACTTAGTAGACAGTTACTGAAATAGTATTATTACTCTATTCCATATGTTCAATAAGCTAGAGGAGAGATTAAACCTGTAAAATGGAGACATGTAAGATATAAAAAATTCAGATCTCAAGAGATGTAAACTACAATCTCTGAGATAAAAAAAATATACTAGAAGGTATTAATGGCAGATTAGACATTGCTAAAAAAGTGATAAGTGAATTGAAAAATAACATAAACTATTAAAATTAAACCACAGGGGAGGGGGGAAGAAAGAACAGAGTATTAGTGAGCAGAAGCACAACTTCATGTCACCCAATATACATATTATTGGTATTCTTGAAGGTGAGGAAGATGAAGAATAACAAACATATTTGAAGAAATAATGGCAATTTTTCCCAAATTTGTTGGAAAATACAAAATTTACATTCAAGAAGCTCAAGTCCAAGAAATACGAAGAAAATTACACCAAGACACATCATAATCAAATTAGTAAAAGAGGGAGAGGAAGAGGGGAAGAAAATATTAAATTTTTTTTTAAAAAAAATGCATACAAAGGAAAGGACTGAAGATTATTCATAAGGAATAATTCAAGAGAGATGAAAATGGAGAAACGGCTTTAAAGTAGTGGAAGAAAAAGTGCTCGATCGACAATTCTACACCCAAATAAAACATCGTGCAAAAATAAAAACAATTTTTTGTGGAAACATGAATACTTATAGATTCAATAGTAGATCTGCACTGTAAAAAGGAAAAATGATACCAGATAGATAGAAATATATCTACATAAGGAAAACACCATATGTAAGTTACATGTACAAATATGTAAAAATTTTTCTTTAAATATATTCAAATGATTATTAACTATTTAAACAAACTAAATAACAATGCGTTGTGAGGCTGTGACATATGAGGAAGTAAAATGTACAATAATAGGTACATGAAACCTGGGAGGGAAGAAATAAAAATAAACTGTAAAATTCCTATGCTATGCATAAAGTAGTATAATATTAATATAAGGTAGGTTGTGATAATAAAATCAAATACCATGTTATAACACATAAGCCAACAAAGAAAATAAAATATAATTATTTTTGAAAACAATGAATTAACCCCAAAAAAAGTAGATGAAGAAAAAGGAAGGAAAAAAAGAAAATGGAAAAGTAATAGATGAGACAAATAGAAAACAAATAGAATGATAGATTAAAATTAACTGTATCAATAGTCACACTAAGCATAAGTGATTTCAACATCTCACCTAAAAGCAAGATATTTTTAAATTAAGAAAAAAAACACATCTACATATTAAAACACATTTTAAAAATGAAAACAAGGCTGGGTATGGTGGCTAATGTCTGCAATCCCAGCACTTTGAGAAGTTGAGGAGGGTGGATCACTTTAGTCCAAAAATACAAAAATTAACCAGGATGGGTACTGCGTGCCTGTAGTACCAGATACTTAGAAGGCTGAGGTGGGAGCATCACTTGAGTCCAGGTAGTTGAGGCTGCAGTGAGCTGTGATCACATCACTGCATTTCAGTCTGGGCGACACAAGAAGACCCTGTCTACAACCAAATGGCTATCAGCAAGTAAATGCATAAACAAGTTCCCACAAAGCCACACAATAAAATACATGGATTTCAAAACAAATTTGGTGAGTGAATTAGATCAGAGGGGAAAAAAAGGACTATACTGATCATTTCATTTAAACAAAATTCTATAATGTATAATAGAGGATACAAGTGCAAACTAATGTATAGAAATCCAATCAGCACAGATCAGGAGATGCAGGGTGAGATAGTATAAAGGGATGTAAGACAACATGACAAGTCTTACAAAATCACATGCTTGAAATGTGTGCAGTTTATTAAAAATGACTGTTATATTTAAACAAGCAATTTTAGATTCAAATTTATGTCTGTGAAGAGGTAGTAATGATATGTTAATTAAATAGAAATTAAGTATATCAATTACTATATAGAGTACATAAATTAAGAGTAATATAAACTTTAGTTTTTCATTATTTTCTGGAAAGCATGGCACTTGGTCTTATCTGGGTTCAAGCCGGGGGTAGGGGCTGAACAAATGATAATTATTATTTGCATGTTTCTAATCCTTCTTATGGAATGATCAAGAAAGAAGATGTTTGAGAATGACTTTGGATTGTCAACCAAAAGTACCTACCAACACAAATAATTTAAATTTTGTGGGAAAAAAAGTAGAAAAAAGAAAGAAAAGTAGATAGATAAAATTTTACCAGTGGATATATAGAGAGATTGATATAAATATTGATATGGATAGAGATACAGACATGGGTATAGATATAAGTAAACATAGAGGTATAGATATAGATACATATAGATGAAAAAATAAATTATTTATGTTGAGAAGATTGTGTTAGTGGAGGTGGGTCTATATATTTAGTTAGGCCTAGAAAAAAATCCTGAAATATGAAGCACTAAATTCATAGTAAGAATTATTCTTAGTTGAAGGATTATAGCACAGCTGTTCCTTTTATTATTTACATTTTTTCCTGAATTTCCTAACATTTTCTTTTTAAATATTCCAGTGAACATGGATTATATTGCCAATTAGCAAAAGGTGATAAACTGTTAAATATTTAACATTTATATCCTAAAAGGAAAGTTACCAAAATAATCACATAGCAGATCATCAACCCAATACATAACCCTAGAAATGAAAATTGCCCCAGCTGTGCCTATCATCCAGCATGTTCCAGTCCTATACTCCTACATCTCTTATTTCTCCACTTTTTTCACGGTTCTCTGCTTAAATGTGCACACACTGGAGAGGACCTTTTTGAATACCTTAAATGAACTTGTTGTACAAATGTAGAAACTTTGGCTTAAGTTTTAGCAGCTGATATTCAAATGTCTTCATGAAAGCTACCATAGTCTTCCAGATGAACTTTATCTAATTATTCTCTCTGAATCGTCTCAGTCCCAACCAAGGGGAAGAGAAGGGTCTGCTGCCAGATTACATAGATATTTGCAGATAAATTAAAATGCAGTCCTTTTTTTCAGGCCATGATTGAGAAAGAGGTCTGGATTACTATTTGTAAAATCATGTGTATAAATTTAAATGCATGTCATTTTATCACTATAAAAACCTTTTATATAAATAGTTTTAATGATAATGTGCACAATTGTTTGTTTCTAAAAACCTTAAAGGACAAAAGATCAAGGTGGCCTGTGTCCTGTTCAGGTGGCATTCTTCAACCTTCCCAATGTCCGATGAATCAGTTATGTTTCACATATAGGTCTGTGAAGCATTAGCTGAACATATCACTGTTTCTGTCTTTGATGATTTTTTATCCTCTTGAGTAACTGCTTCCAAACTCTTACTGCTTATTTTAGTGGTTTGAGTAACTGAAGCACAATATGTAAGAACTGAATGGGGACCTAGGGATAAATCAATTTTATTAAAGAAATCTTTCAACAAAAAGTACAAGCACAGAGATGCTTCTGAATTTTCTTTAGGAGGGAGACGGGGTGCTGGCCAGGAGATAGTTAGCTTCAAGTCCATTTGCCTGAAATTCTCCTGTGGGCCCATGATAGTTCTAGTGACTCTTGGAGCACAATTTGAAAACACATATTTAGTCCAAACTTTATTTTATAAAATCAAAAGTTAAGTGATTCGTACATGCTCATACAGGTAATGGTAATTTTTCTAACAAGTTGTCTTGTGCAACTAATGACTCAACAACTTTCAATGGAATGAACTTATTACCATGGGAATCTCCAGAACCCAGTTCACCTCCCACTGATCCTGAGTGACTCATGCCACCAAAGTAGCATACATATGCCTCTATTTTAAAAAATAAAAGCAACAGACTGCACAGCCTACAGAACAATGTAGGCTGTCAGGCTTTCTAGACAATGATACTCATGCACCCTGAGTCTTTGTTCAGATAGTATCCTTAGTTGTATCTTAAGCAACTCAAGCTGTGACCACTTGTCACCTCTCTGAGATTCAGTCCAGGACTTCTATTTTTATACGTATTAAGTGCTCAGATAATAAATAAAAATGACAAATACATCTTGTTGGACAGGCCAAGTCCAACTTGTTGACAATAATTGCACAGAGTTGTGGTTTTCTGCAGTCACTGCTGTTACTGTTATTGTTTTTTAATGAGAATTATGAGGCGATATTCAGATTCACCATAAAAGAGCTTCATAACTAATTTGCCAAGTCTTACATGAGCTCTAAAGGGTGATATTTTGACATGCATGCCATAGATATGCCACACCTATTCTGAATTTTGACAAACTCTACAAGACAAAACCATAATATTATACAAGTGCCTTCCTCAACTTTCTCAATGCCTGCTGGTGAGTTATTTCTGCTTCACTTGTCTCCCTCAGCCCCAGTACTAATGACCTTTCCTGTGAGTTTTAATACACATAGCTAATTGATCCTTTGTGTATTCCCCTGCCTCTAGAATTTGCTATTCAACTATTTTTTACATTATATTAATAAATAAAGTCTTCCAAACTACATATTCCCAAAAAATCATTCATATTAGGTTTATGATAGGGACTGAGAGTTTATATTTTTTAGAAGTTTCCTAGATAAATCAATGGCATAAAAAAATTAAGAATCATTACCATAAACCATATTTCTTTGGAAGATTTCCTCAAATTCAATAACTTTCAAATCCTGTTACTGTCAGTGGGAATCTGGACAATTTTAAAGCCAGGGTGAGAATATATCAACCTTCTTAAACATAAATATTACATAGTCAAACATCACCTAGAAACCAAGTGGTGGAGCTGTGTGTCATCCAAAATAATGTTAAAGACATGCATATATGTATATATATATATATATATATATATATATATAAAATGAAAGTTATTTACATATATAACCTTCAGTATACACATGCATGCATGTAAGTTATGAAAGTTATATATACATGCATGTATGTAACTTTCATTACATATGCAGAATAACTTGAAAGGACTATAAAATCTATTATAGTAGTAGAAACTCAATAAATGTCTTTTTAATAAATGTCTTTTTTAATAAAAGAAATAATTGATTGTGACCTAGTAATGGCCAGATCAGGTTTATTTTGTTAAATAAGCAAAAATATTTGCTGCTGAAAGAGTTCTAGAAAAATGGTTTAAGCAGTAGCAGACTTGTTTTTCCAAATCCCATATAAAAACAGAAATAGCAATGAAATAGCAAAACAACAATGAAACGAACACTTATTACAAAACCTGGTAACAGAATAGCCCTCATATTACTCATAATATTGTTGACAACATTAATTATAATAGAAGGTTTAAAAATGGAATATTTGTAACATAAAAACGAAATAAAGAGATGAAAATATTTGAGAGAAGGTGACAAAAATTGAAGATGGGCAACTGTATTAGTGCATTTTGCATTGGTATAAAGGAATATCTGAGATTGGCTAATTTATAAAGAAAAGAGATTTATTTGGCTCACAATTCTGCAGACTGTACAAGCATGGCCCTCGCATCTGCTTGGCTTCTGGTGAGGGCTTAGGAAGCTTTTGCTCATGGTGGAAGGCGAAGGGGGAGCAGGTGTGTCACATGGCAAGAGAGGGAGCAAGAGAGGAGGAGGTGTCCGGCTCCTTTAAACAACCAGCTTTCATGTGAACTAACAGATTGAGAACTGACTTATTACTGAAGGGAGGGCACCAAGCCATTCACGAGGAATTTCCTCTCATGACTCAAACACCTCCTACTAGGCCCACCTTCAACATTGAGATCACATTTTAACATGAGATTTGGAGGGGAGACACATCCAAACCATGTCAGCAATGAAGATTTGGCATACAAGTAATAGGAGTTGAAGAAGCAAACCAAACTAAAGCAAAAATAAAAATTAAAAAAAAAAATAAGAAAAATTTCCCCCCAACACAAATAAAATTGAAGCCACTTATTGAAACGGCATACAGTATACTTAACGATATCAACCCAGATGAGCATTAAAAAAACAGGAAGAGAATAGGGAAGGTGGAAATAATGGCATTTGTATAATCCATGAAGGCATGCAGCAAGATATACTGAAACTAAATACAAAACTTGGAAGAGAAAGGGAAAAGCATGAGCAAAGATATAACAAAAGCCAAAATAAAATTTTAACTGTTACTATACTCATCATTAATTGTGATAGTGTTAGAATTGTTATTCAGAGCCTGTTGTATGTGAAAAGTGAGACAAAGTAAATGAATAATGATGGGATATTCTATTATTCCCATTGTCCTTGAGAACACATATTCTCTGTATGGAAGAAAAGTAATGTAACCTAGAAGAAGTTAAGTGAAAACTCCGTACTCCTGAATTTGAATTGGAAATTTCAATCTGAACTTCATTATATGTGAAGAATAGAAACCTGGAGGAAATAAAAGTATTTGTCTACCTTTTAGAAATAAAATATTGACCATCAAGTTTCTAATGACTATCTGCAAGGAAGAGCAAATGAGTTTTATTTTATTTAATATTTATTTTTGGAAGGATGGTGGACTGAGGTGCCTTTTAGTGTATTTGAAGCTCATAATGTGGATAAAAGGAGAAAAAAGACTTGGCAGTACAGGAGGGAATTCTGAGAGAAAATAGGGATACAAAGACACCAAGTTCATGGCTTTGAATGTCTAGGCCCCATCCCTGAAAGTTTCCTTATGGTTCATCTTCGGCCTGGAAGTTTCAGGACCCAGACACTGTAGCAAGGATCTCTGTGAGGAGCGCTATCCCAATGCCCAAATCATTCTTGGATCAGAGAAAATCCCACACTTCTGGTCCAAAGTCTTCTGGCCCAGTTGCCTGCCATTCAGTGCATTGGGACTTAACTCTGATCCTACTTTAAGATCTCACTTACTGGAGGTGTGGTCTTTATTTGAGTGGAAACACTGCAATTCTTGAGCTAAACTGCTTAGCTATCCAAAGAGAAAGCTGACCTGCTGCATGCTGCACACTCAGATACTTGTAAGCCTTCAGGTAGTACTCTACATGGGGTAGTACACTACAGTGGATAGTGTTTGGGAGGAGTGCCATGTCTTTCCTTGGGCGAGAGTGAGCCCCTTAGAAAACTCTGAGTTGACAACAGAGCACATGGTACTCTCCTATAGCAGTGGGAATGTGTGGGGCTGGGCCAGGAAGAGGTGAACTAATTCTGTGTGAGGTCATGTTTTTAAGAAAAATACCAACATTTCAGCTATTCTGAGGGAATTAGGCAATATCCAGGAGAATTTCGGAAACAAAAGATCCAGTCCAGTAGTTAACCCCAAGGTAACTAGGAGCTTTGAGTATGAGAATTTATATAATTA
The DNA here is from genome assembly GCF_000001405.40 of Homo sapiens. Taxonomy (NCBI): domain Eukaryota; kingdom Metazoa; phylum Chordata; class Mammalia; order Primates; family Hominidae; genus Homo; species Homo sapiens. The sequence goes on from NC_000018.10 coordinate 44,153,367, forward strand.
GGTGGGTGATATCATCTCTTTTCAAACTTACAGAAAACTCTGGATATATTTTGAAAAGGACCCAAGACAGTAACTGGATTATGTAGCATCTCTAGGTTCACGAGAGTTGCACAGAGCTTTGTGGCTCAGAAGTGCTCAGCATTTGGTTTAGTGCTCAGCTGTGGCCATCTTCAATCCCTTAATAGTATTTGAACTAGTCCCACATTTTTAATTTTCACTAAGCCCTGGAAACTAACTCCTAATTCTTGGAAAAAGTAAACTAGTAAATGCTAGTGTAATTGTCAAGGCCCCACATTATAGGCGGGAGCTTTGGACAGTAATTTCATCCCAGTAGGAATCTAGTGTGCAACACAAGAGACAAAAGATCATTAATTTTATAAATTCAGCTTACACAATTGAAGTTTGAGAGTAGAATATACGTAATGGACCAAAGACGCAAAGGGACTCAGGATTGACAAGGTAGAGAACCAAGGGCCACTAAGATTAATTACAGGCATTACTTCCTAATGGGAATGGAGCTACTAATAAATTGTCTTTCACGGTTAGGCGGTATCAGCGAGCAGATGTATCTCACACTGCAGATATTGATGATAAACTTTTCCAAAATATGAACTATGTCTTATTCTTCTATGAAGATGACTGTGAAGTTTTACAAAAATTGTGTTGCATCTTATTCTTCTATAAATTCCCAGATGGAGTATAATGCCTAGCACAAAGAAGATCAGGAGTAAATAAAACCAATCTGAACTGTAGAAAAAAGTCTTCGGTAACTATTGAGCTGTGGTTTTGTTCCTCACAGAAACTTGCTAGACAGGCAGGACAAGTCTTATTTATCCCAGTTTTATAAGTAAGAAAGGTAGACTTTAACTGATTAAGAGGCCCAGTAAAGCCACTTCAATGATACAAGCTGGTACCAAAATTTAGTTCTCCAGGTTCCAGTCCAGTTCTACCATGCTGTCTCTCAAATTAATAAAGTTTTAATGGACTGAAAAATGCATCCGCATAGGACTCATCGTGTGTGTGTGTGTGTGTGTGTGTGTGTGTGTGAGATAAGACCCTAAACACCATCACTGGCTCTTCAAGTAGAAACTCAGTGAAAGTGAGATTCATGTGTCATAACCAGGAAAGGCTGTGGAATCTTCATTTAAGATTATTTCAGTTTTCTAAGACACAATGAGGAGGTAAATGAGCTATATGATGTTGTCTTCACTTCATTGTCTTTCATTATTGAACAATTCAAACCCATAAACTTTTCTAGGTCAGAATATTTTCAGGATATGAGAACAAGCTATAAATATTTCTTAAAAGCCTAGGTTATATCATTTCATCATATTAATCAATTAAAACAATAGGCCCTAGCAATTTCTTTTTCATTATTGGGCACTACCAATCTTTTAAAAATATAGCTACTCTTCTATATGGTTTAAGATTCTGCCTAGTGAATTGAACAACTGAATAATTATCCAGCTAGTTGAATCAAGATAGACTATTGGTCTACTTAATATTGCCTGAAATATATCTATTACATTAAAACTGATTGAGAGCCTGAAGTCTATTTGGCTATGTGAAAAATCTGATAAAATTTATATCCGTAAAATTTATATCCCCACAGAAGACAGAGTGTAATTCCTCTCTGCGGAGGTTTGTGCTCATAGAGTTAATTTGAGTCAACCTTCCTTCTAGATTATAGCTGCCAGCCTTGGCTGCATATTGGAATCACCTGGGAGCCTATTAACAGGTGGAGATTTTCAGTCCCCACACCAGACCAATTAAGTCAGAATCTCTTGAGGTGGGACCCCACAATCAGTGTTTTAAAAAGTCTACATGTGATTCTAATAGGCAAACAAGGTAGATAACCCTTATCCTACAGTCTTTGATGGCAGAAAATGTAATGTAGGCTTTCTTACTCTCCACTAAATGAGCATCCCCCATCTGAACATATATACTTCTATGTCATTAGTAAAAATCTACTCGGTTTTAAGTTGGCTCATCTGTGGACAGTTGCTTAGATGTGTTCAGTTTGTCCCTGGCATTTGGACCCAGCCAGGCAAAACAATGACTCTCAAACTCATCTCTTCTCCCATCATTATCTCATTCTCTCCCTCTCCAGCTTTTTTCAACCTACTGTTATTAATTCTCTCCCCAAGAGGACTAAGAAGTTTTATATCCTCCATGTAGACCAAGATTCCATCCTCTGCCCTTGCAAGATTTGTTAATTTTGCTCTCACCAGCAAGTGACTTGATTTCCCTCTTTGGACTTTACTATAGTTCACTCTTTCCATTGTGTTCCCTTTGCATATGATATGGTTAAACTTTGTGTCCTCACCCAAATCTCATCTTGAATTATCATCCCCATAATCCCCACATGTCAAGGGAGAGAACAGGTGGAGGTAATTTGATCATGGGTGCTGTTTCCCCCATGCTGACCTCGTGATAGTGAGTGAGTTCTCATGAGATCTGATAGTTTTATAAGGGGCTCTTCCCCCTTCACTCCTCCTTCCTCTATCCTGTCACCATGTGAAGGTCTTTGCTTCTCCTTTGCCTTCCACCATGATTGTAAGTTTCCTGAGGCCTCCCTAGTCCTGCAGAACTGTGAGTCAATTAAACCTCTTTTCTTTATAAATTACCCAGTCTTGGGTATGTGTGTATAGCAGTGTGAAAACAGACTAATATAGCCTCTAAGGATACTTCTCTTTTCTTATTTTACCACTAAAGAAATCTAATTACTTACCCTAACCATGTAATTGGCATTTACCTGATATTTTATGAGAAATTTAATAACATCAACCCAGTCCAAATTCAAAGAACTCTTTAGAGATTCAGCAAAACTAGTACGAGAAACAAGCTACTTTAATAGCTGTCTCCTACTAAGGCAAATTTCAAATCTCCTCTGACGTCTTACTGGAATGGAGAAAACAGCCAAGTCATCTGTTGCCACTTGTAATAAATTTAGGTTTTCAGGGTTTTATTCCATAGCTTAGGAAAGCCAAGAAAGGCAGCCAAACTGAGAAACTCCTGAAACAATATGTCCATTGTACCATAAGTCAAATCTTCAAGGCTGTTAGTTATAAGACATGCCAGAGATTAAATATCATAATATCACAGGCTATCGTAAAACAGAAGAAGATGCTATATAACATATAACAGAGTTAGAAGGGACTGACCCTTACATTGGGTGTCTTTTTGGCAATAGGCAGGAGAATCACTTGAACCCAGGAGGCGGAGTTTGCAGTGAGCAGAGGTCATGCCACTGTACTCCAGCCTGGGAGATGAGAGCAAAACTCTGTCTTGGAAAATTAATTAATTAATTAATTAAATAAAAATAAAGTATATTTTAAAAAGTAATACTCAAGGCTTAGTGGAAAGATATAGAGCTCTCCTTGGTGAATATTTTTTGAGTAGTTCCCCACGGTCTACCAGAGAATATAGGCCACTGATGTAAAGATCTTTCCCCAGGTAAAATAAAAAGATACTGCAACGTGGAAGTTCCTCAGCCAAGTGGAATATGATTAATAACATGGCGCCCCAGCTCCCACTAGAACACAAATACAAAGCAGGAAAGGAGGCCACAAGCCCAGTATAATTAATTCCAGATAAAATCAGGTGACTGGGTCTCATATTGTCCTCAGCACATGAACATTATGTCAGTCTGGCCAGAGTAAAACATGCAAGATTGGTGCCTCTATGACACCTAATAATAGACTAGCAGTCATAGCTATTCATGAGAACATTTTAGCTTGTCCTTTTTTTTTTTTCTCTCTTCATGTTTACATAAGTTTTGGCTGGCCCTGTGTGGATACGAACAGATTTCCTCAGAAAGCATATAGAAATGGAAGAGTATCAACATTTACTTTAGCCGATTGGTGTCAGACATTTCTGGGTACTTCGCTGATATCATACTATTTAATCCACGGAGAGGACCTCTGCAAAGTTCTTTCCATATTACACATGAAAATAACATAGAGATTAACAATTTTTCCAAAATCAAACAGGTTTTAAGTACCAGGGTCAAATGTAATTACAGAAATTAAATGACACACAAAAATGCCTTGAAGTGAAAAGAGAAAGTATTTATTTTTTACACAGTATTTTTTGTTTTGCCTAGAAGAAAAAAAAAGAGACTTTGTATGTACTACCAAATTGACAGAAAGTGAGATTACAGGTAATTATATTTTTATTGTGTTTTATTTAATTATTAAAGGCAACATAAATTATTCATATAATTAAAAATCATTGAAAAATCAGCACTGGCCTAATTAAAACCAAAGTATATATTTTTTATATTATGCCACATGACTTGAGAATTGATATTCATTCACCAAAGCTTACTGTCTACATAAATACAGCTTTACTATTCTTTAGGAAACTCTTAACACAGAAAAAAAAAATTTACAATATTTGTTATCATCCATTCTAGAAAATTTTGGAAAGATCCATCAACTTTTTAGTATAAATAATAAAACAACAGTTATACCTTTAGTATAAATAATAAAACAACAGTTATACCTTTAAGACTCTTTGAATTCCTTGCCTCAAAATCTTCACCTCATGTAGCTCCTGGCTCCAGCTTCTTGGAGATTGTATCCTTCCATCATTCTTTGTGGCCATATTTATTTATATTGTGCCTCAGAGTAATGCTTCCTTAGAACTGAGTGATTTTCTTAGTTCACTTTATGCCTGTGCGTTTTGGCCTAAAATTGTTTTGGAGTTTTGTTTGTTTGTTTGTTTTCTGAGACGGAATTTCGCTCTTTGTTGCCCAGGCTGGAGTGCAGTAGTGCAACCTCGGCTCACTGCAACCTCAGCCGCCCGGGTTCAAGTGACTCTCCTGTCTCAGCCTCCCGAGTAGCTGGATTACAGGCGCCCACCACCATGCCTGACTAATTTTTGTATTTTTAGTATAGACAGGGTTTCACCATGTTGGCCAGGCTGATCTCAAACTCCTGACCTCAGGTGATCCGCCCACCTCGGCCTCCCAAAGTGCTGGGATTACAGGCATGAGACAAAGATTGTTTTAAGTCTCAAACCTTCAGCTTCTTTAGTTCCAGCTGTTGCTTTGTTAATGCCAAACTCCTAAAAAAATTGTTGGCTTCTTATCTGCTTGATTCCATTCATTGTGGTAAGACAATAGGCATGCTTACATTTTTTCCCCCTGACATCCTGACATAGTTATTTCTTTAAATCTCAGTTAGGTGAAAATAGATGGAAAAATCAAACATTCTCTATCATTTTATAATAATTGGAAGAAACCATGTTTGGGGCAAAGTTCTGTCAAATGCTAAATACTCTAAATTATTATTATTTTTTTAATTTTGTGACTAAAACAAAGCTGAGTTTATTTCTTACCATGGTAAGGAGAAACACTAACTCAATACAGTATTCATAGCTTCTCCATAGCAGAAGGGCATTTTTTTTTCTTATCAAAGTCTGATTTAAGGAAGGTCTTTAATGTGGTGTCTTGGGATCATGATATAATTTAAACAAACAAAGCAACAGCTGGGACTAAAGACACTGAAGTTTTGAGATTTAAAACAATCTTAGGCCAAAATCCACAGGCATCAAATGAACTAACAAAATTACTCAGTTCTAAGGAAGCATTATTTTGAGGCACAATGTAAATAAATATGGCCACAAAGAATGATGGAAGGACACAATGTCTGAGAAGCTGGAGCCAGGAGCTACATGAAAAATATACAAGGGAGCTCCTCCTAGGAAGTAGAATCTCTACCTTAGCAGAGGATTTCAGACTTGCCATGTACCAGTGACAGCTGTGCATTTTAAATTTCAGGGGTTTTTTGTTATTATCGAGTAACATAGGCCATTCCAATGAATACATGTTCTCATAGAGACTTGTAAGGATTGAAAGGTTATCTATATTAAATTCTTAGTACCCGGCACAAAAGAACCACTATGTGTGCATTTGCTATTGTTTCAACCTACTTAGGTTAGTTTCTAGACAAGATTGGATAGTTGACAAAGTTTGTCATTTTTCTCCAATTCCTTTTAAAATAATTAATTTTTCATCCATGGATCTCGGTGCCATACCACTGTGCTATAAGCATTGAGGGTCACTTCAAACTGGTTTCTCTTAAGTCTGTACATAACAGTATCGTCTTATTAATGGTTATAAGAGCCAGGACACCTTACTAGACAAAAACCATGCTAGCTTATAGAATCTTGATATTATTTTAGTAACACTGTAATTTGTAAGTAGACATCATTAGAACTGGACCATAGGTACTTCAAAAACAGGCTTTCTGATTGAAATGTGGGAAGAGTGAAAGAGAAAAATGGGCATATTTTCCTCTACAACCACATATTAGTTTTGACCTCATTACATTCCCAAAATAATCCCCATGGAGTGTCAGGGGATGGAAGTATTATGATCAAGAAAAATGGGGCAAACAAGCAGCCACTTAACCCTCATTCTCAATCTAAAGACATTGATCATGGAATCGGCTTCTTATTTTCTCCTCAATGCTTCACAAATTGTGACATTCATTTGATATCTTAATGCTTGGTTCTTTCTCCCAAGAATAGCAACAATAGATGGGATAACTACCCCCTGTAGTTAGAAAGGTTCTATACATTACCTAAAGTAAAGGTACATACACCATACATGTACACAATGTTTACATTAACACTGACAATCAATGCTTAAAAGAGATGAAAATGCAGGCTGGAGAGCCACAGAAATGACCAATATGGAACAACTTTGACTTCCAAACCTCAGTAAATGGGGAGATTAGCATACTGCCTCAGTACTAATTTCTGCCCCTCACTGCATATGTAATAAATTAAATTTAATTCTATATCAAGCACCAGCCTTCAGTAAGGTAGTATACTAGGCATAGGAAATAGGAATACTAGTAACTCTCAGTGCTATTCTTATGATATTTTAAACTTAATATGAAAGGAAAGATTTCAAAAAGGAATATGGAATAAGATATAAATTCTATTAGAGATTCTCTAATGTCTCTGTAGATCTAAAGCAGGCATCATTACCAAGTTGGAATATTAAGAAAATCAATTTCTTTGATGAGTTACTTGGCAAATAGTAGACACTTTTGATTGAATAAATGAACTTAATTTTGACAAGTGAAATGAAGGTGAGGAGAATCCCATATAAAAGGATTTATACTTATGAAAACACAAAGATAGAAAATTGTGCTATGTGATTTTTTTCACGAAGCTAAGTTGTTTGATTAGGTTGAAATTCTGAGTATATGCATAAGAATGACATTGGTTAAGGCTAGAAAAATAGGTTGCTGTCTGTTGATCATGCCAGGCATGCTCCTGTCTCTAGACCTTTTCCCTTTCTGTTCTCTCTGCCTGAAACCCTTTAATTCTTTATATTCACTTAATTCACTTTCTTTTTTTTTTTAACAGTGATAAGCTTTTAATGTAGTTAAATATGGCAAAACAAATCAATACTTGGTTCTTTATTATTTTATTTTATTTTATTTTTATTCTTTAAGTTCTATGGTACATGTGCACAATGTGCTGGTTTGTTACATAGGTATACATGTGCCTTATTGGTTTGCTGCACCTATCAACTCGTCATTTACATTAGGTATTTCTCTTGCTATCCCTCCTCCCGGTCCCCATCCTATGACAGGCACCAGTGTGTGATGTTCCCTGCCCTGTGTCCGTGTGTCCTCATTGTTCAACTCCCATCTATGAGTGAGAACACGCGGTGTTTGGTTTTCTGTCCTTGTGATAGTTTGCTTGGAATGATGGTTCCCAGCTTCATCCATGTCCCTGCAAAGGACATGAACTCATCCTTTTTTTATGGCGGCATAGTATTTCATGGTGTATATGTGCCACATTTTCTTAATCCAGTCTATCATTGATGTACATTTGGGTTAGTTCCAAGTCTTTGCTATTGTGAATAGTGCCACAATAAACATACGCGTGCATGTGTCTTTATACTAGCATGATTTATAATCCTTTCGGTATATACCCAGCAATGGGATCTCTGGGTCAAAAGGTTTCTCTTGTTCTAGATCCTTGAGGAATCACCACACTGTCTTCCACAATGGTTGAACTAATTTACACTCCCACCAACAGTGTGAAAGCGTTCCTATTTCTCCACATCCTCTCCAGCATCTGTTGTTTCCTAACTTTTTAATGATCGTCATTCAAACTGGCGTGAGATGGTATCTTATTGTGGTTCTGATTTGTATTTCTCTGATGATGAGTAATGATGAGCATTTTTTTGTATGTCTGTTGGCTGCATAAATGTCTTTTGAGAAGTGTCTGTTCATATCCTTTGCCCACTTTTTAAAGGGGTTGTTTGTTTTTTCTTGTAACTTTGTTTAAGTTCTTTGTAGATTCTGGATATTAGCCCTTTGTCCAATGGGTAGAATGCAAAGATTTTCTCCCATTCTGTAGGTTGCCTGTTCACTCTGATGATTGTTTCTTTTGCTGTGCAGAAGCTCTTTAGTTTAATTAGATCCCATTTGTCAATTTTGGCTTTTGTTGCCATTGCTTTTGGTGTTTTAATCATTAAGTCTTTGCCCGTGCCTATGTCCTGAATGGTATTGCCTACATTTTCTTCTAGGGTTTTTATGGTGTTAGGACTTACATTTAAGTCTTTACTCCATCTTGGGTTAATTTTTGTAGAAGGTGTAAGAGAAGGATCAAGTTTCAGCTTTCTACATATGGCTAGCTAATTTTCCCACCACCAATTATTACATAGGGAATCCTTTCCCAATTTCTTGTTTTTGTCAGGTGTGTCAAAGATCAGGTGGTTGTAGATGTGTGGTGTTATTTCTGAGGCCTCTGTTCTGTTCCATTGGTTTATATATATGTTTTGGTACCAGTACCATGCTGTTTTGGTTACTGTAGCCTTGTAGTATAGTTTGAAGTCAGTGATGCCTCCAGCTTTGTTCTTTATGCTTAGAATTGTCTTGGCTATGTGGGCTCTTCTTTGGTTCCATATGAACTTTAGTTTTTCCAATTCTATGAAGAAAGTCAGTGGTAGCTTGATGGGGATAGCATTGAATCTATAAATTACCTGGGGCAGTATGGCCATTTTCACGATATTGATTCTTCCTATCCATGAGCATGGAATTTTCTTCCATTTATTTGTGTCCTCTTTTATTTTGTTGAGCAGTGGTGTGTAGTTCTCCTTGAAGAGGTCCTTCACATCCCTTGTAAGTTGGATTCCTAGGTATTTTATTTTCTTTGTAGTAATTGTGAATGGGAGTTCACTCATGATTTGGCTCTCTATTATTGGTGTATAGGAATGCTTGTGAATTTTGCACATTGATTTTGTATCCTGAGACTTCGCTGAAGTTGCTTATCAGTTTAAGGAGGTTTTGAGCTGATATTGTGGGATTTTCTAAATATACAATCATGTCATCTGCAAAGAGAGACAATTTGACTTCCTTTTTTCCTAATTGAATACGTTTATTTCTTTTTCTTGCCTGATTGCCCTAGCCAGAACTTCTAACACTATGTTGAATAGGAGTAGTGAGAGAGGGCGTCCTTGTCTTGTGCCAGTTTTCAAAGGGAATGCTTCCAGTTTTTGCCCATTCTGTATGACATTGGCTGTGGGTTTGTCATAAATAGTTATTATTTTGAGATACATTCCATCAATACCTAGTTTATTGAGAGTTTTTCGCATGAAGGGCTGTTGAATTTTGTCGAAGGCCTTTTCTGCATCTATTGAGATAATAATGTGTTTTTTTTTCATTGGTTCTGTTCATGTGATGGAATATGTTTATTGTTTTGCGTATGTTGGACCAGCCTTGCATCCCAGGGATGAAGCTGACTTGATCATGGTGGATAAGCTTTTTGATATGCTGCTGGATTCGATTTGCCAGTATTTTATTGAGGATTTTTGCATCGATGTTCATCAGGGATATTGGCCTAAAATTCTCTTTTTTTGTTGTGTCTCTACCAGGCTTTAGTATCAGGATGATGCTAGACTCATAAAATGATTTAGGGAGGATTCCCTCTATTTCTATTTATTGAAATAGTTTCAGAAGGAATGGTACCAACTCCTCTTTGTACCTCTGGTAGAAATAGGCTGTGAATCCGCCTGGTCCTGGACTTTTTTGGGTAGGTAGGCTATTAATTATTGCCTCAATTTCAGAAGCTGTTATTGGTCTGTTCAGAGATTCAACTTCTTCCTGGTTTAGTCTTGGGAGGTTGTATGTGTCCAGGAGTTTATCCATTTCTTCTAGATTTTCTAGTTCATTTCTGTAGAAGTGTTTATGGTATTCTCTGATGGTAGTTTGTATTTCTGTGGGATCAGTGGTGATATCCTCTCTATCGTTTTTTATTGTGTCTATTTGATTCTTCTCTCTCTTCTTGCTAGCGGTCTATTTTGCTGATCTTTTCAAAAAACCAGATCCTGGATTCATTGATTTTTTTGAAGGTTTTTCTTTTGTGCCTCTATCTCCTTCAGTTCTACTCTGATCTTAGTTATTTCTTGCCTTCTGCTAGCTTATGAATTTGTTTGGTCTTACTTCTCTGGTTCTTTTAATTGTGATGTTATGGTGTCGATTGTAGATCTTTCCTGCTTTCTCTTGTGGGCATTTAGTGCTATAAATTTCCCTCTACACACTGCTTTAAATGTGTCCCAGAGATTCTAGTACGTTGTGTCTTTTTCTCATTGGTTTCAAAGAACATCTTTATTTCTGCCTTAATTTCGTTATGTAGCCAGTAGTCTTTCAGGAGCAGGTTTTTCAGTTTCCATGTAGTTGTGCAGTTTTGAGTGAGTTTCTTAATCCTGAGTTCTAATTTGATTGCACTGTGGTCTGAGAGACAGTTTGCTGTGATTTCTGTTCTTTTACATTTGCTGAGGAGTGTTTTACTACGAATTACGTAATCAGTTTTAGAATAAGTGTGACTTGGTGCTGAGAAGAATGTGTATTCTCTTGATTTGGGGTGTAGAGTTCTGTAGATGTCTATTAGGTCCTCTTAGTCCAGAACTGAGTTCAAGTCCCGGATATCCTTGTTAACCTTCTGTCTCGTTGATTTGTCTAATACTGACAGTGGGGTGTTAAAGTCTCCCATTTTTATTGTGTGGGAGTCTAAGTCTCTTTGTAGGTCGCTAAGGACTTGCTTTATGAATCTGGATGCTCCTATATTGGGTGCATATATATTTAAGATAGCTCTTCTTGTTGAATCGATCCCTTTACCATTATGTAGTGGCCTTCTTTGTCTCTATTCACTTAATTCACTTTCTCACCTCCTACAAATAGATATGCATCCATCAGCACCTCCTCAGAGACAGCTTGCTTGGCTACCCTTCCTGAAATAAGGCTGTCACTATGTAAAACTGGTTCTATTTTATTTTTCTTTAAAACCTGAGTGTTATTTTACATAATACCATGGTTTCTTTGTTTCTTGTCTTTGCCTCTACTGAAATGCAAACTTCCTGGAGGCAGAGAGTTTTCTGTTTGCTTTATAGACTGTATTTGCCTCCAAGGTCAATGGCAGACATATAACAGTAGCTCAACAAATATTTATTTAATGTGTGAGACTATATTGATAACTTTGGGGTAGGGGAGGATTTCTTAATTAGAAGAAGCACAAACTTTGAAGTAAAAGTGATACATTCGATGACATTGAAATTTAAAAATTTCGTACTACAAAATCATCTTTTTTCTCCCTCATGTCTTACAATCTGTTCATACAAAAGCATCTTGAATAAAGTAAAAGACAAGCCATGTAATTAAATATATAAAATAGCTCTCATAAAATAAAAGTGAAATGATAAAAGAGGTAACAAGGGAAAAATCAAACTTATAAGCAGGCCATTCACAAGAGAAAACAAGAACGTATATAAAATGATTAATTTCACTAATAATCACAGAATGCAAATTGAAACTGTTTCACCACCATTAGATGACAAAAGTAGGATAAATAGATAGATAGATGAAAATATAAGAATACGAAGAAATTTATAATTGCAGAAAGCAGTAAAATTGTTACCACTACCTATCTGTATATGTTTGGGAAACCTCAGAATAATGGCACAAGATTAGGCGCATAAGAATATGTATCATAGTATCTTTCACTAGTTTAAAACATTGGAAACAATTTAAATATCCAAATCCAAGAAAATATGTGCATAAATTATGTCACTTATGTTCATACAGTAAAATAAAAATGAATGTTAAAAAAACAGAAACAAATAGGTAAATGATGCCTGATTGATAGACGGTCATTTCTGAGTATCTAAAAATCTAAAAATATGCTACTGCATATTTCTATGTAGTAAGCATGTAGTAAAACTATAAAAATATTTAAGTAAAAGATAAGTAAAAATCTTGTAGTGGTTATTTGTGAGAAGAGAGAGGTAAATGAGATGATGAAGACATACATATTGGGCCTGATTCTCCAGTCAAAAGATTAAAAAAACAAAACAAGTTTGAGATACATAGTTGTTTCATTTTAATACTCACTATAACTTTCAGTCTATTTGAAATATTTTATTATATATGTGTGTAAATATGTATATGTTATGAGTTTTATTTATACTAATCTAAGATATTACTAAAACACAATTGAAATAGTGGCCACTTCCAATCTCCTAAACCCACTTAAATTCTTGCCACTATCTGATAACTTAAAATAATGTATGGCTGATTCCTTTAAACTTTCCCTATATCCATATCTATATTTAGGTCTCTAACCATATGCCTTTGCATTGAGGGCACTATTGTCTTCAACAGCTGGTGGTAATCTAATACTCCCCTATTTGGGTAGACTTTACAAAAAATTAAGAAGTCAGTTACCTAATAGTGTGGTTTGCAAAGTTATGGTAATACATTCTTGCCCCCAAACAGTCTTCTTGATACTTGAAATATGTCAAGTACTGCTTTATTCCTTTAAGGTGAATATCATCCTCTTCATTCTTCCACATTGAAATGCAAATTTTCCTGGTATGATTTGCATTTTAGTTAATCCCCTAATACTTTAGAGTTAATGAGTTTATCTAAGCCTGTCTTCTGACAGAAAGGCACAGTACTAACTGAAAAGCCTTTTGATCATTTTGGGGATGTGTAAGACATACATGTGTTACTAAAAGTAGGGGTGAAAGGTACAGATTAGAGACAAAACTCTACAAGATATTCCTTAGAGACCTGACAGTCTCACAGAAAGTTGGACGGGATCTATCACTTTCCTTCTTGTCATTATATTTTAGTTATAGAAGTTCTCACTTTTGTTCAAAAGTACCTAACCAACTCACTGGCCCAATACACTCATCAAAAAGAGCCCAAACCCAAAACATATATATATATATATATATATTTCCCTATGCTTATGACATTACTGATACCCTCACTGGTGTTATGTAGAAAGAATAGAAAGAACTTTGGGATGGAATTACAAAATCCTGGGCTAAAACTCCAGCTATACTTATTCTAGTAAAATATTTCTATTAACTCGAGCCTCCAACTTTTCCAAATTCTACAGAATAAACAATATCTATACATTTAGCTCACAGATCACTACGGGGATCAAGATGAATGAAGATTATGAAAGTAGTTTGTAAATTATAATATAATCTTATATACAGTAATTAGGATGTTTTTCATTGCAGGTAATAATAAACTCATGTCTAACTTAAACAATAGAGGCAGCTGTTTGCTCATGTTGATAGAAAGTCCAGGATTTATAGCTTCAGGCTCAATTCTATCTGGGTTTTGGCTCAATTTCTCTAAAATTCTGGTACTCCCTATGCCATTATCTGAATACTAGCTTCATCCTCAACCCTGTACCCTCATGATCACAAAGTGGTTGCCAGAAGCAAATTGACCCATCTGCTTTTTCAGTGATGTCCAGAAGGTGTGGAGGGAGGAGGTCAAATACCATAATTATCAAATATGTTTCTGAGTGTCATACTGATTGTCTCCCATTGAAACTCACTGACCATCTCTGTGGCCAGAGGAATGTCACACACTAATTGGCATAGGTCTTCACCATCACTGGCACAGGAGAGATGAGACTGCATAGACTGCCTTAGGTCAACCAGAACTGGCCTCTACAGGTGTGGTTAATCCCACCTAAATTACAGTGAGGGTGGATGAAATGCTTCTCCCACTTATAATCACATACCAATTGGCATGAACAGACTGTTTTATTTATTTCATTAATACTAACTATACAAATATTATTATTGCTACTTGTACTACGCTACTGTTATTATTTCTACCATGGTTATGATATCCTTCTAGAAATTAAAGAATAATCACAGATGAAGAGAATTGTTACTGTTTTGTCAAGCACAATTAACGTGCAGTTGATCTGATTTTATTGCCAAATAAGGTCTCATGATCAGTATGTGTTAGAGCACTGTTTTTTAAAACTCAAAACAGTTTTGTTTTTTCTCCATTTTTCTTGATCACTGGGGCATATTATGGTGTCTTTCCATAAGAGTTAAAGTAATTATTTGCAAAGTAACCTTTCCTCTTCTTCTCATTGACTGATGGCCAATCAATTTGTCTTGAAAACTCATTGAAATTGATTTCATAAACAGAGTCAAAATGAACACAGTAGAGAAATACATACTGTAATTTGTGGAACCTACAGGAATCAAATTTGTTTTTATTAAACAAATATCTTAATAAAATGGAAGTGTCAATAACATGCAATTTTTGGAGGATGATTCCAACAAACTTATGGTTTTAGGGTACTCAAAACTCTGTGATGAGCCCTTTCTACAATGACATTCTATGAATATATAAACTTATATACAAGGATTATGAAATGACCATTGCCATGATGTTCCCACTTCTATTTTACTTTTAGAGAGGGCATATGAAATGATTTTGAAATTTCATATTGCCTTGTGGTTTTTAATCTAATCAACTGCATTAAATTTAATTACACTAATTAATTACATTATTGTATTGATTAAGCATACACAGATTAGGAAACACAGCCTCTTCTCTGTTGAAGCCTGAAATACAGTTAGTAATAATAGGATATCGGCTTTAAAAGTCACTAATAATATAAAATTATTAGAGGCCTTATTCATGAGCATAAAATAAGACCACTAATATCAAAACCTCTTGAAGAAAGAAGATATTACTGAGGGCTAGGACTGTCAAAATAGCTTTTGTGAAAGTTACACAACTTCTGAACAATGAGAACACATGGACACAGGGAGGGGAACATCACACGCTGGGGCCTGCCAGAGGGTTGGGGGCTAGGGGAGACAGAGCATTAGGGCAAATACCTAATGCATACAGGGCTTAAAACCTAGATGATGGGTTGTTAGAGGAACAAACCATCATGACATTACATGTATACCTATGTAACAAACCTGCACATTCTGTACATGTATCCCAGAATTTAAAGTAAAATTTAAAAAAAGTAGCCCTCATCAAATAGAAAATACTATAATAAGGAAAGAGAAACATAGAGAATAGTTCAGGTAGGGAGTTTATTATAAGTAAAAACACAGAGTTAGCAATGTCCAAGTTGTGTTTAGAAGATGTTGCATAGGTTAGTTTTGTCAAGAAGAAAGTTTGCATACATAAGAACAGGTAAAAAGACTGGTGAGAAATGTGGTGCATTAGGTTAAAACCTTGAACATTAATATTAATAGATATCATTTAAAAAGCACAAATAAGGTGCCCAGAACCATAAGCAATACATTTGGAAATACTTAATCTTTACAACAACCCTGTGAAGTAGGGAAAATGAACACAGAGATTCATGATAGAGCAAGTAGCTACATCTTCAAACCAGGGCTTATTTTGTTTACCATTACAGTCTATGGAAGATAGTGATATATTACTGAATTGGGGAAAAAGATGATATATGCAATTTGTTTTTTAAAAAACACTAATCCAAAACTAATTAGTACATAGAATGCTTTGAAATGAAGTGTCTGAATATAGAAGACTTGCTGTATGACTTGATATACTATCTAAATAATTTATAAGACTTGTTGTACTACCTAAGTAGTTTATAACAAGTGGCAAAGGTTCAAGTAGAATTATACAACGTGTAAAAGAAAGAAATTTTAAAGATATTATTAAAGATATTATGATGAAAATAATAATAGACTAGGAAGACTGATTAGATGTGAAAGAGTAGAAGGGAAGAGTCAATACTGACTTGAAGGCAATGGGGGAGTGTGATACTGTCACACATAGAACAAAAGAAATTGAATGGCAATGCCAATTTTTTTTCTTTTTCTTTTCTTTTTTTTTTTTTTTTTTTGAGATGGAGTCTCACTCTGTTGCTCAGGCTGGAGTGCAGTGGTGTAATCTTGGCTCACTGCAACCTCCTCCTCCCGGGTTCAAGCAATTCTCCTGCCTCAGCCTCCCTAGTAGCTGGGATTACAGGTGCCCACCACCACGCCCAGCTAATTTTTGTATTTTTAGTAGAGATGGGGTTTCTCCATCTTGGCTAGGCAGGCTGGTCTCGAACTTCTGACCTCAGGTGATCCATCTTCCTCGGCCGCCCAAAGTGCTGGGATTACAGGCATGAGCCACTGCACCCGGACAGCAATGCTAGTTTTAATAGACTACTGAAGATATGCACTTTAACTGAACTGATTTTAAAATGATGAAAGACTTTAAGGTAAATCATTCCAGCAAGTGATAATCCAAAATGAGCTGTAAAGATGATACATATTTGAGATTCACTAATTTAAAAGGTTGTAGTGGCCACCAAATTATTTTCTGAGTATTTCTGTCTTGTACCATTACCACTTTTATCAACACTGATTCTACCATCCATATACATAGTTTCACAGAAATCACCATTTTGTAAAATATGACACAGACTATACTTATTTAGTTCATGAGTAAGCAACTGACAAAAGCTGAGCCAGTAAATATTTTCCCCATACATTTGGAATTGAGACCAAACAGCCTCTGTACAGCAAGGCTTATCTCACTCAAAGAGGAGAATAGAAGAGGAGAATAAAATAGTGATGTCTGTTTTCCAGGATGTCCATTGGTAAACAAAGAAAGATTGCTTGGAGCAAAAGCAAATAATAAACCAGATATATAAAAAGAAGTAGAGATTGGAGGCAGAAAAAGAATGTTCTGTGCCATGAATCACTCCTTTAGTCTATGTCTGAGGATAAGCTGTAACTCTGCCTTGGAGGCCCTGGAGAAACCTTATAATATCCTAATAAGAAATGGTTCTCTTTATGCAAAAGGTTTGCCAGATTTGGCAAATAAAACTAGAGAACTCTCAGTTAAATTTGAATGTCAGGTAAATGAAGACTTTTTTAGTATAAGTATGTCCCGTGCAATGTTTGGATATATTTATGTTTAAAACTATTAGTTGTTTATCTAAACTTCACATTTTACTGGATGGCCTGTATTTATCTAGCAACTCTATTTAGAGTTGAGTCATCTAGAGTTGGTTACTGTTTCCTTTTGTGTGTGTGTGTGTGTGTAACCAAAATACAACTAAAATTGAATTGTTGTGGTTATGAGAAATGGTGGCATTTCTGAGAAAAGAAGACAAGTCTGATAACTGAATCTTGAAAGAAACCCCTAATCAATTCTGTGATTTCCTAATTTACTGACCAATCAAAGCATTGGAATGTCTGCCTTGGCCAGTTTTTAAAAATATGATGTTGTTCATATAACTGTACTTGGGTCATTCATCAAAATCAAAGACCTTGAGAATGAAGATCATGTCATTTGTGTGCATGTGTGTGTGTCCCATAACACGTAATTCAAGCTTGATCACACAATGAACACTAAATAAATACTAGTAAGATTGAAATGTTCATCATATAGTTTACAGGCATCATTAGCTCTCTTTTTTCCTACTCTGGTTTTTGCTCCCTATGCTCTAAAGTATATTTGAGATTCTTTGAAAGTTGAGAAGCCCTAAAGGCCCTCACAATGTTAAAATTGCATTAAAATGAAGAAGAAGAAAGATGTCCGGGGTGGGGTGGGAAACAAAAGCCCAAAGAAAAATCTGAAAGAAAATCCAGCCTTTTCACTAAACACTTCAAGCTCGCCCGCTTCAGCCTCTGCAGGCAGCAATTACATTTCGAAGGAAAATGTTTTACAATTGTAATTACACATAATAGGAGGAATGTATTTTTCCTTCATCCTACTCCCATGGCGAGTCAATTTAATTTTTAAATACAAGAGACATAATTGATTTTAGCCCTAGATTAGTGCTGAAAATGATCTATATGTGTTCTCGCTAATGGAACAAGAGAATTGGTCCTCCTTGGAGACTTTTACCCAAACCTGTTCATGCAACAATTACTAGAGTCTGACAGGTTAGTGTTCAAGGAGAGTGATGTGGGAGGGAAACACCCCACTGTTTAACAATTGAGCAAAATAATTAATATTATGCTCTTCTCAGTTAATTATAGATTAGGCACAAATATATTATCATCATAGAGGCCACAAAGTGATGAGATTGCTCAGAGGAGCCTTTGCCTGTTCACCAGAAAATGGGCATTCTGTGAGGGTTTCAGGGCAAACCTATTTCTTGATGGGGTTCTCATGGGAGGGGATGGATTAGAGATGAACTCATTTTTTTTTCAGTTTTCAGTAATGACAGCCCTATCTCTTATCTGGCAATGAATTTTCCATCTGCTTCTCTACCCAACTGCCAGGCAGCTGATGGGTGACTGAAGTAGAACAGCTTAAGGCAAAGCTATGAAATAGGCAGTTTATGCTCTGCCATTTTGCCATCAAAACAAGCCCTTAAGCACAAATTCTGAGTTCAATTCTTACTCTTACTGAGTTGTCAACTAATCCCCCTCTAAAGCAGGATTAGTAACTGGGATGTTAGCTTCTAAGACTATAATTCCCAGGTGTATTTGCATTTTAATCAAAGACTCCAAGAAGGCCGAATGGGCATGGACCCATCACTGGCAAGGTAGTGCGGAGACCTAGGATCCAGCTCACACCAGTCCATTTACCAGCCAGGTAACTTCTAAGCTATGAAACAGGATTATGCTCACCTCATGAAATTGCTGCAATAATTAAGTAAATTATGTAGTATATTGTGACTATCACAAGCAGGGTGCTCAACACCTTTGAATATGTCTTAAGGTGGGAGAATAACTCTTCAGGTCTGAAAGAAAAGAAGCTACAGTGATGATGCTGCGTGACCCTGGAGAGTCACTTCACCTGTTAGGGCTTCAGTTGCATCACTTTTAAAAGAAGAATGCTTATCTATGTTCTATCTAAGTTCCTTTTCCCTTATAAAGTTCCAAAACTTTATTTCTGCAAATTACTAGTGCTCTCCTTGGTAGCACACACACAGGTGAGGACATGTAATCACGGGACACCCAGCCCTTACAGTAGTGAATAAAGACAGGCTTTCAAAACATTTGTTTAAATATGACTACCTCTTAAATATGGGCTGTGTTCACATTTGGGCATTTGCAGTTGGAAGTTAGAAATAGTGGGGGAGATGTGTCCATGCAAATTTACTGGGGAAATGGAACAAGGAAGGGGCTGAAGTAACAGTAAATTCTCTCAACTTCAACTGGCTAGAAAGCTAATTTACAAGTCCTGCCTCTATTAAACTTTTTGACAGCCCTAATTCACTGATAGATTTGGAGCATATGGTAAAATCTCACAACCAACTGACCTGAGATGCAAGATCTCCGAGGTCTTGCATCAACCTGCCATATGATTTTACATCAATCAAAGCATGGCAGTTTACAGACATTTTGAGAAATGAAAAGATAGCATGTATTTCTCTTTGTGTGTCTATGTCCGTGGATGTCCCTGTGTGTGTACATTTGTAAATCTGTGTCTATCTCTGTCTGTTGTGCCTGTTTTCTTTCCCAAATAGATTATCTTTGGTAGATTTAGGAATCATATAGCTTGTCCTTAATGTGTCTATTCAATATAAGGAAAATTATCTGTATTGCTAGGAAAGTCTACAATTCACTGAATAGCCAAATTACTTATGAGTGGTTTAATGTACCTTTAATGTTCAAACTCATACACCCAAGCATACTCACCGGAGTTTGAAATGGTGGTAAGCTGGGCCCACGAACTCCACTACAACCCCTAGAGAAAGCCATAGGCCGTGTAAAAATGATTGTTCCATTCTAGTTCGCATGACCAGATTCCTTCAACACCAACTGACTAGCCCAAAGGCTCTTTACTTTGGCTTCCTTATTACAAATGCATTCCTATAAAGTTCAAAAGATACTGAGGGCTTAAAAAATTCTAAAACGAGCAATTATGAATATTATACTAAAATAGCTCATGCATAGGTTGAAATAGTGGTCACTTATTTGGCACAATATTAGAAGTGATTATCCTCTTGAAGAATTTCAATTTCTCACATTTCTCACCTCGATGAATAGGTGAGCAATATTCACTTTAAGGACATTAATGTATCCTTAATGAATTATTATTGAAATTGTATGGAAATGGGAATTGTTTGTGAAGAAATCAACATTTGCTCATTTTGCTCAGGCAAAAATTCAGATGCTAGGTAAATCAATCAAATGCTCCCTTGAAGGAGCGCAGCATGGAGGCTTATAACTGTGAAACCTTCATTTAAAAAAAGTTACTTATGTGTGTCAGACCAGTGTAATGATAATGGAGTAGGTATTTTAAATCATTTGAAGGGATAAGAGAAACTTTAATTTCAGTAGAATTAAACATTGGGTACCCCTTCTTATATCATTTACATAACAAATTAATTAAAATATATTTGCTTTTTGAAGTCATTATTTGAATAGTCACATTAAAGTTTGCGTGAAAATGGCCAAGGGCAGTGGCTCATGCCTGTAATCCCAGCACTTTGAGAAGATGAGGCAGGTGGATGATTTGAGATCGGGAGTTTGAGACCAGCCTGGCCAACATGGTGAAACCTCGTCTCTACTAAAAATACAAAAATTAGCCTGGCCTGGTGGAGGGCATCTGTAATGCCAGCTACTCGGGAGGCTGATGCAGGAGAATCACTTGAACCCAGGAGGTGGAGGCTACAGTGAACCGAGATTGCACCACTGCACTCCAGCCTGGGTGACAGAGAGAGACTCCAACTCAAAAAAAAAAAAAAAAAAAAAAAAAAAGCTTCTGTAAAAAGAATACTGAACACTAGAATAAAGATAAGAATCTGTGAATGGATGAACTGTCTGTTCTGTGCAAGACGTTGCACCTGCTTTCCTCAAGTGGATGTTCTGGAAGTAAGTTTCACAATCATCTTTGGTTGTGTTTACAAAATAATCACTTTCAGACTCAAAGGAATCACTTCTTTTTCTAAATATTTTGCATTCTAGCTTGTTGGCACATCTACTCCTTTGACTTCTACTGTATTGTTCTCTTCCTCTGACATTTAGCTTCCTGGGTAAGAATATTTGAAACTCTGAGACAGTGGCTACAGGCTCACAGAATTCCATTTGAAGATATTTCCCCTTGTGTCTCTCTCTCTCTTCCTAATAGAATACAAGTTTCTTGAGAATTAGACTTATGTCTTATTTAAATTCTCCACAGCTCTTAACATTATGTCGTCTAGATAATAGGCAATCAATAAATATTAGTTGAATCAATGAATTCATTATCTGTTCAGGGTTAAGAGTGCAAAAAGGCATGCAGTGGCCAAGCGATTGAGCGGAGCCCATTTCTGCAATGATAGAAACTGTATTATTGGCTTCATTAACACCTGAATGACTGAACTGATTACTATCTATAATGATTAGAAACTTTTTTCTGCCCAGGGCACTGTGCTTAGCACTTGTCATCATTATATATTTACAAGGAATCTGAATAGCAGCTTATACTTACTTTACAGCTAAAGAGGAAACTCAGGCACAGACTGATTTAGTAACTGGGCCAAGGTCACACAGTGAGCAAGCGTCAGAGTCAGGTTTCTACCATCTGCCATTCTATTTTAATGGGAATGCAATTGCCTCTATTCTGTCACCTCTAGAACATGTCTGGTCAACAATCCCTTAACTGAGTTTCCCCATTGTATCAGTACTACAGTAAGAATAAATGCATATTCCAATTGGATTAATTTGAGGAGACTTCAGTAAGTGCACAGTTTATAAAAACCCTTAAGAAATAGGTATGAAAAAAATTCTACAGGGGTAATGTAGTACCTTGAGGTTAGTTACTCCTGTCACAAAAATGAGCATTCAAAGGTTGGAAATAGTCACTGGAACCTGGAGACAAAGACACTCTATGGAGAGCTCCTCACCCACCACCAACCCCCTTTCTTCCTACCCTTTCCTCACACCCACTGTCTGGAGGGGTGATGTGCAGTTGAGTGGTAAGGCCAGACTGAGGTGACCCAACAGGGAAGAAAATAAGGGAACAAACTCTGATCTGCCAGTGCTTTTCATTGGTCATATCCAAGAGTGATGGGTTCTATTTGTGGGATTCACATAAATCAGTTTCCCAGAAGACAGAGCAGGTAGAAAATGATGGAGAGTGGACCCGGAGGAGCAAACAGAAGGTTTCAAGAAAACCTATCACATGACATAAGTAAAAAATAGAATTGTGCTCTGTGATTTGAGGTCTTTGGGGGCTGGGGAATCTATGAAACAGGGTAAATCTTGGCTAACTTTAAAAAAAAGAAATTTATAAAGTTATAAAAAATAATTGTTCACTGCTGAGTTCAATTTAAGCCTTTTTTTTAATTAAAGGAATGGCATCAAGAGCAAACTTATAATGCACCCAAGATATTAATTGGAAAGCAGTTGTAACTAAGAATGAGGGCAGAGAAATAATGGCAGCACATTTAGCACAGTGGGTAGCTCTGCTTCGTCAGATCAAAATGGCCCCCAGACTGGGAGGGATGCATTTCAATTCCACTTTAACAGTCATGGTACCCTGGAGGAGGAGTGGAAAAATGCCAGCTAACATTTTTAATGTTGCCCTCTAGAGTCAGTATTTCTTTTCTTTCAATGCAACCCTTTGCTCTACTCAACCTACAGACTCAAAATGTTCTTACCGGCTCAAATCCTAATTACTATTACTTTCTCAGCTGTGACACCAGATCAGTTTCTGCTGACCTCAGAGTGTCTCTTCTTTGCATCCTAGGAGCTCCTTTAATCTGCGCTATCTACCACCCACACTCTGGGTGCCCAGCATGAGTCAGCATGACTGTCATGGTTTGGTTAGTGAATTGATAGAAACACTCAATATATGCATAAATACCTAAATGAATCGATAATTTGGAAATAACATATTTTCCTACGGGTGAAAATAGCCAGAGAGCAGGAATGGAAGGTAGACGGGAGCCAGTTCTTTGGCTTTAAAACTTATCTATTGTACAATTAAAACCTATAGTTTTTGAGTGGCTGTTTTAAAAGCATCTTAGTTACATATTCCTAGTATTAATGAAATATCTGAGTTCAGACAGAAAGAAGTGAGGAGAGAAAGTGAGGGACATAGGCGTCTGTAGGAACTGGGTGGAGAGAGAGAGAAGGGTTAATGACAAACACTGAAGCCTTCCCTGAATGTTATTTCTTAAAGAGTAGAAAAGGGTAATGTTTGGATGGAGCCAAAGACAAACTATTGAAACACGGGGTCAGTAGACGGCAACTTAATAAGACTATTTAGCTAATTTGCCCCAAAATTTGCTGAGACTTTTTTTTTTTAAGATAAGAACTTTCAACCTATAAAGAAACCAAAGGTTTAGATCTAAAGGGAAGAATAATTCCACCACAAGGTTTACACTGTGAACTAAGCCATCTTAGGCAACTACAGATATGTATCTCAACCACTGCCTCTGCATGGGTAATTTTCTTAGCAAGTGGGTCCAAATTGCCCCATTTTTTCTTGGAATTCTTTATAGCTTCTTACATTTTTAATAAAATACGATTTTTAAAACTCCTCATGGGTTTTTTTGTTTGTTTGTTTGTTTTTTTTTTTTTTTTTTTGCTTTTTACCTGTGCATGCTTTGAAGAAGAAAAGAGCTCTGTTTTATTGTTTGTTTTACTTTCCTTGCTTGTGTTTTCTATTTGGGACAAGGTTGCTTTAGATACAGTATACGCAAAACTGCTAGCTACTGGTCTTATCATACACCTAGAATATATGGAATTTGGAGTGGACACGAAAAATGGCAAGTCAGAATTAGCGTGATTCTGGGTCACTTAGTGTGTTTACTATTGAGCTTTCAGACTATTCCACCTGGGAGTTATGGTATCTTGCTTCTACTGGATTTATGCATACTGCAAAACACCGACCCATTCATCCTTTGTCCTCAGCTTCCACCTAAACTGTTGGCTATCAGTTAACAACATCAGATGCTAGTTATAAATTTCTCTTCCATGTCAGGACTCAGAACAGCTTAGGGTAACAACTTTTCTTAGAAAAATTGAAATTTTTCCCTAGATATAAAAGTAGATGTGTAAGATTCTATATAAAAAAGAAAATATATAAAGCATGCTTTTCTAAATCAAGGATGAATGGATTATGTTTTCAGTAGAGATAATTCAGTTAGAGTTGCCTTCGGTTTAAGAATTCTGAAAGCTGTTTTAGGAATCTAACCCCTTTCCGTAGTAAAGGCCAGACATGAACTATGTCTGATAAGAATCTACTTCTTTTGACAAAGACTTAGCTATTTCTCTGGGAACTAATTTTAACACTTAACCACCATCCTTGCCATTATCTATTAGTCTTTTAGGCTAATACTTTCTCACACTTGGTTTACTTCAGTTTCCCCTATTTGTTTTCTAACAGTGAGAATAAACAGACCTTTAAAAATTGGAAATAAAGTAAAATTTTTATGGCATATACTTCTGCCAATTTGGGTTGCATGCCAACCTCTAGCATGTGCAGGGCTTAAGAGTAGAATTAGAGGTTCACACACTTTATGTCTAAATATTTAAATGTTGTAAGTCAAACTGATAATATAATAAGTAACCATGTTCTATCTTACTACCTTGAAAAATGCATTTTCATAATGACCAAGAAGACCAAGTTTGATTTGAGAGTTTTTCAATTTCTTGAAGCTTCACAGGAGAATAATAAATGGAGACAGAGCCCCCTGGTCCCTGACACACAGCTGTTCCTTCTTTCATCTTCTCATTTACCTGGACCACTACTCCTGGCTCAGTCTTGAAGTGTCAGAGAACCTGTGTCCATATTTGTGGATACTCAGCCTGTATGACTAACCCCTGTCTGTCCTCTTATAAGAGGTGGCCTCTTGGTTGTCTTGAGCCTCAGAGTATACTCACTAGTACTAAGGCATAGTGTCAGAAGAAAGGAGCCAGGGAAGAGTGGGACACAGGGTCTGAAGCAAGTCTAGGACCCTATGGACAGGACATTCCAGGGTCCCAGGACCTGAGGAGTTGTCTAATAAGTGATGCCTATGAGCTCCTGATATAATACACTCCTCACAAACCCGAGGACTACTTACTTTATGACACAGCTGGCGAAAGGCCAGGGCAGGCTTTCTAAAGCATGGAGTCCAGGAAAAATCCCAGATTTCTTATGTCTAAGAGTGGATGTCTACACTGACATTTCACTTAAAAATTTCAGCTAGATAAAGTGATTTTTTTTCTTATGTGAAAAGGCCTGGATTCCCACATATTATAAAGTTGGGCAGGCTTTTCCTACAGCTCTAGTTATGGTATAGGTTTTCTTACCTTCAACATGTAAGAAAACAACAATATCTTCTTCTGTTGAACTTCGTCAAAACAATCTACCAAATAGATGACAGTTTAGGGAAAGATACTTTCCAATAATCTGTAACTATCTGAGTTACCTAAATATATGGCTGAACAGTCTGCATCACTTTTGCTGGACTGGAACCAGAAGAATCTTCTCTATCCTTGACCTGGCTCACATTCTCAGGGTTTTCCCAATTCTAGCCCTAATCATGTTTGCTTAAATATAAAACACATCTATTTTAAGCATCCACAAACTCTTTTCCACTCTTATTCTCACCCTTCTTTCCATAAAGACTTTCAAAATAAAAAGCTTAAAGTGGAAGATGCCTTTATTTCCAAACTCATTTATTCAAGAAACATTTGTTTAAAATGTACATGTAGACGCTTCTATGTTCTGGACCCACTATTTGGATTGCAGTAGGTCATATGTGTGATTTCCTTTAGGCTTCAGGTTGGATAATCTAAATTCACTGATTATTTGTTAAAGGTCAAAGTCAAATATATAATACTTCCAAATATTTTCAAAAGGATCCATGTCTTCTTAGAGGAAAAATGGAGAACAAGAGAACAATGAGAAAATCCAAACTCCTAGGCTGAAGTTTCCCTCCTGACAGGTCCACAGATAACATAAAAGGGCTTCTCACCGGCCGGGCACGGTGGCTCAAGCCTGTAAGCCCAGCACTTTGGGAGGCCGAGGCAGGTGGATCATGAGGTCAGGAGATCGAGACCATCCTGGCTAACACGGTGAAACCCCGTCTTTACTAAAAATACAAAAAAAATTAGCCGGGTGTGGTGGCGGGCGCCTGTGGTACCCCAGCTACGCGGGAGGCTGAGGCAGGAGAATGGAGTGAACCTGGGAGGTGGAGCTTGCAGTGAGCCGAGATCGCGCCCATCCTGGGTGACAGAGTGAGACTCCCTCTCAAAAAAAAAAAAAAAAAAAAAAAGGGCTTCTCATCCTCTATTCTTAGAATGAAATCCTAAACCCAGAAACATAGCAGCACTATTTCCTAAGATCTATCCAAAGTTCTATTTCTATTGCAGATTTCTAGTGGCCTTTACAACGCAATGGTAGTTTTATTATAGGTAGAAATGTCTTGGAAAATTGGCGAAGGTGAGAAATTGAAATATTTTGTTTTCTTTTCTCATTTCTTGTTCCTCTTATACCTTGTGGTTCTTCCTCTCATTCTTCACAAATTATAAGTCTTCCGTTTTTTGTGGCAAAACATTTTGAAAAAGCTTTTATATTATCTATACCTCAGTATTAATTAAATTAATTATTCATCTGTTATTGACTAATACATGAGCAATATTATAAGATTTAGGGGATTTGAAAATTCATGTTCTAGTATTGTAGGCATTTGAGGATTGCTGAGAATTTGGAAAATTTGAGAACCAAAACTGTGTGCCACAGTTTATTGTCTGCATAAACATGATTCGGCCATAACTTCGTTTTCATTAGCATGACTTTACTATTCCAGAAGACACTTGCCAAAATAATGAAAGTTCCAAGCAACTTTATTGCTTATTTCTGAATCTTCCAAAAGACATATCAGCTCTTCAACAGAAAGCATTAACTGACAGTTTACAACTCAGTATTTTTTAAACTCCTTGCTTCAAATGGTCACCAATCCTAAACTATTACAGTCATAAATCACTTAATGATGGGGATATGTTCTGGGAAATGCATCTTCAGGCAATTTTGTTGTGTATGAACATTATAGACTGTATTTATATAATCCTAGGTGGTATAGCCTACCACATACCTAAGCTATATGGTACAACCTATTGCTCCTAGGCTACAAATTTGTATGGCATGTTACTGTTGGCAGTGGTAACACAATGATATCTGTGGACCTAAACATAGAAACAGGGAAAGACAAGGTACAGTGAAAATATACATATAAATAGTACACTTGCATAGGGCATTTGCCATGAATGGAGCTTGCACAACTAGAAGTTGCTTTGGGTGAGTCAGCAAGTGAGTGATGAGTGAATGTGAAGGCTGGGACATTGCTATACGCTACTGTAGACTTTATACACACTGTACACTTAGGCTACATTAAAAATAAATTAACCTTAGCTTGTCATTTTTTTCACTTTAAACTTTAAAGCTTTTTTTTTTTACTTTTTTGATTCTGCTATATTAATATTTAGCTTAAATCACAGACACTTTGTACAGCTGTGCAAAAATATTTTCTTTCTTTATATCTTTATTGTATGAGAGGTTTTTTCTTTTTAACTTCTTTGTTTTTACTTTTTTAAATTTTTTAAACTTTTTGTTAAAAACTAAGACGTAAACATGGACATTAGTCTAGGTCTACACAGAGTCAGAATCATCAATATCACTGTCTTCCACCTCCACATATTGCCCCAGTGGGAGGTCTTCAGGGGCAATAACAGGCATGGAGCTATTGTCTCCTATGACAAGAATACCTACTTCTGAAGTACCTCCTGAAGCAACTGCCTGAGGCTATTTTACAGTTAACTTTGTTTTTTAATAAACAGGAGTCCACTCTAAAATTATAATTAAAAGTGTAGTATAGTAAACCAGTAACAGCATTTATTACCATTATCAAGTATCATTTACTAAACATAATTGTATGTGCTACTTTTTAATAAAATTGGTAATGCAGTAGGTCTGTTTACATCAGCATCACTACACACATGTGAGTAACACCTTGCACAATGAAAGCACAATGACTACAACATCACTGGTCCATAGGAATTTTTCAGCTCCATTATAATCCTAGGGGATCACTGCTGAATATTTCATCTGTCATTGATCAAATCATTTGGCATCATATGACTATATATATAATAACCTTCACCTAATCTTAATACATTCTCTCCACTTTTAAACCAAACTTTAAAGTCTCAATAAAAATAGTGATGCTGCCCTTTTTCATGTTTGAGGTGGTAGTGACCCTTATACTAATAAGCCACAAGTTTAGCTTTCTTATAGCAACAAGTTCTGGTAATATTTGGGAGGCTGGTATTCAACAGATTACTTAAGTTCCTATTTTGGGGATCCGTGCTATTGAAGAACTTAAGAACCGATTACTCTCCATTGCTTAAAGTAACCTAGATTCCTGGAAACTTACCCATTCATTTCCATTAAATGTGCTAGGATTTTCTGCTCAATCCATTTTGGTAAATGAGTGTCTGACTCTCTTGCTTATGTGTCATGTCAAATGATTGTGTAACCATGTGTTGGATTCTCAACCCCTCAAGCTATTGAGATTGATCACAGATGGACAAAAATACCAGCCTCTCACAAGCCATAATGATTTTGTTTGTGAAAGGAGAAACAAATGAATCCTGAGCCAGTCTTTCATTCAAATGTGTAAGAAAAAGATCACAGACTACAGGAAGCTTTCTACCTCCCTATTTAAATATCCACCAGCTTCCAGTCCCAGGCTATGGAAGTATACTACTGTGACTTCCATAATCAGATTCAAATTCCTTAGTATTAAGGATTCTTGTCTTACAAAAGGTATGTACCATTGTCAGTGGCTGCCATTCACAACTTGAAGTGAATCAGTTAGAGATTTGCTATGTGGCAGAAACAGGAGACTAGACATTGGAGAGGGATGCCAGAGTAAACAAGCTGGGCATAGGAGGAGAAATAATATGAAGGCTTAGAGAGGAGTCGCTTGAAGCCATAAATGAATGTGATTTGGAGACAGCTTTTGTGTACACTGGCACCTTCACGATTTTCTCAAGGTTGCTGTATAAACCTTTTTTATATCCTTGCTGAAGTTTTCTGTCTACTAAAGGTAAATTTGTTTTGGAAAATAATAAAAAATAATAATCCAGAATAAAATGAAGGGCTATATTAGGTAATGTAATTCTGCATCCAAAACGTAAGATGGAGAAAATAAATCAGATTATCTCATATTATTGTTGTTATTGTTATTGTTTATTGCCTTTGAACTGGTTCTGAAGACATGTATCATAGGTATAAATGTAAATCTCCAAAAATCACTATTATGAAAGGTACACTTTATTGAGGATATGAAATTACATTTACTTGTTTAAAGTCAGTTTGAGTTCTGTAGTTCAATGCCATACTATACAAAAATAAAATTCACCCAGCTGGAACTTTTTTTAAATCAACTTTGTTCCTGTTTATCAGAAGAGTCTCATGACAGATGGGATTCATATTTTTTATTTGGAAAATCACATTCTCTCAATTAGGTTATTTACTAAAGTTTATGCCAGGTTTCTGGTTGTTCTGATTATTTATTCACTTTTTATATATAGTTTAGTACGTTCTCTGTGATATAGTTCTTTTCCTGCTGGAATACTTCTTCACAAGTGTTTTCACAAGAACCCAATTTCTCTGAGGTCTGCAAAACCTGCGGTTTTACACACATGAGGTCTTGTATAAGGCTTTGTAGAACTTAAAGTATCTTTATTTTATCTTTAAGTTATAGTTTAGCCACATATAAGATGCTGCATTGCAATTTCTGTTTTTCTCTCAATATTTTGAACACATCACTAGATCTTATGCTTGGTTGTTACCTTACTTACTAGTTACAAGTTTTTAATCGATACTTATTCCTTGTAGATTTTCACCTCATTTATTCCAGAAACCTGCTTTCAATCACGCATATTCAAGATTAATGGTTTTCTTTTTATTTTTCCTGTTTGATAAGGTTAAACACTGTTGATCTGAGACTTAAAAAAAAAATCTTTGTTTATTTAAGCTTATTGGTCTTTTTTTCTTCTATTTATTTCTCTTTATCAAGTAAATTTCCCCCTTCTGTAAAACATACTGACATGTATTGACATTTTTATTTCTATCTTCTATATCTCTTCATTTTTTTCTTTCAGATAGTTTTGTTTTTATGCATTCTTCATATTTTGACATGCTCGTGGATCTGATATTTAAATCTATTAATGTATTCTTAAGCTTTGTACATACTGCTCTTCAATTGTTTGTCTTTATTTTTCCTCAAAATTTTCATGTCAAATATTGCCTGTATTCATTAAGGATGTATGTCAGGCTAATGTAAAATGGTTGTTAATCATAGACACAATAAAAGGAATAACAAACACTAGGGCCTACTGGAGGTTGGAGGGAGGGAGGAGGGAGAGGATCAGAAGAAAACAACCATTGGGTACTCGGCTTAGTACCTGGGTGATGAAACAATCTGTATAACAAATGCTGTGATATGATTTTACCTATACAACAAACCCACACATTTAACTCTGAACATAACATAGAAGTTAAAAAAAAAAAAATTTTGGCTCCCCCAGAATTGAACTACTAATGGTCTGCTATTGACTGGAAGCTTTAACAATAACATAAATATTGGATTAACATATATTTTGTATGTTTTATGTATTACATATGGTATTTTTACCACAAAATAATCTGGAAAAAAAATAAAATGGTCTTTAATTCTTTATTTCGAATTAAGTGTTCCATTTGTTGACTTTTTTTTTCTTTTTATAATAGCGGTGCTCCTTGTATATTTGTTTGGTTTGTTGGCAGATTTTCTGTTAGCTCATATTCCTCTGGAATATCTTGGACTTTGCTATGATGCGTAGGAGAAAGTATGAAGCGCCAGGGTCGACCTTGGATCCCTTAGTTGATTTAGAAAAGGTAAGTGTGAAGGGAAATGTAAGATTCTCTGGTGTTACAATCTGAGCTCAGCTAAATTTCATTTGTATATGTTCCCCAAGAGGTAATTCTGCCCTTCAGAGAACCCATGTAACTGTGTTACCCTCCACCCCAAGCATTAAGATTTTCCAAGAGTTGCTTCCCCTTTAAATTTATCCATTGCTTGGGGTATATGAGTCGAGGTAAGCATGTTGAGAGGTGGGTCTTCTTGCACATGTTGTCTGCTTTCAGTCTCAAACTGAGGCTATATCTCCATCAACATGACACCCACCATCCTGGCTGGCACTAAGAGGTGCTGGTACTCTCTGCTTCTGCTTCATAGTAACTCAAGAGCAGTCACTCAAACTTTAAATATAAATATTTAAAATATAAAACTAAGGGCTTTTCTCTAGATTTTCCCCATTGTGACATCCAGCCCTCATTCATTAGGCTACTGTGCCTCTGAAACCAGGATGTAGCAACCTACTCCTTTTAGAGGATTCCACAATTTTGTTTTCTTAAAGTAATCTATGTCTACGAGAGGCAAGTAGACTATTGATGCAATAACTTAATAAGTTGCAAGGGATGGTGGGGAAGGAAAAATATTTTTAATATTTTTCAATTTTCAATATTTTTTCTATTTTCTAGAAATTATTCCACCTCGTGCTAAGCTTTCTTTTCAGACCACAGATCAATCATGAGTGTTTATTATGTTGAGGACCATGTGTCATCTGCCTTTAAGAGCTTTTAATGGGCTTTGATACCCAAGCAACAGCATTAACTATGGTTAAACTACAATACTGAGTTCAGTGGAATGACAACAGTCTTACAGAATATTGGAGGAGGGAATAATTATTGTAAATTGGGGTGATAAAGAGGCATAATGGTGTAAGAACAATATATACACATATAATATACATAAACAATTTATGTATAATTCTTAGGAAAGCCCTTTAATGTAGGTACTAGTATTCCTTGTTTATAGATGATGAATCTGAATCCTAGAAAGCATAACACAATTATTTGAGATCACATAGGTAGCAAATGCCAGAGCTGGGATTCAAGTAGACAAGTCTTTGATGCCAAAGCCATTGCTCTTTTTAATAACTCTGCAAATGCAACTAGCCTAGTTTGATTGAGAAGGCTTGCCGTAGTCTTTATTATGAAATAAATTAATCTTAACAGTTTGTATACACAGGTAGGCAGAGTTGGCATTTACAAACATAAACACAGTCATTCATGTTTATGTCAAATCAAATCGATGCATGTATTAAAAGGGGAGGATCTCTACCACTACAATAAAGATGACTGTTTCTTGTATGTACTGACTTATTATCCCTCCTCCTTGGAGTATAGACGATCAAGACTGGCCTGTGTAGTAAGACACAGCAGAGCAATAGTGGTCCTTCTCAAAGAATGAAAGTTATTCTAACTCCAAATGAATGGTGTATTTAGAAAGTAAATTTAAGAAGATTGAAATTGTGTTTCACACAGTAATATCACAAAGTAATCACAATCTTATCACAAAGTAATAAGATTCAGGTAGGGAAACACATGTCTGAAATTTATTTTCAGTATCGTCAGGGAGTTGTAGTATTAGAAAGTTTCATGAGTAATGTTAACAGGAATGTCAGAAGTCTAGTCTGCTAGTCTGATTGCAGAAAGCATCCTGCTGTGAATGTGGAATGAGAATGCTAAATTTCCAGCAGAAGAGCTCATACTGGATATAGTTATGACTTCACATGAAAAGTAATGTATGGTGCAAAAGATAACGGAGAAGAGTACAATACAATCTGCACGCATTCCTGGGTTTATAGCCAATCAAATGGAGTATTAAAATGTGAGCACACTTAATTAAATGTCTCATTTTGAGTAGTGTGATGAATAAGGGTCATGAAATGATTAGTGCTGAGAACTCAAAGTCAAATGCACTAATTCCATTTCAAACACTATCTTCGATTCACATTTGAGATTGAGAAGGCATGAATTCAAGCTTCTGCTCAGTGACATCTTGCATTGAGTCCTGCAACATAAACTCTTACTACTGTGTCTTATCAAACTCTACCTACACCTGGGCAAACATAACTTAGCTTCCTAGTCGTGAAGAGAAAAAAGAAAAGCTGAATCACTCAATTCATCAGGAAGTATAAAATGCCTTGTTTCTAGCTTTCAAAATTTTATCTACTTCTGAATAAAAGAGTTTGCTAAATGTGTGTCTTCAAAAGGCAAATTATACATTTGTAAAGCTTGTTTGTTAAGGGAATGGGAAGTCACTCTTGGTAGCTGTTGTTTCTGTCTGTGAAAACTTATGGGAGAAATGTACAAATTCATCCTTCAGAGGACCATTAGTATTGTTCTTTTTAATAACTCTGCAAATGCAACTAGCCTATTTTGAATAAAGTATTTGAATTCAAATATAAAGACTTCCAGAAAGCTGAGAAAACTGAAAATCTTCCATTAGTCTCATGTAAGTGTTAGAAAACTCATTTATTAAACCTGCAGGATTCAATTTATTAAGAATTTGACATTTGATAGAAATCGTGATGGAATCTGAGGATTTTTTAAAATATTATATATAGCCCGGTTCCTGTTTTCAAGAGTTTCCTACCAAATTCAAGTTAACTTATTCACATGAAGAGATTCTTAACACCATTCAATAATTTAGGGAAAGTGTTTCATAAGTAGGGCACTCAGAAATTAAGTAATCAAACTTGGGATCAGAACTATGTAATCAAAATCTACTTAGTTCTCACTATGTACAGGACAATGAAATAGCTGCTGTAGATCCCAGAAAGACATTTAGAAGGGGAAATCTAGGTTTCCCCTGTTTCTCACTGCCACAAGTGCACTTTCTTAGCTATTATGTAAATAGCCAAATTGTTCTAAGTGCTTTTCGAAATAAAATCTTTACTCCTCTAAAGGCAAAGAATAATCCCTTTCTCCTGTAAAGCACTTGGCAATTTTCAAAGCACTTTTATATTCATGATCTCACTTCATATTCACAGCACACCTATAAAATAAGTAGGGCAGGTGTTACTATCTACATATATTTTCCACCTTAGAAACTGAGGCGTAAAGAGATTACAACTTTCCCAAAGACACAGCTAATGTGTGATGGAAAAGAGACTAGAACAAAAGTATTCTAACTCCTAACGCAGTGCTTTTCTTGTAATAGTATACAAAGAAGCCATGGTTATTTGACAGAAGATAGGAGAAGAAAGAAGCATGAGAAGAGAAAACAGAAGGTTTAGGGGCAGTTATCAGACCAAAGTTAATGACCAGCTTTGTCTTCAAATAGTCTCCAAGCCATCCCACCCACCTTTGATTGCTGCATTTCTTGTTCCAGATCTAGTAAGGTTCCATTACATTTGTAAAAGTGTCTCAGAGCATTTCCAGCTCTACTTCAGGGCCCTCTAAACTTGATTAGCACTTTCTGTGAAATGAAAAATAGTATGATCTCCTCTGCTGGTCATTTGTCTTTATATTCTTTAAGTTGTTATTTTATAGTTTCATATCTTTATGATTAGATTGTGTGCTTCTTGCAGGCAGGTAGCAGAAAACAAACTCATTCCACTCCTTTAAAATCTTTAAAGATATACAAACAGGGTTGTACTGGAGGGAAAGAAAAAAAAAATTCCACAAAAGCAAAATATAGTTAATTTGATTTTATCCTCATCTGCTGCCTAAGTCTCCTAGTTAACACTTATTTTGCTAATAGAACAACCTGGAGCTATGCTGTCACCTACAGTAGCCATTAGCCATTTTTCGCTACCCTTAAAATTTTAAGATGTTTATTGAGGTATAATTGATACAGCCTGTATATAATTAAAATATACAATCTGATAACTTTGACATATGTGCACACCTGTGAAGTTATCACAAACATCAAGAAAATAAACATAACTGGTTCTCAAAAAAGTATCCTCATGTCCTTTGTAAGGCATCCTTTCTACTCCTCCTTGCTCCAGATAAGCACTTACCTGCTTTCTGTCCTTACAGATTCATTTGCTTTTTCTACAGTTCAACATGAATGGAATCATATAGTATGCATTTTTGGTGGGATGAGGGGCGGTCTGGCTTCTTTCAATAAGTGTAATTATTTGAGGTTCATCCACACTTTTACTTGTCAGTAGCTCATTCCTTACCATTGCTAAATTGTACATCATTGTATGGATGTAGTACAATCCATTTATCTCGTCGCCTTTTGGTGGACTATTGTATCGTTTCCAATTTTTGGCTATTAGGAACAAAGCTCACATAGGACATTGTATAAGTTTTTATAAAAGCATTCACTTACATTTCACTTGACTAAATGTATAGGCATAGAATGGCTGCATTATATGATAGTTATATGTTTAACATTTTAAAAAATTCCAGGTGTGTCTGTTAGCATGATGCAGGCTTTGAGGATGAGATGAATATATTAAATAGTATATAACTCTTGCTAGGTTAAAGATTTTTATGAGAAATATTTGGTGTTAAATGCTTTTTCAACATCTGTGGTGATGTTCATATAGTTTTTCTCCTTAGATTATTAGTGAAATAAATTACGTAAATAGACTTCTCAATACTGATCCATCCTTACATTCTTAGAATAAACTCTCCTTTATTGTGATTTTTTGTTTTTTTACTAAGTCCTGTTTTTCAATGTTGTACTTAAGATTTTTGCATAAATACACAAGTAAGGTTGGTGTGTGTGGAAATTTTGCAGTTGTAGGGGTTTACTATTAATTTTAAATTTGTTTCATACCAAGAAATCGATAGATATACCTTTTTCCCCTATGTTCTGGAACATTTTATGTAACATTAGTTTATCCATTCTTTAAATATAAAAACAATAGAAGATACTGCTTTTCTTCCCCAGCTTTCTTGTTCATATTTGGAAAGTGATCTTATAAGAATTTCCCTCTTCCAGGGTCATTTTGGTTGAGAACTAAAGCCACCCAATTTCACATAATTTAATTAACAGGACTGAGAACAAAGACCATAAGTCATTTGTGGTCTCATCTCACTTGTGTCAACGTGATTTTACTAGTGTTTCAAGGAAATTCTTGTCCAGGAAGATATGGCTATAAATCAATAAATAACTTTATTATTCCCTTCAGGAAATTACTGAAAACCAACTTATCCCGTTTGCTCACCTTGGCAAACAGATCTTCTGATACACAATGGGCTATTTACATGGGCAAGCAGCTGCTTAATGAATAGCAGTCTATTTATTGAGCCTCCTTTCAATACCCTCATCTGATTGTGTCCAAGAATCTTCATTTATTATGTCACAAACTTTGTCTGATCCCATCCAGTTACCTACCTGGATAGTCTCATCTTAATCCATTGATCCCAGGCTCCAAAACCCTTATGCATATCTGCCTTGACCTCCCCATTCTGAGGCACTCTTAAACTCAGTAAAGTTTGTGTTCTCCCTTACTGCAATTGTTTAATGAACTTAACTTTGCTTAAGTCACAGGTTATCCTAGCGATCTGTGGGAAGGTGGCACTTCATATGGTAAATTATATTTTCCTGGAATTTATTTATTTCATCCACATTTTTTTATTTACTTGCTTACAGTTGAGCATAGTTTTTTAATGGTAGTTATAAATAATCTCACTTTCTAATTGTATTTTCCTCTTCTTATTTCTGCATTTGAAACTTTTTCCCTTTGTTTCTAGAACTGGTTACCTACTGGTCTTATACTTTAATGTTGTTTTCTGTATTTCTATTATTTTCTATTTTTTAACTAGTATTTTTTTTCTGATCGCCTTCAAACTTACATTCCATAGGCAGTAGTATTTAAATCTTTTAGTACAATGATTTTCTAAGAATTTCAAAAAGCCAATTTCTACTTCCATTTTGACACAAGATTAGATATTAAAATTATTTTTATATAATTTATTGATTTCTAGTTGAGGGTCATCCTTGTTTTTTGATTCTGTCAATTTCAATTTTTTATTTTGTCTAAAAAACAATTTTAAATATTTCTAATTTTGAAAATTTACTGAAATTTTCTTTGTGGCCTAATATATAAATATTCAATTTTTATGATGATCATGAAATTTGAAAGCAAAAACAAAGCTTTTCACCCTCTATGTTCAGAATACAGAATTTGTTATATATAATAATATACATAAATATCTGTATTAATATTATATATAATAAACATATACATTACATCTTTATAATACAATTTATACCAAATTATTTAATAATAAAGTTTTCCTTAATTATATTTTTTACCTTTATTTCTTTTTTACACATGCCCAATTACGAAGTAAGAATTGTGAAATACAGTTTCAGTGCAATTCTCTTTATTTATCCCTGTATTTCATTTAGTTTTTGCATTGTGTGTATTGCTGCTGTTATTTGGTGCAGTGATACTCTTAATTATTAGTGCCCTTTTTGCTTATTTAATGCCTTTCATGTGTGAGTTTTAACTACTATCTATTTTAAAATTCTATTTATTTATAATAGTATTGCCTTGTATAAGTTTTCCTACTATTTTATTTTTATATTTTTATAATCACTCTGTGTTAGATATGTCTTACAAATATATCATGGAGTTGGGTTTTGTTTTGTGCTCTAATTTGAAATTATATTTTCATTTAATGAGTTAAGTCCATTAATATTTATTGATGCAATGGACACGTAAAATCTTCATTCTGTCAGATCATTTATTGTTCTTTGTTTTCATAGTTTTCTGTTTTGTTTTGTAAGTCATTTGTGATCCCTTCCCAATTTCAGGCACCAGATATGTGTCTGTAAGTTATGCACCTATTTCCTTTCCTTGGCCTTCTTTTATTCTATACTAATTTTATAGTAAATATTTTTTAATGGCTACTAGATGCCACAAATTTATTTTAAAAATTATTAATGTTTAATTTTTTTCAATGTATCTTACCAAATTTCTTAATACTTTTTAATAACATTTAAAAGAGGAATTTGTAATTTATCTCCCCATTTGGGGGTTGATAACTTAGTTTTCTCATCTTTCTTCATTTTCTAAATCCCTTAAAAGAAATATCAATCACAATAACAGCAGGCATCTTTGTCTTCTTTCTAATTTTAATAGAAACTGTTTTAGCATTTTACCACCCTCAGTGTTATACAACACTGTTCTTTAAAAATTAGTTTTCACTATCACCTCTGTACACCAGTATCTCAAGTATTATCAGATGACTCTTGATAACAACTCTTAAGATGATTATAGTCCTTTCATTAATTAATTATATTGATAGGCTTCTAGAGGCAGACTCATTACTATATTCCTGGAGTAAATTCAATCTTTTTGAAGTATATTATCCTTTGACACCTGTGTGAATTCTACTTCCCCTTTTAATGAGAATTTTACATGCATATTCCTAAGCAACATTATCTATATGTTTCCTTTTTACATATTACTTTTATGAAGGTCTGGTATCCCACTCATTGTGGGGGACAATTTACATTACATTGGAATTAACTGTTTTTCAATGGTTATATAGTTAAAACAACTGTGAGACATTGGTCCTAGAATAACTTTTAGGTAGAATTAACCTTTTCATTTTGCTTTTTTGTTTTATGTTTCATTAACTTTCATCTTTTATTATTTTTATAATTTTTCTTCTCTCTTGATTTGTAATACTATATTCTTTAAAAAATTTTAGGATGAATGTGTTAAGGGCCTTTAAAATTATAAATTATTTAAGTAGTTTTACATGTTTTCCATTTGTTGCCAAAAAAAATTTAGCAGAAATTGTTGGGTTTCTATGAAACACACATTTCTCCTTTATATCCATTTAACACAATCAAGCAATCCTAATTAATGTAAGTAAATTATGGATCAAATTTACTTTGCCTGAGATTGGTTTGCACTTAGACATGTAACCAAATTCTGGACAATGAGATGTGAATAGACATCTACTGGGGAATGTTGGGGAAAGATTTGTATGTTATTATAAAAAGACATACTAAAAAATATGTTCTCTTTATCCAATGGATGCTGGCATATTTGAATATAATATCTGGAAATGAAGCACCCTTCTTGGAAATGTAGATAAAAGAGGACTAATAACAAATCTAACAAACCAAGGATGGCGAGGCATATAAGTGGAAGAAAAACAGGGCCCTGATGATGTATTGGAGCAGTGGAAGTAACCCTGGAAGCATTCATCTCAGGATTCCGTGTTATGGGAGATTATTACTAAAGCAATTTGAATCTGGCTTCTATGACAATTTTATCCAAATAATCTGAACCAACACAGAAGGGTTTATTTTCCTTTTTAAAATTTTTCTATGCTGCTTATAATTTCAGTTTTGGCTTTACTTTGGCCCTCAAAGATTATTTAGATTGCTAATCCTTAATTCCTAAGATGTTAATAGTTGAAAGATAATTTTATATTGAAATTTACATTGGATTATGATCAGCAATTGTGGACTATAAAACTTTTTCTTTTCAAAATGTTTTAAGTTGATAGACAAAATTTAATGATTATAGTATTTCCTTAATATGAATAAAAATATATTTTCTTTCAGATGTAATGATATACATATTATATACTGTATATACCTACACATAAAAACTAGTTTATTGACCACATTATTCTATGCCTCTGTGCCCTCACTTATTTCTTGTCTATTATTTCAGTGCAATTCTTGAATGTAGTGCAATAAAATCTTTTTCCATGATTGCATTTTTATCAAGGTCAATGTGCATTTCTAATATTTTGCTTTATATATTTAGCTGCTATCTTCCTGGTGCATGCAACTTTATGACTTTTATATCTTCGTAAATTGTTCCTTTATCATTGTGTAATGCCCTTCGGTATCCTCTTGAGTACTTTTAACCTTAAATCCCACTTTCCCTGATATTAAGTTTAATATTCCAGCTTTGTTTTGTTTGCATTTGCTTAGTATCTTTTTTCATCTCTCTTTCTTCAAACTTTTTTTTTACTTTAAGTGTTCTTGCAACAAGATATAGCCAAATGTTTATATTTTCTTTAGTCTGAGACTTCTGCCTACTTGCAGATAGTATAGAGTCTTATGCCACAGTGTTTAATGTTTACCATTTAATGTATTTTGCTATGTCCTCAATTCAATTTTACTCATTGTAGCTTATTTGATTTACTATTTGTTCTACTCTTTCCTTGTTAAATCAGGCTTTTGACTGATTTATTGACTTTCCATTCTTGTAATTGTTTTCCCTGCACATGTATACATGCAAGTTTTTCTATAGAATTTGTAATACATTATTTTTTTTTCTATCAGAGTCTTCATCCCCTATATGAAAGTTTAGAATACTTTTATTTTCCTCTTCTCCATGATATTTTATAACTCCTGGGTTTTGTTGAAATATCTACTTTTCAGTTTTTTTTTCAGTGTGTCTTTTTCATTTCACAAATTCATATTTAGTAACTATATTATATATAATAATTCTCTCACAATCGATTTAGATTTAATTATATTTATTGCAAAATTCTTTATCTACAATTTCCCACTCATCTAATTCTTCCCCGCATTGAGATTTCTGTTTCAACTCATTTGGCGTTTAACGTTCTTCCTCAGGTCATTTCTTCTTCTGAGTGCTTGATTAATATATGTTCTCCGATTCTCTGCATATTCAGAACTTTTTTTGATTCTATTGGTGAATGATATCTTGGCTGGCAGTAGGGTTTCAAGTTCAGAGTCCTTTTAACTCAACAGACCAAAGATAAAGATGATTATTCTATTATCTTTTAGCTATCAGGAAACGTTTTATGTAAAGACCCAGATAATAAAGAGCTTGGGCACTGCAAACTAGTCTTTATCTGTAGTAATCAACCCCACAATTGTAGCACAAAATTAGTCATAACAATATGCAAACAAATACATTTATTTACAAAAAGGGGCAGCAGGCTGGATTTAGCCCATGGGCCAATGTTTGCCAACCCCTGTGTTAGTACTTTTGCGAGTAATTTAATCTTTAAAAACTTTTTGCAGAAATGTTTCTCTTCATTATTTGATTTAGAATACTAATAAGGTATGCCAAAGTATGTGTCTCTTTCTTTACTGCTGCACTGAAATTAAATGATTTTACAAACTCACGCTCAAATTCTTATTGTCTAGGAAAATGATTTTCTATCATTTAGATCAGTATTACCTCCTCTTCTTTTTTTTATTTTCCTTTTTTTCCAGTAATAGAAACTTCTATTTATTGGCAATTTAGGGCTTCTGAATATCTTCCCTTCATATATGCTTTGTTTTTTAATGCTTCCCATCTTTTTGTATTTCTTCCTGCATTTTTGCCTCTTGATCTTCTAGGCCACCAATTCCTGTCTTACATCAATTACAGGCAATTTGATGTGCATTATAAACAAAATCAATCATAAAATGTCAGTGCCGTAAAATACACAAACACACATTTATTTAGCTCATAGTCTGCAGTTCAGTGATTTAGGCTGGATTCAGTTAAGTAGTTTCTCTGGCCTCACTTATATATATCTGGTGGGAGTTGGCTAATCTAGGATGATCTTGGGTGGAATTACTGGGAGTCACTCAGCTCTGCTCTACATGCTGCAATTTCCAGCAGGGCATGTTGTCATATTGAAGGCAGAGGAGCAAGAGAACATGTGGAAACCTCTGTGCTTTTTAAGACCTTGGTTCACACCTGGCCCTCTATCACTTCTGCCTCATTCTACTTGTCAGTGCAAGTCAGAAGCCCAGTGCAAATTCTAGGAGTGAGCAAACAACTGTCCCTTCTTTATGAAGAGGAACAAACTCATGTGGCAAATGACATGAATACTGGAAAGGAAGAAGAATCAGGGTCATTGACACAATCAATCAGCCACAGGTCTCAACACCAATCACTCTTTGCTTAAATCTACCCACTGATTTATAGTGTCTTCACTATAAATCACCAACTCTACTCTCCTCAGATACTTTGTTTGATTTACTAATTAATTCTCCATTAATGCCTTATTTTTATTGTTTAATATTCAAAAAATGACCATCTCTTATGGTAGTTTTATTTTCTTTTAAGCTTTATATTCCAAATGCCGTAATTGCTTTTCTCTCCTCTTAATAATAGTTGTCTTGTCTGTTTGTTTTCCTCAGTCAGCATTTTGTTCAGCTTCTAGACCCAAATTCAATGAGTAGAGAGAAAATCCCATGAGTAATGGGAGAAGGTACTAGAATCTTGGGCGCTATTAGAAGTTATTTGCCAGATTACAGTTTCCTTTTTCCCTGTCAAGAAACAAAACACATGAATCTTCTCAGGGGCCATAGTTCTCCATGACATAAATCCTTTCCAGGAATCAGAAAGTTCAAACCTCTGATCAGGAGTCTTATTACAGATTCCCATGTACCATGATGTGACGATTCAGATCCTGGCAGAGCCTGAGGCTGGCTTCCACTTCTGGAGGCAGCTTGCCTCTGGGTACATGAGGTGGCTATTACTTTTATTATGGTTAGGAAAGAAGAGAGGCAGAGATAAATGTTCTGGCCAGTTCTCTAGGCTCCCCTGAGTCATAGCATTTAACAACCAAATAATAGTGCCCCTTCTTTGTAATACCGATCTATGAATTTAGCTCAGGAGAAAAGAGCTCAACCAGGCATCTCAGGAAGTGCCCTGTCACCTGAAATCCTTGTCCTTGGAAGGACCCACCCATGAGTCATCCCCTGCTCTTAACTGGGCACTAGAACTGGGTCTTGGTCTCTGTGTGTTGCTACAGAGGAATACCTGAGGATGGATAATTTATGAAGAAAAGAGATTTATTTGGCTCATGGTTCTGCAGGCTGTACAAGAAGCATGGCACATGCACCTGCTTCGGGAAGGACTTCAGGAAACGTCCACTCAAGGCAGAAGGTAAAGGGGGTCAGGTATCTCATGATGAGAAAGAAAGAAAGCAAGAGAGAGGGGAGGAGAGGATAATTTATTTTTAGCAACCAGTTATCTTAGGAACTAAGAACTCATTCACTCCCACAAGGACAAGGATGGCACCAAGTTGTTCATGAAGAATCCAGCCCCTTGATCCAAACAGCCCCAACCAGGCCCCACCTCTAACACTGGGGATCAACTTTTAACATGATATTTGCAGAGCATAAACATCCAAACTATATCAAACAGCCATTAGGATCTCCATCTACTTAATAAGAGCAATGATGATCAGTAAGTGGGTCCATTCAGTAACCATCCAGACTGAATATACCAATTTTACATTGCTTTATAACATAATAATTTATTTGGTTCACTATGTTTTACCTGCAAAAATTTTAATGTTAACCTAAGCATGCTTACCACAAATATTTTGTCATGCCAACTATATTTCCACATATTAATACTTCTTAGCCACAATCTCTGGCTGTTTCTCCAATAGATGAATGTCTTTTGGGGCTGATTTTCTGGTTACATTAGCAATAGCTCTTT
Organism: Homo sapiens; assembly: GCF_000001405.40. Lineage (NCBI taxonomy): Eukaryota > Metazoa > Chordata > Mammalia > Primates > Hominidae > Homo > Homo sapiens. The sequence goes on from NC_000018.10 coordinate 44,196,901, forward strand.
GTGTAGAAGAAATCACAGAAAATTAACTGTAAGTTCTTTTGGTTGTTCACCATAACAGCTACTCTCATAACAACTACTAACCAATATTTTATTGTATCATTTTTGTAAATCTGTCTGTTTTCTAATTATGTCTTTACTATTTGGAAAATGACCATCTTACACGCATCTGCCAGCCCTGCATTTTTTATTAGCAATGGAGGAGGATAATTCTGATGCCTTATGTAAGCATTTGGTATGTTCATCATATGAAGTAAGTTTCAGTGTTTGACTTGGTACCTGTAGACTAGAGATCATAACACCTGTTGCTCTCTTATGCAGAACCAAAATTTCCTTTTACTGAAAGCATCCAAAGCTCAGATTCCATCTTAGTTTTTGGTTATGGGGAAAGAAGAATGGAGAAAAATAAGAAAATTCAGTCTTATCAATTAGTGGTGGTAAACCAACCAGAATTAGGTACATTTTTGTCTTTAAATTTGTTTCAAAATTCCAGATGTGCTATTTGATTTTCTTTGCCTCATTCTATATCATCCCCTGATGCCTTTGGTGTTGGCCTACCTCTTAAACTTATTTTTATATTGATAGTTAATAAAAGGTGAATTGTCTTCCATTGAAATGGTTCCTGGGATAGCTTATTTCTGTTTCCACTTTCATTCTTTATAAATCAGGATGTGCTGACCCAGCTTTGCCTTCTATGCCATCTGATCTCAACCCATGCTCTTTGTCTTCACACTTCTGAATAGTCATTGGCAATCAAAAAAATACTATTCTACTATATGGCACATATAGACCAGCAGTCACCATAACCTTTAGATATTTGTATTTTCAACAGTATCTACAAAAGCTGTGTGAATAGTAAAAATTACTTATTGAATGCATTCTGCTCTTCTTTGTTTATTTAGAGAGAGTGTATTGTGTGTGTATGATTAAAATGTATGGTTTTGTATCTCACCCTGGCCAGTGGAACTGCGATCTCTTCTCCAGTGCTCCCTCTCCCCTAATCTCTCTGCTCTGCTCCAGGAGACCCAAGTGACTCTCCTGTAGTCTCTGTCTTCCTGTGACCTGCATGTACTGGGGGATCTGTAGGAAAAACACTGTCACACCCTTTAAGCTATGAAATGACCTTTGGATATAAAACACGGAATGTGGATGGAGCAACGTTGCAGACACACAAGCTGAAGAGGGAGGAAGCTGGGAACCCTGTGTGGGGTGCCTAATTGCTGGGGCTGGATTCTGACTCCAAACAGCTCCTGGGAAGGGGTAAGTGAAGGGACTGCAGAACCACCTACTCTCACTGAGAACTTCTGGGATCCTAGCTGCAGGCAACCACAAACCCCCACAGATGTTTAAACTGGCAGGGAGATGTCCCCAGAGATTAGACAGAGATAGAGTTTCAGCAGGCATGGAGCTAGGGAACCCTGTGTGCAGGACAGCTCCAGCAGAACCCAGTCATAAGCGCCCATCATCCAGTGCTCCTCATCTCCCTCTGAGAAGCTCTGGCCCCAGCTAACTGCTAGACTGGGAGAAGCAGAGCTGACTTCGCTGTGTGACTGGGGCATGTCTGTCCTGCAGGCTCACCGCCAGCCGGCCTCTTCCAGGGCTCACTCATGCCTGGCAGCCCCACAGAAGCATGTACACAGTGCAGCCTTCACTGCCTAGCCTGGGTGCTTTCTTGACCCGAGTGAGTTCTATCAGCCTGGGAGCCCTTTGGATACCTCAGCACACCCAGAACCCAACCTTGAGTGGCTAGAGGAGAGAGCTACAAGAAGGTCTTAGGGTTCCAGCCCATGGCTTAGGCATGTCAGACTGAGATCTCTGCCTAGCACTTAAGCAGGAGAGGAGCCTACACTCTCAGAAAACTGAGAGGGGTGAGTCGCACAGGTTCACAGGTTCACAGGCTGGTGTGGAACCTAAGCATGCCTCCCTCCACAGGGTTGATCTGGTACGGGTGGGGCTTATCTTCTTTCTGGAACTCTGCCTAAGGGAGCGCTCTGGCTAGAAACACCTGAAAGTAATAAAAATTGCAGACACAGTGCCAGTGATCAGAAGTGGCTTCCCCAAGGCCAAGGAGTGGACCTGGCTAGGGGTTCATCTCTCTCCCCCTTTCACCACACAGCACAGCTGCAAACAGAGGAGGATACACAAAGGAGCAAACTGGCTGAGTAAGAGCCTATCCACTTTCCATTGCTTTCAAGTGCCATCTACTTGATCACAGCCCAAACTATAAAACCAAACAAAGCACTCAGCTAATTCTCCCTCCTGCAAAACCAAGGGCAAGAATTTCACAACAGTATAGGACCCTGTACAGAGCATTAGCCTTCTGAAAACTACCAGAATTAAAGTCAACTGAATATACTCAAGTTTTACCACAGTTAAAGGAACACCGACTCTCCCAGATGAGAAAAAATCAGCACAAGAACTCTGGCAATTCAAAAAGCCAGAGTGTCCTCATACCTCCAAATGAGCCCATTAGCTTCCCAGCAATGGTTCTTAACAAATATGAACCGATTGAAATGACAAAAACGGAATTCAGAATCCAGACGGCAAGGAAGCTTGTTGAGATCCAGGAAAAGTGGAAACCCAATCCAAGGAAGATAAGCAATCCAGTAAAATGATTCAAGAGGTGAAAAATGAAATCGCCATTTTGAGAAAGACCTAAAGTGAACTTATTGAGCTGAAAAATTCACTACAAGAATTTCATAATACAATCACAAGTATTAACAGCAGAATAGACAAAGCTGAGGAAAGAATCTCGGAGCTTGAAGAAGAGTATTTTTAATCAACTCAGGCAAAGTTTTTTAAAAAACAGAATTAAAAGAATAAACAAAACCTCAGAGAAATAATAGTGGGTTATGTAAAAAGACCAAATCTATGACTCATTGGCATTCCTGTGAAAGAAGGAGAGAGAATGCACAACTTGGAAAATATATTTGAAGACATAGTCCATGAAAATTTCCATAATCTCGCTAGAGAGACTGACATACAAATTCAAGAAATATAGAGAATACAGAGCCGGGCGCGGTGGCTCACGCCTGTAATCCCAGCACTTTGGGAGGCTGAGGTGGGCGGATCACGAGGTCAGGAGATCGAGACCATCCCGGCTAACACGGTGAAACCCCGTCTCTACTAAAAATACAAAAAGTTAGCCAGGCGTGGTGGCAGGCGCCTGTAGTCCCAGCTACTCGGGAGGCTGAGGCAGGAGAATGGCGTGAACCCGGGAGGCGGAGCTTGCAGTGAGCCGAGATTGTGCCACTGCACTCCAGCCTGGGCAACAGAACAAGACTCTGTCTCAAAAAAAAAAAAAAAAAAAAAGAGAATACAGAGAACCCCAGCTAGATACTATACGAGACAACCATCCTAAGCCACATAGTCATCAGATTCACCAACATCAAAGCAAAAGAAAAAATTCTTAAAGACAGCTGGAGAGAAGGGTCAAGTCACATACAGAGGGGAGCCCAATCAGGCTAGCAGCAGACCTCTCATTGGAAACCTTATAAGCAGAAGAGATTGGGGGCCTTATTTTCAGCATCCTTAAAAAAAGAAACTCCAACCAACAATTTCATATCCTAACAAACGAAGATTCATAAGTGAAGATGAAATTATCTTTCTCACATTAGCAAATGCTTAGAGAATTTATTTCTACTAGACAAGCCTAACAAGACGTCCTTAAGGGGATGCTAAACATGGAATCAAAAGAATAACACTGACAACCACAAATACTAATTTTCGCACATAGCCCACAATCACTATTAAGAAACTACACAACAAATTGTATATAACAACCAGCTAACAATGATGACAGGATCAAAATCACACATATCAATACTAACCCTGAATGTAAATGAGTTGAATGTTCCACTTAAATAACATAGAGTGGTAAGACAAAAAAAAAGACAAGAGCCAATTGTCTGCTGTCTTCACGAGACCCACCTCACATGTAATGATACTTATAAGCTCAAACTAAAGGGTTGGAGAATCATCTATCATTGAAATAGAAGAAAAAAGAGAACAGGAATGGCTATTTGTATACCAGACAGAATAGACCTTAACCTTTTACAGTTAAGGACAAAGAAAGACATTATATAATGACAAAGTGTACACTCCAATAAGAAGACTAGCATACACAACATTGGAGCACCTAGATTCATAAAATAAATTCTTCTTGACCTACAAAAAGAGTTAGACAACCACACAATAATAATAGGAAGATTTAATGCTCTACTAACATTTCTAGACAGATTATTGATGCAGAAAACTAAAAATAACAAAAAACACCCTGGACTTAAACTTGACAGGTGACAAATTGGACCATCTAGGTATCTACAAAACACATCACCCAACAAACATGGATTATACATTCTTCTACACACAGAACATATTTCTAGATTGACCACATGCTACGTCATAAAGCAAGTCTTAATAAATTTAAAAATAATCAAAATCAGCCAGGTGTGTTGGTTCACACCTATAATCCCAGCACATTGAGAGGTCGAGGTGGGTGGATCACCTGAGGTCAGGAGTTCGAGACCAGCCTGGCCAACGTGGTGAAAGCCTGTCTCTACTAAAAATACAAAAGAAATGAGCCAGGCATGGTGGCAGTTGCCTACAATCCCAGCTACTGGGGAGTCTGAGGCAGGAGAATCGCTTGAACTCGGGAGGCAGAGGTTGCAGTGAGCCAAGATCATGCCATTGCACTCCAGCCTGGGCAACAGAGTGAGACTCAATCTCCAAAAAAAAAAAAATAATAATCAAAATCATACCAAATACACTCTCACATCACAGTACAATAAAAATATAAATCAATATAAAGAGGATCTCTCAAAACTACACAAATGCATGCAAATTAAACTTATTACTCCTGCATAATGCATGGGTAAACATGAAACCTAAGGCAGAAATAAAAAATTTCCTTGAAATGAATGAACATTAATTAAACACATGACTCATAGGTAAACATCAATATTAAAGCTGAATCAAAAAATTCTTTGAAATTAATAAACCTAGGGACCCAGCTTACAAAAATATCTGAAGTACACCTAATGCAGTGTGTTAAGAGGAAAGATTATAGCACTAAATGCCTTCATTAAGAAGTTAGAAAGACCTGAAATTAACGATGTAATTTTTCATCCTAAGGGAACTAGAGAAAAGAACAACAACTCAAACCTAAAGCTGGCAGAAGAAAAGAAATAAGTAAAATTGGAGAAGAACTTAACAAAATTGAGATGCAAAAATCCACACAAAATATCAATGAAACCAAGAGTTTGTTTTTCAAAAGAATAAATACAACTGATAGATGCAAACCCGCCAGATTAATAAAGGAAATAACCCAAATAAGCACAATCAGAAATGACAACGGTGATATTACAACTGATCCCACAGAAATGCAAAAGATTCTCAGAATATTATGAATGACTCTATACACACCAATTAGAAAATCTGGAGGAAATGAATAAATTTCAGGAAGTACACAATCTCCCAGGATTGCATCAGGAAGAGATTGAAACCCTAAATATACTAATATAAATTTCTGAAATTGAGTCAGTAATATAGAACCTACCAACTAAAAAAAGCTCTGGACTAGATGGATTCATGCCTAAATTTTACCAGGTGCACAAAGAAAAACTGATGCCAGTCCTACTGAAACTATTTGAAAAAACTGAGTAGAAGGGACTCCTCTCTAACTCATTTTGTGAAGCCGGAATAAGACTGATAACAAAATCTGGCAGAAACAAAACAACAACAACAAAAAGCTTCAGGCCAATATCACTGATGAACATAGATGCAAAAATTTTCAACAAAACATCAGAAACATGAATCCAGCAGCACATCAAAAAGTTAACACATCACGACCATGTAGCCTTTATTCCAGGGATGTAAACCTGGTTCAACATATGAAAATCAACAAATTTGATTTACCACATAAATAGAATTAAAAGCAAAAACCATATGATCATCTCAATAGACACAGAAAAATGATTTTGATAAAATTCAACATTCCTTCATAATAAAAGCCCACAACAGACTAGGGATTGAAGGAACATGCCTGAAAATACCAAGAACCATCTATGACAAACCCACAGCCAACATTGTACTGAATGGGAAAAAGCTTGAATCATTCTCTTTAGAACCGGAACAAGATAAGAATGTCTACTCTCACCACTCCTCTTCTACATAGTACTGGACATCTTAGCCAGACCAACAGGCAAGAAAAATAAATAAAAGTAATGTGAATAGGAAAAGAAGAGGCAAACTATTTCTCTTCTCTGATTATATGATTCTATACCTAGAAAATCCCAAATACCCTGCCCAAAAAGCTTCTTGAACTGATAAACAATTTTAGTAAAGTTTCATGGGAAAATAATCAATGTAAAAAATCAGTAGCATATCTACACAGAAACAACATCCAGGATGAGAGTGAAATTACGAGCACAATTCCACTTACAATAGCCACAAAGAAAATGAAATACCTAGAAATACAGCTAAGCAAGGAGATGAAAGATCTCTACATAAAGAACTACAAAACACTGCTGAAAGAAATCAGAGAAGACACAAATAAATGAAAAAAAATTCCATGCTCATGGATTGGAAGAGTCAATGTTGTAAAAATGGCCATACTGTGCAAAGCAATCTACAGATTCAGCGCTATTTCTATCAAATTACCAATGTCATTCTACAAACAGAATTAGAAAAATTATTCATTCTGTAATTCCTATAGAACCATAAAAGAGCCCAAATATCCAAAGCAATCTGAAGCAGAAAGAACAAAGCTGGAGGCATTACTCTACCTGACTTCAAACTATACTGAAAAGCTACAGTAACCAAAACATCGTGGTACTTGTACAAAAACAGACACATAGACCAATGGAACAGAATAGAAAATTCAGAAGCATGTAGGTGTGTAACATCATACCTACAACCATCTTATCTTTGACAAAGCCAACAAAAGCAAGCAGTGGGGAAAGAAGTCCCTATTTAATAAATAGTGCTGAGATAACTGGCTAGCCATTTGCAGAAGATTGAAGCTGGACACCCTACATTTTATCATATACAAAAATTAACTCAAAATGAAGCAAATATTTAAATATAAAGCCTTAAACTATAAAAATCCTAGAAGACAACCTAGGAAATACTCTTCTTGATGTCGGCCTTGGCAAATAGTTTTTGGCTAAGTCCCCAAAAGCAATTGTAACAAAGATAAAAATATAAAAGTGGCACCTAATTAAAGAGCTTCTGCATAGCAGAAAAAACGATAGCAGAAAAAACTATCAACGGAGTGAACAGACGTCCTATAGAATGGGAGAAGATATTCACAATCTGTGTATCTGACACAGACCTAATATCCAGAATCTATACGGAACTCAAACAAATCAACAAGCAAAAAGCAAACAACCTCAATTAAAAAGTAGGCAAAAGACATGAGCAGACACTTCTCAAAAGAGGACATAGAAACAGATAACAAACATGAAACAATGCTCATCTTCACTAATCAGAGAAATGCAAATCAACAACACAGTGAGATACCATCTCATACCAGTGAGAATGGCTATTATTAAAAAGCCAGAAACAGATGTTGGTGAGGCTACAGAGAAAAGAGAATACTTTGCACTGTTGGTGGGAATGTAAATTAGTCCAGCCACTGTGGAAAGCAGTCTGGAGATTTCTGAAATAACTTCAAACAGAGCTACCATTTGACTCAGCAATCCCATTAGGGAGTATATACCCTAAGGAAAATTAATCAATCTACCAAAAAGAGACATGCACTTGTATGTTCATCACTGCACTATTCATAATAGCAAAGACTTAGGATCAACCCAGGTGCCCATCAATGTAGACTGGATAAAGAAAATGTGGTACATATATACCATGGAATACTGCACAGCCATAAAAAAGAATGAAATCACATCATATGCAGAAACATAGAAACAGTTGGAGGTCATAGCACTAAGCAAACTAATGCAGGAACAGAGAACAAATACTACATATTCTCACTTATAAGTAGGAGCTAAACATTGGGCACACACAGACATAAACATGGGAAAAATAGACACAACTAGAAGGGCAGGAAGAGAGGGAGGCACAAGTGGAAAAACTACCTGTTAGGTACTATGCTTACAACATGGGTTGTGACAACATGTACCCCAAACCTCAGCATCACACAACATTCCCATATGACAAACCTGCACATGTACCCTTGTATCTACAATATAAGTTGGATTTTTTTTTTTTTTTTTTTTTTTTTTGAGAAGGAGTCTTGTTCTGTCACCAGGCTGGAGTGCAGTGGCACAATCTTGGGTCATTGCAACCTCTGCCTTCCAGGTTCAAGAGATTCTCCTGCCTCAGCCTCCCGAGTAGCTGGGATTATAAGCGTGTGCCACCATATCTGGTTAATTTTTGTATTTTTAGTAGAGACGGGCTTTCATCATATTGGCCAGGCTGGTCTTGAACTCCTGACCTCGTGATCTGCCCACTTTGGCCTCCCAAACTGCTGAGATTACAGGCGTGAGCCACCACACCCGGCCAAAATTTGAAATGTTTTAAAAATAAAAAATAACAAAATTTACCATCAAATGTTTACAATCACATATTTATATATATATATGCACAAAATATACATTAACATTTGATTTACTGATTATAAAATTATTTACTCTTAACACTAAAATTTAAAATATTTCCAAATTAGTTTTTGTTACAGTTCATTTTCATCTTTGATTTAAGGGTAAAATTGAAAATAATATTTGTAAAAATATTTTGTTGAGTGTCGTGTTCATGTGGTTCAACTATGAGCTATATAATGTTTATAACTTGGAGATTTATTGAGCTTTATGCTATAGCAAATGAATAATTTTAAACACCTTCTATGGGCATTTAAAAAGAATGTGTATTCTTTATTAGTAAGTATAGTTTAAGCCACAATCATTGAGTGAAGTCATTTGAATAACCTCTGTTTTATTTTTATTTTACCATATAAATCTGTCAAAAAGTAAAAATGACATTAAAATTACTCTATTTTAATATTTCTATCAGTTTTAGAATTTTATAGATATATAAAAATAAAATACAGTTTAATTAAAAGATAGTTTTGAGAAAAAGGTAAAATCATGACTATCACAGAGATATAAAAATACACACATGTTAAATGATCTGCTTTATTCATCTGATATGAAGCAAAAAACAAAAGTTGTCAGAGATTTTAGCACCTAAGCTAGGAACTGGAATATAGATGCCTGAGAAACAATAGATGGCTTAGTTATTTCAATGTGAAAATAAAACATTAATAAAGTAAACAAAAGGTAGTATAATAATAAAAAAAAACTTTGCTTTTTTATTAAGTGAAAAAACTTTGTTTTCTGAAATAATCAGAGATATAGTAACATCAACATAAACCAGAGCAAGTTATTCTGGTAAGACTTCAAATCTTTGTTGTCTAGGCAGTTTACACGGAAAGAAAAAAAAAAGTAGAAGCAACATTGCAGGAGAAAGTATCAACAGTAAATAGTGAAAAAAGCCCATCAAAACTCAGCATCCTTTGTTAAGATTTTAACACATGCCATAGCTTTTCAAACTGAGGTACTACAAACAATGGCAATTTAAAATTCTCTTTTAACTTTTGTACTTCATTATGCTGTTTCATATTCTGAAACAGGTGGACACTACCTTAGGACCAACTTCATGGTGTTAGTAAGGCAAAAATTTTATAATATTCCCGAGTTGTTGCTAGTATGCAGTGCCTTTATACATGTAATCTTCAAATGAAACAATAAATAAAGATTCCAAAATTACCTGTTCAATTTACAATACAGCAAATATTAGTAACTACACACCACAATAAAGATATTGTAGCCCTCAATAAGATTAAAGAGCATGAAGAGGTTTAGTGATTTTAAAAAACAACCCTCTTTCAGGACAAAATACTATTTTCCTGGTATATACACAATTATATTTCTCTGAAACTATTTCTCCTAAGTAGGAAATTTTAACTAAAGTAACTTCTATCTCACATAGAAACCTATGGACAACCATGAATATTATACACCAGCATCCTGCCAGTCCAGGAGAGCTCATGAATACACTCAACACAATTTCCTAGCGTTATGCTTTACACAACCTCTCAAAGTAGCAAAAATGAACATGTTCATTAAGATACCCAAAGATGTTACTTTGATATAGCATATGAAAATACAAAGCAAAAACAAACTTAAAATTATTGCTTAGTAATCAATGTTTTACTATTATATCTTAGAAATGATCAAGGTAACTAATAAATTTCCATTAATTAAGTCACCTACAGATTTTTGGAAGTTATCTTCAATCTGGCATACTACAAAACATAACTTCTGTGGAATTAAAATTTTATCAGAACACTCAATTAATTTAGTTAAACATAAATTTACGTGTTTTATAATCTTAAACATTAGAAATAATACTAATTTATTGATTGGTAAACCTGTATAAGTTTAAGAAGAACATATCCAAATAGAATAAAAATATAAGATTATATTACACTTAACACTGATAAATCAGAGAAAACAGCTGTTTTTATTAAAACAAAATTATTTAACTAGTCTCATTTGCCAAAGATTTTCCTAAATTATATGAATTCGAATGTCTGAAACATTCTGAGTTTCTTTAAAAATTATTTTTAAATCTAATATGAAAAATATTGGAAGTTCAATTTCCTTATTTTGGGGGAATTTTAGGATCATTTAATTTATAAAAATATTAATTTTTTAATGCCAGTCAGCATGGAACTAAAGAAATTATATATTCCTATTTATTAATACAATCCAGAAAATTTAAAAATATTATACACATTCCTTTCTGAATTACAAATAAGCAGAGATATAGACACAAATAGAGGAAACTAATTAATTCTAAAATTTCAGCTGTGGGTCAAGAATAAACAGAAATTATAGAACTCACCAGTCTGTATCAAAGAGCTTGTCTCTTCCCAGTGGGTAAGAATTCTTCAGTTATTTGATTTAAATAGACAAATAAACAGAAGAGACTAGCCAACTCTGTACACTCTCTCACCCAACAGAGACAAAATCTCTATAAATTCATTTACAGAGATCATTGAATAGTCTGACCATAAAACCAAACACTCGCTGGGGAATAACTTATTATCTGTAAACAAACTAAATGCAAATCAAAGCAGAAGTAGTAGAGAAGAAAATTAAAATTAGAAAAACTGAAAGTAAAGTTTTATTTGTATTTGGGTTCACCCCAGGAAGCAAAGAAAGATGTATCTGGCTTTAAAACATCTATGAGTTGCACTTCTTTGACAACAAAGTTTATCTGGCTCAGGTAAATAAAATGATTAGGCATCTCGGTGGAAAATCTCCAAAGCCATTAAAAGATAATTTTCAGAAAAATAAAAGTGTAACTCCATGACTCTTTTAATCAAATGCCTATAGAAGGCAAGGTTCTGGATGACTGTGTTTGGCTACTGTAGAATATTTTAGTCATTACTAGTGAGGATAATGAAATTTGGTGTTTGCTTATTAGTGTGCAATAGCAATAATTACTCTTTTCTGGAGTAAGAAGGGAGAAAAAGAATGAGTTCAGGTCTCCCAGTTCCAGCTCTTCATAAATGACGTGAAAATTCAAAATGTTTATTTATGTTTTAAAATTTTTCTCATGTCCTATTAGTTGTCTGGCTGGGATTTCTGAAAACCAAACTCAGACTCTCACACTGTGAGTGGTTGAATTACAACTTTGTATTCCCAACACTTCTGGGTGTCTTCTGTTAAAGTAAAAGAATTATTAGGAAATAACAGGGTCCCATCAGAATGGGGACATTTGAGGAGATCTCAATGAAGCTGGGGATGCTGAAACCCTAAATTCTACCAAGTCTTCTTTGTCCTTCTATCCCTGCCTAGGGAAGTTAGCCCTTCTTTGCCTGAAGAACTTATAATGGTCTCCCCTGAGATGGTTGCTTTGCAAAACACTGTTGATTTTTCTCAAGGACTACTCCATCATCTCTCTTTGCCTTTAGATCTGTATCTATACTTGAGCCCAGAGATCCCAAAAGCTGAATTAGTGTGACTCACTAGAAAGTACATTATATACCAAAACAACTGCATGTTTTTTTAAATTTATATGGACAGAAATCTGAGGAATATGTGTGTATATGAATATTAATGGCGTGGGATAATGCAAAAAGAGACATAAAGTTGAATAAGACTAATTTTACTGATATGAGCCTTAGAGAGATTCTAGAGAATCAATGTTTAGCTCAATAAGTTAAAAAGTCTCTATGGTTTGGTTGGTTTGTTGGCTAAAACATGGACCTTAAGATGGCAAACACCAAATGAAGTTAGAATGTCAGAACTGCCTTGTTATGCTACAGAGAAAAGTATCTAAGGGCTTAGGAAAACAGGAACATTGGAGTGGATTTATTATGTAAGACCTTCTTACCCATCCTGGGAGCATCCAGAGGAGAAAACTTTTGCCACCAACTGCGAAAAATTAATTTGTGAAGAGACGCCTGTATCCTTCAAGATCTCCCTGGGTGCTTTTTTCATGGTCAGAAATTATTGTGGGACTCCTGCCATCTAGCTGAGATCCAAAAAAGGAATGAGGATAATTGGCTCACAGGTTGGCAGGGGCCAGATAGTGGCCCATAATCATCAAAGACAAGGTGGATGTGGCTACTGTAATGGATTGCAGTCAAAGCAGTAATCAGAAGAGTCTGGCTTGCAAATAGCTATTGCATAGGATAGTTGATGTTGGTGTTCCTAGAAAGAAATAGATAAGCAATCTATTCCTACTTGATCTGTATATGGGGAAGAGTTCCAAGTCTTGTGAACTTAAATTGCTAAAGCAGAGAGTCATGGCTCCTCAATCAATTCTCAGACTTGATCCAATTTACACAATGGATACTTCTTTAAGAAAGGAGAGTCCAGGTCCCCACCCTGCTACACTGAAAAAAAATTATACTGTTAATCTTATTTTCAGCCTTCCCCAAAGGAATTTATAACCATTTACTAGAGTGATTATATGCTAGAGAAAGGAAAATAATCCTCAAAACCATCTACTTCTACTTACCAAAACTGACATGGCTATAACCATTTCTGAGTGTCCACAGTGCCAGCAGTAGGGACCAACATCAGAGTCCCTGACACAGCGCTATTCCCCAGGTGATCGGCCACCTACCCCTCGCGGCACATTGATTATATGGGACCACTTCCATCATGGAAGGAGCAGCTCTTTATTCTTTCTGGAATAGACATTTATTCTGGATATGGATTTGCCTTCTGTATATGCAATGCTTCTGCCAAGACTACAATTTGTGAATTTACAGAATGCCTTATACGCCACTATGGTATCTCACAATATTGCTTCTGATGAAGAATGTCTCGTCATAGAAGATAAAGTGTAACAATGGGCCCGTGCTTATGGAATTCACTGGTTTTACCATGTTCCCCACTATCCTGAAGCAGTTGGCTTGATAGAACAATGGAATGGCCTTTTGAAGACTCAGTGCCAGCTATACATAGCTATACATAGAAATACCTTTCAGAACTGGGACAAGTTTCTCTAGGACACTGAGTATGCTCCAAGTCAGCATAAAATATATAGTGCTTTTTCTCCTACAGCCAGGATTTATGGGCTTAGAAATCAAAGAGTGGAAATGGGAGTGTCGCCATTCATTATTAGCCCTCATAACCCACTAACAGGATTCTTGCTTGCTGTCCCTTATACTCTGCCAGCCTAGAGAACATCGTTCCAAATGAAGAAATGCTTCTGGGAAACACGATTCAATTGAAGTGAAAGTTAAGACTGCCACCCAACTATTTTGAGTGTCCCTTACTTCTGAATCAACAAAGATGGGGGTTACATCATGGCTGGGTGGTTGGACTACTTGTCTACAAAGAGGTAGGAAGAATATGACTGGAATATATGAGATTCCTTACAGCATATCTTAGTACTACCATGCCCTGTGATTAAAATCAGTGAGCCTGGAATTTTTTCCCACTTATTTGTGTTACCTCTGATTTCTTTGAGAAGTGTTTTGTAATTATCATTTTAAAGATCTTTCACTTCCCTGGCTAGTTATGTTCCTGGGTATATTCTTTTTGTTGCCTTGTGAGTGGAATTGTGTTTTTGATTTGGTTCTCAGAGTGGATGTTGTTAGTGTTTAGGATTGCTACTGATTTTTGTACATTGATTTTGTATCCTAAAACTTTGCTGAAGTTGTTTATCAGATCAAGGAGCCTTTGGGCAGAGACTGTGGTGTTTTTATGTATAGAATCATATTGTCTACAAACAGAAACAATATTGTTAAAGTGGTCATTCTGCCCAAAGCAATTTACAGAGTTAATGATATTCTTATCAAACCATCAATGACATTGTTCATATAATTTTTTAAAAAACTATTTTAAAATTCATATGGAAACAAGAAAGGGTCCAAATAGCCAAGGCAATCCTAAGTAACAAGAACAAAGCTGGAGGCATCACATTGCCTGACTTAAAAGTGTACTACAAAATACAGGAACCAAAAGTGCATGGTACTGGTAGAAAAATAGACATAGACCAACAGAACACAATAGAGAGCCCAGAAATAAGGCCACACACCTACAACTATCTGATCTTTGACAGAGTTGACAGAAACAAGCAGTGGGGAAAGGACTACACATTCAATAAGTGGTGCTAGGATAACTGGATAGCCATTTGTAGAAGATTGAAACTGGACCTCTTCCTTACATCACATACAAAAAACAATTCAAGATGGATTAAATAATTAAATGTAAAACCTAAAGCATAAAAACCCTGGAATATAACCTAGAAAATATCATTCTCGTCATAGGCCCAGGCAACGACTTCATGACAAAAACACAAAAAGCAATTGCAATAAAAACAAAAATTGACATAAGTGACCTAATTAAAGTATAGAGCCTCTGCATGCAAAAGGAACTGTTAGCAGAGTGAACAGACAACCTATAGAATAGGAGAAAATATCTGCAAATTATGCATCAGACAAAGGTCTAATATTCATAATCTACAAGAAACTTAAACAAATTAACAAGCAAAAAGCAAACAACCACATTAAAAAGTGGGGAAAGAAAATGAATATATACGTGGCCAGCAAGCATATGAAAAATGCTCAACATCCTGGCTGGGCACGGGGGCTCACGCCTGTAATCCCAGCACTTTGGGAGGCTGAGGCGGGAGGATCACGAGGTCAGGAGATCGAGATCATCCTGGCTAATACGGTGAAACCCCGTTTCTACTAAAAATACAAAAAAAAAAAAAAATTAGCCGGGCGCGGTGGCGGGCGCCTGTAGTCTCAGCTACTTGGGAGGCTGAGGCAGGAGAATGGCATGAACCTGGGAAGTGGAGCTGGCAGTGAGCCGAGATAGCGCCACTGCACTCCAGCCTGGGCAACAGAGCGAGACTCCATCTCAAAAAAAAAAAAAAAAAAAAAAGAAAAGAAAAAATGCTCAACATCCATTAGATAAATGCAAATCAAAACCATAATGAGATATCATCTCTCACCAGAGTGGCTATTATTAAAAGTTAAAAAATAATAGATGCTGGCAAGGCCACAGAGAAAAGGGAACACTTGCACACTGCTAGTGGTAATGTAAATTAGTTCAGCCATTGTGAAAAGCAGTGGGGTGATTTGAGGACTCTCTGTTTTAATTTTTAAAATAAAAACTTAGAACTACCATTCTGGGGTATATTGGGTATATACTCAATGGAATATGCATCATTCTACCATATAGATACTTGCACATGTATGTTCATCACAGCACTATTCACAATATCAAAGGCACAGAAGCAACTTAAAGGCTCATCAGCAGTAGACTGGATTAAAAAAATGTGGTACATATACACCATAGAATACTATGCAGCCATCAAAAAGAACAAGGTCATATGCTTTGCAGCAACATAGATGCAGCTGGAGGCCATTGTCCTAGGCAAACTAACACAGAAACAGAAACCCAATTACCATGTTCTCACTTATAAGTGGGAGCTAAACATTAAGAACACGTGGACACAAAGAAGGGAACAACATACACCAGGGCTTATTCGAGGGTAGAGGGTGGGAGGAGGGAGAGAATTAAAAAACTACCTATTTGTGTACTATGCTTCTTACCTGAGTGGTTGAAATAATCTATACACCAAACCCATGTGATATGCAATTTACCTACGTAACAAATCTGCACAGGTAACCTCAAACCTAAAAAATAAAAGTTCAAAAAAAAATCATTGAAAAGTATAATTACTTCATTCAGGCAAGACTGCTAATGGTTCATTCCTTTCAAGAATGGAGGTTTGGGTCACAAAGAACAACAGCCAGCTGAGGTGTCTGCTGAGTACAAAGGGAACATAGAATGGGTAGTAGAAGAAAATAGTTAAAAATACCAGTTAAGACCACATGACCAATTGCAGAAATGAGGACTACGATAGTTATATTTCTTTCTTAATTTGCTATGAATATGTTTGCATGTATATTAACCAAATGTTTTTATTTCCTTCCCTCTCTCATGCCCTTATTAGCTAAGATAGGATGTTTTATAAGTTAACTTTATAGCATACTGTTTAAGCTACAAGCTATTAACATAAATGAGAATCACCTTAGGACTTTGCACTCTCTTCTAGGAAAAGAGTTGGCATGTTTTGGTTGAATGTAGGAGTGTTGTATCATGTTATGTGAAAATATGGATTTGTTGTTGTCTTTAAGAGGATGTACAGAGTTCCAATTTGTAGGCTGTGATGATTTTTATGTGTCATCTTGGCTAGGTTATGATCCCTGATAATCAATCAAACACTAATTCAGATTTTGCAGTGGGAGTATTTTGTACATATGAAAGCCCATTATAAATTGACTTTCTTAAGTAAAGCAGATTAGGTAATTTAGATGACTCTGATTCAATCAGTTGAAATGTCTTAAGGGAAGAGCAGAGGCTTCCCTGAAGATAAAGAAATTAAGCCTATGGACAACAGATAAAGCTTGTATCCAAGAGCTCTGGTCTTCCCTTCCTAATGGCTTGCTCTCTGCATTTCAGATTTGCCAAGCTAATTCTTTGTAATAAATCTCTTAAGATGTATCTTCTACTTGCTGTGTGTCTCTGGTTGAATCCTGAAAAATACAACAGTAATTTTTACTTTTGCATTAAAATATTTCATTTTGTTGCATTAATTGTTGGCAATAGTTGTGCATTATCTTCTCCAGGTGTTGTTGTTGTTGTTGTTGTTGTTGTTTTAATGTTAGGGAGAAATTCCAGGAGACACATGGCCTTAATCCCAATAAGTAACTTTTTCAAGTAGTTGGGTATTTTTTACTTTATGGAAAACATCTGGATATAGGCAACACCTTAACAATGATCTTTTCATGATTAAACAACAGCAAATATACTGTGACTAAAACAAGGTTATGGCTACAAAGATTTTTCCTTTTTAATTTTGTTTGTTTTAGATATTTGTTTGTGATGAGACTATTTGCCCAATTCCTTGTTCTGGTTATTTACATTGGAGGGTTCTTATATTTCTTCCAGTTTCTGGGAGTATATTTCATCCTCAATCTCAAGGGAGAGAACCCATCATATTTGTTCTATAGGTACAGGTTCCTTTTAGGACATAACATAAGAAGGACTAAAAGGGAAATGACTGAAAACAACTGAATGTTAGTTTCCTTTCTGCTTGTCCAAGATTTAGCTAATGTGAAGACCAGTTCCAAAGTCCACTGTACAATCTATGTTTAAAGCAGTTACTGAAATTCTTCGCCCTTGACAGTCAGAATAGTGCCCTAACTACAAAAAATATTCATGTCCAAATTGCCAGAACCTGTGAATGTGTTACATTATATGACAAAAAGAAATTAAATTGTAATTTAATCAGCGGACTTTAAAATAGGATGATTATTTTTGGATTATCCAGGTTCATATAATATAAACATAAGGGTTCTGAAAAATGAAAGAAGCAGGTAGGAGAGAAGATCAGAATAATGTGATATGAAAAGGACCTGAAAAGTCCACGTTGCTGGCTTTGAAGGCACACAAAAACCTTCAAATGAGCTGAGCAGTGTGGGTGGCCTGCAGAAGCTGGAAAAGGCAAAGAGACTGATTCTTCTCAGCACCTCCAAAAAGCAGCACAGCCTTCCTACACCTCTATTTTAACCCAGTGAGATCTGCATTACACTTCTGACCTCTACAACTGTAAGAAAATAAATTTATGTTGTTTTATGACACTAAATTTGTGACAGCTTGTTACAGCAATAGAATACTAATATACTGTTCATTTTAAAGGTATCTACTTCCTGTTTTGTTAATGTTTATGTATTTATGCACATATCACATATTTACTACAAGACTGAAAAGACGTTGAGAACAGACATTGATTTTTATTCTGTTTTGTATAAATCAAGATCTAGGATTATGTCCATTACGTAATAGGTATCAATGATTCTGTTCTATCTTGGGCTGCATAGCAGAACGGAGAGCCTCAATCTTTTTACCTTTAAAATCTAAGCTGCCAAAGTTGCTTGTGGATATTCTTTATTATGTGGAATCTGACTTCATCTTCTTTTTGTCCATTCTTTTTTCTACCGCTTGCAACTCCATTTTGCAATACATTTAAATTTCCTTTATGTTTTTTATTGGGAACATACTTAGATAATCACATTATAACAGATTGAGCAATGAAATAATCTAGTAATAATATCTAACATTTAAAAATATTTACTATGTGTCTGGTGTGTGTGCATGTGTGTGTATGTGTGTGTGTGTGAATTAACTAATTTAATCTTTATCCAGATGACTTGGTGTTTAATTTCCTCAAAGTTTTCCAATTCACTAGGCTCATTCATTAATTTGTCCATTTGTTCCACATTATTTGGATACTGATTTTGTGGCAATCACTGTCCTCAGTTTGGAGAGCATAGCACCTAACACAGTGCTCAGTGCATGGTGCCTAGCCTACTCTATTCTACAATTTCAAAGAAATTTCTTGCACTATCCCTCATAAAGCCTCTGATCCAAGTACATTTTTGATAGTGTTTATTTGAGTAGACAGTTCAAGGTTGCCTTTACCTAGTAGGAGTCTTCATCTTGGCTATATGCAGAAGACTATTTCTTAATCAGATTATAAACATGGCACTCTGTGGTTAGAAGAAAGAGTTCTTCATGTATACAATGATGGTTTTCAATTATAATCAGAGTTGTCTGCCAAAGTACTGATCAGTCCTTGGATATTTAAAAAGCTGAAGGGAAAAGCAGAGAATCTTCAAGAAAGTGAGAGGAATAATCAGTAGATATTATTAAATCAACATCCACAGTGAGCTCAATTTTTTTGTATAATAGCCAATGTTTCAAACACATATTGATTCACCTTTATGACACTTATGCTAGAGGCAGGGCAGGGGCAAGTCCAGGAATATAAAAAACAATAAATCTCAGGCATTTCTTCATGCCTCAAAAGGCATGTAAGTAGCAAACGTTCACACTTGGATAGGCAATCTGTTCTCCAAGTGTCTAGAGAGGGAGCTGTGCTTTGATACACCCTGGCTTATGCATTTGCCTAATCATTCATGGTAAAATATCTGATCTTAATGTTTCTGTTGCTTACCTTCAGCTCTGCAAATTAATATCAGCTGTATCACAGATACTGTCCCTTTGTATGCTTGGCCTCTTTAGACAGGCTCACTACAGAGGCTGTCCTTCCTACATTATTTATTAAAGCGTGATAAGGTGAAGTAATTACATTATCAGATGTCTCTGTCGTATTTGAGCAATAAGGCACCATAATAATGGTATAAGACATCTTGGAAGGAGGGTATAGTTACCAAAAGGCAATCACACTCCTGGGGATTATAGGAGCTTGGATACATGTCTTTCCTTATAATGCCCTAAGGATGTGATTATCTCAAGAAGAGAGAGAAAGGGAAAAACCCAATGAATAATGTTGTATTCTGTTATACAAAATTTATAGGAAAGGGCAAAAGTGTATTTCATATGAGGATGTGATGTGGCAGTTTAGAATATCTGAACAGCAGTCTTAAATGAGCTGAGCTATTCATGGAAGTTAACCTGTCTTTTCAGAAAGCTAGTAGGCCACTCTAAGTCATTTGTAAAACCAGATTGGTCTCAGAAATGCATTAGAATTTTAGCATGGTTTTCGTGTTGATAAAGTGGTCTGATGAAGGTATCCATTTCTAGCTGGCTCAGCGCATCAAGCTTTCCATTTTTTGGCTAGCTCTGAAGAAGGCTGGTAAAGTTGAAGGTCATATGGCAGGCTGCTATCAACAGATCTTTGTTGCCTGGTAGCACTAAAATGGAATATATATAAGCATATATATATATGCTTTCAAATTCTCCCACCAAATCCAAAGAAGCCATGCTTCTGTTGTGATTAAACTGAATTTCCAGGGAGACAAAAATAGTGAGAAAAACAAATGTCAACCAGAGTAGGGTCACAGCTACATCTTGAAAGCCGCAAGAGACCTTAGCTATATCTTTCACAATTCATCCAATGAGGAAATTTTCTGACATGTGGAGAATTAAAAATAAAAATGTCTATAAACACATTAAGGTGATATCCTGAAGAATATTCTGCAGAGTTTCAAGGTAGAATAGCAAGGCCAAAGGCAAATTATTGGAATAAAGTGTTAAATTTCACCAAAAAATTATTTTAATCAGCAAAAGACAGAGTGCTTTGTACAAAAAAATAGATAAAAATGGAGAATGTTGTTAATTATGCAGGTTTTCAATGAAAGAATCCAAAACCTCTGAATAGACAGTTTCATTCTGGAGACATGTTCTGTGATACTCAAGCATTTCACAAGAAGGTAAATGTTTTAGTAGAGTATTTTTGTTTATAATCATTGAAAAAATTTTAATGTCTAAAATCATATAAAAATTCAGTAGCTTCATTAAATTGATTTATTTTAGTGTCATCCATATGTAGATATCATGTGGATTTGCCATCAAGGACTATCACTCAAAATTATATTTATCTATTATGTAGAAAGCATGGGTTCAGTGAGCAATGAGAAAGGTAAGAAAGGAATTGGAGCACTGGGAACCATGAACAAGGGAGAGTTATTAAATCTATGTGACTTAGGAGTTTCAGGTGTGATGAGATCTCATTTCTGGTGTAATAAAGTTCTGAACTTGGTGATGCGAACACAGTAGGGGATCAGACACTGACTTTGCCCTCAAGAAGATTGACATCCTATTTTTTTTCTCTTATATGTTTGAGCTCTTACTCCATGCTAGTTACGCTACATGAATAAATTCATTTAATTTGTACAATAATCCTATATAGCAGGTGTTCTTATTATTTTCATCTCAAAGATAAGAAATTGAGGCAGAGAGAGCTTAAGGAATGTGCCCAAGGTCACACAATTTTAAGCCAAAGATGCTTTGCTCTTACCTATAGAGATCTGGATCCCATGTTTTATAACATATATATCCTTTACTGCTCCTGTTGAAAGAAATACAGTCAGCTGGGCATGGTGGTTCATGCCTATACTCCCAGTACTTTGGGAGCCTTAGGTGGAAGATTGCTTGAACACAGAAGTTTGAGACCAGCCTGGGCAAAATGACGAGATCCTGTCTCTACAAAAACTACAAAAATAATTAGCCAGGGCTGGTGGCACATGCCTTTGGTTCCAGCTACTCAGGAGGCTAAGGTAGGAGGATCATCTGAGCCCAGGAGGTCGAAGCTGCAGTAAGCCATGATCACGCCACTGCACTCCTGCCTAGGCAACAGAGTGAGAACTTGTTTTTTAAACAAGAAAAAAAAAAGAGAGAAAAAAATACAGTCATGTGCTGCTGAATGAAGGGGATATATTCTGAGAAATGCACTGTAAGGTGATTTCATTGTTGTGAAAACACCTAGGCTATATGGTATAGCCCATTACTCCTAAGCTACAAACCTGTACAGCACGTTACTGTATGGAATACTATAGGCAATTTAACACAATGATAAGTACTTATGTATCTAAACATATCTAACATAGAAAAGGTACAGTATGTGGCTAGCCATATACAGAATATTGAAACTGTACCCCTTCCTTACACCATATACAAAAATTAACTCAAGATGGATTAAATGCTTAAATTTAAAACCCAGGAAGACAACGTAGGCAGTATCATTCAGGACATAAGCACAGGCAAATATTTCATGATGAAAATGTCAAAAGCAATTTCTACAAAAGCAGAAATTGACAAATGGGATCTAATTAAGCTAAAGAGCTTCTGCACTGCAAAGGAAACTTATCAAGAGCATAAGCAGGCAACCTACAGAATGGGAGAAAATTTTTGCAAACTATGCATCTTAACTTAAACAACTTTAAGGAACTTAAGGAACTTAAACAAATTTACAGGAAGAAAATAACCCCATTAAAAAGTGGCAAAGAACATGAACCGACTCTTTTCAAAAGAAGACATACATAGAGCCAACAATCATATGAAAAAAAGCTCAACATCACTGATCATTAGAGAGATGCAAATCAAAACCACAATGAGATACGGTCTCACATCAGTCTGAATGACTATTATCAAAAAGTCAAAAAATAACAGATGCTGCAAGGTTGTGAAGAAAAAGGAACACATATACACTGTTGGTGGCAGTGTAAATTAGTTCAACCATTGTGGTAGACAGTGTAGGGATTCCTCAAAGACCTAATGACAGGAATACCATTCAACCCAGTAATCTCTTTACTGGTTATACCCAAAGAAATATAAATCTTTCAATTACAAAGTCACATGCATGCATATGTTCATTATAGCACTATTCCCGGTGGCAGAGACATGGAATTGATCTAAATGCACATCAATGATAGACGGGATAAAGAAAATGTGGTACATATATACCATGAAATACTATGCAGCCATAAAAACAAATGAGATCATGTCCTTTGCAGGGATGTGGATGGAGCTGGGGGCCATTATCCTTAGCAAACTAAGCAGAAACAGAAAAACCAAATACTGCATGTTGTCACTTATAAGTGGGAGCTAAATGATGAGAACACATGGACATATAGAAAGGAACAACAGACATTGTGCCTATTACAGGGTAAAGGGTGGGAGTGAGGAAAGGATCAGGAAATAATGAATAGTTACTAGGCTTAATACCTGAGTGATAAAATAATCTGTACAACAAACTCCTGTGACATAAGTGTACCTATATAACAAACCTGCACATATACTCCAAACTTAAAACTTACAAAAAAGGAAAGGTACAGTATGAATGTGTTATTATAATCTTATGAGGCCACTGTTACATATGCGTTCCATTGTTGCCCAAAACATCATTTAGTGTCACATCACTGTAAGTGAAAATTAAAAAGGACATTAAATTATCATAGATGCTGTGATAAATGTATGTAAAAGAAACAGTTGGGACACACATGAATATATGCTCAATTTTATAGGAAGATATGATGGTTAATTTTATCTGTCAAACTGGCTTTGCTAAAAGACACTCCAATAGCTGGTAAAACATTTTTTCTGGATTTGTCTGTGAGAGTGTTTCCTGAAAAGACTAGTGTTTGAATTTGTAAACTGATTAAAGAAAATTGCCTCATGAATGTGGATGGACATCATCCTCTGAACAAAAAGGAAGAGGAAGAGGAAATTCACTCTCTGTTCTTGAGCTGGGACATCCATCTTCTTCTGCCAATGTACACCGTCACTCCTGATTCTCCACTCTTCAATCTCAGGCTAGCACTTATACCATTGGCTCCTCTGGTTCTTAGTCCTTTGGAGTTGGACTGAATTATACCACTGGCTTTCCTGGTTCTCCAGCTTGCAGATGGCAGATCATGGGACTTCTTGCCTCCATAATCTTGTGAGCCAATCCTTGAAACATTATGTCTACCTATATTTATCTCTATTTCTTTTTTATCTATCTATCTATCTATCTATCTATCTATCTATCTATCTATCTGTCTGTCTCTATCTATATATCTGTCTAATCTTCAATTGGTTCTGTTTTTCTGGAGAACCCTGACTAATACAGAATGGAGAACCAGACCTTATAAAGGAGATGATTCAATTTCCTCTTATGAAAAAGTAACACAATTGGTAAACAAGAAATTGATAAACAAGAAAATATAAAATTTAGTTTGACCTCAACATGAAATTTCACATAATAGAGCTTTAGTATCTATCATCACACAAGTAAATATAGTTGTGTGTCATGATTCAAAGTCTTCATGTTTTGTCTAATGAGTGGATGACATAACAGCAGGAAGTTCACTGTGCACTACTAGAATTATTTCTATTGAGGATTATTATGGAATGGGAATCAGAAACCAGACACAAATTCTGAGAATTTACAACCAATGCAGCTATTACAAATGTGTCTCAGGTTGCATTACTTGCACTATATACTTTAGCTGAGAAATTTCTGCACAATAAGTAATGATGCCAAATTAACTGGATAAATTAATATATTGGGGTAATATAGAGGGCTCTCATATTACGGGTAATAGAAGTTACTTTTCCATTGATGCATTGAATGAAGAATATTCACAGCTACGTAAGAGGTATGCTAAATACTAGAAATCAAACGCGGATAAAGGTCTACAAGGGTCTCAAAAATAGTCCCTGCATTGGGGAAAACAAAGAAGAAATGAGGAAAGAGTTGGGGTGAAGGATATCTTCAAAGGGTAACTAGAAGCAAAATAGTCCTGCTTCCATGAGATAAGCGTTTAAAAAAATAGTGGGAAATCAATATTGTCATTGGCTGAAGAAAGATAAATGAACATCCAAAATATGCCATGGTGATTGAGTAGTGACTGACAATTTATACAAAAACTTCCACCATCTTTGTGGTACAGAATCCAGATCATTGGTGAGTGCCGTGGGGCTGAATCTCAGGAGAGGTCGAGCTTTTCTAGGACAATAGTTTCCAGAAAAATATCAAGAAACAAAACTCTCCCAAGTGAGACTTACTTGGATTAGTGAATGAATTAATGAGTAATGTAAATCTATATCATATTTTTGCAAGCTTAATTTCTGAAAGAACGATTTGGAGAGAAGAATGTGATTTTTCTTTCCTTCAGCTTCCTGTATGAGGTCTTTTATTCTTATTGATTGTACACATTACCATGCACTGTAGGATATTCAATAGGCTTTATTCAGAACAACAACAACAAAAAACCTACCTTCTATGAGCCCTAATAACAAAAATGATCATTCAAAAATATGTATCAAACTTTTTTTTTTTTCCAGACAGAGTCTCGCAACATTACCCAGGCTGGAGTGTAGTGGCACAATCTCGGCTCACTGAAACCTCCGCCTCCCTGGTTCAAGCGATTCTCCTGCCTCAGAGCAGGGATTCTAGGTGCCCACCACCACACCCGCTATTTCTTTTGTATTTTTAGTAGAGATGGGTTTTCACCATGTTGCCTAGGATTGTCTCAAACTCCTGACTTCAAGTGTTCCACCTGCCTCGGCCTCCCAAAGTGCTTGGATTACAGGCTGAGCCACTGTGCCCGGCCTATGTCAAACTTGCATGAGTACCAGGCAAAGTGCTAAATTTTATGATAAATACAAACGTCCTCATTTATAAGATTGTTTTCCTCTTCACTATTACAATGAGGGTGTGGGTGTTAGTGATTCCAGCTTAATACAAGTGATTACCTATTACCTCTCTACCAAAGGTTGGGCCTGGCTTCCATGGGTAGTGCTTCAGAGAGCCAAGACCAGAGTTCAATTTCACCAGGTAAAACAAGTGGTTCACTCTTTCTATATTTGCAACCTTCATTTTTTTGAGACTTCTTACATTTTCTTACATTTGCCAGGTCATCGATACATAGTTCATTTAATATTTTAGTTATTGTGAGAGTGAGGGCTATTCAAGTTTTCTAATATGACTTGCTATGTTAAATCCATACTAATATGCTTAAAATTATGGAAACATTAGTTATTTGGGGTTCTCAGGGATAAACACATATTCTTATCTATTTGAAAATCTGTGAGTCCATCTACCAATCTAACCTATCTAATCCATCTATTCAGCCAGCAATCTAACTTTTTGACCAAGACTGGGAAAAAGGGGTAGAAGGAAGTTCTAGAAATTCCCGAATTAAGGTTAAAATAAAACTAACCAAATTTCAGAACAAATATTTATATAAATTAATTAATTATAATTATTTTGGAACATAGTAAAGTCTCTAAAGACAATATAGCCAAGTATAGAAGTATACAAATAATATGAGGGCAGTAATTAAGAAAGAAACCCAATTATCACAATAATTGCTGGATAAAAAATGCCTCGAAGCATTTGTTAAAATAAGCTAAAATTATTTCTCTCTAAATTAAAACCTGATAGATAATGAGAGTTAAATACAAAAGTAAACCAAATATCAATATCTATCTCAGGCGTTTTTCCCTCTCCATGATCTCCATCAGCTCAGTCTTTTTCCCTACCAGGAGAAGCCAATAGAAGTTAGCAAACCACACACTTACAGCAACCAGAGACCTCTGAAAATAAATTTAAAAACTAGTCACCTCTAGGATACTATTTCTTAAAAATCTAGAATGAGTAACAATTTTCTGAATTTCTGAGGAGATGGAAGAAAATTCAACCAACCATGCTCTTCATTACCTCTGTGAAATGATGGGAGAGAGGAGAAAGGCAGAGGAATCTCACTGTAATATCAACATCAAGTAGAATTGTACATTCATATGATTTTTGAATACTTGAATATTTTCTTTTCTTTTTTCTTTCCTTTAACTTTTAAGTTCCAGAGTACATGCGCAGGATGTGCAGGCTTGTTACATAGGTAAACGTGTGCCATGTTGGTCTGCTGCACAGATCGACTCATCATCTAGGGATTAAGCCCAGCATCCCTTAGCTATTCTTCCTGATGCTCTCCTTCCCCTCCCCTTTACTCCTGACAAGCCCCAGTGTGTGTTGTTCCCTACCATGTGTCCATATGTTCTCATCATTCAGCTCCCACTTGTAAGTGAGAACATGCAGTGGTTGATTTTCTATTTCTGCGTTGGTTTGCTGAGGATAACAGCTTCCAACTCCATCCATGTCC
This sequence comes from Homo sapiens, assembly GCF_000001405.40. Classification (NCBI taxonomy): domain Eukaryota; kingdom Metazoa; phylum Chordata; class Mammalia; order Primates; family Hominidae; genus Homo; species Homo sapiens. The sequence continues at coordinate 44,223,905 of NC_000018.10, forward strand.
CTGCAAAGGAAATAATCTTGTTTGTTTTATGGCTGCATAGTAGTCCATGGTGTGTATGTGCCACATTTTCTTTATCCAGTCTATCATTGTTGGGCATTTGGGTTGATTCTATGTCTTTCCTATTTTGAGTAGTGCTGCAATGAACATAAACATGCATGTATCTTTATAATAGAATGATTTATATTCCTTTGGGTATATACACAGTAATTGGATTTCTGGATCAAATGGTACTTCTGCCTCTAGATCTTTGAGGAATTGCCACACTGTCTTCCATACTGGTTGAACTAATTTACACTCCCACCAACAGTGCAGAAGTGTTCCTTTTTCTCCACAACCTCATCAGCATCTGTTATTTTTTGACTTTTTATTAATAGCCATTCTGACTGATGTGAGATGGTATCTCACTGTGGTTTTTATTTGCATTTCTCCAATAATCAGGGATGTTGACCTTTTTCTCATATGTGGGCCGCGTGAATGTCTTTCTTTTGAGAAGTTAATGTTTTTTTCCACTTTTTAATGGGGTTGTTTCTTTATTCTTGTAAATTTATTTAAGTTCCTTGTAGACTCTGGATATTAGACCTTTGTTAGATGGATAGACTGCAAATATTTTCTCCCATTCTGATGATAGTTTCTTTTGCTGTGCAGAAGCTCTTTAGTTTAATGAGATCACATTTGTCAATTTTGGCTTTTGTTGCAATTGCTTTTGGCATTTTCGTCATTAAATCTTTGCCTGTGCCTATGTCCTGAATGGTATTGCCTAGATTTTTTTCTAGGGTTTTTATAGTTTGGGGTTTTACATTTAAGTCTTTCATTCATCTTGAGTTAATTTTTGTTGGGGTGTAAGGAATGGGTCCAGTTTCAATTTTCTGCATGTGGCTACCCAGTTCCCCCAGAGCTATTTATTAGATAGGGAATCCTTTTCCCATTGCTTGTTTTTGTCAGGTTTGTGGAAGATCAGATATTTGTAGATGTGCAGTCTTATTCCTGAGTTCTCTGTTCTGTTCCATTGGTCTATGTGTTTGTTTTTGTATCAGTACCATGCTGTTTTGGTTACTACAGCCTTGTAGTATACTGTGTTCTTTTTGCTTAGAATTTTCTTGATTATTTGAGCTTCTATTTTGTTCCACATTAATTTTAAAATAATTTTTTTCTAATTATGTGAAGAATGTCAATGGTAGTTTGATAAGAATAGCATTGAATCTATAAATTACTTTGAGCAGTATGGCCATTTTCATGATATTGATTTTTCCTATCCATGAGCATGGAATATTTTTCCATTTGTTTACGTCCTCTATGATTTCCTTGAGCAGTGGTTTGTAGTTCTCAACAATGAGGTTCTTCACTTCCCTTATTAGCTGTATTCCTAGGTATTTTATTCTTTTTGTGGCAATTCTGAATGGGAGTTATTTCGTGATTTGACTCTCTGCTTGACTGTTGTTGGTGTATAGGAAGGCTAGCGGTTTTTGCACATTGATTATTTATCCTGAGACTTTGCTGAAATTGCTTATCACCTTGAGAAGCTTTTGGGCTAAGACATTGGGATTTTCTAGATATAGGATCATGTCATCACCAAACAAAGATAATTTGACTTCCTCTCTTCCTATTTGAATACCGTTTTTCTTTCTCTTGTCTGATTGCCCTGGCAACAAGTTCCAATACTATGTTGAATAAGAATGGTGAGAGAGGGCATCTTTGTCTTTTGCTGGTTTTCAAAGGGAATGCTTCCAGCTTTTGCCCATTCAGTATGATATTGGCCATGGGTTTGTCATATATGGCTCTTATTATTTTGAGGCATTTTTCTTCAATACCTGGTTTATTGAGAGTGTGTGTGTGTGTGTGTGTGTGTGTGTGTGTGTGTGTGTTTTGAGATGGAGTTTCACTCTTGTTGCCCAGGCTGGAGTGCAATGGCATGATCTTGGCTCACCGAACCTCCACCTCCCGAGTTCAAGTGATTCTCCTGCCTCAGCCTCCTGAGTAGCTGGGATTACAGGCATGCACCACCATGCCCGGCTAATTTTTTTGCATTTTTAGTAGAGACGGGATTTCTCCATGTTTGTCAGGCTGGTCTCGAACTCCTGACCTCAGGTGATCCGTCTGCCTTGGCCTCCCAAAGTGCTGGGATTACATGCTTGAGCCACCACACCTGGCCCATTGAGAGTTTTTAATGTGAGGGGATGTCGAATTTTATTGAAGGCCTTTTCTGCATCTATTGAGATAATCATGTGGTTTTTGTCTTTAGTTCTGTTTATGTGATCAATTACATTTATTGATTTGCATATGTTTAACCAACTTTGCATCTTGTGGATAAAACCAACTTGATAGTGGTGAATAAGCTTTCTGATGTGCTGCTGGGTTCAGTTTGCCAATATTTTATTGAGGATTTTTGCATCAATGTTTATCAGGGATTTTGGCCTGATGTTTTCTTTTTTTTGTTGTATCTCTGCCAGGTTTTGCTATCAGGATGATGCTAGCCTCATAGAATGAGTTAGGGAGGAGTCCCTCCTTTTCAATTTTTGGGAACAGTTTCAGTAGAAATGGTACCAGTTCTTCTTTGTACCTCTGGTAGAATTTAGCTGTAAATTCATCTAATCCTGGGCTTTGTTTTGGTTGGTAGGCTATTTATTACTGCTCAATTTCAGAACTATTTATTGGTCTACTCAGGGATTTAGTTTCTTTCTGGTTCAGTCTTAGGAAGGTGGATGTGTCCAGGAATTTGTCCATTTCTTCCAGATTTTCTAGTTTATTTGCATACAATTATGTATAGTATTCTCTGATGTTTGTTTGAATATTTTCTTACATTTATTTGCATTTGGATTAGTTTGGTGATGAAATCCCTATTAGTTTAGTAGTCTATTCTTTTTGAATTGTTCCATACAAAGCAAACTGTTAGATGTTGGTGGTAGAGTGTTAAAGTTTTCATTGTAATTTTACTAACTAAAGAGTAGACATCTTGTGGGCTGGATGCTTGAGGTTTAAACAGATGCCCAGATACAAACCTCATTTTGCAGCCTGTGAACTGCTTGTATTACAGTATGTACAGTGACACTGGAGAGTTAGGAAATTTGAACTTTATGATATTGAGAAAACCCAAGGAGATATTGGCTAAATACATTCACATATTGTTAAAATATATATTGATCTTCCTCTATCATAACTGATGTTGACATTCCCCTATCATAAGATAAATTCTCATGGAATTACAGAGGCCTTCCTTAGGAGCCAGATTACTTCCTCAGCTTGGGTTATAATGAAGTGCAGGTGAGCAGGAATTCCACCATCAGGGAAGTCACTGTGCACCTGTCAGGACTCTGTCATAGATTTCCAGGGTCCTGGAGCTTTTATCCCATCTAAACTGCTCATGCCTAAACATTTCATCAAACTTGGGTCTGTGTTCAATTTCATTTGGGAGTAATCTTATTCTCAACTTTTATGAATTTATACCTTAAATCAAGTGACTATAAGCAGTTTTTAAAACAAAGGAGAATGAAGAACTGGCTTAAGGGCTCCAGTGCTAAGGGAAAGTAAACATGGGCAGGGGAAAAAGAAGGCAGCGCCTAAACCAAACCTGCCAGTACCCTAGTAGTTTTCCCTGCCCCTCCTTCAAAGTCACCTGGAAATTAAAAACAACAACAACAACAAGAAAAGATACTATTGATGTCCAGGCCCTCTCGTGACCAGAGCATATTTAATATGCCACATAGATGCTTCTGATATACAGCTAGCATGAGAATCCCTGATTTACATTCTGAATTCTGGGCTTCTCCTGATGTAAGCTGGATGATTTGGCATTTATTCCCACTCCACATGTGAACTTCATCTACAGTCCTCCAAACATTGAATAAATATTTCATGTAAAATAAATTTGATGCAGTTATTTTGAGAGAAAATTACTTTTTCACAAAACAATACTACTCAGCAAGCAGCAAAGTTGGTAAAAACATGAAGAATATGAACATCACCAAATGCATGCAAGAACTGTCGCTGAAGTGGAAGGAACCAGCTGATTACAATTTCTGCAATGGGAAATCCAGCATGGGGTTTTTTGCTTTTTTTTTTTTTTTTTTCCCAAATGCCCAAAGTTCAGAAGAAAGAAGCTAAAAATGGAAGTCTTTGCATCCTCCAACATAAGTCTATGAGAAATCTTAGGGGGGTTTTGGAAGTTTTATAACCGAGGGAAGGAAATAAAAAGTAAATGAATATGACAACATAGCTATAAAGATAGCAGACACTGAATACAACATCTACTGCAAGAGTATTCATCAAATCGAAGCTAATGTTTTAACAGGTAAAATGTTCTCATTAAATCGATAAAAGTCTCTTTCCTGAAGGAAATAAAACCATTTTTACCTTCCTAAGTTATCAAGGAAAGCTCTCTTAGCAGAAGAAAATTCTCCTAATACTGCTATGCTATTCCACAGAGAAATCTAAAATCCCGAAGTAGTATTTTACTCCCATGAATACCTTGGGTTTTTTTAGAATTTATTTTTACATTTTAAAGACAATAGTATGGTGCAAATGCAGTTGGAAGCCTTTAAGAATGGTATGTTATTATTATGCATTGTCTATAATTAATATCAATTAGAATCTATTAAATTTAATAGACTTTGAGCTATTCAGTTTAATTCAATTTCAATAAATTTCAATTAAGTACAATTTGTTTCTATTACTTTTATTAATTCCAGTCACTATCAATTACCTTCAATTAATTTAATTTACTGGCTATATATGTTCAGGTAATTCACTATTACTTTCAATTAGTTTCTATTCATTTCAATGGGCTTCCTTGGCAGCTAACTGATTTCATAAAAACAAATGTGCAGCTATAATATAGTTTCTACAATACAGGACAGTCATACAAACTAATTAGCTCTGCATTCAAACTTACCATACACGATTAGACCCCTATATGATCTACATACAATCTGTATTCACCTCCATCTATCTTCCTCATGGGTTGGTATATCTGTAGAGAGTCTGGGATTTACAAAAAGATGTCAGAACTTTCAACTGATTTGTAGATTAATTGCATCTACTTTGTACCTAGAACCTTGCTAGGTGCAGGAGGTAATACAGGTAAAGGAGATAGGCAAAGGAGAGTTCATTTAGGAGATTATAACAAGAGTTCTCACACTTAGTTTGATGTTTGATGGAAGGCTCTGGATGTGTCTTATTCACCATCGCACTCACTGCATGAACCCATTGTTTTACACCAAGTGCAGGTACTCAAAACATGAGTATTTTCTGGGGCTGTCAGTAAAGTCAGTGTTGAAGTGCAGAAGCAAGATAATCAGAACAAATTCTGGGCCCCACAGTAAGTATGAACATCCTCTCTCTATGGAAGAAAATAACTTATAAAATTATCAAATATTAATGACAGAGGAAAAATTAGAGATCTTGGAATGTAACATTTCTTCTGCAATTGAAGTTTTTCAGGCCAATTAAGTGAGGTAATGTGTATATTACATTACTAATTCTATAGTCTTACCTGTTCTACCGGGGAGCATTTGTATTTAAAAAAAAAAAAAAAACAACATGTAGATTTTCATAGTTTACAGTGCACTTTAGCACCCATTAACACATTTCATGCTCCTAAAAACCCTATGAAGAAGACACTGCAAATTTTGTCTTCTTGAGAAACAAAGTCAAATTGAGGTGAAATGGTTTGCTGAATATTGGATAACTATGAAATGGTAGAGTTCAGAGAGAGGAACCATAATGACAGAAAAATAAAGATCCTGGGTTTTTGAGGGCCCCTTTTTAGGAACAGAGGCACTTTAAATCTGTAGCTAGACAGTTCCTACACACTTACCCCTAAGATGGTGAATTCTTTTTAGTGGTCCAAGCTATGCTAAGTGGGAAGTTACGTCTCTGGGAGAGACAAATAGAACAAATGACTCATTTACTGGGCCTCCTGCTTTTCTTCACTCAAGGGTTCCTTAGAAAAATGTACCTGTCTGAGTGGAAGTGACTGGACATGTGACAGTTGAATAAAGCACAGAGCATGAATGGAACACTACACCCCACCAGGCCCGGCCTGTTGCCTGCAGGAGGAGCTGACTTGGAGCAGGGTTCTTTGGCAGCAGGGCAATGCTAGAGCACAGGAAACTTGGCTTCCTCCCAGCACATCCCTGGCAGAAAACTCACTGTGAGAAAAGAGGGGAGGAATTCAAAGCTGAATCCAAATCAAGTTGCCAGAGCCCTTCGGCTAAGATGTGGGAGGTCCTGGGAAAGAAACCAGGGACTTTAATATCAAAAGGAAAATTGGCTAGAAGAAATGACAGAGCCATTGGAAATGAAACTGAAGGAATCTCAGCTTGGGACCAATCTACTGGCAGGGACCACCCTTCCCACTGTGGCTTGCTGACATCAAACATGGAGACAATGAAAGGAGTGGACCATCACAAAACCACACATTTAACAAATTGTGCCAGGAACAGTAGATAAATAGTCTATAATTACTTTGCCGTTTGAAATTATATTTCTATAGGCCCATCCTAAGTTAATATAATAAATATTTCTCTAAATACTTCATGAATGTCTCAGTTACATCCTAGGACAAATTATCTTCCCCAGGTAACTGCTTCAGGCAATTCACACACCATGATCTGTTCTTTTCCACACTGTTTCTTCATCTCGTCTCACCTTGATTCCCCACTTACCTCAATGCTACTATTAAAATCAAATGTTAAGCCTTTGAAGAAGTCTTCCTCACTTATATCAGTGAACTTTAATGCAGAAATCTTCATAAAACATGTATTGAGCTCCTAATATATGTCAGGCATATGAGAATGAAATTGTTCATTTCCTCCAAGTAATGCAATGCCGAAATCCTAGGGAATTCTTTCACCCATTGACCTACAAATAGTGAGTTACTTTTTTGGATCTGACATTGCACTCATAAGTTTTATACCCTATTTGGCATTTATAATTCTAATATTTGTACGGTATTTTACATGCATAAAGTGCATAAAGTGCTTTCATATGCCATGTCTTATTTAATCATACACCAACTTGTGTATTTTTCTAAGTATATCCTGTGAATAGACTCCCCAGCTAGACATTGAAATAGAAGCTGTAGACTTTCTTTTTCTTTATACTTCAAAATGTACAGCACCTAGAAGATGCTTGATGTGGACTTATTTTATATTATTATCAGCTAATTGGGGTAGTCTGGGAGAATGGATCAACAAGTATTTTTAATTCATTCAATACTTAATAAATATTTATTAAGTATCTGTAATATACAAGGCACTGTGCTTAAACACTTTAATCATGAAAAACCTCAGCTCTCTCAAGGGATATGACATAAATCCCAGGGGTACCCCAAGTGGTAAGGATTCTCCTTCCATTAAAAGTCTCTTTCCAGAATATTTGATGTTCTCTAAAGAGATACATAAATGAGAGATAGATAGATAACTAGCCGTATAAAAAGGAATATCTATTTGCTGATGCTAATTACTCTTTCCTCAAATTCCTACCACTTTACCCATATTCTATCTGTATTTCTTTGAATTATTCCGTGAATGTTTGTTTTATTTCTTTCTTTAGCAAGCTTTCTGAAAACCAGCTTTTCTTTGCTTTCCATCATCTCTTCCCCACCTGTCATGATATTAGGCTCAATACATGCTGGTTTACTTATCTTGAAATACTTCTTAGAGGGGACATCCAGATTGCATTCATGAGCTTACTTCAACATGCTTGCTTTAAATCACCAATATCTACCACCACGTTAAGAAACTTACGTGTTATGCGGCCAGAGCCATCTGATCCATGGTGCCTTCAACTTTTGTTAGACTCTGGATTTCTCAATATAATAACTAGAGGTAGTGTCACAAAGTCCTTACGTTACTCTCTATAACTATTCATTTCATTTTAATGTATGTTATGTTTGTTAAATTTTTGAAGGTATAAGCTTTAGATGGGTCTGCAATTATTACAGATTTTTCTTGCATAGGATGAGGAGAGTTTCCTATGCATTGTCAAAGCCAAAAAATGGAGTATTCCCTGTGCCAATAAACACATTTCTGGTAAATAATAATGAAAAAATATGACATTGATCTTCGGCCACAATACTGAACTAAATGAAATATGTCAGGGGTCCATAAATCTTGAACCTAGGAAGATCTTTTGTTCTTCAGAGAAATGTAAGGTGGCACCCACAATACGAAGGCAGGAAGTGAAGGCTGACAAGGAAGGAACCAGAGATGCTGAGACACCATACCAGCCTCTGGCCCAAAGGTTCAGTTACCACAGGATTAAAACATGAGCTTTGAAGCTCGGCTGCCTATGGGTAATTGTGGTCTTTCTTGTATTATTTGGTATTCAGTCAAGTTGTATTTATGTTTTTTCTCCTTTCTAACAGTGACACTCACCTTAACTGTACTAGGAACACAGTACGGGGTGCATGTCTCTGCTGGGCCTGAAGTTTTAAAGCAAAACAGTCTTCCTGAAGAATGTTCGAGACAGTGGCAGCAGAAATCACAATGAGGGGACCCTAAAGAGAAAGTAGAACCAAAAGAGAAGGCTTGTTGCTGTTTACTCAGACCCTCCTGCATACCTAGACTGCTCCTTGATCAAATCTTGGAGAAGAATTGTGTATGTTTGGTGAGGGAAACACCAAACCATTTATGGAACCTTCTGCTGCCTTTTAAACAAAGTCAGACGAAGTATAATATAAAACTGATAATAGAAGCATAGCATGCTCTTAAAGTTTTATAATTCAGTTTTGTGTGTATGTAAACCTTGTGGGGGTGGTTTGCTGTAGCAGGCTCTCAGCTTGCCTCCCTCCCTTCTGGCACTCTCTTCTACTCTTTCAGCAAACAGTTGATGCAGTCATCTCCATTAACAAGGCCTTTGTCATGTCATAAACTGCCAAAGTCATAAACTTTTATTTGGCTTTGTTTTCTACCACTTCACTTTTAAAATCTTTTAAGAGACACCTTGGGTCTTTCCTTTCTTCCCATTTATCAGTTGCTTCCCAGCTCCTTATTCTTGCTTCTATTTTTGTAATTACATATGAATGCCTTCTCTCCTCTACTCTGGCTTTTTGAACTTTATGCATCAACAAAAACTGCAAAAATTTACACTTTTTTGAAGATGCTGATGACTCTACAGTCTTCCCTTCTCAGTACCATTCTTATAATCATGGATGCTAAAGCACTGGTGTCATAATATCATTATGTCAGGTTGAATTCTTTAATTACAAGAAGATTGATGGCTGCCCCAAGAAGAGGCTTTGATTTATGTGCCTTTTGTATATTCCTCAGACCGTACCAAAGCATTAATATACAGCAGAGGTCCTCTCAGTGTTCTCTGAAATAATCTGCTTTTCTCCATCTCCAGGAAGGCAATGGGCTATTAAGATTATGTGTGTTAGACCTAACTCTGACATGGATCTAAAAGCATTTGTTTGATGAGGAAAGATCAGTCAGCCTGAGCCCTCACATCCACTGGATCCAAATCTCTAATTTTTAGTGACACAGACTTCTGAATATATTACAGACTAATGAAGCCCTTGATTTCCTAAATTTTCAAAAAGCTGAATGCTTCATGCATCGGTATAGAGCAAAAATTTCCATGCCATTCCAGATCATTGGGAGTAAGGCTAATATGAGCTTCTAGCATTCCACACCTTGTATTCTTGTGTCTGTATAATCTTTATTGGGCAAAGATTTATCTCCAATGAGCAGGTCTACAAAACCTTGCACAGACTGTTCTTTTATTTTTAATTGTAGTAAAGAATCCAGAGCTTGAGAGCCCCTGGTATAGTTCAATATCATCCCATTATTCCAAATACTTCAGAAACCTCAAAACCTCTGATATTCTCAGAAGAATAATTGACCAAGAGACAAATGAAGGCAGGCTTTAACTACCTGTGGTAAGAAATCACATCAATGATAACAAAACAACTGAAGGTTGTTATAGACATAATTCAGCCTCTCCTGGTAAACTAAAAAGAGAACTGCATTTCCTCTGAAAAGAAGAAGTTCTACCAGTGTCACAGGGAAGTCCTCGTGTTGCTGGAAAGGGGTCCTGATCCAGACTCCAAAAGAGGGTGCTTGGATCTGGCACAGGACAGGATTCAGGGGGAGTCCATAGAGTAAAGTGAAGGCAAATTTATTAGACAAGTAAAGAAACAAAAGAATGGGTACTCCATAAGCAGAGCAGCAGCATGGGCCACTCAGCTGCTCATACTTATTATTTCTTCTTGATTATATGCTAAACAAGCAGTGGATTATTCATGAGCTTTCTGGGAAAGGGGTGGGCAATTCCTGGAATTGAGGACTCCTCTCCTTTTTAGACCATATAGGGTAACTTCTTATTGTTGCCATGGCATTTGTAAACTATCATGGCACTGGGGGTAGTGTCTTTTAGCATGCTAATGCATTATAACTAGCCTATCATGAGCAGTGAGGATGACCAGAGGTCACTTCTGTCACCATCTTGGGTTTTGGCAGACTTCTTTACCGCAACCTGTTTTATCAATAAGGTCTTTATAACCTGTATCTTGTGCTAACCTCCTATCGCATCCTGTGACTTAGAATGCCTAACCTCCTGGAAATGCAGCCCAGTAAGTCTCAGCCTTATTTTACCAATTCACTATTCAAGATGGAGTCACTCTGGTTCAAATGCCTCTGAGATTCTCTCATCTCATTTGTAAAACAAAGAAACTTGACCCAAATGTACTTTGTTTTTCTTTTAATTCTACCATTCTTTATTTCTATCATATGCTAATTATTCTGCTTTCTTCCACCCACTGCCACCAGATGCATTTTAAAAGTTATTTTTTGTTCTGCTGCTTTGTGTTCCAAGAGACAAACCCTTACCCCTCAGTTTTTGGTTGGGTGTAGCCAATGATAGACCTTAGTAGGAGCTCAGAGGAAGGGAGGAAAGCTAGACTGTGGCATGTCTAGCCTGCTGTCTGCCTCTTCTGGGCCATGTTTTGTGGTAGCAGCCATGTCCCTCCAAAATTACAGCTCCTGACAGGCAGCATGTTTTCCAGAATTCTACTGTTCACAGGGCACTGGTGTTTGTTTCCCCTCTTGCTCCTTCAGACCCAGGCTTGCCTATAACTTCCTATTTTTGCTAATCTGTGGATGTCAGAATATTCCTTGTCAATTCACTTTGTTACCCGCATCTCTGTAAGTAGTTTCTTTATTACAGTCATATGAGCCATTCAAATTGGATTTGTGTTTCTTGCTGAGACCTTGACTGTCATATATGATTAGATAACATTAATAATACTTTTAAAGGAAAAACTATCCAAGTATTATGTTATAAAATATTTGAATGGAATAGATAATTGAGAGTCTCATATTATTTCCCTAATAATGACTGAATCAGTGAACTATACAGGAGTCAAGAGACAGTCCTTTTTCTTTCTTTCCCTGGCATTCAGATAGGCCTCTGCTAGTAAGGAATTGGTGGGCAGGGGGTGGGGGTGGAGTAGCAAATATAATGTAAGATATTCCCATAAAATAAGTGGCATTTGATAAACAATACTATTTGCTAATACTTCTACATAAAGTGGTGTGTTAGTTTTCTACCACTGATGTAAAAAATTACCACAAACTTGGCAACTTAGAATTTCTCTTAGAGTTTTGGGGCCAGAAGTACAAAATCAGTTTCACTGGGTTGAAATCAATATATTGGCAGGGCCAGGCTTCCTCTAGTAGCTTTAGGAGAGAATATCATTGTCTTGCCTTTTCCAGTTTCCAGAGCTGCTTTCCTTACATTCCCTGGCTAATGATCCCTTCCTCTATCTGCAAAGCTAGCAGTATAGCATCTTGCATCAGTGGTCATACTGTTTTCTTCTCAAACAAAATCTCTCTCTGTCTCTCTCTTATAAGAACACTTGTGATTATGGTTAGGCGCCACCTACATAATCCAGAATAATTTGCCTATGCCAAGGTCCTTAAATTAATCATATCTACAAGGTTTTCTTTGTTATACAAGCTAATATTCACAAGTGCTAAGGATTGGTATGTAGATATATTGGGAGCCGTTACTCAGCCTATCCACAGTGTGATGGTTAATTTTATATGTCAACTTGACTAGGCCATGGAGTGACCAGACATTTGGTCAAACAATATTCTGGGTGTGTCTATAAGGTGTTTCTGGATGAAATTAACATTTAAGTTGGTAAACTGAGTAAGCAGGTTACACTTTATAATGTGAGTGGGCCCCATCCAATCAGTTCAAAACCTAAACAGAACCAAAGGGCTGGCCTTCCTGTAAGCAACAGGGAATTTCTTCTGCTTGACTGCCTGAAGCAGGCACTTTGGTTTTTTTGTTTGTTTTTGTTTTTTCTGTCTTCAGAGGAGACATTCTCTCTCTCTCTGTCTTTCTCTGTGTGTATATGTGTATGTGTGCATGTGTGTGCATGTGTGTTCATGTATCCTGTTGGTTCAATTTCTCTGAAGAACTCTGACAAATACACATAAGTGACCTTTTAACCTGTTATCTGAGTTTTCTTCTCTCTTGATTAATGTAAATCTAGTTTGAAGATTTAGACAAAGAAGGGTCAAAATTGAACATATCGTAGAAGTATAAAAATGAATGGAACTAGAGTACGTGAAACTATGTCAACAGCTAAAACATACACTCCAATCAAGCACATAAAAGAAGCCACTGTGAAAACTTCAGGATAAAGGTTATATGCAATGGTTTTCACCAAGCGTAATGACTAGAATTATAGTGTTAAGATTAGTTGGAAAAATTTAATGGCCATATATATATATAAGCTTCTCCTATATTCAGCTGGCTGGAACCTCAGGACAATAGCACTGGAAATAAAAGAAAGAATAAAAAAGACACGTTTCTTTAAATTTCTTATGTTTATTTATTAAAAATCTTCTGTGCAAATTGGGATGTAAGTGTATTTCTGTATATCCCACATTAACTACTGCTCTCACTAATTATTTGGTAAATTAGTTGTCTCCCACACCTGGCTAATCATCAAAATCACCCAAGCAGCTTCATGAGCTCTTGAGTGTAGTAGGCAGAATTCTAAAGATGTCCCTTCATTATCCCTGTTCCCTGGTTATTCAATCAAATACTCATCTAGGCACTGTATAAAGGAATTCCACATTTGATAATGATAATCAGCTGATAATGAAATAGAATAGCCTGAGTTATCCAGGTGGGCCCAATATAATCTTATAAACCTTAAAGAGTAAAAGAGGAAAGCAAAAAGATGCAACAGAAGAAGAAAAGCAGAAGAGAGTTGCAACAAAAGGAAAACTCAGAGAAATTTGAGGCAAAAGAAAGATTTGATATACCATTACTGGCCTTGAAGATGGAGGGGCCATGAGCTAAGAAATCAGTGAATGTAGAACACTCTTATGAACTGCAAATGACCTTCAGCCAACATCAGCAAGAGAATAAGGGCCTCAGTCCTGCAACCACGTGGAACTAAATTCTGGCAACAACCTGAATCAGCTTAAAAGTGGGTTTTTCCCAGAGTCTCCTAAAGAGATCCCAAACAGTCACAACCTTTATTTTAGTCTTGTGAAGTCTGTCACAGAGAACTCAACTCAACCAACCCAGATTTCTGACCTACAGAACTGTGAGGTAATACCTCTGTGTTATTTTAAGCTTCTAAATTTATGGTAACTTGTTAAGGCAGCAATATATAACTAATGACCTGTGCTTCACTAAGAATTTATATTTTATGTTAGGATATGAAAATGCCCAACAAATTTTTTAAATTTAGTTATCATCTTTGATTCAGTAGACCACTCGCTCTGATATGAGCTGCCAATCAATGAGAAAAATTTAGTCTCCATACAACAGCTGAATATAGTACTGGATGTAAACATGGGGAAGACTAGATATTTTAGCTTTAAGAATATTATTTTTGGTTAAGAAGAGAAAACTCAAGTACATAAAAAATTATCAAGTATTATCTGACAATATAAAAATATTGGGAAAAACTTCTATGTAAGTGTTGAGATAGGTTGGCTCTTAAATGAGGTATAGATGTCACACAGGCAATGGAAAGGGAGGATACCGTGTTAGAGAAAAAAAGCACAAACATAAATCAGAGCTGAATGTAGCCTTCAGTATGTCGTCTCACCTCCAATGGAAGTGAAAGTATCTTTTGATTCATATCCTAGAGAAATTATCCCATCAAGATCTCTTCTGGAAAATCCCTGGCAGATTATCAAACTAGAAATATGCTTTTTCTAATATTTTCAACTTGTGGCTGTTTAGAAAAATGAGTGTGTGGGCACATGTGTGTGTTGATGTGAGATTATGTGTTCAAGATTATGCTAGTCTCACTGGGAAGGTGGATTGGCATGGTAAGAAAGCCCTAGGGAAATGGATGTGGTGTTTCAGCAGCTATTTATTATTAGTGATAAAACATTGTATGAAAACCCCTTCCTGCCTTTTTAAATCAGACCAAAAGAAAACAAAGTCCATATACAAGAAGGAATTAATTTTTCAAAGCTAATTCTTAAATACATAATTTTGAACCTGAGAGGATGGTGGGGAGGTCGAACATTTTAAATGTCATCTCATTTTACTATTAACAGGAGGGAAGTTTTAGAGCTTAGGAGTCATGTTTTTAAGCATTCACAGATATAGAAAAAAATATATATAACTTTAAAAAGACTTTGCTGTTTGAATATTGAATCGTTTTGGTGCCTCACTGCTGCTTTAAAAATTCCATGTGGGCTGTATACTGCTAAGAGATTAGTCACTTCAGTGGAGAATCTTAGAACTTCCTGTTCAGGGCACCTGGGGATGAGAAAGGAGACCATGGTAGATGATACTTTTCTTATCTGACTAATAAGAGTGGGATCAGAGGAATGCTGGAAAAATATTTGAAACTGTAGACCATGGGTAGAGAAAAGACTTGAAGGAAAATTATCTTAGGACTTCAATACTCCAAAAAATCATGATCAACTTCATATGTACAGTACATTTTCAGTTCATCCGGTTCCCTGTGACTTCAAAGACATCCCTCAAGTCTAAGCTACCATCATCAATTTATTACTTGCTTAGACTGACATGATACTGGTCCCTGAATTCATTCCATCCTCCTTCAAGCCATTTCCTAATAGCAGTCAGGAATATTACTGACCCCACTTCCCATCTAGATTACGTCTTCTAGTGTATTCTTGGAAGTACCTATATCTTTCCTTTACCTCTCTTATCACAGTTTTTAATTATACATTCATCTGAGTCATTATCTAATATTTGCCAAAAACTCCCACACTCTAAACCCCACAATGTAGTTACTGGGTCTGGCATTTGCTAATGTGGTTTCTTCACCTAATCCAGTGCCTGGCATTTAAAGGTACTTAGTAAATATTCATAAATTTAAAAAATGAGGGCAGGAATGAACAAAAACAAAAGAAGTGGGCTGTCATCTATTAATGAAAATATAGTCTAATTGAGGGCCGTAGGAGTGGACACTGTCCTGGTGTAGTGCTCAACTGAAAATTAAGAATGGAGAAAAATCCATTGAAAAATGTGGATGGTGAAACATTAAAAGAAAAACCAGGGATATGACTGGGCTGTTAGTGTTAATCAATTGGCTCTCATGCCCACCTTTTATCTATAAAATCACCAAATTCACTCTGAGAAATATGTAAACCAATGCAAAAGATCCATCTAGACTATATTTATATTCCTCCTGAGACCCTTCTGTATGGGGCAGAAGCCAACATGATAAAGCTTTGTTCCCTGAGTCCTAATCTGGAGAGACTCTATATGTCTTGTGCACTTAATTATGTTCACAAAGAATGTTTATGAAATCTGACTTTTATAAAGAGGAGAAACTTAACAGCAACTCTGGTCTGAGGAACTTGATGGGACTCATCTCTACCTGGGCCAATGCATCTATTCTTCCGTATGTGACTAGAACTGAAAGAAACTCTCCACAAAGCAATGTTGTGGAGTCCTGCCTTAGAGAACATAACTTAATTTGCGTAGATTTTGGTTAAAGAGTTACAAGCGAGGAGACTTTTGATTGAGATATTACATTTAAATATGAGCTTGAAAAAAATTAAAACATCTATCTTTAGGAAGTGAACAAATAAAATTTGCCATAAAGCAAAATGTACAAAAATAAAAATGTTGAAAGTGGCCACTGCACATCTCTAATTCTATCATGACCTTAATTAAAGATCTATTATAAAAACAGCACTCTGGTACTGATGAAATAACTTCAGGTGAAGTTGGCACTTTATATTTTATTCCCTTGAATATAGGTTGCAAAATCAATTGATATATAATCTCCTGTAATCCTACAACAACCTGATAAAATAGAGTTTACCTTCATTTTACAGATAAGAAAACCAACGCTAACATCTTTGAAGTAACTTAGATAAGTCATACAACTTAGGAGTGGCAAAGCTATCAATTAAACCCAAGTCTTTGTATTATAGAGCCTCCTTTGAGCATCTTTAAGTGATTTGAGATAGATTAGGCAGAAGTGTCCAAAATTTTGCCTTCTCTGGGCCATATTGGTAAAAGAATTGTCTTGGGCCACACATAAAATACACTAACAATAGTTGATGAGATTTTAAGTAATACAAAAAAATCTTATAATGTTTGAAGAAAGTTTACAAATTTGTGTTGGGCCACATTCAAAGCCACCCTGGGCCGTGGGTTGAACAAGCTTGGATTAGAGCCTCATTTGAGCATCTAAGAGATTAAAATAATGATGAGAGATGGTACAAATCCACCACTTTTCACCCACCTACACAATACATAATGTAGTCAAGGATTTTACAACCCTCACGAGAATATTCACACAACTTTAATACTCTTCAGTGTACAAAGGTCTATTTAGAGCCATTTCACCATACAAATATGGAGAAGGATAATTTGTGTCCTCATAACTGGAAAGATTATCCAGCCGCACTTCAGAGTTTGCTTGATCCTCATTATTTAAACTGTCCACAAAGCTTCTGCTGCCTAATATTTTTTTAAATGCATTTTTGTTTTTTTCCCAATGTAGAAAATTAGGAAAATAGAGAAAAGCATAAATGAAAATATATAAAACACAGTAAATTTTCTAAAATATTTAAACGTTTTTGTATACATATAGGCACACACGTATGTGTGTGTGTATATACATTTACACACAGTTTCTAAATCAAATTGGTAGATTGCACAGATGGCTCCAATTCTCCCCCTTCTGTACTCTTTTACAAAATAACTTGCAGCTCCTTCAATGAAGAAGTGGAATCTATTTCTCTATCCTTTGAACCTAGTCTTATCTTGTGAACTTTATGTGGCAAAAGGAATGTGCCAGCTCTGAGCATCAGTCTCAAAAGGCGTTGCGGCTTCTACTCTCTTGCTAGGGACTGTGTCAAGTTTCCATGTAAACAGTCCTGAACCAATCTGTTTGACGAAGAGAGAGACACATGTTCTACCAGTTTCCACTGGGCTGAGAGTCAGCCAATCCCCAGAAGCAGAGCCACTCGATGATCAGCAGCTGATCACAACATGAGCGAGCCAAGCCATGATTGAAAAACAGAGCAGCTGAGCCCAATCCAAATTGCTGACCTACAAAATGATAAACTAAATTAATTTTGAAAGCCACTAAGCAATAGATATTTGATACATCAATTTTGCCTTTTTCCCAAAAACTTCTTGGGGGGAAAAAAAAAGAATTCATTCTTCACCCTGATGTGGAAAATACAGTGTAGTTAACGGTCCTGAATTAGCATCAGGTGATCTGATTTAATTCCTAACTCTGCCATTGACTAGAGGTGTTATTACAAATATGTCAAATATATTATCCGAGTTTCAGTTTTTATGCCTGTAGACAAACATCATATTGCATACCCATTCTACCTGGATGGTTTATCATAAACATATGAGAATTATGAAATTGTATTGTATGACTTTATACCCATCTTTTTCTTCTCCAGGTGTTTGTCTTCTTATTTAGAAGAATCAATGTGTTGCACTAGATATTATTCAAGGATCATTCTTGTTCAAAATTTCTTTAACTATTATTATTGTTGATGTTGTTACAGTTACTGGAGAATCTAATTTAAGGTTCATGCCCTGTCCACAAGCCTCTATGAGAAGCTCACAATGGAACCATGCCTATTACAACACAGTCTCCCAGAGCACAGGTACCTCTTTTGGAGTCTCTAGGAGGTACCTGTGCTATGGGATATAGTTAAAACTCATAAAATGTGAAAACCTCATGTTCTAATCCACATTGAAAACCCAAAGATAAGGTAGAGTTTAGGTATAAATTTTGTGAGCAATTCCTTTTCTAGAGCAATTTTAAGAAAGAAAACTCATTAAAAAAGATTTCTCCATCTACTCTTTCATTTGTGAATCATCTTTTGAGTAAGGCAGAAAGTTTTGATGTATTGATCACAGGCAAAATTAAAACAACCTGGAAGATATAAAAATATGTAAAAAGAAAAATTATCATCTCTTTCCAGATCTACTGAATCATAATTACCAGATGTAAAGTCTAGAATTAGAGACTCTGTAGGTGGTTCAGGAGCAGGCAAAAACCTGAGAACTATTAAATTTGGTTTTCATTCTTTTCAGAATCAAGATGGGACAAACTACTAAGCTGGTTCTAATCACTTTCAAATTTGCAAGTTTGAGTAAATTGACTTATCTAATTGCTTTTCATTCTTAAAGAGAATCTTAAGCAAATTGTTATTTTAGATGGTGAGATGAGGGATAGATGAATTTAGGCAGTAATGTAAAAACTGAAAAAAGTCTGAGTAAAAATTCCAGGCAGCAAGAAGAGACTCAAGTCTTGGAAGGAACAAAGGCAGAGAGAGACAAAGAAAGGGTTGTAGGAAAACAATTATCTCATGTTTTTCTAGGGCTGACCCATGCTAAAAGTCTCTGGGAATCATGCTGCTTAGATTAGTATGGTTTAAAGATAATTGCTCTCCAGACATACCCCCAATTTGAGGTTCCACTAGGCTAGAAAGACTACCAAGTATAAAATACAAAGCAAACAGGAGATCCTATAACTTCTTAGCATTGTAGCTGTCCAAAGCCACAAATATCATTTCTTCTTTTCTCTGCCAGATTTGCTAGTAAGATTTTTCTTGGGTCAGTGGTTGAGAATATTTTTGTTTCTTGGTCTCTGACAATCTCCTTCATGAAGAGTTGAATTTACTTCTTGGCAAATAACCACCTACACTGTACGCATTGTACCTTTCATTCTAACCATTTCAGATTCAGTCCTTTAGGTTACTATAAAACTGCTTTCTAAAGAAGGGGAGAAGAAACAAAAAGAAAATGAAAAATAGGGGGTCAGATAGATGGGATTAAACCAATATATGTTGAACACCCATTATGTATCACCTTCACAAACGTATTATCACAGTAACTCACAACAACCCAACGAGGTAAGCATCATTTATTTCTTTGCAAATGAAGAAAATCAGTAATTTTATGAATCATTCCATACATAGATAGGATTCAAACCTGATTAAATCTGGCCCTAAAAACAGTGATTTTTTTAACACCCTTAGAATAC
The DNA here is from genome assembly GCF_000001405.40 of Homo sapiens. Classification (NCBI taxonomy): domain Eukaryota; kingdom Metazoa; phylum Chordata; class Mammalia; order Primates; family Hominidae; genus Homo; species Homo sapiens. The sequence goes on from NC_000018.10 coordinate 44,243,391, forward strand.
ACATTTGGAAACAAATATCCCTGAGTGCAGCGAAAAAATTCTTATCAGTAAACATGCTCATGTGAATACACATACCTCTGATTCTTCAGCAGACTTGAGAGGTGCTTTGAAGAGAAACTCTTGTCTAGATCAATGTTCTTGAAACTGTGAATGTTTACTTGCTAATGAATTATAACATCAATTGTGTATCAACAAACAATATTTAATGAAATATTACCCAAAGGAATCGAATCCAGTAAAAAAAATTCCTGAGGTATAATGTAGTAAGGATAAGGGTTTTTTTTTTTTCTAGAAATCTTTTTTGATTACATAGAAGTGCACATATGGGTGTATACACCAAGTGACAAGGTAAAATGTTTTCTAATGTAATTAGTCGTGAAAAACATAAGTTTGAAAGCTACTGGTCTAAACAAATAGAAGGATGCCCAGGGCAGGGAAATTATCTCATCTCAGAGAGAGAGGCCCAGAAGGACCTTGAAACAAAAAGAGCAACAATACAGAAAGGACTGTCAAGCCTTAGAGTTTCGTAGATTGCATTGAATGGCTGTTCTCTTTTTTCAACTAATAAAGTCATTGAAATGCAGAGGTGAAAAGTTCCTGTAGCAAAATCATGTTGAAGTCTGCAGGTGCCTATCACCTATGAGGAACTAGGTCTTTTATTAAACTCCTATTAGATTTTTCCAATCTTATTCTGTACATGCAGGATCAACATTGATTTCTTTTTTTTATCAGACATTGTCCAAAAATGGATGAGGCATTTCTCATTATCTCTCCCTTGAACAACATTTATATAGGACTTGCTGAGATATATGCTCTTTATTTTCTTACTTGCTCAAAGAAAAAAAAAATCCTACTACATTTTTCCCCCATTTGGAGCAGATAAAAGGTGACTGATTCTAGATAACAGCATCAGCTGTTCTTCTGTCTTGGCTGTTAAACACTTACCTGTTGAAGAGGCCAAGAAAACATGTAATGAGGCTTAATATACGGAATAAATATTGGTGTACGCAGCTGACCATTCAGAATATTGTTTTAGCCTGTGACTCACAGAAAAAGAAGAAACATACAATAGAATTTGGTATGGCTGCTTCTATTATGACTTCATTTGGCCACTGACAACCATTTATTGAACCTGATGACATGAGAATTACTAATAACAATACCTATTATCTGTGTAATGATTAAAAGACTACTTCAAAGTAAGTTTACATATCTAGCTCCTTTTCATTCTTACAACAGCCTTGTTTGATTTGGGAAGTATTATATTCATTTTTAGAAGTGAGAAAAATGAGGCATAGATAAGTGATTTATCCAAGAACACACAAAGTTGCAAAATTGGAACAGGATCTGTAACCCCTAAATCCTGGCCCACATTCCTCCCAACAGATAGCAATTTTTCCCTCATTAATTGTGCCTTGTAATATATTCTTTTCTTTTTCCCTAGCTGACCTGTTTCACAAAAATTATTTTTTTAAAGTTTATGTTTAAATAGGTTAAAAAAGGAAATGAGAGGCAGGGTGATTATTCTGTCACATCTGCTGAATGCAGTTAATTCATTGGTTTCATGAATATGAAGTGGTCTAGAGGAATATGTATCTATTTATATAACAATCACATATGCTGGGAAAATGTATGTGGTTGAAATACAGATACGATGGTTTCCATTTTAATATTGGTTTAAGTAAATTATATGTTAGGCCCCAGCCAACAAATATATCCGTTACAGTTAACTTCTCTAATTTGGTTAAAGGATCCTAGGTTTATTCAGCATTGCATGTATATCAGGTTATGTAAAATTAATAGCTGAAGTTCATTCATATGGCTTTAATTAGGATGCATGGGTTGGGATGAAAAATAAAGCAAGAGCTCTGGCTTTGATTATAACTGTATCTGCTCCAGTATCAGTGTCTGCAATGGCAAATACATGTTGGCTTCCCTTAATACATGTTTGTCCAAAGAAACCGTGCATTGGCTTAATTTCACTTTAAAAGCTTTTATTAAAAGGTATTGTTTGTCTAAACACCAGTTTCATTCACTTTATTTAATTACACGAGAGTATTCTCAGAGCCCAAAATAAAATTGTATACACTTTTTTGAAGTTGATGTATTACATTTCAAAGAAAATAGATTCATTTCTGTGAAAACTTCTTGGAACTTTTGTAAACATACTGTTTCCAAGTCTACGTACTCATCTTCAAACATGGCTTTGGAAGTCTTACTCATTTTCTTTCCCAGGAAAAAGAATTATTTGAGGAGAAAAGCATTTATTGCTAGGCAATAATGTTCTTCTCAGGTGGTTGCTAAACTTTCCCACCCAAACCAGGGGAAGATGTAAGTTTTATTACATTAATGACTTCTTTTATATTTGCCTAAGATTTATTTAGTCCTCAAGATCAAAATAATTTTCCACCTTCTCTGTGATGTATTGTGTGGTCACTTGAGTTTTCAATGAGAGCTTTCTTGTTTTCTCCTACTGGACTAGATTGTTAACTTGGAGGTAGTAGACCATGCTCTGAATTATTTGTACATCTTCAATTCTCAGCTCTGTGCTCTAGACAGAGCACAGCTCTTTGTAGATAAAGGTGGTGAAGGAGCTGCTGGATGAATGCAAGCTGTTCTCTCCTTAATATGAGGTGTATTTGATAGCATGATCATCTAGCTCCAAGATGGGTCACAGAGGTCCCAAACAATTAATGGCATGAGGAAGCCTGAACAGACAGGTAGACAGGCATCAAGAATTCCTAGTGACTGACATCAGTAGGCAAAGGTCTTAAATGGGAGATGATAAACAGCAGAGAGTACCACCATGGACAGCGCATTTACATAAGCCCAGGATGGGTCCAGATAGGCAGCCCTGATGAAAGGGACAGGCTATGTCTGGAGTAGAGAAGAATAGTTATCATTTATCAAGCCTATAGTATACGCCAGGCTCTGAGCTGAAAGCATAAGCTCTGGAGTCATACAGACCTAGGTATATAACAGCAAAGCCCACTCTGAGCTGTGTGACCTGGAGAGAACTTTTCAATCTATTTTTACCTAAGGATTTTCTTCTCTAGGGGAGCTGACGTAAATGAAATGGTTAATATCACACTTAGGACACAGGGTGAGTGATGTTACTATCAGAATTGTTCTTGATTGTATCAATAGCTCCACAATACATAGATTATTGTCCATATTAGAGTGATCTAAAAGCTGAGGCTAAAAAAAAATAAGTAACTTATTCAAGTCCACTCAGCTAGTGAGTGGTGCCAGTGGGATCCAAATTGGCCTGATTCCCAAATATATAAAACGTATACATACAGGTAATAGGCTGAGGGTCCAGGCAAAAGGACGAAGAGTGCATTATCTGTGATGCTGAAATGCAGAGCTCCAGCTCAGCCCAGGATTCCAGGAATGGTTAAGAGTATGATCGGTTCTAGATTTTTGTGCAGAGCCCAGCTTGCCAATGGAGTTAAAGTGGCTTAACTGTGGATATTGGAAAACCTTCAGGAAAGGAAGCCAGACCACTGAATTTAAAGCTAGTCAGACCCCACTTTTCCTTTCCATCCTTTCTTCTTCCTTCTCTTTCTTTTCAAATCTTATTCCTTTGCTTATGGTCTAGGATTCAAACTAAGTGGCCAAGAATATATTAAGAAAAAGTGTTGTGTATCCTGGCCATCCATCCAGAGACATCCTCCTCACAAATTATCTTGGTGCCACAAACCCACCATAAAATATTCATTGCCTTTGATCCCAAAGTATTTTTACTCTGCACACTGTCTTCTATTAAAATGAAAATGTCCCTTAGGGGAGAGAAAATCTTTTAAGCTATTATTAGTTAAAATCTTGGTGGGTAGTTGTTTTATGAAAATTGAGGTTAAAATTCTTCAAGAACTGAAGGACACAGAATGTGGTTCAGGAAAAACTCAGGGGAAAGAGTGACATAGATGGGGTCATTGGAGGCTGTCACATCTATTTCCCCCAGTTTTAAGGTTTGTTGCTGCTTCTGTTCACATATCCTTCTCTTTTTTTCTCTTCACTCCATTCCACTACTCTCCTTCATACAACCTATGCTCTTTCTAGAGCATAAAAAAATGAGGGTGCTGAATAAGACTGAGAAGACAAAATGGGAGAAATCAAATTTGGACACATTAAGAACCTCACAGTATTTTGAGTTTAGAAATGTCTCAATAATTTCTGACCTCACACTAGAGTTTAACATGGATTTTGAGGTTATGGTTCAGATTCAAGCTTTGTTATTGATGTCTGTGACCTCAAGCATATTATCCCCTTATCCCCTCTGAGCTTCAGGATTCTTACCTTAGAGTTAAGGCAATGTCGAACTCAGGGTAGTTAAAAGGATATTGACACACTTAGCACTGTGCCTGGGGGGTACTATGTGGTCATGATGGGGCAGCTAATAATAATGAAATGTTAGTACAAAAACAATAACACCAAGACTGCATTCAACTCCATGTTGGACTTTACTTTAGATGTTGGGTATTCACTCTTCCTGACTACCATTAGACTCACTCTGTGTTCTTTAGATTACGATAGACAGCCAGGGCCACAGTAAACTAGAGCAAAGGAAAACACTATTCAGATATGAGGAGGACTGCATTAGGAAGCACATCTGATAAAACTGTATAACATGGTGACTATAGTTAAAATACTGTATTATGTATTATTGCATACTAGAAACTTGCTAAAGGATTAGCTCTTAAAGCATTCTTATCAAAATAAAAATAAAGAGTAACATGAGGTGGTAGATGTGTTAATTCACTTGACTGTGGTAATCATTTCACAATGTATATGTATATCAAAACATCACATTCTACACTTTAAATATATACAATTTTATTTGTAAATTTTGCTTAAGAAAAAAAAAGCCAGGTGCAGTAGCTCACATCCATAATCCTAGCATTTTGGGAGGCTGAGGCAGGTGGATTGATTGAGCCCAGGAGTTTAAGACCAGCCTGAGCAACACTGTGAAACCTCATCTTTATTTTAACAAAATGCAAAAATTATCTGTGCATAGTGGTGCATGCCTGTAGTCCCAGCTACTCGGGATGCTGAGGTGGGAGGATCCTGAGCCTAGGAGGTCTACAGTGAGCTGTGATAACACCACTGAACTCCAACCTGGGTGACAGAGCAAAACTCTCCCTCAAAAAATAATATAAAATAAACCCCTTCATCTGTAAAATGGGACTACAGAAACCCACCTGTGTAAAGTAGATTGTATACCCTCCAAAAGAGAATTGCCTAAGTCTGCTCCTCAGAGAGTGAGACGAGAAGAACTTGTAAATAAATTTTATTATAGCAGGTGCTGTTCACAAATAGATGAAAATTAACTATCACGTGGAAATAGCTATTACCTCATTTAATTAATCAGAAATCTGCCTCTAAACTATTTAGATTATTCCTAAATACTAAGAAATAATTTGTAAAATAAAATTCAAAAACAGCTATAAGCAGCTTGATAAATGTTTAGATTCCATAAAATGAAACTCACACATTCATCTCACAATGACACAGGCTTTTGATCAACCTTGATAGCAGTACTTTCCAGGTTTTAAGTTCCTTTTCCTCCTTCTCATAGTTACTCAGGGGTGAGCCCCTACTGCTAAAGATGGTTTGCTCCAGCTGCCATAGAACATAGCCTGCTTCTTTTGAATGTATACAGTAGGAAAATGGTAATATCTACAACCATTTAATGATGATGTTATTGTCCTCAGGTTAAAGATGAAGAAATGGAGACTAACAGTGAATTTTCTTGCACAATGCAAGTAGTAAGCATCAGAACTAAAACTCAAATCTGGAGGTCAAAATTTAAAGACCTGGCCAGGCGTGGTGGCTCACACCTGTAATCCTAGCACTTTGGGAGGCTGAGGTGGGTGGATCACAACGTCAGGAGTTTGAGACCAACATGGCCAATATGGTGAAACCCGTCTCTACTAAAAATGCAAAAATTAGCTGGGAGTGGTGGCAGGCACCTGTATTCCCAGCTACTCGGGAGGCTGAGGCAGGAGAATTGCTTGAATCTGGGAGGTGGAGGTTGTAGTGAGCCGAGATCGTGACATTGCACTCCAGCCTGGGTGACAGAGCAAGACTCCATCTCAAAATAAATAAATACATACATACATACATACATACCCTCCTCTTCAAATTGTATCATGCTTATGGAGTCAATGTCAAATAAACCTGCCAAGAAGTTGTCCGAAATGGATTAAGTTGGCCTTTCCAGAAGAACAGGTCGCAAAGAAAGGCAAGGCATTATCCCCAGACTAATCAGGATCAATACCAGTCATTGAAACCTGACTCCAACATTACACTGCAGTCGGCTCTTCCCCCAATAGGCATTCTTCTTAAATAGGAGACTGAGGTCGGCCTGCCCAGCCATGCTTGACTCTGTTCTTTCCTAATTTGCATTTGGCACAGGCTGTAGAAATAGAAGCCTATGATATGAACATAAAAGCAAATATATTTTCCCAGTTTAGTGGGTTAAGATGAAAGGATCAATTTTGCCTACTGCAAAACTATGTTCAGGGCTTGACCTTGTGCCTTAATTCTATTTACAAGAAAAGTATAGTTAGCGGTAGGCAGGAAAATCATGCTAATTTTGTTTTGTTTGGGCATCCTGCTCTATGAACTTGGAGACTTACGTTCTTTTTCTGGGTAATATTTTCTAAGGACACTTTTGGACACTTGACCTTGTATCCAAGTGTCAATGCTAGTCCTATCAGAAATGTTGAATGCATTGTATACTCCAGCATGTCTCTAACCACATAGCACAATGTGAGAGAAGTGTCCCTAGGGCAGAAGAAAGAGTCACATGTCCCTAGCATGTATGCCACAGGAGCCGGAGTTATGATCCCAGGGAGGTTGATGATTAGAAACTATTTCCTTTTATTTTTATTTTTATTATACTTTAAGTTCTAAGGTGCATGTACACAACGTGCAGGTTTATCACATAGGTATACATGTACCATGTTGGTTTACTGCACTCATCAACTCATCATTTACATTAGATATTTCTGCTAACACTATCCCTCGCCCAGCCCCCCAGCCCCCAACACGCCCCAATGTGTGATGTTCCCTGCCCTGTGTCCATGTGTTCTCATTGTTCAATTCCCACTTGTGAATGAGAATATGTGTTTAGTTTTCTGTCCTTATGATATTTTGCTGAGAATGACGGTTTCCGGCTTCATCCACGGCCCTGAAAAGGACATGAACTCATCCTTTCATTATGGCTGCATAGCACTCCATGGTGTATATGTGCCACATTTTCTTTAACCAGTCTATTATTGGAGTTGGTTCCAAGTCTTTGCTATTGTGAATAGTGCTGCAATAAACATACATTTGCATATGCCTTTATAGTAGCATGATTTATAATCCTTTGGGTATGTACCCAGTCATGGGATTGCAGGGTCAAATGGTATTTCTAGTTCTAGATGCTTGAGGAATTGCCACACTGTCTTCCACAATGGTTGAACTAATTTACACTGCCTCCAACAGTGTAAAAGGATTCCTATTTCTCCATATCCTCTCCAGCATCTGTTGTTTCAAGACTTTTTAATGATCGCCATTCTAACGGGCATGAGATGCTATCTCATTGTGGTTTTGATTTGCATTTTTCTGATGACCCGTGATGATGAGCATTTTTTCATATGTCTGTTGGCTGCATAAATGTCTTCTTTTGAGAAGCATCTGTTCATATCCTTGGCCCACTCTTTGATGGGGTTGTTTTTTTCTTGTAAATTTGTTTAAGTTCTTTATAGATTCTGGATATTAGCACTTTGTCCGATGGATAGATTGCAAAAATTTTCTCCCATTCTGTAGGTTGCCTGTTCACTCTGATGATAGTTTCTTTTGCTGTGCAGCTCTTTAATTTAATTAGATCCCATTTGTCTATTTTGGCTTTTGTTGCCATTGCTTTTGGCATTTTATTCATGAAGTGTTTGCCCATGCCTCTGTCCTGAATGGTACTGCCTAAGTTTTCTTCTAGGGTTTTTATGGTTTTAGGTCTTACATTTAAGTCTTTAATCCATCTTGAACTAATTTTTGTATAAGGTGTAAGGAAGGGATCCAGTTTCATCTTTCTACATATGGCTAGCCAGTTTTCCCGGCACCATTTATTAAATAGCGAATCCTTTCCCATTTCTTGTTTTTGTCAGGTTTGTCAACGATCAGATGGTTGTACATGTGTGGTGTTATTTCTGAGGGCTCTGTTCTGTTCCATGGGTCTATATATCTGTTTTGGTACCAGTACCATGCTGTTTTGGTTACTGTAGCCTTGTAGTATAGTTTGAAGTCAGGTAGTGTGATGCCTCCAGCTTTGTTCTTTTGCTAGGATTGTCTTGGCAATGCAGACTCTTTTTTGGTTCCATAAGAAATTTAAAGTAGGTTTTTCCAATTCTGTGAAGAAATTCAGTGGTAGCTTGATGGGGATAGCATTGAATCTATAAATTACCTTGGGCATTATGGCCATTTTCATGATATTAATTATTTCTATCCATGAGCATGGAATGTTCTTCCATTTGTGTGTGTCCTCTCCTATTTCGTTGAGCAGTGGTTTGTAGTTTTCCTTGAAGAGGTCCTTCACATACCTTGTAAGTTGTATTCCTAGGTATTTTATTCTCTTTGTAGCAATTGTGAATGGGAGTACACTCATGATTTGCCTCTCTGTCTGTTCTTGGTGGATAGGAATGCTTGTTATTTTTGCACATTGATTTTGTATCCTGAGACTGCTGAAGTTGCTTATCAGTGTTAGGAGATTTTGTGCTGAGGCGGTGGCATTTTCTAAATATACAGTCATGTCATCTGCAAACAGAGACAATTAGACTTCCTCTTCTCCTAATTGAATATCCTTTATTTCTTTCTCTTGCATGATTACCCTGGCAATACTACGTTGAATAGGAGTGGTGAGAGAGGGCATCCTTGTCTTGTGCCAGTTTTGAAAGGGAATGCTTCCAGTTTTTGCTCATTCAGTATGATATTGCCTGTGGGTTTGTCATAAATAGCTCTTATTATTTTGAGATATGCTCCATCAATACCTAGTTTATTGAGATTTTTTTAGCATGAAAAGCTGTTGAATTTTATCAAAGGCCTTTTCTGCATCTATTGAGATAATCCATGTGGTTTTGTCGTTGGTTCTATTTATGTGATGGATTACGTTTATTGATTTGCATATGTTGAACCAGCCTTGCATCCCAGGGATGAAGCTGAATTCATCATGGTGGATAAGATTTTTGATGTGCTGCTGGATTTGGTTTGCCAGTATTTTACTGAGGATTTTTGTATCGATGTTCATCAGGGCTGTTGGCCTAAAATTCTCTTTTTTTGTTGTGTCTCTGCCGGGCTTTGGTATCATGATGATGCCGGCCTCATAAAATGAGTCAGGGAGTAGACCCTCTTTTTCTATTGATTGGAATAGTTTCAGAAGGAATGGTACCAGCTCCTCTTTGTACCTCTGGTAGAATTTGGCTGTGAATCCATCTGGTCCTGGACTTTTTTTTGGTTGGTAGGCTATCATTGCCTCAACTTCAGAACCTGTTTTTGGTCTATTCAGAGATTCAGTTTCTTCCTGGTTTAGTCTTCGGAGGGTGTCTGTGTCCAGGATTGTATCCATTTCTTCTAGATTTTCTAGTTTATTTGTGTAGAGGTGTTTATAGTATTCTCTGATGGTAGTTTGTATTTCTGTGATATCGGTGGTAATATCCCCTTTATCATTTTTATTGAGTCTATTTGATTCTTTGCTCTTTTCTTCTATATTAATCTTGATAGTGGTCTATCTATTTTGTTAATCTTTTCAAAAGACCAGCTCCTGGATTCATTGGTTTTTTTTGAAGGGTTTTTTTGTCTGTATCTCCTTCAGTTCTGCTCTGATCTTAGTTATTTTTTGGTCTTCTGCCAGCTTTTGAACTTGTTCACTCTTGCTTCTCTAGTTCTCTTAATTGTTATGTTAGGGTGTTGATTTTAGATCTTTCCTGCTTTCTCTTGTGGCATTTAGTGCTACAAATTTCCCTCTACACACTGCTTTAAGTGTGTTCCAGAGATTCTGCTACATTGTGTCTTTGTTCTCGTTGGTTTAAAAGAACATCTTTATTTCTGCCTTCATTTCTTTATTTACCCAGTAATCATTCAGGAGCACGTTGTTCAGTTTCCATGTAGTTGAGCGGTTTTGAGTGAGTTTCTTAATCCTGAGTTCTAATTTGATTGCACTGTCATCTAAGAGACAGTTTGTTGTGATTTCTGTTCTTTTACATTTGCTGAGGAGTGTTTTACTTCCAATTATGTGGTCAATTTTAGAATAAGTGTGATGAGGTGCTGAGAAGAATGTATATTCTGTTGATTTGGGGTGGAGAGTTCTGTAGATGTCTATTACGTCTGCTTGGTCCAGAGCTGAGTTCAAGTCCTGGATAGTCTTGTTAATTTTCTGTCTCATTGATCTATCTAATATTGACAGTGGGGTGTTAAAGTCTCCCATTATTGTGTGGGAGTCTAAGTCTCCTTGTAGGTCTCTAAGAACTTGCTTTATGAATCTGGATGCTCCTGAATTAGGTGCATGTATATTTAGAATAGTTAGCTCTTCTTGTTGAATTGATCATTTACCATTATATAATGGCCTTATTTGTCTGTTTTGTTCCTTGTTGGTTTAAATTCTGTTTTATTAGAGACCAGGATTGCAACCCCTGCCTTTTTTTTTTTTTTTTTTTTTTTTTTTTTTTTTTTGCTTTCCATTTGCCTGGTAGATCTTCCTCCATCCCTTTATTATGAGCCCATTTGTGTCTTTGCACATGAGATGGGTCTCCTGAATCAACACCCCAATGGGTCTTGACTCTTTATCCGATTTGACAAACTGTGTCTTTTAATTGGGGCTTTTAGCCCATTTACATTTAAGGTTAATATTGTTATGTGTGAATTTGATCCTGTCATTATGATGCTAGCTGTTTATTTTGCCCATTAATTGATACAATTTCTTCATAGCATCAGTGGTCTTTACACTTTGGCATGTTTTTGCAGTGGCTGGTACCAGTTGTTCCTTTCTATGTTTAGTGCTTCCTTCAGGAGCTCTTGTAAGGCAAGCCTGGTGGTGACAAAAATCTCTCAGCATTTGTTTGTCTGTAAAGGATTTTATTTCTCCTTCATATATGGAAGCTTAGTTTGGCTGGATATGAAATTCTGGGTTGAAAATTATTTTCTTTAAGAATGAATACTGGCCCCCACTCTCTTCTGGCTTGTAGGGTTTCTGCCAAGAATCCGCTGTTAGTCTGATGGGCTTCCCTTTGTGGGTAACCCGAACTTTCTCTCTGGCTGCCCTTAACATTTTTTCCTTTATCTCAACCTTGGTGAATCTGACAATTATTTGTCTTGGGGTTGCTCTTCTCGAGGAGTATATTTGTGGTTTTCTCTGTATTTCCTGAATTTGAATGTTGGCCTGCCTTGCTAGGTTGGGGACGTTCTCCTGGATAATATCCTGAAGAATGTTTTCTAACTTGGTTCCATTCTCCCCATCCCTTTCAGGTACACCAATCAAACGTAGATTTGGTCTTTTCACATAGTCCCATATTTCTTGGAGGCTTTGTTCATTTCTTTTCACTCTCTTTTCTCTAATCTTGTCTTCTTTCTTTATTTCATTAATTTGATCTTGAATCACTGATATCCTTTCTTCTGCTTGAGTGAATCAGCCACTGAAGCTTGTGTATGCTTCACGCAGTTCTTGTACTGTGGTTTTCAGCTCCATCAGGTCATTTAAGTTCTCTACACTGGTGATTCTAGCTAGCCATTTGTCTAACCTTTTTTCAAGGCTTTTAGCTTCCTTGCAATGAGTTCGAACATCCTCCTTTAGCTCGGAGAAGTTTGTTTTACTGACTTTCTGAAGCCTACTTCTGTCAACTTGTCAAACTCATTCTCTATCCAGTTTTGTTCCCTTCCTGGTGAGTAGTTGTGTTTTTTCAGAGGAGAAGAGGCATTCTGATTTTTGTAATTTTCAGCCTTTCTGCTCTGGTTTCTCCTCATCTTTATGGTTTTATCTGCCTTTGGTCTTTGACGTTGGTGACCTACGGATGGGGTTTTGGTGTGGATGTCCTTTTTGTTGATGTCAGTGCTATTCCTTTCTGTTTATTAGTTTTCCTTCTAACAGGACCCTCACCTGCAGGTCTGTTGGAGTTTGCTGGAAGTCCACTCCAGACCCTGTTTTCCTGGGTATCACCAGTGGAGCCTGCAAAACAGCAAAGATTGCTGCCTGATCCTTCTTCTGGAAGCTTCGTTCCAGAGGGACACCCGCCTGTATGAGGTGTCTGTTGGCCCCTACTGAGAGGTGTCTCCCAGTCAGGCTACAACAGGGGTCAGAGACCCACTTGAGGAGGCAGTCTGTCCATTATCGGAGCTCGAACACCGTGTTGGAAGAACCACTGCTCTCGTCAGAGCTGTCAGGCAGGAACATATAAGTCTGCAGAAGCTGTCTGCTGCCTTTTGTTCAAATATGCCTTGTCCCCAGAGGTGGAATCTAGAGAGGCAGTAGGCCTTGCTGAGCTACAGTGGGCTACGCCCAGTTTGAGCTTCCCTGCCGCTTTGTTTACACTGTGAGCATAGAACCGCCTACTCAAGCCTCAGCAATGGCAGAAGGCCCTCCCCTGACCAAGCTCCAGCATCCCAGGTTGATCTCAGACTGCTGAGCTAGCAGCAAGCAGGGCCCCGTGGTCATGGGACCCACCGAGCCAGGCATGAGAGGGAATCTCCTTGTCTGCCAGTTGTGAAGACTATGGGAAAACCATGGGAAAAATTTGGGCAGGAGTGCACCATTCCTCCAAGTACAGTCACTCATAGCTTCCCTTGGCTCGGAAAGGGAAATCCCCCAAATCCCCCAACTCCTTGTGCTTCCTGGGTGATGTGATGCCCCTCCCTGCTTTGGCTCACCATCCATGAGCTGCACCCACTGTTCAACCAGTCCCAATGAGATGAACCAGGTACCTCAGCTGGAAATGCAGAAATCACCCTTCTTCTGCATTGATCTCACTGGGAGCTACAGACCAGAGCTGTTCCTATTCAGCCATCTTGAAAGTGACTCCAGAAACTATTTCATATATCCATATCCATACCTGTTATGGACCAGATACGTGAGCTCTCATATGGGTATGGTCAGAAGAAGGGAAAGAAGAAGAGAAAATTCACAAAAGAGTGTGTATGTTAAGGTCATGGCTTTGAAATGGCAGAGTACAAATTGTGGGAGGCTTAAAAAGTAAGTAAGCCTCATTTCCAAATTTTTTATTTGTCCCAAAAAGCATAATAAGGCTGGGATAGATACATGAAAATGATAACAAGTAGCCATGAATTGGGAAGAAACATTCAGCCAGTTTTCTGTAACACAGGATAACGTTGTCCAAAATTCCAACTTAAAAAAACTTTTATTATCCAGGGAAAATGTTCAAATTACAAATAGCATCATTGTCACTTTTTTGTGTGAAATTTTTACTTCCTGAATTCACATACGTCCTGAAATCTCTACTTTTTGGCAAATACACAAAAGAAATTAGTGGTAACTCTGTCTCAAGAGCAATAATGAATGGAGTGAGGGTTACTGGTGGAGCTGTTGGTTCTAGGAAGGGGTTAAGGCAGCATGTGAATGCCTGGCTGCCTATTTCCATCTGTTCAGTTGGGACCAGAACAGACCAGGAGTTGTCTCTCCTCCAACCCCACATGGCAAGCACCTACATTTGGGCCCTCTTCAGTCTTGTCTCATCCTTTCTCCTCTGGAACTTGCCCATTGTGTTATTTTGCATCCCCCTTCTTCCTGCTCATCTGATATCTGTTCCTCTCCTGCCTGTTTCTTATCCCTTTCAGCACTGCCCTTAAAGATGGCAGTTCTAGCATTGGGCAGTTTCCCCCAAGCGCCAAGTTCGTACTTCTATGCTACTGAAAATATCTCAACCTTTCAAGTAGATGGATTCATCACTTCCAACTCACTGTGTGCTATCATGAGCTGATAATCTAGTGCTGTTATGTTCTTCCCTGTGGTCTTATGTGCCACACCTAAGTATTTTTGCCTGGGCTTCATTCCTCACTCATATGTAGAGGAAGTAATGGTTACTTTGTCAGCCTTAATTGACCCCCCGGTAGTGACAGAGAATCCAATTTGATGTACGAATGCATGTGTGTTTCTATTTACTCATTCAACAAATATTTATAAAGTGTTTATCCTGTGAAAATGATTAGAAAGTAGAAAAACTCTATGAATATTGTGATTCTTCAATTAAGTGTAGGGCTGTGGGTAGGAAATCTAATCTACCTCACCAGTGTGTGTGTGTTTATTTGTTTTGTCCTCTTATGAAACAAATTATTGATAAGTGGATTAAACTTCACTTTTCCTGTAGTGTTGATACCACATTCACACTTGCATGAGCAAGAATAATTATTCTTTACCTTTCAAAAACCTTGGGAAAAAAACCTATGGAAAAAGGCAGAGAGTGAAAGGGAAGTAGGTGCAAACAAACTGGGTTTTCAATGGTGGAAAAGATCACTTCACTCCCCATGGAAAATAAAGCTCTATAATTATAGCACTCCATACTACCACCATCCTAAGACTACCAATCCAGACTGCAAGCATTCCCAATGCTGAAAATGCCTCTAATGAACAGATACTTCTGAGAATTGCAAAGAGCCACCCTATCTTGCAATTAAAGGATTGACAGAGCATGTTGAACTTAATACTAAGAATGCTAAACATCCTTGAGTCCTCCCTCATGGTGGGGGAAAGTACTTCTCCCTGCCTGCTGACATCCACATGGCTGAGGATTGTATGCATGGAGGGAGCCTTAGAGCTTCCTTACTCCATATGCATTAGTCACACTGGGCACAGTTCTGTCATTAGTGGCTCATTCTCATTCTGAGGCCAAATTCTCCCATCAGGTATTTGCCAGTGCTGCCAATCAATTTCCATACCCTTCTCTCAAAATCAATGGGTGAGAGAATCATAAATATTCAAGGAAAGAAAATGAGCAAGCACAGGGGTAGTCAAGGCCACCTGTGGCTCCAAGAGAGCAATGAAAATTTCTCACAGATGGACAATTTTAACAAACTTTGCATAGAAAGCTAGATCCTGCTAGCATATTGTCTGAAAGACATTGGAGTTAGATACTAGTAAAGGCCTTGTTAGGCCAGAATTAAGAATATGTTACTAAAAACATAGAATTTTCTTTTCCTGCAACCCATTAAAATCTAGCAATTGGGAGTGACAAAGTGTGTAGGATAATTTAATGCAGACACTTGCTGAACTATTTATGCTCCAGAGCCTGTGCAGGCAAAAGGGAGTTGTTTGGCAGGGAGGTTTGAAGCATCTCATAGGTCAGTCAGAAGTTCCAAATGCCAAATGCTGAACTTGGAGGCTGTTTCCAGGGATGTCTTTATTTTCTGAGCTTTACAATCCATGGACACATAAGTGTGGGTACAAATACATTAGTGAAACTTCCACTAAAATTGGATTACTTCATGAGAAATCAAGGTGCTGCCAACAGTAATGCTTTACTCTGGCTTTCAACAAAGCCACACCCACCTCTGTTCCCTCCCAAATTGTCAAAGCAACAGGATAAACACTGCAGTTCAGTGGTCTGCCAGACCCAGGTTCAAATCTCAGCTCAGCCACTTAACAGTTTCTGACCTAGGACATATCATTGAACTTTTTGGTCAAGTAATGTAATACCAATTTCTATCTTGTTGGATTCTTAAGAGGATTTAATTAAATAATACATGTAAAGCACTTGTTAAAATTCCTGCTATATACATGCATAAAAATACTTACATTATCTCAAGTATTATTTTTCATATAATTGATAATTGTTGCATTTTTAGCATTTTTTTTAGCCAGCGGTGAACTTGAGTGATAAGTTCACCACTGGCTAAAACATGGAAAAATTGTGTGTTTGTGTGCGTATACACACACATATATAGTATTTATATACACATATAAGGTATATATACATATACATGGTGTATATATACATATATAAAACTAAAACCTTCCACTTCCAAGGTTCTTTCTATTCTACTTGTACTACCCAAGAATAGATTTTTAAAAGCATTTTTAGCTACTCAATAAAATATACTAAAATTAAATATATTGAGCAGGAAGAACACTAGATGTTTTTCCAAAGGAGTATACACAAACCAATTCTAACACTTAGAGTGCACATAAATAATACAGAGTAACTCTTTGTCTCAGTTTATATATGCAAAATCATCCTAAACTGCAAGTGTTGCTTGTATCAAAGAGGTAAAATCTTGTCAAGTTCTCCCCTGGAGGATTCTAATCAGCAGGTCTCTCTAGTTCAGAAGTGATAAAGTGTTGTGAGTAACCCAGCTTTCTTAGAATTGAAACAAGTTTATTTTTCAGTTCTCCCAAGTAGGGCAATATTAGGAAGGTTTTCTCCATAAAGAAATGTCAGCCCTGACCTCAGGTACTATGGCGATAGTGAGCTAATGGTATAAAGAGGAACATAACTCCCTCATGACCCATTCTATGTGCGAGTTCAGAAAGTTCTCAGACCCGTTCATACATATAACAGCAGGCTATCATTCATTCATCCCAACCTGCAATGCATTTCTACACTATTATCTTTGTTTAAAAAATTCTCCTGAGATTTGTTCCATGTTTCTAAATTCAATTAAAGTAAATTTAGTTGGAATGATCTGTGAAGGAAAAGTAATCAAGTAAATTTAATTTTCTGCTTTACTGAGGGTTAACTAGAAAATATTTTTGTTTTTATCTTATTGTTTAAAATGTATGCACATGCTTTTCTCCTTTAGGAATTACAATACCCAACAATTCACTTTGTTTTTTTTGTAAAGTGATATGGTAGAACAAACTTATCTCTAAAGTCCCCGCCGTATTTAATATTCTGTGAATCTGGCATCAATAAACAACCTAACAGGGACGAGAAGAACCCCAAAACAGGCTGTACAATGCCATGCTTACTATAAACAATGCTCCCACTGCAGATTTATTTAAAATATTGTCTTGACACTTTTCCTGAAGCTAGGATGATGGCATAGTGGTAGGCAAAGTTTCAGATCCAGTTCAACTGAGGCTCGTAAGGACAAAAGATTCTAAGTAAGTTTGGGTTGCCAGGGCACCAGAAAATGCCATCTCAGGAGGAGAACCTACATCAGTTGCCATTTCCTCTCAGGCTAATGCTCTGAAGGTCAACAGAAACACTTGAATGTCTTTGCTGTGACTTCAGAAGTATAGAGTGAGTCGTTTAATCCACAATTATCTTATTAGCAGGAATCTGAAACCAAAGAGGAAGGTTATCAACTGTTTGGATTTTATTTCCAGTCTAAGTACCATCTTATTCAGCTGTTACCTCCATCTCAACAAAGACAGCCATTAGGTGCCTAAGAGGTAGATGAATTTCATGGATATTTTTATTCTGGAAGGGAAGAGGAGAAGTGGTATAAAACATTCTTGCTGACTCTATGCTGATATGCTGGATGTTTACTTTGAAATCCACCATTTCTTGGATACTTGTCATGGTTCATAAAAGAGATTGATGGCTCCATTATCTCTGAGATGCTTGTGTGTAATTCCTATTAGTGTTAGCAGGAGTTGCAGCAGCAGAACAATTTGGGAGCTTAGTTTTTGTCTTGCTCTAAAGAGTTATGTTGAAAATCAACTTTCAGGTAAACCACAAAAAGGCCAACCTATCCACTTAGAGATTTTGCAAATAGTTCTTTTCCACAGATGCAGAATGTTAGAGCTGGGAGAGATTTAGAAACAAGTATAACTTTCTCAACTTATAGATGTGACAACTAAGTTGTAAAGAGGGCATCACATTTGCTCAAAGTGATGGAGCTAGCCATATGCAGGAAGTCGTGACTGTATCTCAGGACTCCTGACTTTTTTCTATCACTTTTTATCTCCAGTATAATTTTTGATCCAATTAGAAATTTAAGAATTGAATGACATAACTTCAGATAAGATAATACAATATGGTCTTCTATTTCTAGAAATCTTGGAATAACAAAAACTGGACTTAACCTCCCACCATAAACAAACAGAAAACCAGATAAAATACGTAAAAAAATTGTTTGTAGAGACTAGATTGCAGGATGGTACACCTCAGGAAAAGAGGAACAAAGTCCTATTTTCCTGACCATGAAGGAAACCAAAACAAGGCCCTGTTGGCTTACCGAGTTAAGCAGATAGAGAACCAGGATCAAGGAGACTGAGAGTTTTGGAAGTTACAGGACAGAATTTTGAAAAGGAGGGAAATGTACAAAACAGAAGAACTCCAAGGATCTATGCAGGGGTGTGTTGCTCGGTGTCATGGTACCATATATAAAATGAAACTCTAAACACCTAGATAGAAAAGAACCAGTGAGTCATAGCTAAAAAATTTCCAGAGCTCACGTAGAGTGGACAGATGTCTGACCACTGACAAATGAGTTCCATTATGCAGATGCTCTGCTCCATCATTTTATTTTAATTTTGCTGTTTTTTTTTTCTCGTTGTGTATTTGTGTAATTTCCAATTTTTGGCCAAAATTTCTCCTCTGTTTATACGTGTTAGCCTCTTTTTCAACTGGATTCTTTAACAAATCAATCATCGCAATTTTAAAATCCCTGTGTTATGATTCCAACACCTGAGTAACCTCTGACTCTGGTTCTGTTGATTGTTTGGTCTCTTGATAATGACTTGATTTTACCTGATTTCTTTTATATCTTCAAATTTTATTGAAATCAAGGCATCTTGTCTAAAACAGGAGAAATCGAAGTAAATACTATTTTTACCTGGGCATTAATCCAGTTCAAATTCCTCTAAAAATGGTTTGGACTTAACAGCATGAGTGGATTTAATGACTGTTTTTCTCAGTATCAGAGAGCTACCATCAGTTTTCTGTTAATTCTGAAAGCCCATGCTGTAGAAGAGGTTCCTTGCCATGTACTTGCTTTCTCCTTTGTTAGGATGTTTCTATTTATTATGCATAATTTTTATGAGCCTCGTATCCAGAAGAAGGAGATGTCCTCTGTGTTCTGGGTTCAATCTCAGTCCTAACCCCTGTTTGCTCAAGTCTTGAGGATAGAACATTCTTAGCATTCTTTCATCTTCTCCTGTGGTAGCCAATCTCTACAATATAGCTGTGCCAGGCCATGTGCTGGAAGATTTACTGTCCCACCCTTATTGGTAGAAGGCTTTAATTGTACTGGCATAAGATCCTAGGATCAGGATCCCTTGTTGCCTCTACTATAGAGGTAGGGGACATTTTTCTTCCTCTTTATTTTTCCCTTGGGAACAATGGGTCTTTATAGGACAACAAGATTTTCTGTCCCAGCTTCGGCGATGTGTCTTTTCTGGGAAGAATCTGGTGACAGACCATAATCTATTTCCTGCCATGGCAACCAATTTTCTTCTTCATACCTGCACCACTGAGGGAGTCTCTGTTCAATCTTCTTCCCTGCCCTGAGTCCTTATACGCACCAGGTGGAGGTCCTTTGAAAAAAAGCCTGCAAGTGAATCATTTTTTGTCATACCAGTCCATACTCATCCTTTAAAAATTCATTAATATTTTCACTGATTGCTTCTTACTAGCTTCTATGATGGCTACTTCTTGTACTCTGCCACAGGTTACAGAAACACCTGTCCTATCTATCCTGGTAGGAGAGAAAGAGACTCTTTATATTTGGATTTCAGGTTATATGTTTACTGTGCAATTTTAGGTATCTTATAGGTTTGAGAAAAAACTGTTTGTAGTTTACCCACCTTCTGTTCATTGTTAGTATAGCAACAGTGAAAATTTCCAGCCAATGTAATAGGACAAGAAAAAGAAATAACACGTTTAATAAATTAAAAATAAAAGTAATATTATTCATTTAAAATACCATTGATATGTAGATAAATTCAATTATATGTACGCAAATTTAGCAAGGCTACTCAATAGCAGGTTAATGTAGACATATGTTGCTTAACAACAGACATACACTCTGAAAAATGTGCTTGGCAAGTTCAGTGTGTGAACATCATAGAGTGTACTTGTACAAACCTAGATGGCATAACCTACTACAGACCACATTGTGTGGTATGGCCTATTGCTCCTAGGCTTCAAACCTGTACAGCATGTTATTGTACTAAATACTGTAGGCAATTGTAACAAAATGGTATTTGTGTATCTACACAGATCTAAACAGAGAAAAGGTACAAAAAAATACAGTTTCATAATTTTATGTGACTACCACTGTATTATGCTATGATACGTTATGTGGTGTATTAAGATATATAAGCATAAATAATATTTTATAGTGGAAACAAATTATAAAATAAATAAAATTTATAATTGTGAAAAGAGAAGACGTAGGCTTGAACTTAATAAAAGTTGTTTATAGCCTCCTTAAAGAAAATTAAATTATATTAACAAGTGTTATTCTCATGGATTAGGACACTTAATATAGTCAAATTGTCAATTATCTTGAAATTGATCTAAAGATTCAATACAATCACAATAAAAATTGTAGCATTTTTTTTTATTTGTGAAAAATTTAAAGCTGATTCCAAAACATGCAGGAAGATGCAAAGGGCAAAGACAGATAACACCACGTTAATAAATAACAATATTGAAGGCCATACACTACCAGTGAATCTTTTTTAAAAATAAAAATAATTAAAACTGTGGTGTTAGAGCAAAACTGATAAACAAACGATACAAAGTAGAGTCCAGAAACAAAAAAAGTACAGTCAATTGATTTAATGTAAAGATTACACACTAAAATTATAAAGAACTATATTTTTTTTGAAATAACTTTAGTTTCACTTACAGTTATAAGAAATAATACAGAAAGATTCCATGTAGTCCTTACAAAGTTTCATCTGATGCTAACATCTTGAAAACTATATTATAATATCACATCCCAGATGTTAGAGCAATATAGTCAAGAGACAGAACATTTTCATGACTATGAAGATCACTTCTATCGCCCTTTCATAGCCAGACACACTGCCCACCTTTCCTTTCTAACTGCTGGAAACCACTAGTCTTTTCTCTATCCCTATAATTTTGTTACTTCAAGAATGTTATATAAATACAATCATACAGCATGTGACCTTTGAGATTGGCTTTTCTCATTCAGCATAAGTTTCTGGCGATTCATCCAAATTTGGGGGTTTATCAATAGTGTCTTCTTTTTTCATTGCTGAATAGTAGTTCATGGTATAGATGAAGGACAATTTGTGTACCTAATCACTGACTGAAGGACATCTGGTCACAGTATCTCATGGTAAAAAATGATAATACTTTATTGGAGATGAAGAGTAGTGAACTTCAGGTAAATTTTAGAGTTACAACCAACAAGGCTTGTCAAAGCATTAGCTGTGGGAACTGAGAAAAGAGATACAAATTGCTCGTTTTTTTTTTTGTTTGTTTAATTTTTTTGTTTTTTGTTTTTGTTTTGTTTTGTTTTGTTTTGTTTTGAGACAGAATCTTATTCTGTTTCCCAGGCTGGAGTCCAGTAGCATGATCTCAGCTCATTGCAACATCCGCCTCCTGGGTTCAAGGGATTCTCCTGCCTCAGCCTCCTGAGTAGCTGGCACTACAGGCATGCACCACCATGCTCGGCTAATTTTCGTGTTTTTAGTAGAGATGGGGTTTCACCATCTCAGCCAGGCTGATCTTGAACTTCTGACCTCAAGTGATCTGCCCACCTCAGCCTCCCAAAGTGCTGGGATTGCAGGCATGAGCCACCGTGCCTGGCTCCAAATTGCTAGTTTTTTAGCACTGGGAGAGGAGTTGCCTTTCTTGTGTAGAGTTGATGCTGCTGCTATTACTGAGTTTTGAAGACTGAGAAAAAAGCAATTCAGCAAAAATTAGTGGAAAAACGTTTTGATACATCTTAAGAGTGATACCAGCAAGATGACTGACTAGAGCTACTTGATTCTTATTCCCCCCAACAAAAAGGGGCCCAAACAAAAAATAACTATATTTCAACTGGAGTGACTGCAGTTGTATGCTGGAGAGTACCATGGGAAGGGTAAAATCTCTATGGAGTGTGGAAACCCAGAATAGCACCATACAGAGGGGAGTGAGGCATTTTGCCTCTGCCACATTCTCTACCCTACAAGGTTCAGCTCAAAGTCAGGGAGGACCTCTTCCTATGCGGGAAAAGTAAGCTGGAGATTCCCAACAGTCCTCATTACCACCACGAATGCCAGGAATCCTTGCTATAGGAGAGCCCTTCAATCCTCACAGGCCCCAAATCCTGTCTAGAGATTTAGCTGGGAGTTTGTGCAGCTGCATTTAAGAAGACGGAGGTCATATGAAACATGGTTTCAGACCACAGTGGCCTAAAACTAGAAGTCAGCAAAACAAAAAGCTTTGGAAACCTTACAAATATATAGAAATTAAATAATATGTTTCTAAGTAACCAATGGGTCAATAAAGAAATTAAAAGGCAAATGAAGTAATTCCTTGAGACAAATGAAAATGGAAACACATCATGCCAAAACCTATAGGACACAGCAAAAGCATTTATAAGAGGAAATCTAATCGCAATAAACACCTACATCAAAGAAACAGAAAGTTTCCTAATAAACCACCTAACCATGCACATCAAAGAACGAGAAAAACAAGAACAAACTAAACCAAAAGTTGGTAGAAGAAAGGAAATAAAGCTGAGAGCAGAAATAAAGGAAAGAGACTGTAAAAAACAATTCAAAAGATCCACAAAACTGTTTTTTTTGAAAGAATAAAGAAAACTGATAAACTTTTAGGTAGAATAACAAAAAAGAGAAAAGACACACATAAATAATATCTGATAAAAAAATGAGACATTACAACTGATAACACAAAAATGCAAAGGATCATGTTTACTATGAACATACACACACCAACAAATTTGAGAACATAGGAGAAATAGGTAAATTTCTGGACAAATAAAATCCACCAAGATTAAAATATGAATAGAAAATCTGAACAGAACAACGAGTGAGGCAATTAAATAAGCAATAAAAAGGATTTCATTATATAAAAAGACCAGGACCCGATGGCTTCACCATTGAAATCTACCAGGCACTTAAAGAACTAATACCAATTCTACTCAAAATAGTCATGGAAATTGAAAAGGAAGGGATAATTTCAAACTCATTTTAGGAGACTACGATTACCTTAATTCCAAAACCAGGCAAATCACCACCAAGAAAAAGAAAATTACAAGCTAATATCCCTACAGAACATAGATGCAAAAATCCTCAAGACACTAGCAAATCAAATTCAATAGCACATCACAAAGATTATTTACAATGATCATGTAAGTTTCACCCCAGGGATACAAAGATGATTCGACACATGCTAATCAATAAATGTGATACTTTAACAACAACAAAAAAACTATACAATCATTTGAATAAATGCAGAAAAAGCATTTGACAAAATTCAACATCCCTTCATAATAAAAACTCTCAACCAATTAGTTCTAAAACATATATACCTCAACACAATAAAGGTCATGTATGACAAACCCACAGCTAAAATCATACTGAATGAGGAAAAGCTCCTTAACCAAGGAGATGAATGGTCTCTATAATGAAAGCTATAAGATCAGGAACAAGACAAGGATGTCCACTTTTATCATTCCTATTCAACATAGTATTAGGAGTCCTAGCCAGAAAGATTAAATAAAATAAGTAAATAAACATATACAAATCAGAGAGGAGAAAGTCAAATCGTTCCAGTTTGCAGGTGACATAAACTAAACTTATACAGAGGAAACTCCAAAGACTTTATCAGAAACCTGTAAGATATGGTGGTTCATGCCTGTAACCCCAGCACTTTGAGAGGCTGAGACAGGGGGATGACTTGAGGTCAGAGTTGGAGACCAGCTTGGCCAAAATGGTGAAACCCCATTTCTACTAAAAATACAAAAAATTAGCGTGGTATGATGGTCCGGTGCCTGTAATCCCAGCTACTCAGGAGGCTGAGGCAGGAGAATGGCTTGAACCCAGGAGACAGAGGTTGTGGTGAGCCGAGATAGCTCTACACTACACTCCAGCCTTGGCAACAGAGTGAGACTGTCTCCAAAATAATAATAATAATAATTCTGTAAGAACTAATAAACAAATTCAGTAAAGTCACAGGATACGGAAATCAGTAGCATTTCAATATGCGAATGGTAAACTATCTGAAGAAAATAATTTCACCTAGGATAGCCACAGGAAATAAAAAACCCACTAGGAATAAACCGAACCAAAGAGGTGAGAGATCTCTATACTGAAAATTATAAAACATTGATGAAAGAAATTGAGAAAACACAAATAAAGGGAAATGTATGCCAGCTCACAGATGGGAATAATTATTATTAAAATGGCCTCCTACCAAAACAATATACAGATTTAATGCAATCTCTATGAAAATATCAAAGACATTCTTCACAGAAATAGAGAAACATACTACTAAAATGTATACAGAACTACAAACAATCCCAAATAGCCAAAGCAATTCTGAACAAAAAGAACAAAGTTGGAAGCATCACACTACCTGACTTCAAAACGTAGTACAAAGCTTTAGCAACCAAAACAGCATGATACTGACATAGAAACTGACACATAGACCAATAGAATAGAATAGAGAGCCTAGAAATACCGTAAATTTATGCACGTATAGCCAATTGATTTTTGGTTTTTGACAAAGGGGCCAAGAACACATATTGGAAAAAAGACAGTCTCTTCAGTAAATAGTGCTGAAGAAATTAGATATCCACATGTGGAAGAATGACTAGACCCCTACCTCACCATATATAAATATAAATTAAAAATGGGTTAAAGGCTTACATATAAAATCCAAAACTATGAAACCACTATAAGAAAACATCGGGGAAACACTTGACAACACTGGGCCGGACAAGGGTTTGTTAACCAAGAACTCAAAGGCATAGGCAACAAAATCAAATACAAATAGGACTACCTCAAACTAAAAAGCTTTTGCACAGCAAATGAAACAGTGAACAGAGTGAAGAGACAACCTACAGAATGGGAGAAAATAATTGCAAACTATACATCTGACAAGGGTTTAGAATCCAGAAGATATAGAGAACTTAAAACAACTTAAGAGTGAAAAAGCAAAAGGTGGTGGCTCGTATTCCCATGTTGGAGGCGAAGGCGGGTGGATCGCTTGAGCTCCAGGGTTTAAGACCAGCCAGGGCAACATGGTGAAACCCCATCTCTACTAAAAATACAAACATTAGCTGGGCATGGTGGTGCATGCCAGTAGTCCCAGCTACTTGGGAGGCTGAGGTGGGAGGATCACTTGAGTCTGGGAGGTGGAGGTTGCAGTGAGCCGAGATCATGCCACTGTACTCTAGCCTGGGTAACAGAGCTAGACCCTGTCTCAAAAAATAAGAACAAAAAGAAAAAATTTAAAAAATGGGCAAAAGATTTGCATAGGCATTTCTTTGAGGACTGACATTCAAATGGCCAACACGTACATGAAGAAATGCTTAACATCACTCATCATCAGGGAAATGCAAATCAAAACCACATATGAGATAACACCTCACTCAAATTAGAATGGCTGTACTCTAAAAGGCAAAATAAAGCAAGTGTTGGTGAGAATGTGGAGAAAAGGGAACACATAAACACTGTTGATGGGATTGTAAATTAGTACAGCCATTAGGAAAAAAAACGGTATGGAGATTCCTCAAAAAAATTAAAAATTGGAGCTATTATGAGCCACAATCCTACTGCTGGATGTGTATCCAAATGAATAAAATAAATATGTTGATGAGATATCTGCCCCTCCATGTTTTTGTAGTGCTACTTACAATAGCCAAATATAAAATCGCCCAAAATGTCTAACAACAAATAAACACACAAAAAATATGGTTTATATACACAACGGAATAGTATTTAGCCATTAAAAGAATGAAATTCTGTCATTTGTAACAACATCGATGAATGTGAAAGACATATTAAATGACATAAGCCAGACACAGAAAGACAAATACTACATGCTCTCACTCATATGTAGAATCTTAAAAAAAAAAAAAAGTTGATGTCATAGAAGCAGAGTGTAGACATTTACCAGGCTACCAGAGCCTGGGGATGAGTGAAGGGATGAGAAGGATAGTCAGATAGCCAGTGGGTTCAAATGGGTAGAAAGTTACAATTAGAAAGAATAAATTCTGGTGTTTTATTGCACAGTGGGGGTGATAATGTTTAACAATAAGGTATTGTATATGATAAAATGGCAAGAAGAGAGCCTTTTGAAAGTCTTCACAACAAAGAAATGATAAATGCATGATAAATGATAAATATTCTGACTTGATCATTATATAACATATATGTATATCAAGACATAAAGTTTTACCCCATAAATATGTATGACAATCTGTCAATTACAAAAATAAAAATAAAATAAAATTCCTAAAAAGTGAATAAAAATGTTATTTTGTATGTAACTTAGATGTTTATTTTATATCCAAAAAGATGTTTCTACTTTAGTGTAATTAACCTAGCTGTTCTTTGTTAGAAAGGCCCTCTGACTTTTGCATAACTGGTTCTTCTTATTTAGGTCTCAACTTATATCTCACCTTCCCAAAGACCCTTTCTCTAACCACTACTCTAAAGTAGCTACTCATTTACTCTCCATTATCCTGTGGTAATTTTCTAGATAGCTTTATTGCTGCAGATACTATCTGGTACTTGAGATAGTATATGCTGAACAAGAGTAAGACTTCAAATAGTGTTTAACACCTAATAGAGGCCTAATGTAAATATTTATGCAGTGAAGGAACATTGCTGGACACATAATCTAGTAGATGTGTAGAGCTGGAGACCAATAGGTATTATCAGAGATGATAATACTTACATTACGTATTTATTAGGATTAGCAGTAATGAATGACAATTTCTTGGCAGTATTTGGCACATGGTGGCACTCTGTGAATGGCAGACAAAATGATCATTTCTACTAACATGGGCTACCTAAGCAATTTTGCCTTTTCAGTTAGCAAATTGTGTGACATCAGCTATTTAAAGAAAGGGAATATTTGGTATTGGAATAAATATTTGGAATAAAGAAGGGTACAGTATTTTCTTTTAGTAATAATAATGAAGTCCATCTGTGTTTACATAACTAAACTTGAATGTGTTCATTTTGCTTCTCCTGAATTCAGTCTAAAAAAACACAGGCTTATCATAATAGACATCAGAAATATTAACTAAACACACAAAAAAATGCACATTAAAACTAATGACTGAAACTGGCATTGAGATATACAACACAGTCACTTATGCAACAGTGGAGCAGCTGCCTTTATGTTGTGTGCTCTGGGACCTATGCAATAAGCCCGAATTGCCAATACCTAGGTTGTGTTACTTCCTTATCCTGTTAATTTTCTGGATATTAGTTGTTGGTAATCACACTCCTTTTGATTGTTTTATATCCATTATGAAGCAATATCATGCCAGATTGATCTGTCATTTATAGGGTGATCAAAGGGAATGAAATGAGCAATTTTGAATGTTGAACAGCAAGGCTGTGTAGAGCTGAAGCTTTGCTAGGACTCTGGTCTTGTGCGTCATCATAATTATGATTATTTACAAGCTTTCTGAATGATCCCATGGCGATCTTGGGGTGGGCACTTTATTTTTTGTCATTAAGATAGAAGTTGTAATACTGAAAGCATCTTTTTCCCCCTGTCTTTGGCCTCCTGTTACCACCCTATATCAGAACCCCTCAACTTGTTAAAGGTTTGCTTTTAAAATGGAAATAGGGGTGCACTTAAAGCATTTGGAGAAAATCATGTTGTCTCTGTCCTAGAAAAATATTCCCTCTACAAGGAGGAAAAATCTCTCTGGAGACTACATTTTTCAATTCTGGAGGGTCGCATGTTTGAAATGTTAATATGATTTTACGGATGAAAACTTTACCTGCAAAACATTTCTAAAATATGTGCCTGTCAAATTTATTTTTCCCCTAGAGGCAGTCCTCCCCACACATCAAAGGCAGCTCCTCTCTTGGAGACAGCCCTCTGCAATGAAGGAAGTGAGACTTTCTGTTACAAGGATACATGGCTCACACTGTTCGATTATCGTAAACTCTCCATTATCCAGTGTTTAGAGAGAGAATAATCCAAAAACCAATTCTTCTTATGAAGCATTTCCTTAGAATATTTGTATTATACCATTGTGATCTTGGAAATGTCCATCTCTCTGGTTTAGACAGACCAAAATACATTCATTTTCTTCCTGACCTTATATAGCCCCAATCATTATAAGAATGCAACTTCTCTCAAGATGCTGCAAAGCAAATCTATAGAAAATAGCTGAGCCATATGAATAATGGCAATGAACTAGAGCAGTAATTTTCATACCTTACAGGGCAGTGGATCAATATCCACTGGAAGGTAAGTTCCCAGGTGAGGCTGATGCTGCTGACCCAGGGACCACACTTTTAAAGGCATTGGTTGGGAGTGAAAATCTACAGTCTGTCTCTGCTGCAATTCCTTCTTGTAGTTCCACTTCACTGTGGTGTCTGCTGTGCATTAGTTCAGAGTATTCATCTTTTACTGGAATTATTTTACATGGATTCTCATTGGAATAAAGTTCAGTGAGTCTTTGTTGCTTGCAACCCAAACTGAATGAAAGTAAAAAGACACCGTCTCCTTAAAAAAAAAAAAAAAAAAATCGCTTACAGAGTAACTACTCTGTGTATATACATTTTCATGTGTGTGTGTTATAGAAGTTACAAAATAGTCAGAAGTCTGGTCTCAGTCCTGTTTAGGTTTATAGTTTTAATGTAGGGCAGCAGGGATCTTTGAATGTGTCTTTTCTTCAATTTCTTTGTGGTCAAATTCAAGTTGGAAGTAACTAAATAGTAACAACCACATTTATGTCAAGGTAGTAAAAAGGTGGAAGAGCCAAGTAAATTTGAGAAAATCATTCTTAACCTTTCCCTTCATTCAGCTCAAACCTATACAATAGTAATTTTCCCCAGCCCTTTCTACTCTCCAGGGTAAGTACTAGGGAAGAGGCTGATGCCACTATGCATTACTTTACATGAGAAGAATCAAATTTTACACTGGTGAGATATTGAGATCCTGACACTGGTACTCAATCTTCTACATTTCTCTATTGGCTTACATCAGTTGTCAAAGGTTGTGGATCATGTATTGTCTACTTTCCTAACACATGTCTTCTGCTGGTTTGTTTGTATTTGGTGTGGGGATGGGGGAGTGAAATATGAAGCTGCGTTACCCTTCAAAGTCAGCTCTTCCTCCTGTGATTCTTGATGCCTAGACTAGGAATGTGGGTGAGAGAAAGTAGGACAGCCATATTTTAGGGACTCAAGTCGAAACTGTGTTTGCTAGTCTCAATAAGTAAAGACTCTGTAATCACTGTGACCTCTTTGTTGTATATATGACTTGACTTCATCTAGCTCCAGGTGAAAATATTAGTCTCATTGAAAAAAAAAATCCTGTGAAATATGGGAAGTTATTGGACTTTTAGAATTTGGGCTGGCAAATGTTGAGAGTAAAGCTAGAGAAGAGCCATCCTGGGAGGTATCTTGAGGCCAGGCATCCAGTTTCATGCAAGGAAAAACCAACTAGTACAAGGAAGGTGACGTGAGTGACACCAGGCTGGATATTCACAATCCAGGCTCATAAACATCCTTCTACTGTACAAAATAAACAGAATGAATAAGACCTACTCTATATATTATAGCACTATATGGTGACTATAGTTAATAATAGTCATACATTTTAAAATAGCTTGAAGAGTGTAATTGGATTATTTGTCTCTTACAGGATAAATGTTTGAGGGGATGGATAACCTATTCTCCATGATGTGCTTATTTCATGTATATTTTGCATGGCTGTATCAAAACATCTCACATACCCCAACAAAATACATCCTTTCTACCCACAAAATTAAAAAATAATAATAAAATCCAGACTAGGCATCCAGGCTTGGGAGCTCTACCCTGGTAACAAGAGCATCATCTATCTGAGGAGCATACACATTGTTGAAAGAATTTTGTCTGAGGATAAAGCATAAGACCACAGAAATAAAAGTCCCAGCCTAGAGGCATGGAGAGAAGAGAGGAGGAGGAAGTAATAATGAAGGTAGAAGGAAGTGATGCTTACATCAGCAGTTATTTTGTTTGTTTCCTGTTCCATAGTATAACCTAGTGGCTTAGGGATATGTCCATATTTTCAAAGATTTCTCTAAGAACCAATATTTTTGTTTGTTTTATTTTCATTTTATGTATATTTGTTGGTTTTGAGATGGAACAAGAGTTGTCTGCCACGTTCTAATACATTGATAAAAGTATTAATAGTTTGCTTTTTGTAATGTAATCTTGCCAGACCAAAAGTATTTTGTGTTTTGTTCAATTTTTTGTAAGTTCCATGTTTGCTTGTTTTGTGCTTATGAGCAAGAGTGAAAGTGAGAATGCAATATTTTTCCAAAACCACCTAAGGGAAGAAATCACTGGATACAAATTATTGATTGCATGCCCCCCTAGTGGGCTTGTTATCCTATTGACAGTTTGTTCAAGATCACAAATTAATGCTGTATCTTCTAGGAGAAATATGATAGTCATTCAATGTTGAGTAAATCCATATATTAAAGCCAAACATTGATAAATAATGTAGACCAATAATCCCGAAAAGGCATATTTCCATATTTCCTGGAAGGGTGACAACATGCTACTACTTTAATGGTTCTCACTATTGCCATCTCATATGTGTGAATGATGTTTCAGGGGTTAAGGCTCTGATTTATTAATTAGAATGCAGTTTTCAGTGTGCTAATATTACCCTGAGTTGAATGATAAGCACATATTTTATATATGAGGTTTGGCAATTGCAAAATATTTTAAGTCGAATTGAAATATGTAAAGCATGAAAATCTCTCAAAGGTATAGAGGATTCGGATCACTTCCTTACGTACTGGCAGCTTAAAAACAAAATTAGCATTTGTTTTATAAAGGATGAAGCAAAACAGAGTATTACTTTAAAAGCAACTTTTTTTTTTCTTTGCTTGGAGAGCTTCTTCCATCTGCTGGCCCCTGCTCCCAACCCGAACTCAGAAATTTGAATCATGTTTCTTTTCTATGTATGTCCTTGTTCGGCAACAGCACCAGGCAAGGGTATTTTTTACACACATAACTCTTCTCTTTCATTCCTAAGGGAAACCTGCTCAATAAATCTCTCCTAATTAATAACCTTTATTTTTTCCTGAAAGTCCTCTATACAGGCCAAATGGGCAACCACTTTGTGTGTGTATGAGTTGCTTATTTTTTATTTTTTTAGTTTTTGTGAAGTCTATAGTTATTTCAATTTCAAAGTTCTCACCCACCCCCTTATCTGTTTTTCATGGTTTGAATGTGCATATTATGTTTCCAAATTGTGAGACTAATGTTAGTGACATAAAATACACTTTCAAAACCAGGAAAGGCCTCAAACTTAGGGTTGGCTGTATTTCCTAGTACCAACTTCATAATGGAGCTCTCTAGTATGTAAGCGGATTAACTACTCATTGGTTGCCCTTCAAATGTTTGTATAGTGGAAAACATGATACCATCTGATGTCAACATGGCATAAAAATGAGGACAGATTATTTTATAGTGTTTAGATTTTGTTTTTGTCTCTTAAGTGTCAACAAAAAAACAGTAAGAAGCAATGACATGTTGGTTAAAAGAAGGTACTTTCTAACTCCACAGATGAGTAATCGGTGGGATTGTGATAAATAAAGATGAGAATTCCACCTGTGTCAACATTCTAGGGGAGTTGAGAAACTCTCTGTCCCCAAGCACAGGAAAAGTCTCCATGCTTCCTAAGAGTTGCATTTGTATTTTTCCATCTGCATAATTAAACTATCCTGTAACTCCGCACTAACATGGATGTTAGAACCCAGACCTAGGAGGGGAGCTCAAAAGCCTGTCTTTGCCAGGCTTCAAGGCAACTCCTCCATTACCCGCCAACATTCGGTTGAATCAAGGGAGCTTCAGTCATTTAGCAAAGAATTGTTTAAACATCTATGCCTCTAAAATCAGAGCAGAACTGAAGGAAATAGAGACACAAAAAACCCTTCAAAAAATTAATGAATCCAGGAGCTGGTTTTTTGAAGGGATCAACAAAATTGATAGACCACTAGAAAGACTAATAAAGAAAAAAAGAGAGAAGAATCAAATAGACGCAATAAAAAATGATAAAGGGGATATCACCACCGATCCCACAGAAATACAAACTACCATCAGAGAATACTACAAGCACCTCTACGCAAATAAACTAGAAAATCTAGAAGAAATGGATAAATTCTTCGACACATACACTCTCCCAAGACTAAACCAGGAAGAAGTTGAATCTCTGAATAGACCAATAACAGGAGCTGAAATTGTGGCAACAATCAATAGCTTACCAACCAAAAAGAGTCCAGGACCAGATGGATTCACAGCCGAATTCTACCAGAGGTACAAGGAGGAACTGGTACCATTCCTTCTGAAACTATTCCAATCAATAGAAAAAGAGGGAATCCTCCCTAACTCATTTTATGAGGCCAGCATCATCCTGATATCAAAGCCGGGCAGAGACACAACCAAAAAAGAGAATTTTAGGCCAATATCCTTGATGAACATTGATGTAAAAATCCTCAATAAAATACTGGCAAACCAAATCCAGCAGCACATCAAAAAGCTTATCCACCATGATCAAGTGGGCTTCATCCCTGGGATGCAAGGCTGGTTCAATATACGCAAATCAATAAATGTAATCTAGCATATAAACAGAACCAAAGACAAAAACCACATGATTATCTCAATAGATGCAGAAAAGACCTTTGACAAAATTCAACAACACTTCATGCTAAAAACTCTCAATAAATTAGGTATTGATGGGACGTATCTCAAAATAATAAGAGCTATCTATGACAAACCCACAGCCAATATCATACTGAATGGGCAAAAACTGGAAGCATTCCCTTTGAAAACTGGCACAAGACAGGGATGCCCTCTCTCACCACTCCTATTCAGCATAGTGTTGGAAGTTCTGGCCAGGGCAGAATTAGGCAGGAGAAGGAAATAAAGGGTATTCAATTAGGAAAAGAGGAAGTCAAATTGTCCCTGTTTGCAGATGACATGATTGTATATCTAGAAAACCCCATTGTCTCAGCCCAAAATCTCCTTAAGCTGATAAGCAACTTCAGCAAAGTCTCAGGATACAAAATCAATGTACAAAAATCACAAGCATTCTTATACACCAATAACAGACAAACAGAGAGCCAAATCATGAGTGAACTCCCATTCACAATTGCTTCAAAGAGAATAAAATACCTAGGAATCCACCTTACAAGGGACGTGAAGGACCTCTTCAAGTAGAACTACAAACCACTGCTCAATGAAATAAAAGAGGATACAAACAAATGGAAGAACATTCC
The DNA here is from genome assembly GCF_000001405.40 of Homo sapiens. Lineage (NCBI taxonomy): Eukaryota > Metazoa > Chordata > Mammalia > Primates > Hominidae > Homo > Homo sapiens. The sequence goes on from NC_000018.10 coordinate 44,276,781, forward strand.
ATGCTCATGGGTAGGAAGAATCAATATCATGAAAATGGCCATACTGCCCAAGGTAATTTACAGATTCAATGCCATCCCCATCAAGCTACCAATGACTTTCTTCACAGAATTGGAAAAAACTACTTTAAAGTTCACATGGAACCAAAAAAGAGCCCGCATTGCCAAGTCTATCCTAAGCCAAAAGAACAAAGCTGGAGGCATCACGCTACCTGACTTCAAACTATACTACAAGGCTACAGTAACCAAAACAGCATGGTACTGGTAACAAAACAGAGATATAGATCAATGGAACAGAACAGAGCCCTCAGAAATAACGCCGCTTATCTACAACTATCTGATCTTTGACAAACCTGACAAAAACAAGCAATGGAGAAAGGATTCCCTATTTAATAAATGGTGCTGGGAAAACTGGCTAGCCATATGTAGAAAGCTGAAACTGGATCCCTTCCTTACACCTTATACAAAAATCAATTCAAGATGGATTAAAGACTTAAACATTAGACCTAAAACCATAAAAACCCTAGAAGAAAACCTAGGCAATACCATTCAGGACATAGGCATGGGCAAGGACTTCATGTCTAAAACACCAAAAGCAATGACAACAAAAGCCAAAATTGACAAATGGGATCTAATTAAACTAAAGAGCTTCTGCACAGCAAAAGAAACTACCATCAGAGTGAACAGGCAACCCACAAAATGGGAGAAAATTTTTGCAACCTACTCATCTGACAAAGGGCTAATATCCAGAATCTACAATGAACTCAAACAAATTTACAAGGAAAAAACAAACAACCCCATCAAAATGTGGGCGAAGGATGTGAACAGACACTTCTCAAAAGAAGACATTTATGCATCCAAAAAACACATGAAAAAATGCTCACCATCACTGGCCATCAGAGAAATGCAAATCAAAACCACAGTGAGATATCATCTCACACCAGTTAGAATGGTGATCATTAAAAAGTCAGGAAACAACAGGTGCTGGAGAGGATGTGGAGAAATAGGAACACTCTTACACTGTTGGTGGGACCGTAAACTAGTTCAACCATTGTGGAAGTCAGTGTGGCGATTCCTCAGGGATCTAGAACTAGAAATACCATTTGACCCAGCCATCCCATTACTGGGTATATACCCAAAGGACTATAAATCATGCTGCTATAAAGACACATGCACACGTATGTTTATTGTGGCATTATTCACAATAGCAAAGACTTGGGACCAACCCAAATGTCCAACAATGATAGACTGGATTAAGAAAATGTGGCACATATACACAATGGAATACTATGCAGCCATAAAAGATGATGAGTTCATGTCCTTTGTAGGGACATGGATGAAGTTGGAAATCATCATTCTCAGTAAACTATCACAATAACCAAAAACCAAACACTGCATATTCTCACTCATAGATGGGAATTGAACAATGAGAACACATGGACACAGGAAGGGGAACATCACACTCTGGGGACTGTTGTGGGGTGGGGGGAGGTGGGAGGGAGAGCATTGGGAGATATGCCTAATGCCAGATGACGAGTTAGTGGGTGCAGCGCACCAGCATGTCACATGTATACATATGTAACTAACCTGCACATTATTGTGCACATGTACCCTAAAACTTAAAGTATAATAATAATAATAAAAAAAATCTGTGCCTCAGTATTACCCAAGGAGAGTTCAGAGTTATTTTCATTATACTCATGAAAGTTTCTGAGGATAATCCTCTTTTCTTTGGGTTGATAGATAAATGGGCAGCACCTTTCAGGCAGGTGTTCACCTTACAAAGAGAATCTCAAAAGCTGTTTTGCCTGACATTTCCATGTGAGGCAGTACTTTGGGTTGCCTTGGAAGTCTTAAGATCTTAGTCAGAGGGTGGTGCTGAATACATGCTTCTGGTGAGGCAATTTCTGTCTATATTCTTTTCTTCTTTGTGATTTCCCTTGTTTCATGGAAAGAGAAGAAATGGTAACAGCTACAAGCTTGGTCAATCAAGCAGGTATTTGAGACAATCTGTTTTCTGCTTAATCATATCCACAAATTAGCCCATGCAATTAAAAAATAGCCAAATGCTTTATATTTGATAAAGCCAAATGATTTATATTTGGTAAAAGACAAATAAAACACACTATATATCCACAAATTAGCCCATGCAATTAAAATATCCGCAATTAACCCATGCAATTAAAAAATAGCCACCAAATGCTTTATATTTGGCAAAAGACAAATAAAACACAGTATATATCCTCCAAGAGTCTTCAGCTTATTGCAGAGTCTCAAAGGGAAACAAAAGCCACCCACCCACCTACCACCCCCACCCTCGCCACCAACAGAGAGCTAGATATAGACAGAAGCAGTAGAAAAATACGATGGTAGTATAGTTAACTCTCTGTTGGACAGAGGTGATTTTACAGGGAAGGTGACGTATAAGCTGTACTTTGGGGGAACAAACAGCAGTTAGCAAGACAGGCATCAGGAAAAGAACAAGGAAAAAGGCTTTTTTATTTGAAAAAAATGTATTGAGCACATGCTATGTGTTAGAAACTTTGTATAGAGTATAGAGCAGTGTGAATAAAACAAGGTCATTGGTTGCATGAAGTGTTCAGTCTGATGATAAGAAGATAAACCATAAACATAATATATATCTATGACAGATAACAAGGTGGTCAGCAAAAGTTTCTACAATAAGAGGCCTTTAGAGCAGACAGGGAGGACATGTGAGAGTAAGACATTGGGATGTCTGGAGGAAGAGCCTTCCAAGCAGAGAGCAGCAAGTGCAAAAGCTCTGTGGTAAACCTATTAATTTTCAAGGAAGAGCAATTGAACAGGGGAGAGTGATTGTAGATAAGGTCAGAATAGTAGTGAGAGGTAACGTCTTGTAGCACGTTAGACCTTTGTAACAACATTGGCTTTACAGTAAGATAAATGGAAAGGTGTAAGATTTTGGCAGAGGGAAGACATGCTATAACTCATATTTAAGTTGATCTCTCTTATTGCCATTCTAAGTTTAGTTTAAGCTATAGCAGGGGTAAAGATGGAACCAGGAAGTTCAGTTAGGAGGCAAGAAAACTGGAAATAATGTGGCACGTATGGGAAAACACAGTAGGTTAATATTCTGTTTAATCTAATGTTCCTGGAGTGTAGAGGGCAATGAGGGAGAAAGGGAGACACTGAAAGTCTTGATCATCTTGATCTTGATTGGCCTCATGTGTTCTGCTACAGAGTTTGGACTTCCTTGTCGATGCAGTAGAGATCACATACAAATTTTTTAATCGGGAAATGATATGGTTATTTGGGCATTTAAAAACATAATAGTGACATCTTTGTGTTGGATGAAGTCAATATGGAAGGCAGCGCTATTAGGTGGAAAGTGAGCACAGAAAAGAGAGACTAAATGAGTTAAAGATACAGCAGTGTGGAAGAAGAATCAGGGACTAATCTGAGAGATTTTAAGAAATTTGATTTTCTATGATTCAGCCATTGAACATAGGTTAGGGTTAAAGAGAAGGGACAGTGGAATTACATTCAAGAGTCTTAGAATCTTCCTTCTGCCATTTCTGTGTCCTACTTTTGTGCTTAGAGATTTATATGTGTCCAAGACACTAAAGATCCTTGCATGCTTTTAGAGCAAATTTGCTTTCCTGGGGTTCATAAGTCAGCTGCTAACAGTGATGCCTGTTGGAAGCAGTTGCACAAAAGAAAAAAATAGATTTCCTGCTTATATGTATAAGAAGCATCCTACCTTTACCCTAACTTTTTATATCTCAGAACATTTGCTTTCTGATTATTTCCTGTCACATTTTAAAGCCAGCCTGGTGAGTGTTACCCCTCCAGTTAGTTTCCTGTTCCATGTAGAAGCTTGGCCTATAATCCCCTAGTTTGATGTATGAAGACACAGTTATTACTGCAGCGGGCTCTCCTCACACCCCTTCCATCATAGTTATGGCTGCAACCTAACAAGAACTTCACCGGAAATGAATGTTAGAAATCATAATGGCATTTTGTTCCATGCAGTTTTATTTAGGGAAATGCTATTTGGCACATAAAACAAGGGGCTGCCCTAGAAACAAACAACTGAGCCCCATAATGTCATGGTTTGGTGTCAAGAATATTGTTCCTGGGCAGATTCTGATGATGTTTTTGTTTTATATTTCATCTCATCTTCTTTAACTTTGCTTAAAATTTAATTTATGGCCTTCATTACCAAGTTAAAGATTGCTGGGGTGATTAAACTCTTCTGTTTTATGTGTAAACAGAAGGAATCCTTATTATAGCATAAGAAATGGTGCCAAAAGGATGCCATCCTGTTTTCTCTTCATGCTTCCTCAAAGCCACTTCGATTCAATGCATGTTTCCAGAACATCTCCTATTATAAGACAATAAGTGGTCACTTAATAGATGAAATGATCAGTGATGGGCCACAGTTCCTCTTCCCAAGATTTTATAAGTTTTGATGGAGCTGCAACAAAATGTAAATATAATGAGAAAGCACATTCATCAAGTGCAAGATTATATAAGATATAGCAAACCTGAAAGAGTGAAAAGGGGATCACTTCTTACTGTTCAAATGGGAAAATGAAGTGAATATCTTGCTTAGGAATGAGTGGTTGGCTTATGGTGGGTTTTGTGGGAGTGAATATAAGATGAAAACTAAAAGACTAAGTAGTTGAAAATTTGAAGTCGGTACTGAAGTGTTTAGCAAATGGAGTGAGGACATTCTATATCAATAAGGACCAGAGGTATAAAATACAAAATAAGCAACACTATTGCATATTTGAGGCTTGAAGGATGGTGAACAACTCTATGGATTCAGAATGTGGAGTAGGGCAGTGGTATATGATATGGTGCTAGAGAAACCAAGACCACACTCAGTAAGGTCCTTCATATCCTCCAAAGATGTATGTATCTTATCGGTGATACAAGTCACTGGATGTTCTAGATTAGAGCATAACCTGATGGCATGCTAGGGGCAACTGTAAGGACAGGGTAGTGGGTGGTGAAAAGATAAGGTTATTGGTGACTTGTAAAAGATGGGGCTTCATCTGAGGTATTGACAATAACAAGAGGTTGAAGGAAGTGTGCTTTAAAGCTATTTAAAAAGTAGAATTAAGAGGTTCAGTAATTGCCTGGATATGGGAATTGAGGGCAAAAATGGACTTGAAGAACGATAGAGTCCATTACTAGAAATTAGCAATTGTTACTACTAAGGGGGAAGTAACCACTTGAGTGAATGAAAACCCATTCATTTGATTGGTTGATTCATAAAATAGCTGCTGTTATGAATTTTAATATATTTGCTAGTAGATATTGATGGAGAAAATTCAAAGATATATTAAGGCGTATTTTCTCTTTATTCTGTCTCAATATGTGTAATCAATAAAGATGGGCTTCTTATTTTCCTCCTTCCTTTATAGCTGCATAAGGTGTGCTGGTCAGATAAAAATCATTTGCCAATCAACCTTCTATCTCTGAAGCATTTCTGCCAGAAAGACAGACCAGGGACTCTTCTAAAATAATTATAAAAATTCTTAGCCCCATGGATATTCAGATACCAGGTCTTTGAGTGCTAAATTGCAAAATCATCACTATAATCAGCTGTTAACTGGCACTCTGTAGTTAGTGTATTCATTAGTTTGTTCTTGAGCAGCTCTGGCACTTAATCAAAAAAGACATTGATTCCAATTCATTTCAGCTCATATGATTTAGGCTTAACTGTATATTTTAATTACTTGGTACTAATGCAAGGTTTTTAAAGTTTCTCTAGCTCATAAAGGAATCCTAATTTCTAATGGCACATGCAGTAGAAATAAAAATCAACCTCTGTATTTATAAGGCAGTCCCTCCTTTTTTTTCTGTAAGGGAAGCAAAGTAATTTTACCTAGTAGATTAGATTTTTTCAGATGAATAAATTTCTCTCAATATGTAACAGGAACAACCCCCAATGCCATGGGGTCTCTATTAGCTTTACTTATTAACTGATAATGATGCCCTTAGTGTAAAGGCCTCTGCCCTTCTCTAAAAGCTTTATTTATTCTCAGAAAACTGCTTATTCACAATAAACCTTTCCTCTCAATGTCCAAGGTAGCTCCCTTATTAGGCCAAAATTACATCTTAACAGTCCTTATTACTTTAAGATTTACAAAGCACTCTGATATCTCTTATTTCATGTTTTTCTTTGAGCATTTCCTCTATCCTATGATACAAAGCAAATATCTATTACAGGAAAAGCATCTTTCTCAAAAGGCTACTAAGGCAAAGAGCAATTTGAAAATTGAGGCTCCCATATGAACACTATTGATTCAGGATAGAGATTGCCTTTGGCATATGACTCTGAGAGAAAAATAAAGACCTATTTGGGATGTAGGGCACATGGGGAATTAGGGAATGGGTCTTGAGTATCGCTGCTTAGGTTCAAATTCTGGCTGAGCGATTTACCAGTTGTGTTCCTTCTCAAAGCCTCCATTTCCCCAAAAGTATAATTATAGGATAGACTGCATAGATACATAAAGCACTTAGAACAATGTCTCACACTCAATTATACAGCCCTCCCCACCCCAGGAATATTTGTAATTGAATAATGCATGGGTGTCCACAAGAAAGCCAAATTTCATTATTGTCACAGTACCTTCAAAGCTAGCTCCTTGATAACCCTGTCCTCAGCCACTTACCTTCCTCTAAGATTTTCCTTAAAAAGCCTGCTCACTGGAAAAATATCCATCCAGAGGTTCCAAGTCTTAGCCTGTTCTTAGAAATCATCATTAACTTTCAAAACTTCCCTTTGCTCCTGCTCAGTTCATGCTACTAAAGGCTGCTGTTAATATCTCCTAGAATTATTTAGTGTTTGTATAGTGATGCTTTATTGCTCTAATATAACTTTGCTTGCATCTATTTCAGTTGAAGATAACACAGAGAAGTGAAAAATCACTCAATAGGTTTTGTTTTTTGAGTGCCTTTATTTGGCTCTAGGACTAACTCACTTTAAACATTGTAAAATTCTGATCAGTTAAAAGATACTGCAATGCCGGTTCTTTCTAACTTAAAAGATTTTGTTGGTTACATGCCTGTAAAATGTAAATTAATTAACTAATAAATTAATTAAATGTCCATGTTAATGTATATTTTAACAAGAAGCTTTAGCTAAATCGAAATAGATTCTGGATGGTTCTGGAACTTACGACACCTTCTTGTGCTATTTACATGAGCTTAATTGAAAGGAAGTTTTTTGCTACCGTCTGGTGGAGCAAGGGACTGAGTATACACACTGTTTTGGAGAAGAGACAGGAGAATATTAAAGAAGATGGCAGAAACGATTTTAAGCTCTTATGACAAGAGGGGTTACAGCACTAGCTATGTTGATAAACGATTAATAGGCTCTGGTACTAGCAATGCCACTGTAGTGATCCTTTAGAAAGGAACTTCTCCATACACAACTCTGCCACTCAAACATGCACATTATCTTACAGTCTAGAGTATAGAATGCCACTCTAAGGACTCAAGGACATACGAAAAGAGAAACAGACCTTTATTACCAAAAACTTTCCAAGAAAACAGATATTGAAACATGTATTGTTTTTTGCTTTCTGAGGTAATTTACAATCACTTTCCTCTTTTAAAAACTTCTGTTGAACTACCTTAGACTTATAGAAGAGTTATGAAGATAGTACAGAGTTCTCCAACACTCTTCACTCAGCTTCTACTAAAGTTAGCATCTTACACAACCATGGTGCATTTACCAAAACTAAGAAATTAACCTTGAAATTAACATTAACATTAAATTCTGAGTTAAACTAAGAGTTTTAACTAAACTATCGACTTCATTTGGATTTCATTCATTTTTTTCTACTAATGTACTTTTTTAGTTTTGGAATCCAATCCCAGATACTAATTTAGTTGTGGTCTCCTCTAATCTGTGACAGTTTCTCAGTTTTCCTTTGACTTTGATGACCTGGACACTGTTGAAGAATACTGAACAGATTTTTTTTTTAGAATGACACTCAATTGAAATTTGCTTTCTCATTTTTAGCTTAGGATTATGGATTTTAGGGTAGAATACCACAGATATATTATGTTGTTGGCACATCGTATCAGTGGATAAATGATGTTGATATGTATTGCTAGTGATATAAAACTTGATCACTTGGTTAAGGTGGTATCCTGCAGGTTTCTCTACAAAGTTACTATTTTTCCCTGCCCGTATGCTCTTCATTAGAGGCAAAGCACTATCCCAGCTCACCCTCAAGCAGAGGGAAAGTAATCCATCCCCCGAGGAATGTTTTAATATTTGTTGAAGCTAACATGGCAACTAATAAATATTTGGGGTGAGATACTCTGAGACTATATAAATATTGTGTTTCTCCTTTAAGAGTTACTCATGAATTTAAGCAGTCATCAGTGGATCTTCAGTGCGGCATTATTTCTTTTCATTTTATATTGAAAGTTTTGAACTATGAATTTAATTTCTTTAATAGATATCAGACTATTGATAATATACATTTCATTTTGTGTAAGCGTTCGTAGTTTGTACAAATATGTTCATAGCAGCACAGTTCACAATAGCCCCATCTAGAAAAAAACTCAAATATCCATCACTGGTACAATGGATATATAAATTATGGTATAATTATAGGAAGAAATTCTATATGCCAGTGAGAACAAGTATGCCATTGCCATAAGGAGCAACATGTCTGAATCTTTCAAACATAATATTGAACAAAAGAAGGCAGACATAGAAGAGTGTATCTGTGTTTTTCTATTTATATAAGTGTAAAAACAGACAAGGCTGATTTATGCTGTTAAACATTAGGACGTTATTTCTCTGGAGAAGAACAGTAACTGGGAAGGGCCACATGCAATGCTTCTGGAGTCTGGAAACATATTATTTCTTAATCTGTTTCCTGGTTACAGAAATGTAGTCAATTTTGAAAATTTATTGAATTATACACTTTTACTTGGGGGACTATCCTCTATGTAGTGTATATTTTAATAAATGTAAAAGATTGTGTTAAAAAGGCTGTTTCTCTATTGATGTGCTATAACTCTCAAGTATTCCAAAAAGTCACTGAATAAAAGTTGAACAAATTTGAATGCCTGCAAGTATCAGCGATAATCATAAATGTAATTCATTGTGCACACTGGAGAAGGCAAGGGAAAATCATTTGTAAAGAACTCTCAGAAATCAATTCTTTCCCACCATATTAAATGTCCAGAAATTCAGAGCCATACTATAACAGGATTTTCTTATCTAGCAATCTAAACATTCTATCAAACTATTTTAACTAATAACTGAAACAAGTTTGAGATAATCATGTTTTAGAGAACCTGGGAAGACTCCTAATAATAACCACTGCTTTCCTAGCTAACTCTAGTAATGTGTTCGTATTAGTCTAAGGTTCTATGCAAAGATATGAAATTAATTGCTTTCTTCCTTATCTTCTCAGTTTGTATTTTACAGAATCCGGTGACTCACCCTACCCACATTTTTGGTATATGTTTTGCTCCCAATTCTAGTTTCCTGATACTAATTCTATTCTCCATTATTATTTAAGGATTTTCAATCATAGTTTTATAATTTATAATTACAGTTGCAAATTATTTTAGTTCTCTGAGATTTAATTCATTTGGTCTGGAAACTTGAATTCATCTAAAGATACTAAGTAATTTCTCATTCTCTTTTGTTTTTTAGGTCATTAATCATCATATTTATTCTACCTCATCCGATTATGAAAAACTTTTCCTGGATTGAGTAAAGAGCAGGTAAAGTTGAACAATGTGTTGCTTGCTCTAGTATTTATTAACATGACACCAGCTGTTCTTAAACAGCGGACTTCCTACTTTATCTTGTTCTATTTAGAAATTTAAGAGTATTGTATTTTCTTAATTACTCTTGGCATAAAAGCACAAATTCATTCCAGTTTTTTGTCTTTTATTAATTTTTTATCATTTTATGTTATCCTTTTGCATCTTCCGTATATGTTGCTTTTATTTCTAATATAGCTCAAGGTAATCATAAAATTATCTGTAAGAGGCAATATTGTTTATAGAGAGAGAAGTGTTTTTTCAAGAACAATAGAGTTATGACTTAACTTTGCTACTCAATGACCTTAATTCAATCACTTAATTTCTGTGAAAAGTGCTTAATCTATAAATGGCAAAAAAAAAAAAAACTACTTCAGAATTGCCTAATAATAAAATGTATATGTAACCTAAACTGTCATACATTATATATACTGGAATAGTATATAATATATACATGTGTATATACATAGTATATGTATATACTTATTGATATATTAATAAGTTGAACTTATTTATGTTTCCCCTTCATACTCGTATATTGGTAGTCATTTATTTTTGTTCATTTTTTCCCTTTCACACTATTATGTTGATAGTCATTTTTTTTCTTTCAGAGGCCATGCTTTCTGAAATATTTTTAAATATCTTTGACTAGCATCTATAATGTAGTGCTCTTATACTCAGCCTTCCCTTCTTAGATTATTATAAACTCTGAGATGACATGGTCACTTTCTCCTTGGGTGTCTGTCACTTCTGCTTTACCAAGCAGTTCTTCCTTGTTAGTCAAAATTAATTCCAGAGTAGCAGTTCTCCTCCATTGCCTTTTTAGGCCCTCCTGAGAGCTGAGATTGTCAGGAAGGCAAGTTAAGAGTTTATTAGATTTTTCTTTTAGAGACTTCAAACAGTCATCCAGATACGTGAGACTCCTCTTGTCACTCACTACTATCTTCTGGGCACAGGATAAATCTATGTACTCCATTGTGAGTATGCCTTTCAGAGCAGATGCCCCACAGTTCAAGCAGCCTAGTGTCTACTTCCAACATTGCAGTTGTTGATATTCTCTTCTTTCATACTGTCCAAATCTTCTCCTCTAAGATAAAGCTCAAGATGTTGAAGTTTTATTGACACATTTATTTTCTTGATATTGCCCTCTAATTCTAGTAAGTTGTTTCTTTTCAACATTTTAGGATACCACACAGATACTACCTAACCAAATTTATGTAAGTTCAGGATAGTACATTTTTTTTTGCTAAGGAACTTACAAATATGTTATTGTTTCCAGTTACTTTATTACCCACACTCTGTCCACATCTATGGAAACCTTTGAGTCTAAATCTCCTTCCGTATTATTTAATTTTCAGTACTTCTGATAAGTTGTGATGCTGCTGTTGGTTCTTCCCTGATCATTTCTGCTCCCCTCTATCATGCCCTTTTTACAGTTATATTTCTGTACATTCTCCTTCTTCTTCAAATTTCAGTTGCTGTTTTTTTAAATAAATCTGCTGGCTTTCTACCAAACCCTTTTTTTTGGGTGTGTATAAACTGCACTCCACCCCTTGCCACAGGTTTATTTTTCTGATTTCAAAAATAATGATCCAGAAATCTTACTGTGTTCCCAATTGTATGCTTTCCCCAAGTTCTTTTACTGTTTTAGAAAATGACCTCCAAGTGGAATAAAAGCAATTATCCTCTTTCACTACCATTTCTTATGCATAACTCCAAAGTTGCTACAGCAGCATTTCAGAGTATGACCAATAGATCACAAATCCTATGAGAAGCTATACTCACAAAGGTTTCTGTGCTTACAGAAGCTTCAGAAAGGCTGACTCACATATCCCTAATTTGTAGATTTCTATCCCCATAATAAAAATGCAGAGAGATCCTGCCATCAATACTAAGATAATAAAGCAGCATAACTTTGTTTAATCCAGCATTTCCAAATACTTTTGAAATTTCTTAATCATGGAATATCTAGTAGCAGCCCAAGGAGCAAATTTTAATATAATACATAAAATTTATTGAACTCTTACATATGTCAGATATTGTGCTAGGAAACAATGTATGTGTGTATACACATACATGCACATATGTCTGTGCAAATATTTATCAAGCACTCGCTATTTGCCAGCTCTTTTTGTCACTGAGCATACAGCAGTGAAAATAATAAACAAAATTACCTGCAATTATTTTAGTAGGGAAAAGAGACAATGAGTTGAGTACACATTACATTGGTAATAAGTAAGAAGAAGGAAAAGTTATACCCGTGCAAGACCTATATTGTTTAATGATGGGTGGGGTAGGTTTCAAATTTTCAATGGGTAGACAGGGAAAAACTCACCTAGAAAGTAATTTTTGAGTAACCATCTAAGGATGGTGAAATAGATTGCATGCAGATATATTATAGACACGGTGACTTGTATGAAGAGAATTTTAGGCAAGGAGACATGAAAGTATGAAGGCCTTGAGGCAAGAGTGTGCCCAGTTTATTCAATGAACAGGAAAGAAGCCCATATGGCTAAAGAAGAAAAGACAGAAAAACAGAGGATCAGAAAATAAATGTGGGGACATAACAAATGACCTTGCCTTTTATTGAATTAAAAATGGCAACCCACTGGAGGTTGTTAAGCAGAGTGACAAGATTTGACGCGTTTTAACATCATCATTTTACCTGCTGCATTAAGGCCAGATAATACGCTGGCAAGAGCAGAAGCAGAGTAATGAGGAGACTTGCAGAAATACTGGCAAGAGAGGATTATGGCTTGGAGCAGAATAGTATCAGTGGTTAAATTCTAGGTGTATTTTGAAGGTGAAGCTCAATGCTAGTTTTGTTTGTCTGTTGTTGTGTATACTTTGCCTCGAACACCTGGGAGAGATGAGTTGTCATTAACTGAGGTGTACACGAATACAGGAGAAGCCAATTTCCCTGGGGTAAAGGTAGAAGATATCAGGAGTACAGCTTTTAAACACGTTAATTGGCAGATGGACATACGAGCCAACATTAACTCATTTACTCCTATTAACAATTACATAAACTGGGTACTAATATCATATCCATTTCGCACTGAAAAAACTAAGACCCAAAGAGGTCAAGAAATTGACAGAAAGTGAGCCAAATGACTAAGCAAGAGCTGTGCAAAATTTGAACTCGAGGACATTTTACATCTGTGGCCCAGGTTAATGGCTATTATCTATTACTGCCAAACTAAGAGATATTGAAGGCTTTTGCATTTCAAACAGCCAAAAGAAAAATGTATCCACTGATGTGCCTGACGGTTTCTCAAAGAATTTCATGGGTTAGTTATGTGCTACAGGAAGACAGGGCACTCACCTCTCAGTTACGCACATCAGAGTATTCTCAAATCTCAGAAGGAAATGGACACACCCACTGCATATCACTCTATTCTGTGCCAGTAACAGGGGCTCTGGCATTCTTTGGCATCTTTCAATCTACTTTATCACTCTGTAGCACATAGAACCTTGCATTCTGTTCAGTCTAGGTCTGTTTTATACCTCTTGTGACCATAAATTTGTACTAATCATTCTTCTACCTAGGACAGGTTTTCACCCTTCATCTTGGCTTTAATCCCTCTCTACTTTCCTGAAATATTTCTCTTTTTACCACTATTATTTGGCATCTTCTTTCCATATTGGAGTCCTTCCTGCTGCTTAATAAGTCAGAATATTTTTTAAATATAGGTTTTCTGAAATTCCCTCATATGAAGAGAGATATCAATTAGCAATTACAAAACATGTTTCACTCCAAAACCTCTCAGATTTCAAGTATAACCACAGACTTTTTCTCATCTAGAACTTCTCTGGTTTTGTGCCTACTAAACAGCCTGGAGCAGAAGGAGAACACTGGAGAGAAATGGAAGTGAAGCCTAGAAAGGCAATCATGGTCACCCCATTACTGAGGACTTAGGTTGGCTGCTGAGTTTGGTCTTGATTTAACAGATCAGACTGGGAGACACAATAAGCACATGAGTCACTGGGAACTGATGCTTATTTTTTCCTGTTTGCTTTACCCCACTCTTAGCCTTGTCTCCACTGATGCGCAGGTGAGTTACAAGAGGAAGCATTTCCCAGGCTGCAAAGCAGTCCACTTAGCTCCAGATCTTGAGTGTGTCTTGAGTTAGTTTGGTGCAGATTCCACCAGTGAGCTTTGACTTCTCAGCAATCTCTCTCTTGAGAGGCTTCCCAGAAATCTGTCCTTTCAGCTCACCACTGAATGCACTTTGAGCAACTGGCTGCCTCTCGCATAAGTACATTATTAATGGTCTCTTTTCAAAAGCAGAGATAGTGCCCTGGAAAATGCGGTATTGATTTTTCCCCTTCTTTCTCACTGTTTCAATCACTGCTCGTTTGAATGGCTTTCATTTTTAGCAACAACATGAGAATCTTTGAAGAAAAGTGGTTTATAGGATCAGCCTGAAATAAAATCACCGCTCAATTTAAGCTCTGAAGAATACTATGGATATTTTAATAGAAGTTTGGAGAATCTTTGGCGAGCTCAATAATAGCTACAAGGAGTTTATACACAGAAATCATACTTAGGGATCATTTTATTTCTTAGGCAGTATGTGTTAACAGCAAATAAAGGTTTAAACCTTCAGTCACTTCCAGACTATATATATCAAGAGTCTCAAGAGTGTGGAAATGTTCAGAGTACTTCGGAAGGGGTGAAAGACTTTCTACGACTCTAATTTGTCTTTAATTGGCCCTTGTAGATAAAACCTGGGGTGGTTTTCTCTTAAGCTCTCTATCTGCCTGCTGTTTGAATCAGGAAATACCAGCTCTATTACAGCTGAAAGACCTACAGACCATTCAGTTAAACAAATTTGTTGTTCAAATGAGACAAGTAAAGCCCAGGTGATGGTGTAGCTTGATGGAGATGGCAAAACCTCAAATTCCTGTCCAGGATTCTCTCTTTGTGGGCACCTGGATTCCTTCTCCCTACATGGACCTTGTGATAGTGCTGACTTCTCTCTTTCTTCATTTCCTCCCATATTCTCTAAATGCCTATAGATCTTTTCAATTCTGAATCTTCCTATGCTGCGTGAACATAGTCATTCATGAAGTAGAATAATATTACCATATGAATTGGCTGATTCCTTAGCAAAAAGAGAGTGTTACCTTCTAGGGTCATATCAAGAAGCATCTCTCCCAGGAAACTCATTCTGTGACTTCAGTCCATATTGATGTCTCTCTTTTTTGCCAATCACTATAAATCACAGAAAATGTGTATTATATAGTGTCTTTATTTCAGTGTTCTGTGTATATGCCAAGATTTTTAATGAGGTCTTTGAAATTGATATTGATTAAATGAATATTTACTATGTAGCTAGTAAGTGTATAAGGTACCATGCTATATGTTAAGAGGGCTAAAGATAAGAATAAAATATAATTTTTCTTGAATTATTTGTGTTTGATACAGATGCAAGTTTTAAACACATGAAAATAATTTTCACAGGAATACCTTGATGTGAAGGAAGATAGTAAAAAGAAATTCCAGAGAGGGGAGTAAAAGAGCAGAAAACGTAGGGCTGGTCAATTTAGTGGTATTAGGTAGGGTATCTGGGGAAACACGGCTGTGTTTAGTTTCAAAATGTGATTAAAGGGGATGGAATAGGATGAAAATAAAAATATTCCTAACTTTGGAGAATCAAAGCTATGTGTTTAATATATTGCTCACACAGGGAAAAAGAACCTTGATTAGAATAGAGTGAAGGGTATGCATTCATTCATTCATGTAACAAATATTAATTGAGAATCTTAGCACCTAGACTAGTGCCTATATGTAAAGCACTAGTCGAGGCTCTAAGGTTAACTCTGAAATGATGGGGTTAGGAAGCTTTTACATCTAATGCCAGGCTAGCATGAATGCTACAAAAATAGAAAGCAAGAATCACATGGAGAAATGTTGGGGAAATTGTGCCAATTAAATATGGAAAGCTAAAGAGCCAGCGTAACCTAAGCACCGATTGTTATGCTAGTAATAGGAGGAGGGCACATGAAGGAACTAATGTGAAGTCCAGGTGGATAGAGGAGGAATACTGGAGTGTCAGATTTTGGTCATAGTGCTAGGGATAGGGTGTTTGGTGGAAGATCTCTCTTTTTCACTTTTTTTTTTATTAAGGATCTCCCCTTTTGCTCTTCCATAGAGTTGTTTAATTACATGGGCCTTGAGCAACAAAGGCTGCCTGACCTTCTTTGTTCCAACATTAATCCTTTTTAAATTCTTGGAGGATGCAGAAAGCCATTGCCATCAGAAACCAGGCCAACTCCCATGGGAAAGGAAGCCCCTTAGTCTCATTAGGAGTGTTCTTGCAAGTTCCACTTGGCCAAGCATCTCTCACCAGGAGCCTGCAAGGGGTGGGGGAGAGGGGATACTTACAGTAACAAATGGTGTAGGATTTGCCTGGCCTCTTCGTCTTTGTGTACATCTTTCTTGGGAACCATGAAAGAAAATAGTTCTGGCAGCTAGCCATTCTCATTCTTTTCTCAGCAGAGGGGAACCTAATATAATCCAGCTCTTAGATGCAGGGTTTCTGCTTTCTGTTTTCATGTGCTTAGCATGACCTGATGTAGGACCTAATTATCCCCCTCTCACCAGGCCCCAACAAAGAGTTTTTACACTCTAAGTAGTTCAGTCCCTAAAATGTGGACAGGTAACGAGACAACAAGTTTCCTCACAGAAATGCACTCTCTTCTGAGAAGTAAATGTCCAGTCATGAAAAGCAATATTGAAGGGTAATGAAGATGAAGAAGAGGTAACCTAATAGAAGGTAAGCAGCTACTCTGTTATAGGCAGTGTGCTTGATGCTTTAAATGTGTTATTTTGCTTAATTATTACAATATCTCATTTTACACATAAAGAACCTGATTTTCCCCAATGTTAAATGACAAAATTACATGACTTCTTTCTATGTGGTGTTAATGGCTTCTTCTCTCCCTTTTTTTTTTTTTTTTTTTTTTTTTTGGATATCAGAGTTTTACTATGGGCTAGAAGCAATACTAAACCCAAATGAAAAATGAAAAGCTCACCCTTGGTATAACCTCACACACTGGTTGGGGGAACATTTGATGTCTATGAAGACATGTGAATGACCGTAAAACTGCACTATATAGAATACTATCTTTTTTGACTTAGGAAAGCCAACACAAATTCCAAATGTCCACTTTGTTAATGAACTGAAAACAAACTATATGAAATATATGTATTCTTCATCTGGACTGTACTGACCATTAGAAAATAAACTCAAATTATAATTCATTCCTATTTGGGATTAACTGGGTTTAACTTTGATTACACATACTACGCCTATGATTTGTGGAACAAAGAAGTAAAACTTTTGGTCTTTTGAGGGTCAGAACATGAACTCAGTTTTGGGGTTTTTGTTGTCATCATCATTATTGTTTTTTTCCAAGATAAATATAAATGTTGTAATTATTTCAAAAATTTTTAAGTTCTGTTTTTTTTCTGGGTATCAAATTATCCTTGAAAGTATAGTTTACCATTGCCTACAGGATTTATTACATCTTACCTCACCTGGGTATCAAAGGCCTTGTAATAATGGAGCACAATCTACATTTTATTTGTTCGCATCAGAAATATTTATTGAGGATCTAATTTATGTCGGGGTCCTCTCTCAGTGTTGTGAATGCTATAAGTATCTTTCTTCTTCCCATATGTCTATGCAGAAACACCTTATTTTCAAACATTTATTGAAAATATTAACTATGAAACTGGCTGTGGGGTATGTGGAAACTCTGTTATAATCTTGCAGCTTTTCTAAAAATCCAAAATTATTCTAAAATATAAAGTTTATTAAATATAAAAAATCCTCCAGGAAGTATTTCTAACCACCTTCCATTTGTGAACTTATTTATTTCTGGAATCGGGTCCACAAAGGCTATACAGAACTGTCACTAATGACCTGAGCAATAGCATTTATTCCTATGTATCTGCTAGTTGTTTGGCTGGTTCCTTTGTCCTAAGAAGATTGAACTATGTCTGGTGCTTTCTGGCATCCCCCAAATAGCTAAGCCCAAAGAATGAGTGAAATCACTACAAACTTTTCTGCCATAGGGCATTGTTTGAACTGACAGGTAATTTGCTATGTTACTCAAACTGGAACTCTCGTGTAGTGGTATTTTTTTCTCTCCTTTAGTCCTGACTCCACATTGCATTCTTTGGCCAAAACATTGAACTCGCTCTGTTTATCTTCCTATAGTGTACAATTCATATATTGCTTGATGAATAATACCCATAGGAAATTGCCAAAGCTAAGTTTTCTGAATATATACATGAATCTGTCATCAAACAACACTTTTGTGATATAGAGAATTTATCTTCATAGGTCATTAAAAACATACTTAACCAGCTGTCTCAGCCATGTTGTATGCCCTGCATGTACACTCACACCCATACACAACCAACTTCCAACTTTGACAAACACTTTTACAGAAGAAAATGAACTTCAATTAATTTTTAAACTCAGTTTGGTCTACTTTGAATAACTATCATTGTGAAAATGGCCTAATAACTTGAATCATTAAAATGTTATTTATTATTAAATGGGGGGTCATCTTTTTTTTTCAATTGAATACTTTTTTCATAAATACTGTGTAAGATGATCTATCAACATCTCAATTAATTAAAATTCTATCATGCATCAGCCCCATGAAGAATGTCTTGTTAGTCACAAGGGGGATATTGTAGTAAAAATAAACTTATCTTATCTTGGAAAATTACAGTTTAGAAGGAAATTCCAAATTTAGATATAAAAATTGAAATTGCAAGAAATTTAAGATATCAGTATAGTTAATGTTTGCTTGTCAAATGGGAGTAACAATGATGCATCTATGTGTTCTATGCCTCAGGTGTAGCTGATGCTGAGTTCTCCAAATGTAAACATAGGGAATCTTACCATTTATTTTGAAAAATAAATGAAATAAGTAAGTGTGCATCAATAATTCATGATAACATTTTTACAATAATAATTTTAGGCATCCAATACCCCAAATATGTAGCAAGTAACTCAGTATCATAGTAGCAACAGGAGGAAGCCAAATTAAAGTGTCTTCTCAGTGAAGAATAGATACCTGGATTTATAGATTATTAATCTATATTTTTTTCTATGAGCCTTTACAGTCCAGAATCATTCAAATGGATCCAACTCAAGTAAAACATTTAATTGAATCTCCCATCTAAACAATGCTGTCTTTGGTCAGTTGTCCTGGGAGTCAGATTCTAAGACTCTGAGTTTAGAGTACCAGAAAGGTTATTGGGGTCTGTTACTGACAGCATCATGACTGGGCAGACGGACCAACTCAACTGGAATGCAAGAACAACAGGGGCTTCAGCCAATCTAATGGGTTTTCTGATTCTAGGATAGCCCTTCAGAGATGTCCCAGTAGAGGCATGGGAGCTGGACCCTTGTACCCTCAGATCAACCAATTATTGGATGTGGATTTTCCCAGGATGGGGGAATAATCTTGGCAGAGATAATTTCCATCAACTAGGGATAACTCCTGGTGTGGGTTTCAGCTATGTCAGTCTGAAGCAAACACTCGTACCACTGGATGGCACACACAACAAAAGTTTTCTTCTAGGTGTTTAAGGAATAAAAAGTTACTATGATAATCAGCCAGGTTCTCATCCTCTAGAAGCTGTTAGTCTACTTTGGGAAATAAGGACAGTTGGGTAAACAAAAACCTGTAACTGAAAAATTTAGTAAGTAATATCACCCAAAAATAAATAAAACACTGTGGGTGTACAGAGTAGGAAACTATACAGTGACAACCAAGACCCATGACTGTTGTTTCACAAATAACAGGAAATTCCTAATATTTATTATGAACTACAATGTCCAGGGAAACTGAAGTTGAGTCAAAATTAAGAACAATTCACCATCACTAGTTTGTTAAGGCAGTGGTTCAGAAAAGTCCCATCTTATAGAAGCTGGGTATTATCCAAATCATTGACAGTCTGAAGCACATATTCCAAGTAAAATATGCTAATCGGAAATTGAACCCTCTTTCTTGCTCTTTCGAAAGAGAGGGGCTTTAAAGCCAGCCCAGAATGGAAACAAATTAATATTCTACACACCTACAAGCTGAGAAGTCTTGATTGAGCAATGAACATCTCTAAAACAACACTTTTCTTAACTGAAAGTTAAGCTTACTAATACTTATGTTCTAGGGATAAGCATTACATAAAATGAAACTGGGTCCCAGCAAATGTCAGACTAACATGGACCCACTCTCACTACAAACACATAGGAAGGAAACAAACAATAATACATTTGAGCTTAAAAGAGTTGAAATTATTAAGTGCCAGAAATAGAAAAATTAAAGCCAAAGCATGCCTTAAAAATGGAAACTTATAATTTAATATTCACAGCAAAACAGAAAATGAAGTTTTGGACTAGGGAAGGTAAGGATGTCCCTAAAACATCTGCATAAGTTGAGATCATGGAAGCAGTGCCCCTTCGAAGAAAAGAAGATTAGAGAATCTAATTATACTAGAAAATCATTGTCTAAGGCAAGGCAGTAAGAAAGCATAAAGTCTCTGCCTAGAGCTCTAGGTAGGAAAAAAAATATCTCCCAAAAGGCAAGAAATCTCCAAGCCTAAATCTCTACTCTCATCATGAAGGTATTCCAAAACTGACATGTTAATGTTACGACTGGCACCAAAAAAAAAGAAAAGAAAAAAAAACACCAAAATTGTTGAAAACCCTGGCATTTCCAGAAGAAACTAACCAAAAATCTCTCTGCAGCACTGTTGCCATAATCTGGTATAAGCATGGTCACAAATCTCTACTACTAAGGCAAAATAATCTATCAAAGAAATTTACAAACCGCATGAGGAAATAATCAACTGTGTATTAGTCAAGATAATGTAGGTTAACAAACCAACACCAAAATTCAATCCAAAAATAATCTAAAACAGACCAAAAAGAAAAAATATATTTTAAAAAATCAAATTTAAAACACATGTTAAATGGTAGATATAAAGCCAACTCTGTCAGTAATTACGTTTGTATAAATCAATTGAATATTTCAATCAAATACTGAATTTTTAAAACTGTGCTGTTTACAAAAATTAAATATAATGACAGAAAATTTAGATGAGAAATGTTAAGAAAATACGTAACACTCAAATATTAACAACTAATATAAAAGTGGGTTCTAATACAAGAAGTGTTAGTAGTAATAAAGAGGGAGATGTTTCAGTACCCAAACAATCAATGTTCTAGGAAGACGTGGACATTTTTTATCTGTAGCAACTCATTAAGAGGATTTAAAGTACATATACCTAAAATTGAGAGAGTAAACAGACAAAAGGATAATCCTAGGGAAGAATTTAACATATATTCTAAACGATTTAAAAAAATAGGATAAAAGAGGATTAATTAATATAGTTGGTCTTATAGACATGTAAAAAAGACCAACATAACAAAAACAGACCATATTCTTTTCACACATGCATACAATATGTACCATAGTCAACCACTTGCGGCACCATAAGAAAGTCTCAGAAAATGTTAAAAGATTTAAATCACTTAGAGAATGTCTGCACAGGAACTAAGCTTTAAATCAATGACAAAGAAACTTTCCAACTATCTGAAAATTAATAACAATCAAAAAGAGCTGAATGTTGTTGGTTTTTCAAAATGATTAAAAACAACTATCAAGACTGATCAAGGAAAAAAAAACTTCAAGACTGATCAAGAATATATATATATATATATATATATATATTCTGTCTTTGTATATATATGAATATATATAGTATATATGCAGACTGTATATAATTTGAACTCAACATTAATATACACATATATATCTAGAAATTAACAATAGTCATTTATAAACATATACATATATATAAAAGGTTACAGTTCAAATGGTGTATATTATATATATATAGAGAGAGAGAGAGACTAAAAAAGGTAACAACTAATTCTATACAGTTTAAATATACGAGGTTACTATTAACACCTTTATGCCAATAAATTTGACAGTTTGGATTAAATCAATACTTTTCTCAATGAATTAACCACTTAAAGAGACAGGAAATACAAAAAAAAATTTAATAACCCAATATCTATCCATGAAACTAAAACCACTGATGAGAATGTAAATTAGTGCAGCCACTATGGAAAACAGTATGAGGTTTCTCAAAAGCTTAAAAATAGAACCACCATATGACTCAGCAGTCACACTTCTGAATATATATACACAAAATAATTGAAATTAGAGTCTGAAAGAGATAGTAGTACAAGCATGTTCATTACAGGATTATTCACAATAGACAAAATATTAGAAACAATATTGTTGCATGAATGGATAAAGAAAATGTGATATATATACACACAATAAAATATTAGCCTTAAAAAATGGGAAATTCTGTCATATGCAACAAATGGATAAACTGGGAAAATATGGTGAGCAAAATCAGTCACAGAAAGATGGACACTGGTGAGTTAACTCATATGAAGTATCAAAAATAAACAAATTCATAGAAGCAGAGAGTGGAAAGGTGGTTGTCAGGGGCTGGGAATGGGAGAATGGGGAGCTGCTCTTCAAGTGGTATAAAGTTATACAACATGAATAAGTTCTAGAGATCTACTGAACAACAGTGCACCTATGTTTAGCAATACTGTATTGTTAAGAAAGTAGATCTCATGTTAAATGTTTTTACTACAATTTTTAAACAATATGTAGGTATTTATGTATGAAATTTATATTTCCAAGTTGAATATTAAACTTCAATGAAATGTATTTTTAAAAATACAGAAATGTAAAAGAAAGTAAAATCATTATGTAAAACTTTCAAAGATCTCAGGCCGAGATAACTTTAATGGTCAATTTTTTCAAACGTTTTAGACAAAAATAATACTCCTATTACATAACACTTACCAGAGGAGAGGGAAAAACATCCCAGCTCTTTTTACGAAACAAACATATCCTAGATACCAAAACTAGACAAGATAACTAAAAGAAAATAATGTAATAGTCTAACATAATCATAGATTTAAAATCCTAAAGATAATATTAAAAAACACAAATTCAGAATGATATTAATTAGATATTACATCATCATCATCAATTCAGGTTTTTTCAAAAAATTTGGGATATTTTAGCATTCAAAAGTTAAAGTTATTCACTGTAATCACAGCTACTTGGGAGGTTGAGGCAGGAGAATCGCTTGAAGCCAGGAGGTGGAAGCTGCAGTAAGCCAAGATCATGCCATTGCACTCCAACCTGGGCAACAACAGCAAAACTCCATCTCCAAAAAAAAACAAACAAGAAAAAAAGGGAGGGTCCAAGATGGCCAAAAAGGAACAGTGCCAGTCTATGGCTCCCAGGTTGAGTGCAGAAGATGGGTGATTTCTGCATTTCCAACTGAGGTACTGGGTTCATCTCACTGGGGCTTGTCGGACAGTGGGTGCAGCCCACGGAGTGTGAGCCAAAGCAGGGTGGGGCATCGCCTCACCCAGGAAATGCAAGGAATTGGAGAATTCCCTTTCCTAGCCAAGGGAAGCCATGACAGATGGTACCTGGAAAATCGGGACACTCTTACCCTAATACTACACTTTTCCAATGGTCTTAGCAAACGGCACACCAGGAGATTATATCCCATGCCTGGCTCGGAGGGTCCCATGCCCACGGAGCCTCTCTCAATGCTAGCACGGCAGTCTGAGATCCAACTGCAAGGCAGCAGCAAGGCTGGGGGAGGGGCATCCGCCATTGCTGAGGCTTGAGTAGGTAAACAGAGTAGCTGGGAAGCTTGAACTGGGTGGAGCCCACCACAGCTCAAGGAGGCCTGCCTGCCTCTGTAGACTCCACCTCTGGGGGCAGGGAATAGCTGAACAAAAAGCAGCAGAAACTTCTGCAGACTTAAACGTCCCTGTCTGACAGCTTTGAAGAGAGTAGTGGTTTTTCCAGCAGGGAGTTTGAGATCTGAGAATGGACAGACTGCTGCCTCAAGTGGGTCCCTGGCCCTCGAGTAGCCTAACTGGGAGACATCTCCCAGAAGGGGCTGACTGACACCTCATACAGCCCCTCTGAGACAAAGCTTCCGGAGGAAGGATCAGGGAGCAACAACTGCCATTCTGCAATATTTGCTGTTCTGCAGCCTCTGCTGGTGATAGCCAGGCAAACAGGGTCTGGAGTGGACCTCCAGCAAGCTCCAACTGACCTGCAGCTGAGGGTCCTGACTGTTAGAAGGAAAACTAACAAAAAAGAAGGGACATCCACACCAAAACTCCATCTGTACGTCACCATCATCAAAGATCAAAGGTAGATAAAAACCACAAAGAAGGGGAGAGACCAGAGCAGAAAAGCTGAAAATTCTAAAAATCAGAGTGCCTCTTCTCCTCCAAAGGAATGCAGCTCCTCGCCAGCAATGGAACAAAGCTGGATGGAGAATGAATTTGACGAGTTGAGAGAAGAAGAATTGAGATGATCGGTAATAACAAACTTCTCCAAGGTAAAGGAGGATGTTAGAACCCATCGCAAAGAAGCTAAGAACCTTGAAAAAAGATTAGATGAATGGCTAACTAGAATAAACAGCAAGAGAAGACCTTAAATAACCTGATGGAGCTGAAAACCATGGCATAAGAACTACATGACGCATACACAAGCTTCAGTAGCTGATTCCATCAAGTGGAAGAAAGGGTATCAGTGATTGAAGATCAAGTGAATGAAATGAATCAAGAAGAGAAGTTTAGAGAAAAGAGTAAAAAGAAACAAAGCCTCAAAGAAATGTGGGACTATGTGAAAAGACCAAATCTAAGTCTGATTGGTGTACCTGAAAGAGACAGGGAGAATGGAAACAGGTTGGAAAACAGTCTTCAGGATATTATCCAGGAGAACTTCCCCAAGCTAGCAAGCAGGACAACATTCAAATTCAGGAAACACAGAGAATGCCACAAAGATACTCCTCGAGAAGAGCAACTCCAAGACACATAATTGTCAGATTTACCAAAGTTGAAATGAAGGAAAAAATATTAAGGGCAGCCAGACGGAAAGGTCGGGTTATACACAAAGGGAAGCCCATCAGACTAACTGGATCTCTCGGCAGAAACACTACAAGCTAGAAGAGAGTGGAGGCCAATATTCAATATTCTTAAAGAAAAGAATTTTCAACCCAGAATTTCATGTCCAGCCAAACTAAGCTTCAGAAGTGAAGGAGAAATAAAATCCTTTACAGACAAGGAAATGCTGAGAAATTTTGTCACCGCCAGGCCTGCCCTACAAGAACTCCTCAAAAAAGCACTAAACATGGAAAGGAACAACCAGTACCAGCCACTGCAAAAACATGCCAAATTGTAAAGAACATCAATGCTACGAAGAAACTGCATCAACTAGCAAGCAAAATAAGCAGCTAACATCATAATAATAGGATCAGATTCACACATAACAAGATTAACCTTAAAAGTAAATGGGCTAAATGCTCCAATTAAAAGACACAGACGGGCAAATTGGATAGTCAAGACCCTTCAGTGTGCTGTATTACGGAGACCCATCTCACATGCAGAGACACACGTAGGCTCAAAATAAAGGGATGGAGGAAGATCTACCAAGCAAATGGAAAACAAAAACAGGCAGAGGTTGCAATCCTAGTCTCTGACAAAACAGACTTTAAACCAACAAAGATCAAAAGAGGCAAAGAAGGCCATTATATAATGGTAAAGGGATCAATTCAGCAAGAACAGCTAACTACCTAAATATGTATGCATCCAATACAGGAGTACCCAGATTCATAAAGCAAGTCCTTAGAGACCTACAAAGAGACTTAGACTCCCACACAATAATAATGGGAGATTTTAACACCCCACTCTCAACATTAGACAGAACAATGAGAGAGAAAGTTAACAAGGATATCCAGGAATTAAACTCAGCTCTGCACCAAGAAGACCTAATAGACATCTACAGAACTCTCCACCCCAAACCAACAGAATATACATTCTTCTCAGCACCACATCACACTTATTCCAAAATTGACTACATAGTTGGAAGTAAAGCACTCCTCAGCAAATGTAAAAGAACAGAAATTATAACAAACTGTCTCTCAGACCACAGTGCAATCAAACTAGATGCAGGATTAACAAACCCACTCAAAACCGCTCAGCTACATGGAAACTGAACAACCTGCTCCTGAATGACTACGGGGTACATAACGAAATGAAGGCAGAAATAAAGATGTTCTTTGAAACCAATGAGAACAAAGACACAACATACCAGAATCTGTGGGACACATTAAAAGCAGTGTGTAGAGAGAAACTTATAGTACTAAATGCCCACAAGAGAAAGCAGGAAAGATCTAAAATTGACACAGTAACATCACAATTAAAAGAACTAGAGAAACAAGAGCAAACACATTCAAAAGCTAGCAGAAGGCAAGGAATAACTGAGATGAGAGCAGAACTGAAGGAGATAAGAGACACAAAAAAACCCTTCAAAAAGTCAAACCAGGAGCTGGTTTTTAGAAAAGATCAACAAAATTGATAGACTGCTAACAAGACTAATAAAGAAGAAAAGAGAGAAGAATCAAATAGATGCAATAAAAAATGATAAAGGGGATATCACCACCAATCCCCAAAAATGCAAACTACCATCAGAGAATACTATGAACACCTCTACGCAAATAAACTAGAAAATCTAGAAGAAATGGATAAATTCCTGGACACATACACCCTCCCAAGACTAAACCAGGGAGAAGATGAATCCATGAATAAACCAATAAAAGGCTCTGAAATTGGAATTGAGGCATAATTAATAGCATACCAACCAAAAAATCCAGGACCAGACAGATTCACAGCCAAATTCTACCAGAGGTACAAAGAGGAGATGGTACCATACCTTCTGAAACTGTTCTAATCAATAGAAAAGGAGGGAATCTTGCCTAACTCATTTTATGAGGCGAGCATCAACCTGATACCCAAGCCTGGCAGAGACACAACAAAAAAAGAGAATTTTAGACCAATATCCCTGATGATCGTCGATGCAAAAATCCTCAATAAAATACTGGCAAACAGAATCCAGCAGCACATCAAAAAGCTTATCCACCATGATCAAGTGGGCTTCATCTTTGGGATGCAAGGCTGGTTCAACATACACAAATCAATAAATGTAATCCATCATATAAACAGAACCAAAGACAAAAACCACATGATTATCTCAATAGATGCAGAAAAGGCCTTTGACAAAATTCAACAACACTTCATGCTAAAAACTCTCAATAAACTAGGTATTGATGGGACATATCTCCAAATAATAAGAGCTATTTATGACAAACCCACAGCCAATATCATACTGAATGGGCAAAACCTGGAAGCATTCCCTTTGAAAACTGGAATAAGACAGGGATGCCCTCTCTCACCACTCCTATTCAACATAGTTTGGAAGTTCTGGCCAGGGCAATCAGGCAGGAGAAAGAAATAAAGGATATTCAATTAGGAAAAGAGGAAGTCAAATTGTACCTGTTTGCAGATGACATGATTGTATATTTAGAAAACTCCATCTCAGCCCAAATCTCCTTAAGCTGATAAGCAACTTCACCAAAGTCTTAGGATACAAAATCAATGTGCAAAAATCACAAGCATTCCTATACACCAATAACAGACAAACAGAGAGCCAAATCATGAG
The DNA here is from genome assembly GCF_000001405.40 of Homo sapiens. Classification (NCBI taxonomy): domain Eukaryota; kingdom Metazoa; phylum Chordata; class Mammalia; order Primates; family Hominidae; genus Homo; species Homo sapiens. The sequence continues at coordinate 44,304,228 of NC_000018.10, forward strand.
TGAACTCCCATTCACAATTGCTTCAAAGAGAATAAAATACCTAGGAATCTAACTTATAAGGGATGTGAAGGACCTCTTCAAGGAGAACTACAAACCACTGCTCAACGAAATAAAAGAGGACACAAACAAATGGAAGAACATTCCATGCTCATGGATAGGAAGAATCAATATCATGAAAATGGCCATACTGCCCCAGGTAATTTATAGATTCAATGCCATCCCCATCAAGCTACCAATGACTTTCTTCACAGAACTGGAAAAAACTACTTTAAAGTTCATATGGAACCAAAAAAGAGCCTGCATTGCCAAGACAATCCTAAGCAAAAAGAACAAAGCTGGAGTCATCACGCTACCTGATTTCAAACTATACTACAAGGCTACAGTAACCATAACAGCATGGTACTGGTACCAAAACAGAGATATAGACCAATGGAACAGAACAGAGCCCTCAGAAATAATACCACACATCTACAGCCATCTGATCTTTGACAAACCTGACAAAAACAAGAAATGAGGAAAGGATTCCCTATTTGATAAATGGTGCTGGGAAAACTGGCCAGCCATATGTAGAAAGCTGAAACTGGATCCCTTCCTTACATCTTATAGAAAAATCAATTCAAGATGGATTAAAGACTTACGTGTTAGACCTAAAACCATAAAAACCCTAGAAGAAAACCTAGGCAATACCATTCAGGACATAGGCATGGGCAAGGACTTCATGACTGAAACACCAAAGGTAATGGCAACAAAAGCCAAAATTGACAAATGGGATCTAATTAAACTAAAGAGCTTCTGCACAGCAAAAGAAACTACCAGCAGAGTGAACAGGCAACCTACAGAATGGGAGAAAATTTTTGCAATCTACCCATCTGACAAAGGGCTAATATCCAGAATCTACAAAGAACTTGAACAAATTTACAAGAAAAAATCAACCCCATCAAAAATTGGGCAAAGGACATGAACAGACACTTCTCAAAAGAAGACATTTATGCAGCCAACAGACAGATGAAAAACTGCTCATCATCACTGACCATCAGAGAAATGCAAATCAAAACCGCAATGAGATACCATCTCACACCAGTTAGAATTGTGATCATTAAAATGTCAGGAAACAACAGGTGCTGGAGAGGATGTGGAGAAATAGGAAAACTTTTACACTGTTGGTGGGACTGTAAACTAGTTCAACCATTGTGGAAGAAAGTGTGGCGATTTCTCAAGGATCTAGAACTAGAAATACCATTTGACCCAGCCATCCCATTAATGGGTATATACCCAAAGGATTATAAATCATGCTGCTGTAAAGACACATGCACACGTATGTTTACTGCCGCACTATTCACAATAGCGAAGACTTGGAACCAACTCAAATTTCCATCAATGATAGATCGGATTAAGAAAATGTGGCACACATACACCATGGAATACTATGCAGCCATAAAAAATGATGAGTTCATGTCTTTGGAGGGACATGGGTGAAGTTGCAAACCGTCATTCTCAGCAAACTATTGCAAGGACAAAAACCCAAACACTGCATGTTCTCACTCATAGGGAGGAATTGAACAATGAGAACACTTGGACACAGGGTGGGGTACATCACACATGGGGGCCTGTCATGGGGTGGGCGGAGGGGGTCAGGGATAGCATTAGGAGATATACCTAATGTAAATGACGAGTTACTGGGTGCAGCACACCAACATGGCACATGTATACATATGTAACAGACCTGCACGTTGTGCACATGTACCCTAGAACTTAAAATATTTAAAAAAGTTAAAGTTATTCACACATTAATAAAAAAAGAATAATTATATGAGTATCTCTATAGAGTCAACAAAAAATTATTTAGCTAAATACCTATTCATGATTTTTAAAAAATTTCAGCAAACTAAAAATTTAAGAAATTTAATTAGCTGATGAAAAATATTTATAAAATCTACCAGAGACATCATATTTATTTATTTTTACATTCAGGAGGGTACATGTTCAGGTTTGTTACATGAATATATTACATAAAGGTGAGGCTGGAGCCTCTAGTATACTCATCACCCAAACAGTGAACATTGTATCCAATTGATAATCGTTTTAACTCTCACCCTCCTTTCCATCCTCTCCACTTCTGGAGTCCCCAGTACCTATTATTTCCATCTTTATGTCTGTATGGAACTATTATTCAGCTCCCAGTTATAAGTGAGAATATACTGTATTTGATTTTCTGTTTCTGAGTAATTTTTCATAGGATAATGGCCACCAGCTCCTTCATGTTGCTGCAAAGGACACGATTCCTTACTTTTTTATGTCTACAGAATATTCCATGATATCTATATATATATATATTTTTTTGAGGCAGAGTTTCACTCTTGTTGCCCAGGCTGGAGTGCAATGGTGCAATCTCAGCTCACCACAACCTCCACCTCCCAGGTTCAAGTGATTCTCCTGCCTTATCCTCCCTAGGAGCTGGGATTACAGGCATGTGCCACCATGCCCGGCTAATTTTGTATTTTTTAGTAGAGACGGGGTTTCTCCATGTTGGCCAGGCTAGTCTCAAACTCCCGACCTCAGGTGATCCGCCCGCCTCGGCCTCTCGAAATGCTGGGATTACAGGCATGTGCCACCATGCCCGGCTAATTTTGTATTTTTTAGTAGAGACGGGGTTTCTCCATGTTGGCCAGGCTAGTCTCAAACTCCCGACCTCAGGTGATCCGCCCGCCTCGGCCTCTCGAAATGCTGGGATTACAGGCATGAGCCACCGCGCCCAGCGAATATCTATGTATCTATATACATAGATATATAGATATACATATATACCTGTATATATCTATATATCTATATATACCTATATCTATCTATCTATACACCACATTTTCCTGATTGAATCAATTGTTGATGGCCACTTAAGTTGATTCCATGACTTTTCTATTGTGCAAAGTGCTGTGATAAACATTTAAGTGCAGGCAACTTTTTAATATACTGATTTCTTTTCCTTTGGATAGACGCCCAGTAGTGAGATTGCTGGGTAGAATAGTGATTCTATCTTTAGTTCCTTGAGAAATCTCCATATTGTTTTCAACAGAGGTTGTAATAATTTATATACTCACCTACAGTGTCAAGGGTTCCCTTTGGTCTGTGTCAACATGAACCTCAGTTGATTTTTGACTTTTTACTAATAACCATTCTGACTGGCATAAGATGATATCTCATTGTAGTTTTCATTTGTATTTCTATGATGATTAGTGATATTGAACATTTTTTGTTTTTTGACCCCTTGTATTCTTTTGAGAAGTGCCTGTTTATGTCATTTGCCCACTTTTTAAAGGGATTGTTTATTTTTTTCTTGTTGAGTTGAGTTAATTGTAGATTCCAAATATTCTTTTTCAGAAACATAATTTGCAAATATTTTCTCCCATTCTGTAGGTTGTCTCTTTACTCCATTGATTCTTTTGCTGTGCAGAAGCTTTGTAGTTTAATTAAGCCCATTTTCCTATTTTTATTTTAGTTGCATTTGCTTTGGGGGTCTTGGTTATAAATTCTTAGCTTAGGCCAATATCCAGAAAAGTTTTTTTATAGGGTTTTTTCTAGGACTTTAATACTTTCAGGTATTACATTTAAGTCTTTAATCCATCTTGAGTTGATTTTCCTGTGTGGCAAGAGATAGGGGTTCAGATTCACTCTTTTGCATTATTGTATATAGCTAGCCAATTTCCCCAGCATCATTTACTGAATAGGGTGTCCTTTTCCCATTGTTTACTTTTTCCAAATTTGTCAGATCAGTTGGTTTTAGGTATGTGACTTTATTTCTACGTTCTCTACTCTGTTCCATTGATTTATGTGTCTATTTTTGTACTGGTACTATGCTGTTTTAGTTACTACAGCTTTGTAGCATAATTTGAAGTTAAGTAATGTGATGCATTTGGCTTTCTTATTTTTGCTTAGAATTAATTGTAATATTCAGGCTCTTTTTTCAATCAATATGAAATTTGGAATTATTTTTTCTAATTCTGTGAAGAAGAATGACATTGGTAATTTTATTGAAATTGTGTTGAATCTGTAGATTGCTTCAGGCAGTATGGTCATTTTAATTATATGAATGCTTCCAATATATGAGCATGAGATTTTCTTTTATTTTTTGTGTCATCTATTTCTTTCATCAGTATTTTGTAGTTCTTGTAGAGGACTTTTATCTAATTGGTTAAATGTATTCCTGGGCATTTCAATCTTTTTATGGCTATTGTAAAGAGGATTGAGTTCTTGATTTGGTTTTCAGCCTAAATATTATTGGTGTATAGAAATGCTAGCCATTTTTGTACGTTGATTTTCTATCCTGAAACTTTGCTGAAATTGTTTATCAAGTCTAGCAGTCTGTTGGAAGGGTTTTTAGAATTTTTTAGGGATAAGATTATGTGATCAGCAAACAGAGATAATTTGACTTCCTCTTTCCCAATTTGGATGCCCTTTATTTATTTATCTTGCATGATTGCTCTGGCTGACTTTTAATACTGTGTTGAATAGGAGTAGTGAAAGTAGATATCCTTGTCTTGTTTCAGTTCTCAGGGGGAATGCTTTCAACTTTTCCCCTTTCCATATGATCTTAGTTGTGAGTTTGTGATATATGGCTCTTATTACTTTGAGGTATGTTCCTTCAATGCATAGTTTGTAAAGGGGTTTTATCATGAAGTGATGTTAGATTTTATTGAATGATTTTTCTGCATCTATCAAAACTATCATATGGTTTTTGCTTTTAATTCTTTTTTGTGATGACTCACATTTATTGATTTGCAAAAATTGAAACATCCTTGCATCCCTGGAATAAAATCTACTTGGTTACAATGAATTATCTTTTTGGTGTGCTGTTGGATTTGGTTTGCTAGTATTCTTTCAAAGATTTTTGCATCTATGTTCATCAGGAATATTGGCTTGTAAGATTTTGTTGTTGTTATGTCCTTGCCTGATTTTGGTATTCTGATAATAATGGTTTCATAGAATGAGTTAGGGAGAAATCGCTTCTCCTCAGTTTTTTAGAATAGTTTCAATAAGATTGGTGCCATCCCTTCTTTGTACATTTAGTAAAATACAGCTGTGACTCAGTCTTGCCATGAGCTTATTTTTGTTTAAAAATGTTTTATTACTGATTCAATTTCATTACTCATTATTGTTTGTTCAGGATTTCTATTTCTTCCTTGTTCAATCTTGGGAAATTGTATGTTCCAGGAATTTATCCACTTCCTCTGGGTTTTCTAGTTTGTGCACACAGAAATGTTCACGGTAATCTCAAAAAATCTTTGGTATTTCAGTAATATCTGTTGTAATGTCACTTTTTTTCTTTCCTGATTATGCCTGTTTGAATCTTCTTTTTTCTTGTTGAAACTAGCTAGTAGCCTCTCAATCTTGTTTATCCTTTCAAAAACAAAATTTGGGGCTTTTGATTATTTGTATAGATTTTTTGGCCTCAATCTCACTTAGTTATGCTTTAATCTTTGCTGTTTCTTCTATTCTGCCAGATTTAGGTTTGAAAATTTCTTGCATTTCTAGTTTCTTTTGATGTGATTTTAGGTTGTTAATTCAATTTTTTTTTATCTTTTTGATGTAGGCATTTAACACTATGAACTTTCCTCAGTACTACTTTTTCTTTATCCCAGAGTTTTTGGTATGTTATGTCTCTATTTTCTTTCATTTCAAGGATTTTCTTGCTTATGCCTTAAAATTTTTCCTTTTTACACAAAAGTCATTCAGAAGTAAGTTATTTACTTTCCATGTATTTCTGTAGTTTTGAGAGCTCCTCTGGGTATTGCCTTCTCACCGTGTTCCAAGAAAATTCTTGATATGATTTTTTGCATGTTTTTAGTTTATTGAGACTTGCTTTATGGTCAAGCATATAGTCAATAGTGGAGAATTTTCCATGTGCAGAAGAGAAAATTGTATATTCTGCAGTTGTTAGGTAGAATGTTCTAGAAATGTCTATTAAGTCTATTTGGTCTAGAATCTATTTTATGTTTAGAGTGTCTTTGTTGACTATCTGAACTTAATGACCTGTTTAGTGTTGACAATGGGGCATTGAAATCCCCCACTATTAATATATTGCTCTTAATCCCTTTTCTTATGTCTAGCAGTATTTGTTTTATGAATCTGGGTGTTTGATGTTGGATGGATATATGTTTAGGACATTTAAATCTTGTTGTGCTAAACGTTTTATCATTATATGATGCTGTTCTTTGTCTTCTTTTACTGTTGTTGGTTTAGAGTGTTTTACCTGATCTAAAAATGGCCAATTCTGCAGACTTTTGTTTTCAGTTTAATATATCTTCTTTCACTCCTTTACCTTAAGCCTGCATAATATCTTGTAGGGAGCAGAAGATTGACTTTTCTTTTTCATCCAGTTTCTTAGTCTATATTTTTTTTCAGTGGAGAATTTAGGCCATTTATGTTCAAGGTTAATGTTGATATGTGAGGTTTATTCCTGTCATAGAGTTATTAGCTAGTTGTTTTGTAGAGAGACATCTTTAATGATAAACTTTTGATAGCTTTCCTCCTAAGACTGGGAATGAAACATGAGTGAAAATTACCCCTTTTATTCAGTACTTTAAGAGTTTCTAACCAGGTCAATGAAACAAGAAAAACAACCAAAAAGTTGTAATTATTGCAAAGAAAGAAATAGAAAATGTCAGTAATTTTAGACAAGATAAATGTGCATGTAAAAAATTCACAATAATCTACAGAAAATTATTCAATTAAATAATTGAATTTATCAAGGTTACTAGATAAAAAGAGGAATTTTATTCTATATATCAGCAACAAAGAGAAAAATAACTTTAATAAAATTTATTTTTATTGTAACAGAAAAAAGCAATGTTTTATTCTGAAAATGACACAATATTAATGCCTAAATCAAAGATGACAATAAATAGATAAATACCATATTCATTTATTGGATGATTTAACATGATAAATTGATTTATAACTTCAACATAATCTCAATACAATAATTTTTTAAAACTTAGAAATTTGGGGGGGTACCAGAGAAATTAATAAGCTGTTTCTAAAATTCATATGGAATTTTTTTTTATTATACTTTAAGTTTTAGGGTACATGTGCACAATGTGCATGTTTGTTACATATGTATACATGTGCCATGCTGGTGTGCTGCACCCAGTAACTCATCATTTAGCATTAGGTATATCTCCTAATGCTATCCCTCCCCCCTCCCTTCACCCCACAACAGTCCCCGGTGTGTGATGTTCCCCTTCCTGTGTCCATGTGTTCTCATTGTTCAATTCCCACCTATGAGTGAGAACATGCAGTGTTTGGTTTTTTGTTCTTGCGATAGTTTGCTGAGAATGATGTTTCCAGCTTCATCCGTGTCCCTACAAAGGACATGAACTCATCATTTTTTATGGCTGCATAATATTCCATGGTGTATATGTGCCACATTTTCTTAATCCAGAGTATCATTGTTGGACATTTGGGTTGGTTCCAAGTCTTTGCTATTGTGAATAGTGCCGCAATAAACATACGTGTGTGTGTGTCTTTACAGCAGCATGATTTATAGTCCTTTGGTTATATACCCAGTAATGGGATGGCTGGGTCAAATGGTATTTCTAGTTCTAGATCCCTGAGGAATCGCCACACCGACTTCCACAAAGGTTGAATGAGTTTACAGTCCCACCAACAGTGTGAAAGTGTTCCTATTTCTCCACATCCTCTCCAGCACCTGTTGTTTCCTGACTTTTTAATGATCACCATTCTAACTGGAGTGAGATGGTATCTCACTGTGGTTTTGATTTGCATTTCTCTGATGGCCAGTGATGATGAGCATTTTTTCATGTGTTTTTTGGCTGCATAAATGTCTTCTTTTGAGAAGTGTCTGTTCACATCCTTCGCCCACTTTCTGATGGGGTTGTTTGTTTTTTTCTTGTAAATGTGTTTGAGTTCATTGTAGATTCTGGATATTAGCCCTTTGTCAGATGAGTAGGTTGCAAAAATTTTCTCCCATTCTGCAGGTTGCCTATTCACTCTGATGGTGGTTTCTTTTGCTGTGCAGAAGCTCTTTAGTTTAATTAGATCCCATTTGTCAATTTTGGCTTTTGTTGCCATTGCTTTTGGTGTTTTAGACATGAAGTCCTTGCCCATGCCTATGTCCTGAATGGTATTGCCTAGGTTTTCTTCTAGGGTTTTTATGGTTTTAGGTCTAACATGTAAGTCTTTAATCCATCTTGAATTAATTTTGATATCAGGTATAAGGAATGGATCCAGTTTCAGCTTTCTACATGTGGCTAGCCAGTTTTCCCAGCACCGTTTATTAAACAGGGAATCCTTTCCCCATTGCTTGTTTTTGTCGGGTTTGTCAAAGATCAGATAGTTGTAGATTTGCAGCATTATTTCTGAGGGCTCTGTTCTGTTCCATTGGTCTATATCTCTGTTTTGGTACCAGTACCATGCTGTTTTGGTTACTGTAGCCTTGTAGTATAGTTTGAAGTCAGGTAGCATGATGCCTCCAGCTTTGTTCTTTTGGCTTAGGATTGACTTGGCAATGCGGGCTTTTTTTTTGGTTCCAATTCATATGGAATTTTAAAGGCCAAGAATAGACAAAGCAATCTTAAAGAAGAATGGTTTTGATTTCCATTTCTCCAATGAACAGTGATGAGGAGCTTTTTTTCACATGTTTGTTGGCCACATAAACATCTTCTTTTGAGAAGTTTCTGTTCATATCCTTCGCCCATTTTAACATAAAGTATAATTTAAAAAAATATATCAATATGATACCCTGAGATACAAAGGAAAAACAAAATGAAAGCTACTTAAAATAAAACACATGTTTCAACATTATGTGCTTAGACACCGCTACAGTAGAGGATATAATAATGTAGTTTTATGCTTGAACTTGAACATTGAGCCACAGTGAATATCACAGGCTTGAACACAGACTGATATAGGGGTTTTATGTGGTGATTTAAATATCAACCAAATAAAGTATGGGGGGGAAGGTCTTAAATAGATTATTCACAAAAAGGGATATTCAAGTGACCAACAATTAGATTAAAAGTTACTTAAGTAGCTTAATTCTATTAGTCTACAAGAATATGCAAATCAAAATCACAAATGAAATACCCCTCATAGATGAACAGAATGATTAAAATGAAAAATGCAATACCCAGTATTTGTAAAGATATGGGACAGTCAGAAATATACATAACTGGTAGGAGAGTAAATTGGTACAACTTTGGAAAACTCTTTGACAGAGTCTACTAAGTATATGCATTTTCTATGGCACCACAATTCAACTTTTTTCTGTATACCCAATAGACCCATGGACATCTGTTCATTAAAAGATAAGTATACTAATTTTCACAGAACCACTGTTTACAGTAACAAAAACAACAACAATAACTAAAACTACCAAATACCCTTCAACACAATACCATTAGCACAACAACAGCAGAATGGATTGGTATAATTTTTGCATATTTATACAATGTAACAATATCCAGAAATTAGAATAAATGTATACAACTGCAAAGAACTATATGGATTAATCTCACAAATTATGTTTAACAAACCATACACTATAGACCATACAAATAATACAAGTAGTATACATGGCATGATTCATTTTATATAAAATAAGACAACATAGGGAAAAATCTGTCTTTTATGCTATTAGAAGTCAGGATATTCATTACTCTGGTACAAATAATGATGTGAACCAAATTCACAGAGCCCTTATAGGGGTGATAATAATGTTTTTGTGTTGACTTGGAAGCTATGTGTGGGTTTTTTCAGTTTGAAGAATTACGATACTTTTTTCTATATGTATATTACATTTAATAAAAATGTTAATATATACTGAAAAAGAAATTAATTGAACAAAGGGAAAGAAAGTAAAAGGAAGTTATACTATATGCAGATTGAAGCACATGAAAGTGGAGTGTTTATATTTCTAACAGCAAGATATAAGCTAGTATGTGAACAAAAAGCAAAAGTGATATTTCTAAATGTTAGAAGGATCATTTCATCAAACACACAATTATAGAAAGGTATATGCCTAATAACAGAGATTCAAAATAGATAAAGCAAAACAGAAATAAAGAAGAAAACAGACAAATCTATAATCACAGTTAGATTAGGACATGACTCTTATAGTTACTTATATCTACACCAAAAAAATCAGTAGATGATGATGTGAACAACACTAGCAACCCCTTTGATAGAAGTTTTTACGTTTATATAATAGTACACCTTAGTGTAGAATACAACTCCTTTTTAAGAGCACATATTGGCTGGGCATGGTGGCTCACGCCTGTAATTCTAGCACTTTGGGAGGCTGAGGCGGTCAGATCACTTGAGGCCAGGATTTGGAGACAAGCCTAGCTAACATGGTAAAATCCTGTCTCTATTAAAAATACAAAATTTAGCCAGGTGTAGTGGCACACCTGTAATCCCAGCTACTTGGGAGGCCGAGGTGGGAGAATCACTTGAACCTGGGAAGTGGAGGTGGCAGTGTGCTGAGATCCTTCCACTGCCCTCCAGCCTAGGCAACAGAGCAAGACCCTGTCTCAGAAAAAAAAAAAAAAAAAAAGCACATGTAACATTAACTGAAAGAGACCATATACTGGAGAACGCTAGAAAAATTTCAAGAGTTGTTTTTTTTTTTTTTTTTTTTTTTTTTGAGACAGAGTCTGATTCTGTTGCCGGTCTGGAGTGCAGTGGCGGATCTTGGCTCACTGCAACCCCTCCACCTCCCGGGTTCAAGCGATTCTCCTGCCTCAGCCTCCCGAATAGCTGAGACTACAGGCGTGTGCCACCATGCCTGGCTAATTTTTGTATTTTTAGTAGAGATGGGGTTTCACCATGTTGGCCAGGATGGTCTCATCTCTTGACCTCATCATCCGCCCACCTCGGCCTCCCAAAGTGCTGGGATTACAGGCTTGAGCCACCGTGGCTGGCCGAGTTGATTCCCTAAAAACAATGAAAATTTCACGTATGAATAAAAGCTTCATATATTGGAAATTAAAAAAAAATAGACTTCTAAATAACCTCTGCCAAAGATGAAATTACAGTGAAAAAGTATTTTTAAATGAATGATTGAATCTCACGACATATTGTAATTTGTAGGATCATACTAAAGTAGTACTTAAAGAGATGTTTATAGCAAAATGCCAACATTAGGAAAAAAGACGACTCTAGAATTAATTATGTATGTGTATATCTTAAGATGACAGAGAAAAGGTGAGCAAATTAAAGCCAAAGTAAGCAACAGGGAGAAATAAAGATGTGTGAAAGTTAGTGAAATAGGAAAGAAAATCATTTAAAAATCCAGAAGTTGGTAGTTTGACAAGATTTATATGATTAATAAGCACCTAATAATACTGATAAATATTGGAGTAGAAGATAACGTATCTCTACAGATCTGAAAGGCAAATCCTAGGGAAATATTATGAGCCGTTTTATGACATTAATTGGTCAACTTAGACGAAATTAATGCATTTCTTCAACTAAGCCATACAGACAAAAAACATAAAATATGAATAGCTCTATACTCATGAAAAAGTTATATTCTCAGACAATTCTAGACTTCTTATTTCTTTCTTTTTTTTTTTTTTTTCAGACGGAGTCTCGCTCTGTCACCCAGGCTGGAGTGCAGTGGCCCAATCTTGGCTCACTGCAAGCTCCGCCTCTTGAGTTCACACCATTGTCCTGCCTCAGCCTCCTGAGTATCTGGGACTACAGGTGCCCGCCACCACACCCAGCTAATTTTTCATATTTTTAGTAGAGACGGGGTTTCACCGTGTTAGCCAGGATGGTCTCAATCTCCTGACCTCGTGATCCGCTCGCCTCGGCCTCCCAAAGTGCTGGGATTACAGGCGTGAGCCACCGCACCCGGCCTAGACTCCTTATTTCATTATGTCATTGGTAAATTATATCAAACTTTTAATAAAAAACAATACCATTCTTTTTTTTTTTTTTTTTTTTGAGATAGAGTCTTACTCTTACCTAGGCTGGAGTGCAAATAGCACAATCTTGGCTCACTGCAACCTCCTCCTCTCAGGTTCAAGTGATTTTCCTGCCTCGCGCGCACCACCATGCCTGGTTAATTTTTGTATTTTTAGTAGTGAACGGGGTTCACCATGTTGGCCAGGCTTGTCTCAAACTCCTGACCTCAAGTGATCTGCCTGCCTCGGCCTCCCAAAATGCCGGGATTATAGGTGTGAGCCACCGCTCCTGGCCAACAATACCATTCTTATAAGAATGTTTTCAGAAGAGACAGAAAATACTTTCCATTTTATGAAATAAACAATGCCTTGAAAAAGAGTGAAAAATACTTTAAAAATATATAAATTAATAATATTCTTAATGAGAATATACATATAATTCTCAGCAAAATACTAGCAAATTAAATTAAGCAATAAATACTTTGTGGGGGGTGATCCTATGAATGTAAGATTGGTTTAAATTTTTTAAAAAGTCAATGTATTCAATCTTACAGAATAAAATATATATCATAATCTAAATAGATGCAAAAAAATATGATAAAATGCAACAACATTTCAGCAGTCTTGGAACAGAGGCAACTTCATCAATCTGATAAAAGGGTATTGATGAAAAACTGGCAGCCAACATCATTCTTAATGGTGAAACACGGAATGCTTTTTTGTTAAGGTAGGACACAAGTCAAGGATTCTCACACTCATCAGGTCTATTCAATGTTCGATCTAAAGAGTGAAATAAAGCAAGAATTATTTTTAAAATAAAAGCCTTAACAATTGAAAAGTAAACATAAAGCTAACACCAAAAATTGTCAGTGGACAAAATCCTAAACACTGTACAAAACATCTAATTACTAAATAAGCTAAATTAATACATAATTCCAGCTGCATCACAGGATACAAGGTCAAAGTACAACTATCAATTGTAGTTTTATGTACTAATAGAATACAATTGGAAAATAACCAGAATTCCATGTCAAATAGCATCAAAAACATAATTTATCAGAAATTAATTTAAAAACCAACCTCTCTACACTAAAAATGAAAAAACTTAAGGAAAAGATAAAAAGTTAAAGAGTAAATAAATGTTAGTTAAAATGTAATAACTCAGCAAAAACTACTTTGGAAAATATAAATAAATATTGTTTTTGCCAAATGAAAACAGCAGAAACACAGAAGCTGACAGAGTCCTTAAACTGAAAATTTATATTAAATTAAAATTAATTTTTCATATGAAAACCATAATATAGTCATATTTAATTTAAAATACATGTTATTTGAAAATATTACAAGTGACTGGTATCTGAAATTAAAATGTTGAAAGTCATTTTCTAGTGAGAGGGTAACAGTACTAATTGGGCACAGAGAATGAAAAGCTGAGAGATGGAGAGGGAATGAGCAACACTGGCCAACTTTAAATTCCTAGGTCTAGTTGAACCTGGTGCTCAGCTGCATGCTTTCCCACACACAGTTTAGCTCTCTTTAAAAAGTTGTCATTAATAACAACAAATGATAGGAGCTCCTATCATTTGAAGTAACAGAAAAGTTATTTTTATTTCTAGTTTGGGCCTGATCTTTTGTGACTAATGGGAGCTTAGAGTTACTTAAATAAATAAATAAAATATGAAGATTACCATATCTACTTGGAAAGATGCTTGTGGGCATTAGAAACCATATAAGGAAAATATTATTATTGCACTATTGCTATATAGCATCTTTGTACTTAGACAAAAGTCAAACATAAACGTGACTCTCTCTTTCCTCAAAATATGAGGAAAAATGAGGTGGAGAATGAGCTCCTAGCCATGATCGAAAATTGTTTGTGCTGCATTGAGTCTCTGAGTGTTTTATGACCTTGCCCTGTTCTTGGGTTCAGGGTAAAATCTAAGTTTAGTTGACTCTACAAGTGCTTAAATGCCACGCTGAGGTCTCCCATGCAGAGCTTCAAACATTTGACTCTCAGATATGAAATACAATTGCTTGAGGACATAAAATTTTCCTTAGAAAACTAATTTGTGCCATTGGAAATGCACAAGATGAATAAGGAAATGTTTGTGCTTCACAGCAGTGCAAAAGAAAGGAAGTAAGAAATGCACGTGTGGGCAGATGGCAAACTGGATTCCCTTTTAGCACTAAATCCATGCTCAAATTTTTTTTGAGACAGAGTCTCGCTCGGTCACCCAGGCTGGGGTGCAGTGGCACAATCTCCACACACTACAACCTCTGTCTCCTGGCGATTCTCCTGCCTCAGCTTCCTGAGTAGCTGGAATGACAGGTGTGCACCACCACTCCTGGCTACATTTTTTTTTTTTGTATTTTTAGTGGAGACAGGGTTTCTCCATGTTGGCCAAGCTGGTCTGAACTCCTGACCTCAGGTGATCCACCACCTTGGCATCCCAAAGTGCCCACCCGCCTTGGCCTCCCAAAGTGCTGGGATTACAGGTGTGAGCAACCATGCCTGGCTGAAATTCTTAAATTTGATTCTACCCCAGATTTAAACATTTTCCTAATTTTTCCCTACCTGCCCCCCAAACTCTCAATTATTTTGCTATGTCTTATGAGAACTCTCAAGCCCCTAAAAGAAATGCAAAACATAGTTTGAGATGATATTTTAATAGAGGAAATATTCTCACTTAATGATTTCAGAAATAGCAATGTTTTCAGGAGCATCAATAAGAAGAAATAGATCTTAAACATATTAGAAGGTAGATCTCCAGCCCATCACATTCAACCAGTCTGGATGTACCAGTTGAACTGAAAATCCAGCTAAAAGGAGCTTCTGCAAGAAATATCAGAGTTGCACATCAATTGCATCGTTTCATAGCACATCAGGATTGCTTAGATATAACCTGAAGATTTTGAAGTCCAAGGTGCAATAACAATATTTTCCTTATATTGTTTCTAATGCCCACAAGCATCTTTCCAAGTAGATCATCTTCAAATGTCATCCTACATCATCTACAGAATCTTTAGGTTGAATAAAGTCTTAGATGTTAAATGTGTCCCTCAAGTCATCTTTCCTCTAGTATTCCTGAGAAGTGGTCTATAGGCTTAGGCTTAAATGCCTTCAGTAACAGGTTGCTTATTTATTTGACAAGGCATATTGTTCCTTGGTTAGACAGCTCTAATTGTTGGGAAGTTCCTCCTCAAATTGAGGCAAAATCATCCTCCCTGTAAATCCCACTCACTGGTCCTCATCCTGATTTCCAGTGCAATAGAGAATGAATTGACTCTCCCCCTTCAACTGACAGCCCCTTTGTGTGGGCAGGCTGACTCTTCAGTTGACTGTACAGTATAGGGTGACATGGCACTGTCATTTAGTCTGAAAGCCTGGGTTCAATTTTCCAGTCTTAGTTGTCACTTCCTAATGCCAAATCACTTATATCTCTGAACCTTGGAGACTTGGGCTGCAAATCTGTATAATATAGATAAGGATATATGTGTTATACCTTTCCCTTGGTTCTTGCATGAATTACATTGAGAGGATCTGTGTGAATGTACTTTCAACTCTTATATACACTGCCAATAGAAGACATTGCTAGTGAGTCTTAATTCACACTAAATAGTCCATCTTTATTTTCCTGGAGAAGTTAACTTTCATCGTTCTCATATTTATTAGATTTTATTCAGTGAAACGTTTCAGTGCTAAAGTCAAGTTCTCTCTAATTTCCACTGCTCTGTTTAATCCAGCTACCTTTCTTTTCCCTTAGGAAGCATATAGGGCTAAGTTTAATCAAGCCATGTGATACAGTATTCTCTCACTCTAGTTATTTTGTTCACTCATCTGAACCTGAGTGTTTATGTATCATACAAGGTATTATACTTTTCTTATTCTTAATCCATATTAAAATTATCTTCAGTGTAAATGAGTTCATAGCAATAAGGTATGATATTAAAGCCAAAGAGAAAAAAACAATTGCTAAGAGTCCGGAGGCATCTAATTTGTGCTTATTTTCTCTAAATTTTCTTTTCTTTCTTTTTTTTTTTTTTTTTTTTTTTTTTCTTTTTTTGAGAGGGAGTCTCACTCTGTTGCCAGGATGGACTGCAGTGGCGTGATGTTGGCTCACTGCAACTTCCGATTCCCTGGTTCAAGTGATTCTTCTGCCTCAGCCTCCCGAATAGCTGAGATTATAGGCACGTGCCACCACGTCCAGCTAATTTTTGTATTTTTAGTAGAGACGGGGTTTCACAATGTTGGCCAGGATGGTCTCGATCTTCAGATCTCGTGATCCGCCCACCTCGGCCTCCCAAAGTGCTGGGATTACGGGAGTTAGCCACCACGCCCGGCCTATTTTCTCTAAATTTTCGATTGATTTCTTCATTGTAAGCCACGTTTACTTTTTTTTTTTTTTTTTTTCAGAGCCAGCTGAGGTTTTATTTTGAAAAAAAAAAAAAAAATTGAATTGTTTTGTAGCTGGGGGCATGGGCAAGAGGGGTACCCCAGGCAGTAAACTCCCCTACGGGTGGGCTGAGGGCGAGGGCTAAGCCTCAGGTGGGTCTCCTGTTCCCTGTGCTCTCCTGCACAGCAGCCTTTCTCATGGACTCTGGGACAGCCGCAGGAAGGGTAGGCTGACGGGGGCGCTGCCATGGCTGTTCACTTGGGCAGGACATCAGAGGACTCAGGCACTAGCTTCTTATTGCAGGTCTCGATCTTCTTCACAACCACAGCCCTGGTGGAGCTGATGCAGCTGAAGGAGCTGGAGCCCGTGCCAGAGCTAATGCTGGAGCCCAGGCCGGGGCTTGTGAGGCCCTCATAAGCTGAGCTCAGCCCACCAGCATGGCCACTGCTGGTCTTCGTATGGATACTCATTTTCTGCATCCCAGACTCCAGCTGGCTCTCCTCGCCCTCCAGCAGCTTCCTGTAGGTGGCGATCTCAATGTCCAGGGCCAGCTTAATGTTCATCAGCTCCTAGTACTCACGCAGCTGCCATGCCATATCCTGCTTGGCCTGCTACAGGGCGGCCTTCAGCTCGGACAGCTTGGTGTTGGCATCCTTAACGACCAGCTCCCCGAGCTGCTCGGCATCTGCGATGGCGGCCTCCAGGAAAGCCCTCAGGCGTTTGAGGCCCTCAGTCTCAGCCTGGAGTTGGCTCATGTTCCAATTCATCTCGGAGATCTCCGTCTTTGCAGGACGCGGGTCATCCCTGTGCTTCCCAGCCAGCGTCTGCAGCTCCTCATGCTTGATCTGGTACATGCTCTCAGCCTCAGCCTGGCTGCGGTTGGCAATCTCCTTGTACTGTGCCTTGACCTCAGAGATGATACTGTCCATGTCCAGGGAGCAGCTGTTGTCCATGGACAGCACCACAGGTGTGTCCGGAACTGCAGCTCCCGGATCTTCTCTTCATACAGCGGCCTGAGAAAGTTGATCTCGTCAGTCAGCCCTTCCAGGCGAGACTCCAGCTCTACCTTGTTCATGTAAGCTTCATCCGCATGAACGGATGGGGACAAATTCATTCTCTATCTCTATAGGCTTATTGATCTCATCCTCATACTTGTTCTTGAAGTCCTCCACCAGCCCCTGCATGTTGCCAAGCTCCGCCTCCAGCTTCAGCTTCTCCTGGCCCAGTGTCTCCAGCTGCCACCCAAGGTTGTTGATGTAGCTCTGGAACATGTTGTCCATGTTGCTCTGAGCTGTCTTCTGCTGCTGCAGGAGGCTCCACTTGGTCTCCAGCATCTTGTTCTGCTGCTCCAGGAACCGTACCTTGTTGATGAAGGAGGCAAACTTGTTAAGGGTCTTGATCTGCTCTTTCTCCTGGATGCACATGCCCTGGTTGTTGGGGTCCACCTCCAGGTTCAGCAGGCTCTGGTTGACCGTGATGTCAGTGATGGTCCCATACTGCTGGCCAGCCATAGCATCTGCCCAGGCCACCCGTGAAGCTGCTGCTGCCCACTCAGGAGAAGCTCGAGGAGCTGATAGGGCACCAGGCCCACTCGTGTAAGAGTGGCTGCTGAAGGCCAGGGGGCAAGAGGTGGACACCTTGTAGGACTTCTGGGTCACCCTGATGGAAATGGTGGAGGCAGGAGTGGAGGTGGGCAGGCTGAACCAGGCAGAGATTCGAGAAGGAGTGGAGAAGCTGCTTCTAGGTCCACGTTTAAATCTTAAACCCAGAAATATCTGCTTGAGAAATGAGCTAAGCTAAAGTTTAGAGGTTTAATGACTATAATTTCTTTATAGTAAATGACTCAGGACAGTAACTTAATCAGCAAGATTTATGATCCACTTAAAACACATGTGGCTTTGTTCATCATTTCTAGGGAAACATGATTATTAAATCTGATAACATTTGCATATGTAAACTATTATAATTAGGTAAAATTTTCCTCCTTCTCATTCTAAAGGGCATTCACCAGAAGTACTAAGGAAGATTAAACTGTCAGATATAAGTTACATCATAAAATATATGTAAATTAAGTTGTTCAGTATTTTGTTTTGAACATATAACAAGGACTCACTAATAGAAAAAAATGTTAATAGAAATAAAGAGATAAACTTTAGCAAAGGAAAAAAGTGAGAATCAACATGAAAATTTTTAAAATATGAAGAATTAACATCTAGAATTTTCATTGATATTGAGAAATATCAATGAAATGGTCTCAAACTACCAAAACCCAAAGGTCAAGGTTATGTACATGACTTTGGGGCACATTTTACAGGCAGAATAGAACATGGATCAAAATTGGATCAGAATAATGGCTGATCCTAGAAGTCAAAATGATTTGGTTACCAAAATCTAGCAAACAGAAATGATCAGCAATATTCCAACTCTAAAAAGTTTCTTATTGGCAAACCCAATATTAATGTATTAGGAAACAGGGACATGTAGGAAGTAGTCAAATGAGAAATCATTCCAGAAACTCAGATAAGCATCAGGGCATCTGGAGTAGAAACAGGAATTAAGAAAATCTGGGTGCATCAGTTAGAATTAGATTCAGCTTCATAGAATAGATAACTTCAATAAAAAAGTAGTTTAAACATAATAAAAGTTGATCTGTTTCACTTTTTTTTTTTAACAAAAAAGCACAAATATAGGCAATTCAGGACTATTATGAGTAATCCACAAAGTTATCAGTTTATTCTATCTCATCCTCCCTAGGAAAAGACTCTTGTCTTAATGGTTACAAATGACTGCTGGAGCTTCAGCCATCACACAAGCATTTCAGGACATAAGGTAGATAATAAGAACAGAGTTCCTTCTCTATTTAAGGACTCTTCCCAGAAACTACACAAAACATACTCAGTTTCATTTTATTAGACAAAGTGCAGTCATATGGCAACACATTTGCAAGGCAAACTGGGAAATATGCCCAGTTAAACTTAGGGGAAAATGGATATTAGGAGGCAAAGGGCAAACAAATTTAAAATCTGGTTCTGCCATATTCCAGGCTATAATCCCTGCAGCACTGTTTCTCTGAGCATGAATGAGAGTAAAAGGCTGACATTCCTGATAGGATGTCTTTGATAACTTGGGCAATTCCTCCTCAGTCCAATGGTTTATAAACATACCCTGTTAAGCAGAGGGTTAATTTTAGAATATGAGAATCTTAGGACCTACAAGTCAGAGAATGTGTATGAAAGAGAATGATGAGAGGATAGAGAAATATCCAAGTCTGGAGAAAAAGAAGAAAAAGAATTAATAAATGACAAAGATAGAGATGGAGGATAGGAAGGGAGCGAGGGAGGAAAAAGTAGATTCAAAGAATTTAAAAGGATGAGTGAATATGGAAAAGGAAAAAAGCAAGATGAAAAAAAAATGCATGTACCACTTTGCCTGTGAAGTATTGCTGCCTTCAGCTCATTCTCTGTCACTATCCACATGGCTGGGAATATTATTCCGTTATAGGCAATGCATGAGTTTACATAGACATAAAATAATTTAAAATGAAAATGACCATGGAAGTTTTGTGATTCATTTGGAAGAGAAATTTCAAGCATTTCATTTCTTATGAAAAAGAACACTGCAGCTCCCCAGTCTTATGACAGATATCTTTGTGTGCTGGGTCTGACCTGGCAGTCAAGCAGGACAATCTAAAATATACAGTGAGAGGGAAGAAAATGAAAGAAAGAATAAAGGAAATGGAGCAATTACATTTTTATCTCATGTAAAATCTGCAATAATCGCTGTAATCTAAAAGCTTTTAGGTCTAAGTTTTGTTTGATGGCTGGATTTGCACTGACACTTGTAGAGAAACGAGAAGTAATACATCCTCCTTCCTGGTACTGGTTGGATGCAGAATAAAACTCCCAGGCAATTTTGGCACTTCTGGTGTTCAGGCCGTGAGTAAATTACTTGCAACATCTTAGACCATTAGAATGATTACAGCAGACTGTAATACACAGTAATAGAAGGCCTAGGGCTGTAAAATTCCTTGATAATGTTTAGTTATGTGCCACTCTGTAGTACCTAGAAATAATTAAGAGAGTTAGTGAGAAAGGACAACTAGTAGTTGGATAGCTATCTCCAATTCAATGAATCAGAGACAGGGTGGATTTCAACAACTGTAACTGTTCTTAAGACTTTCTATTATGAAACTACCAAGAAAAAGATCACAACCTTCTTTTCTTGGTATTTTCCTTAGAAGGGTCTAAATGAGATGTTTAAATACAATTCCTCTTCAGATCCTAACTAAACCAAGCATTCTGGATGTGGCAGAAATAAAGAAAAGAGCCCTTAAACTCTTTATTGAATGCTTTACATTCAATAAAGGGCTTAAGGCCCAGTGGTAAGCTTTGAGAATACACAGTCAGTGAGATGGACTGGGCATCCATGCAAAGTGCTTGAAGTCCTATACCTTGACTTATACCCATGTATTAATATATGGATGGAAAGAACATGAATATGTGGCTCTATGGTCAGGAAATCAAGGGAAATTTGTGGGGAACTGGAAGTCACTGTCATTGAAAATCTGAAGGGAATGGAAACCCGGATATCTCCTGAATCTAAAACCTACCAAGGCAAAAGTTTTGGGAGGTGCTTTTATCATTACTCCATCTACTCTCCTGGAAACTGGAATCTCTGTTCAGTCTAGATGGCAAGGGCTGGTCCAGATTTGAAAATGATATCTTGGACTTAGTTGAGGTTATCTGCAGTCATTTTCACTATGTTTCATTCAGCAAGTAATGCAAATGATATCGTCTCAATCCAGGATATTGCTGGGCCAGTGGATGGCTGCCAGTGCTATCCTTCCGCTTGTAGAGGAAAGCCCAATGTTTCAAGACCTCTTCAACCTGCAGTGAGGAAGGAATGCACCAGTTCAGAGCAAAAGGTGGGCTCATTTCCATCCATACAGTTTTAGGATAGGGCAAAGGGCAGAGAATAGGCACCTCAGCCTAGATCATCTATATCTGACATCCAGGTTCTGGATTCATAACTTCTTGTTAAGCCAGTTTACCTCACCTAGTATTTTTTCTTTTTTGAAAATCAGGAATCAAAGTTTCAGTGTGTCAGATTTGGTCCTGGCTTTCTACAATGTACTCCTAGGCTGAAGTCATAAGAAGGGATCATCTCTAATTTTTATCCAATTTCTAACAATTCCAAGTTCATAAGAAGGGATCATGTTTTATTCTCAACCAATTTCTAACAATTCCAAGTGATATATATACGGGCATTGTCTCTTCAAAATGATATTAGCATATTCATTTCTGTATTCTAAAATATTAAAATGTAAAAATAACACATATATAACAGGTGACATTATGAATGTTAATGCTAACCCTCCCACTGCCAAAAATCTACCTTTAAAACTAACATCATACAGGAACATTCTGTTTTATATATATTCCCTCAGCCGAATCTTGTGCAGACAGTGCTTCAGTTGCAAGCAGATCCTGAAACAATTGTGAATCTGGATGCATTTCATGCTTTACCCCTAAGTTTACTTGTATTTGTGCTGCCCCCTGTAGGCGAGTTTTCAAGCACTGACAGTTGGTTAAACTCACTAAAAACCTCACTGTTAAGGATCTCAAGCAACTTGTGGGGATTATCATTACAAATCTCAGGTTGAAAATTGATCAATAACATTACCACTTGGAACCATAGCACTTACAGTATGACCATGTGATTCTTCCACCTCAGCCTGACAATATCATATTCTCCAGAGAAATAAGAGGCTGCCAAAGATTTCACCTTCTGCAATTTTGTCATAGCAATCTTCTCCTGTCTCTGTTTCCTATTTTGTGTTTTGTGGTTTCTCTGAAATTCCCCCTTACTCCACATCTTTCGACTCCTGATTTCTTATCATTGTTGTGACAACAGCTTGCATTTGTATAATGTCTCTTTCTTCTGCAAAACAGAAAACACAGAAATTATGTGTAAATCTCCAAGAATTCTTGCAACATCATCCATCTGATATGGGGGCAATGAAGAAAAAAAAAAAACAGAAAAACTGAAATTATTTGCTCAAGATGGTGCCATAAGAAGCATTCGCTCCCAGAGCCCAAAAGATGTGTGGTGAATAGGAGGCAAACCCTTGCACAGGGGCTCAGGGGGCCAGGTTCCTATATTGCCCCATTAACTATTTAATCTCTCAGAGCTAATTTCCCTTAAGTAAAAAAAGACAAATTCTCATCTGCCCACCATATACCAATATGGATAAAGGTAATAACTATGTAGAAAAAAGGTTTGCAAACCTTTGAGTGATATAAATATGAGCTATTACTGTTTGTAAATATTGCACCCAAGAATTAAAGATGATTTAAGTTTTTCCATGTTGTATGTAAAATCTAAGAGCATCTGCAACAGTTGTCCTTCAGAGAAAGGCAAAAAAAAAAAAAAGCCGTCGTCTTTTTCACATGTATCCATTTCGTTAAATAATTAATTCAAATCATACATATTCCTTTATACACCAATCCAGTTACGCTTTCAAAAAACTTTGATCACTTCTATCAATTTGTCCTCGTGATATATTTCCTTTGGAAATTTACAAACACACAATGCACAATGTATTTTTCTCTCAGCAGTTTGTTCTGAAAGGCTACTCAAGATTTTAACCATTTTATCTCTTTTATTTATAAGTGTGTCCCGTTACCATATACAGTCACATGTTGCTTAATGATAGCATACATTCTGAGAAATGCATTTTTACAGAATTTTATTATTTCACAAACATCATGGAGGATATTTACAGAAACCTAGAGGGTGTGGTCTATTGCTCCTAAGCTACAAACCTATACAGCATGTTACTGTACTAAATATTGTAGGTAATTATAACACAATGATAAATATTTGTGTAACTAAACAGGAAAGGTAGGACAAAGATATGGTCAAAACAATGTTTAAATGGCACAACTGGATAGGACACTTACCATAAATGGAGCTTGCAGGACTGGACGTTGATCTGGATGAGTCAATGAGGGAGAGGTGAGTGAATGTGAAGCCCTGGATATTATTGGAGACTAATATAGACTTTATAAACACTGTACATCGAGGCTACACTAAATTTATTTTTA
This sequence comes from Homo sapiens, assembly GCF_000001405.40. Taxonomy (NCBI): domain Eukaryota; kingdom Metazoa; phylum Chordata; class Mammalia; order Primates; family Hominidae; genus Homo; species Homo sapiens. Next base: position 44,327,649 of record NC_000018.10, read on the forward strand.
AAATAAAGTAATTATGCTATGATGTCACTAGGCAATAGAACTTTTTCAGCTCTATTACAATCTTATAGGGCCACTGTTGTCATCTATGAGGTCTATCATTTAACAAAACATTGTTTTGTGGTGCATGACCATATTATCAAAAAGCCAAGTTAATAAAAGACAAAAATACAAAGATCTGCACATGTTGAGTAGAATAAACAAGGGGACACATTGTATGGCATTTTCTTGACTGCTCTGGCTAGGAGGGGCTTGCAGAGATGCCAACCAATTTCTTCCTTTTACAGGAGTCTGTAGAAACGGAATTATTGGGAATGTGAAGATGGTACAAAAATCTTGGGATTTTTCTAATCGAAGCATGTGTAGCTCTATTCAGAAATGTTCTACTTTGTACTTTGATATTTTCTCCCTCCCTAATCACACCCACACAAATGAAGCCTATCATCATAGGCTTGATTGAACCTGCATCATATATTTTTGAGAAAATATTTTGGAAATGGTGACAATTTCATACAATCACCTAGATGTTTGTATCTATAGAAATCTGAAGCACTGTCTGAAGGAAAAACAAAGATAACCAGATGACTTCCTTGTTTATTATCATGTAATCAGCTATTTTATAATAATCATAATTTTTTCCTTAGTCTCCTTTCAATAATTTATTGAGGAAAAATGCCTATAACAAGCCCCAAATTGCTCCCAGCTCCCCAAATAATATCACAGCTTCTATCTCAAAAATTACATAAGAGAATGATTATCAAAAAATTAAAATTTGACATTAAATGGCCCTAAGGGCAATAGATACTACTTAAAGAGATTTTTAAAAATATATTAGTACATGGAAGTAAAGCTTTAAAATTACTTGATATACTCAAAAGGGATATTATAATAGTTAGTGCCCCAAATGAAAATGAAAGAATATGAATCTAGGTCTATGTCTTTATTTTAAAAAATAATAGTTTATAAGCTGATTGAAATAAGTATGGATGTATCTGTCCACAGTCCATGTGAAATCAAGTTCTAATAAAATGTTGCAGAAAACAATACTTGTTACAAGCTCAAGGGAAAGCAAACTCAGCAAACATGAAGAAAAGTTCTGGCATACTATTATGTTGGTGCAAAAGTAATTGCAGTTTTTAAAATTTGCCATTAAAATGGCAAAATCACAATTACTTTTGCACCAACCTATTAGGTAGGTTACACAGATGCTGTTACCATCAGCACTGTAATAGAATCCAAGCTGATCTGTTCTTTTGTTTCTTTTTTCTGGGAGTTGGATGGGGGTAGAATGGAAACAGTCAATGAACATGGCCATAACATTAGAGTGATGCCTTTTAATATGAATATAGCTATACTTCTGTTTATGTCCCACCCTGTTGGTGAATGAATCAAAGCCTGTCCCATTCTGGAGGCAGTGATACATTAAACTCTTACATTAATCAACTTTCTTTCAAAAGAAAATTATTTATTCAACATGTATTTACTTAACCATGTGCCAGGTATTCCACTGACTACTGGGTAAACAAGTCCATAGTATTGAAAAATAAATGCAGTTTCTGCAACCAAGGAGTTCACATCTTTACATCAAGCCAGATTCAAACCTCAGTAATTTACCATGATTGAAATGTGCATGCATGGTACTGGTACCAAAACAGAGATATAGACCAATGGAACAGAACAGAGCCCTCAGAAATAATGCCGCATATCTACAACCTCTGATCTTTGATAAACCTGACAAAAACAAGAAATGGGGTAAAGGATTCCCTATTTAATAAATGGTGCTGGGAAAACTGCCTAGCCATATGTAGAAAGCTGAAACTGGATCCCTTCCTTACACCTTATACAAAAATTAATTCAAGATGGATTAAAGACTTAAACGTTAGACCTAAAACCATAAAAACCCTAAAAGAAAACATAGGCAATACCATTCAGGACATAGGCATGGGCAAGGACTTCATGTCTAAAACACCAAAAGCAATGGCAACAAAAGCCAAAATTGACAAGTGGGGTCTAATTAAACTAAAGAGCTTCTGCACAGCAAAAGAAACTACCAGCAGAGTGAACAGGCAACATACAGAATGGGAGAAAATGTTTGCAATCTACTCATCTGACAAAGGGCTAGTATCCAGAATCTACAATGAACTCAAACAAATTTACAAGAAAAAAACAACCCCATCAAAAAGTGGGCAAAGGATATGAACAGACACTACTCAAAAGAAGACATTTATGCAGCCAAAAGACACATGAAAAAATGCTCATCATCACTGGCCATCTGAGAAATGCAAATCAAAACCACAATGAGATACCATCTCACACCAGTTAGAATGGCAATCATTAAAAAGTCAGGAAACAACAGGTGCTGGAGAGGATGTGGAGAAATAGGAACACTTTTACACTGTTGGTGGGACTGTAAACTAGTTCAACCATTGTGGAAGTCAGTGTGGCGATTCCTCAGGGATCTAGAACTAGAAATACCATTTGACCCAGCCATCCCATTACTGGGTATATAACCAAAGGATTATAAATCATGCTGCCATAAAGACACATGCACACGTATGTTTATTGTGGCACTATTCACAGTAGCAAAGACTTGGAACCAACCCAAATGTCCAACAATGATAGACTGGATTAAGAAAATGTGGCACATATACACCATGGAATACTATGCAGCCATAAAAAATGATGAGTTCACATCCTTTGTAGGGAGGGACATGGATGAAGCTGGAAACCATCATTCTCAGCAAACTATCTCAAGGACAAAAAACCAAACACCACATGTTCTTACTCATAGGTGGGAATTGAACAATGAGAACACATGGACACAGGAAGGGGAACATCACACACCAGGGCCTGTTGTGGGGTGGGGGGAGGGAGGAGGGATAGCATTAGGAGATATACCTAATGTTAAATGACGAGTTAATAGGTGCAGCATACCAACATGGCACATGTATACATATGTAACTAACCTGCACGTTGTTCACATGTACCCTAAAACTTAAAGTATAATAAAAAAAGAAAAAGAAACACAAAATACAAACAAACAAAATGTGAAAGGAAAAAAAATGTGCAATGGGTATCAGGAAACATATATCAGTTCTTTTATTTTAAGCTGCTATATATTATTATTGTAGTTACTACTTTAATTGTTAGCTTCAGGGGTACATGTGTAGGTTTGTCATATAGGCAAATTGCATGTCACAGGGGTTTGGCATACAGATTATTTCATCATCCAGGTAATAAGCATAGTTTCTCATAAATAGTTTTTAGATCCTCTCTCTTCCCATGCTCTACCCTTAAGTATGCCTCAGAGTCTATTGTGTTTCCTGTTTGTATCCATGTGTACTCAATGTTTAGCTTCCACTTATAAGTGAGAACAGGTGGTATTTTGTTTTCTGTTTCTTTTAGTTAGCTTAGAATAATAGCCTCCAGCTGCATCCATGTTGTTGCAAAGGACATGATCTCATTGTTAATGGCTGCGTAATATTCCATAGTGTGTATGTACCACATTTTCTTTATCCAGTCTATATTGATGAGGATTAAGTTGATTCCATGTCTTTGCTATTGTGAAGAGTGCTGCAATGAACATATTCATGCATATGTTTTTTGCTAGAATGATTTATTCCTATGGGTATATACCCAAGAATAAGATTGCCAGGTTGAATGATAATTCTGTTTTGAGTTCTTTGAGAAATTGCTACATTGCTTTCCACAATGGCTGAACTAATTTTATTCCCACCAGCAGCGTATAAGCATTCCCTTTTCTCTACAGCATTGCCAGCATCTGTTATTTTTTGACTGTTTAATAATTGCCATTTTGACTGGTGCGAGATGGTACCTGTGATGGTTAACATTGTCAATTTGATCAGATTGAAGGGTGCAAATTATTGTTTTTGGCTGTGTTTGTGAGGGTGTTTCCAGAAAAGATTAACATTTGAGTTCGTGGCCTGGGAGAGGAAGACCCACCCTCAATGTGGGTGGGCAGCATCCAATCAGCTACCAGCATGGCTGGAAAAAACAGGCGGAAGAAAGTAAAATATCTGGCTTGCTGAGTCTTCTAACTTTCATTTTTCTCCTGTGCTGGGAACTTCCTGTCCCTGAACATCAGACTCCAGATTCTTCAGCCTTTGCACTCTTGGACTTACACCAGTGGTTTGCCAGGGGCTCTTGAGCCTTTGGCCACAGACGGAAGACCACACAGTTGGCTTCCCTAATTTTGAGGCTGTGGGACTCAGACTGAGCCACTACTGGCTTCCTTGCTCCTCAGCCTGCAAATGACCTATTGTGGGATTTCTTTACCTTGTGATCCTGTGAGTTGATTCTCCTTAGTAAACTCCGTTTCATATATACATATATCCTATTAGTTGTGTCCCTCTGGAGAACCCTAATACAGTACCTTATTGTGGTTTTGATTTGTATTTCTCTAATGATTAGTGATTTTGAACATTTCTTCATATGCCTGTTATCGACATGCATGTCTTCTTTTGAAAAGTGTCTGTTCACATGCTGCCGACTTTTTAATGGGGTTGTTTGCTTTATACTTGTAAATTTGTTTAACTTCCTTATAGATGCTGGATATTACACTTTTGTCAGATGAACAGTATGTGAATATTTTCTCCCATCCTGTAGGTTGTCTGTTTATGCTGTTGATAGTTTTGTTTTGCTCTGCAGAAGCTCTTTAGTTTAATTAAGTGCCACTTGTCATTTTTGTTTTTGTTGCAATTGCTTTTGGCATCTTCATTGTGAAGTCTTTGCCAAGATCTATGTTCAGAATGATATTTCCTAGGTTATCTTCCAAAGTTTTTATAACTTTACGTTTGACACTTAAGTCTTTCATCCATTTTGAGTTTATTTTTATATATGGTGTAATGAAAGGGTCCAGTTTTAATATTTTGCATATGGCTAGCCAGTTATCCCAGCATCAATTATTGAATAGGGAGTCCTTTCCTCATTACTTATTTTTGCCAACTTCGTCATAGACAGTTTGTTATAGGTGTCTGACATTATTTCTGGGCTCTCTATTCTATTCCTTTGGTCTAAATGTCTGTTTTCATACCAGTACTATGCTGTTTTGGTTACTGTGGCCTTGTAGCATAGTTTGAAGCCAGTAACAAGACACTTCGAGCTTTGTTATTTTTGCTTATAATTACCTTGGCTATTCAGGCTCCTTTTTTGCTTTTATATGAGTTTTTAAATAGTTTTTTCCTAATTCCGTGAAGACTGTCATTTGTAGTTTGATAGGAATAACATTGAATCTCTAGATTGCTTTGGGAAGTATGGCTATTTTAACAACATGGATCCTTCCTATCCATGAGCATGGAATGTTTGTCCAATTCTTTACATCATCTCTGACTTCATTGAGCAGTGTTGCATTATTCTAGTTGTAGAGAACTTAGACCTCACTTGTTAAGCTCTATTCCTAGGTATTTTATACTTTTTATGGCTATTGTGAATTGAATTGTGTTCTTGATTTGGCTGTCAGTTTGGACATTGTTGGTGTATGGAAATGCTACTGAGTTTTGTACATTGATTTTGTTTTCTGAAACTTTGCTGAAGTAGTTTAACAGATCTAGAAACCTTTGGGCAGAACCTTGTGGGTTTTCTAGGTATAGAATTGTATCATCTGCAAACAGAGATAGTTTGACATCCTCTCTTCCCATTTCGATGCCTTTTATTTTTTTCTCTCGCCTGATCTCTCTGGCTATAACTTCCAGTACTATGTTAAATAGGAGTGGTGAGAGTTACCAAACTTGCCTTGTTCCAGTTCTCAAGGAGAATGCTTCCAGCTTTTGCCCATTCTGTATGATGTTGACTATTGGTTTGTCATAGATGGCTATTATCATTGAGGATTTTTTTACATGAAGGGTTGTTGAGTTTTATCAAATGACTTTTCTGATAATCATATGATTTTTTAAATTTTAGTTCTGTTTATGTGATGAATCACATTAATTTGCATATCTCGAACCAACTTTGCATCAAAGGGGTAAAGCCTACTTGATCATAGTGGAATAGCTTTTTCACGTACTGCTGGATTTGGTCTGATAGTATTTTGTTGAAGATTGTTGCTTCTGTGTTCATCAAGGATATTCCATGATGTTTTCTTTTTCTGTTGTGTTTCTGCCTTTCTTCCAGGTTTTCCCATCAGGATGATGCTGGCTTCAGAGAATGAGTTAAAGAGGACTTCCTCCTCCTCAATTTTATGGAATAGTTTCAGTAGGAATAGTACCAGCTCTTCTTTATACATCTGGTAGAATTCAGCTGTGAATCTGTCTGGTCCTGGGCTTTTTTCCAGTTGGAAGGCTTTTTATTACTGATTCAATTTTGGTATTCACTATTGGTCTGTTCAGGGATTCAATTTTTTCCTGGTTAACTCTTAGGAGGTTGTAAGTTTCCAGGAATTTGCCTATTTCTTCTAGATTTTCCAGTTTATGTGCAGAGAGGTGTCAGTAGTAGACTCTAAGGGTTTTTTTTGAACTTCCATGGAGTTGATGGTAATGCCCCTTGTCATTAAAGATTGTGTTTATTTGGATATTCTTTTTTTTTTTACATTAATTAACTATTCTCACTTTCCCCCCATTCCTCATTATCCTTCTCAGCCTCTGGTAACCATTCGTCTACTCTCCACCTTCATGAATTCAATTGTTTTAATTTTTAGCTCCTAAAAATAAGTGAGAACATGCAAAGTTTGTCTTTCTGAGCCTGAGATTATTTCACTTAAAATGATGAAATCCAGTGCCATCTATGTTGTTGCAAATCATAGGGTCTCATTATTTTTTATGGATTAATAGCACTCTATTATGTATATGTACATTTTCATTATCCACTCATCTGTTGATGGACACAAGTTGCTTCCAAATCTTGCCTACCGTGAATAGTGCTGCCATAAACATGGGAGTACAGACATCACTTCAATATACTGATTTCTTTTTTTTGGTGGGGCGGGGGGGTGGGTATATACCCATAAGTGGGAAGGCTTGATCATATGGTAGCTCTATTTTTAGTTTTTCGAGGAAACTTTATACTGTTCTCCATAATAGTATTAATTTACATTCCCATCAATAGCATATGAGGATTCTCTTTTATACACATCCTCACCAATATTTTTTATTGCCTGCCTTTTTGATAAAAGCCATTTTAACTGGGGAGAGAAGACATCTCTTTGTAGTTTTGATTTGCATTTATCTGATAATGAATGATGTTGTGCACCTTTTCATATACGTATTTGCCATTTGTATGTCTTTTGAGAAATATATATTCAGATCTTTTGTACACTTTTAAATCACATGGTTAGATTTTTTTCTATATACTTGTTTCAGCTCCTTATATATTCTGGTTATTAATACCTTGTCAGATGGATAGATTCCAAATATTTTCTCCCACTCTATGGGTTGTCTCTTCAATTTTTTGATCATTTTCTTTGCTGTACAGGTTTTTAACTTAATGGGATCCCATTTGTCCATTATTGCTTTGTTATCTAGGCTTGTGGAGTATTACTGAAATCATTGCCCACTACAATGTCCTAAAGTTTCTCTTTCTTGCAGTAGTTTCATAGTTTGAGGTCTTAGATTTAAGTCTTTAATAAATTTTGGCTTGATTTTTGCATATGGTGAAAGATACGGGTCTAGTTTTATTTTTAGACATACGAGTAACCAGTTTTCTTAGCACCATTAACTGAAGAGAGTATCCTTTCCCCAGTGTATGTTCTTGCCACATTTGTAAAAAATTTCACTGTAAATGTATGGATTCATTTCTGGGTTCTCTATTCTGTTTCATTGCTCCATATGTCTGCTTACATGTCAGTACCATGATGTTGTGGTTACTATAACTCTGTAATATAATTTGAACTCAAGTAATGTGATGCTTGCAGTTTTGTTCTCTTGCCCCAGATGGCTTTGGCTATTCTGGGTCTTTTGGGGTTCTATGTAAATTTTAGGATTTTTTTTTTCTACTTCAAGAATGTCATTGGTTTTTTGACAGGGATTGCATTGAATCTGTAGATTGCTCTGGGTAGTTGGACATTCATCAATATTTATTGTTTCCATTGTAGAAAGCTTTTACTTCTTTGATTAATTCCTTGGTATTGTTTTTTGTTTGTAGCTATTGAAAGTGGGATTTCTTTTGCAGATTGATTGCTGTTGGCATATACAAATGCTACTTGTTTTTGAATGTTGATCTTGTATCCTGCAACTTTACTGAATTTATCAGTTCTAATTTTTTTTTGGTGGAGTGTAGTCTATGCTCTCACTTCTATACTATAAAAAATATCTGAAACTAGGTAATTTATAAAGAAAATATGTTTAATTGGCTCATGATCTCACAGGCTGTACAGGAAACATGACAGCATTTTTGCAAATTCTGAGGAGGTCTCAGGAAACTTACAATTATGGCAGAAGGCAAAGAGGGAGCTATAACTTCACATGGCTAGAACAGGAGAAAGAGAGGCAGGTGGTGTTACACACTTCGAAACAACCAGATCTCACAATAATTCACTCAGTATCACAAGATTAGCACCAAAGGGGAAATTCTCACCCATGATTCAATTACCTCCTACCAGGCTCCATCTCCAAAACTGAGGATTATAATTTGACATGAGATTTGGGCAGGGTCACAGATCCAACCCATATCATGGAGTCTTTAGGTTTTTAAAAATATAAGATTGTATCATCTGCAAACAATAATAATTTGACTTTGTTCTTTCCAGTTTGGGTGCTCTTTATTTCTTTTCCTTGTCAGAATGCTATAGGTAGAACTTTCAGTACTATCTTGAATGACAGTGAGCATCTTTGTGTTCCAGACCCTAGAGGAAAGGCCTTCAGTGTTTCCCTATTTGGTATGATACTAGCTGTGCATCTGTCATAAATGGCTTTTATTATGTTGAGGTATATGTCTTCTTCAATACCCAGTGTTTTGAGGGGTTTTATCATAAAGGGATATTGAATTTTATCAAATGTTTTCTCAGCATCAATTAAAATGATCATATTGTTTTGTCTTTCATTATGTTGATATGACGTATCACATTGATTGATTTGCATATGTTGACCCAAACTTTATCCCTGGGATAAATCCCACATGGTCATAATGAATGATCTTTTTAATGTGTTGTCAAATTTATTTTGTGGGCATTTTGTTGGAGATTTTGCATCATTATTCATCAGGGACATTGGCCTGTAGTATTTTTTTATGTGTCTGTGGTTTTGATATCAGATTAATACTGGCCTCATAGAATGAGTTTGGAAGTGTTTCTATCTCTTCTGGTTTTTGGAGTAGTTTTTGGGATTAGTTATTTAAATGTTTGGTAAGATTCAGCATTGAAGCTCTTGGATCCCAGGCTTTTCTTTGTTGAGAGATTTTATTATAGAATCAATCTCATTACTTGTTATTGGTCTATTCAGGTTTTGGGTTTCTTCATGGTTCAATCTTGGTAGGTTGCATATGTCTAGAAAATCATCCATTTCTTCTTAATTTTTCATTATATTGTCATATAGTTGCTCATAGTAGCCACTAATGATTTTCTGAATTTCTTTAGTATCAGTTTTAGTGTTTCCTTTTTCATCAATAATTATGTTTATTTGGGTCTCTTCTTGTTTTTTTAGTTAATCTGGCTAAAGGTTTGTTAATGTTGTCTATCTTTTTAGAAAACTAACTTTTTATTTCATTGTTTTTTGTATTTTCATATCAATTTTATTTATGCTCTGATATTATTTACTAATTATTGATTTGGTTTGTTTTTGCTTTTCCAGTTATTTAAGATGCATTGTTAGGTTATTTATTTGAAGTTATTTTACTTTTTTGATGTAGGCACTTATAGATATAAACTTTGCTCTTAGTACTGCCCTCACTGTATCTCATAGGTTTGGATATGTTTTGTTTCCATTATCATTTGTTTCAAGAAACTTTTCAATTTTATTTTTAATTTCTTCGTTGACCCACTGGTCATTTAGGGGCATATTGTTTAATTTGCATGTGTTTGTGTAGTTTCAAAAATTCCTCATTATCAATTTCTAGTCTTACTGCACTGTAACCAGAGAATATGATTGATGTTATTTCAATTTTTTGAATTTAAGACATGTTTTGTGTACTAACATGTGGTCTTTTTTTGAGAATGAACCACATGCTGAAGAGAAGAATGTGTGTTCTGCAGTCACAAAATAAAATGTTTGTCAAGATCTATTAGGTTCATTTGATCTATAATGCAGATTAAGTCTGATGTTTCTTTGTTGATTTTTTAAATTGGAAATCTGTCCAATGCTGAAAGTGATGTGTTGTCATCTCCAGCTATTATTATATTGGGGCCTATCTCTCCCTTTATCTCTAATAATATGTGTTTTCTATATATGGGAGCTACATTGTTGGGTGCATATATATTTACTATTGTTATATCCACTTGCTGAATCGACCCCTTTATCATTATATAGTAACTTTCTTTGTCTCTTTTTATAGTTTTTTACTTGAATCTATTATTTCTTATATAAGTATAGCTACTCTGTCTCTTTTTTGATTTTCATTGTTATGGAATATCTCTTCCCATCTCTTTATTTTCAGTCTGTGTGTGTCTTTATAGATCAAGTGTGTTTCTTGTAGGCAACAGATCACTGGGTCTTCTTTTTTAATCCATTCTGCCATTTTATATCTTTTGATCAGAGAAATTAGTTCATTTACATTCAACTTTATTATTGATAAGTGAGAACTCTTAATCCTGCCATTAAAAGAAAATAACCATTTTCTTCTGGTAATTTTGTGGTCTTCTCTTCCTTCTTTCCTTCCTTCTTTTCAATGAAGGTGATTTTCTCTGGTGGTATGATTTGATTTCTTACTTTTTATTTTTTGTGTATCTGTTGTAGGGTTTTTAATTTGACATTACCATGAGGTTTGCAAATACTATCTTATATCCTACTATTTTAAACTGAAGACAACACATATTGCATAAACAAATGAACAAACAAGCAAAAAAAAACTAATAAAAACTCTACACTTTATCTCTCCCCTTTTTAATTTTGGCTGTTTCTCTTATATCTTATTATGCTGTCTATGCTTGAAAAGTTGTTGTAGTTATTATTTTGCTTGGTTAATCTTTTAGTTTTTCTACTTAAGAGTAGTTTACACACTAAAATTACAGTGTTATAATATTCTGTTTTCCTGAGTACTTACTATTTACAGTGAACTTTATACTTTCAGATAATTTCTTATTGCTCATTAATGTTCTTTACTTTTTGATTGAAGAACTCCTTTTAGTGTTTCTCATAGGACAAGTCTGGTGTTGATAAAATACCTCAGATTTTGTTTGTCAGGAAGTCTTTATTTCTCCTTCATGATTGAAGGATATTTTTGCCAGATACATTCTGTGTTAAGAGATGTTTCCCTCAGCAAGTTAAATATGTCATGCCACTCTTGCCTGGCCTTTAAACTTTCCAGACATATTGCAGCTCCTTTGTGAGTTATTTGTTTCTTTCATTTTGTTGCTTTTAGAATCCTTCTTTATCCTTGACCTTTGGGAGTTTGATTATTAAATGTCTTGAGGTAGTCTTCTTTGAGTTAAATCTGCTTAGTGTTCTATAAACTTCTTGTGCTTGAATGTTAATATATTTTCTTCAGTTTGGGAAGTTCTCTGTTATCTCTTTGAAAAAACTTTCTACCCCTATCTCTTTCTCTACCCCTTCCCATAATGGGTTAACCCATAAATTGTTAAGGCCAATAACTCTAAGATTTGATCTTTTGAGAGAATTTTCTAGATCTTGTAAGTGTGCTATATTCTTATTTTTTTTAATCTCCTCTGACTGTGTATTTTCAAATACCCTCTCTTCAAGGTCACTAATTATTTATTCTGCTTAATCAATTCTGCCAATAAGGGATTCTGATGCCTTCAGTATGTCAGTTGCATTTTACAACTCCAGAATTTTTGCTTGATTCTTTTTAATGATTTCAATCTCTTTGTTAAATATATCTAATTGAATTATGAATTCCTTTTCTGTGTTATCTTAATTTTTTTTGTCTTTTTTAAAAATCTCAATAGTTTGGGGGAACATGTGGTGTTTGGTTACATGGATAATTTCTTTATGGTGGTTTCTGAGATTTTGGTGCACCTATTACCCAAGCAGTGTACACTGTACTAAATGTGTAGTCTTTTAACCTTTCCCCCTCCACTCTTCCCCCCGAGTCCCCAGAGTTCATTTTATAATTCTTATACCTTTGTGTCCTCATAACTTAGCTCTCATTCACAAGTGAGAACACACAATGTTGGTTTTCTATTTTTAAGTTACCTCACTTAGAATAATGGTCTCCAACTCCATCCAGATTGCTGCAAATGTCATTATCTCATTCTTTTTTATGGTTGAGTAGTATTCCATGGTGTGTGTGTGTGTGTGTGTGTGTGTATCATATTTTCTTTATCCACTTGTTGATTGATAGGCATTTGGGCTGGTTTCATATTTTTACAATTGTGAATTGTGCCACTATAAACATGCATATGCAAGTGTCTTTTTTATATAATGACTTATTTTCCTCTGGGTAGATATCCAGTAGTGAAATTGCTGGATCAAATGGTAGATCTACTTTTAGTTCTTTAAGAAGTCTCCATACTGTTTTCCATATTGGTTGTGCTAGTTCACATTCCCACCAGCAGTGTAAAAGCATTCCCTTTTCTCCACATCCATGCCAACATCTATTATTTTTTAATTTTTTGATTATGGCCATTCTTACAGGAGTAAGGTGATATCTCATTGTGGTTTTGATTTGTACTTCCCTGATAAAGAGTGATGTTAAGCATTTCCCATATACTTTTTGGTGATTTGTATATCTTCTTTTGAGAGTATCTATTCATGTCCTTATCCCAATTTTTGATGGGATTATTTGGGTTTTTTTGCTGACTTGTTTGAGTTCCTTGTAGATTCTGGTAATTAGTCCTTTTTTAATGCATAGTTTGTGAAAATTCTCTCCCACTCTGTGGGTTGTTTATTTTCTCTGCTTGTTATTTCTTTTGCTGTGCAGAAGCTTTTTAGTTTAATTAACTCCCATCTATTTATCTTTGTTGCATTTGTTTTTGGGTTCTTCGTCATAAACTCTTTGCCTAAGCCAATGTCTAGAAGAGTTTTTCTGATATCTTCTAGAAATTTTATGTTTTCAGGTCTTAGGTTTAAGTCTTTGATCCATCTTGAGTTGATTTTTGTATAAGGTGAGACATAAGGATCCAATTTTATTCTTCCACACGTGGCTTGCCAGTTATCTCAGCATCATTTGTTGAATAGGGGGGCCTTTTCCCAGTTTATGTTTTTTTTGTTTGTTTGTTTTGTTGTTGTTTTTTTTTTTTTTTTTTTGCTCTTTTGAAGATCAGTTGACTGCGAGTATTCAAATAGCATATCAAAAAAATTATCCACCATGATCAAGTGGGTTTCATACCAGAAATGCAGGCATGGTTTAACATATGCAAGTCAATAAATGTGATACACCACATAAACAGAATTAAAAACAAAAATCATATGATTACCTCAATAGAGCTGCATAAAAAGCATTTGACAAAATCCAGCATCGTTTTATGATTAAAACCTTCTGTAAAATCGGCATAGAAGGGACATACTTTAAGGTAATAAAGCCATCTATGATAAACTCATAGTCAACATTATACTTAGTGGGGAAAAGTTGAAAGTGACAGAAACAGAAACTCTTGTTCTCTTCCTTTAATTTCTCCCAAACAAACAGAGTCTCTCTCTATCTGCTGAGCTGCCTGAAGCTAGACATAAACACCTCTGTGGCCACTACCACTGAGACTGCACTGGGTCAGAACTGAAGCCAACACAGCACTTGGTCTCACCCAAAGCCCAGTGTAACCACTACCTGGCTACTGCTTCTGTTTGCTCAAGGCCCTAGGACTCTATAATCAGCAGGTAACAAAACCAACCAGGCTTGTCTTTTTCATCAGGTTAGTGAGTTTCCTCAGTCCCCGGGTGGGTCCACAGGTACTGTCTGGAAGCCAGGGACTGGAATCAAAGATCTTAGAAATCTGCCTGGTGTTCTATTGTATTGAGGCTAAGGTGTCACTCAAACCATGAGATAATATTTTTCCTACTCTTCCCTCCCTTTTCCCCAGGCAGAGGAGCCTTTCCTCGTGGCCACCACCACCAGAGACTCAAGAGAGGTACTACCAGGCTATCACAGATATTCACTTAAAGACCACAAGGGCTCTTCAGTCAGCCTGTGGTGAAGCCATCAGGCCTGCGACTCACCCTTCAGGGCAATGGGTTCCCCTTTGGCCCAGAACATGTTGAGAAATGCCACCCAAGAGCCAAGGCCTAGAATCAGGGAAGTCAATAGCCCTCTTTGTGCTCTACCCAATGTGGCCAAGCTGGTGCCTGAAGCCAGCATATCTCAGAGACTCACCCAAGGCCCATGACTAACTATGTAGGTATTGCTGCTGGTTCTTCAAGGCCCAAGGGCATTTTTGTCAGCAGGTGATTAATCCTGCCAGACTGGCTTCTTTCCTTAAGGTAGCAAGTTCTCATCTGGTCTAGGGTATGTCTAGATATGTTGTTCAGGAGCTAGGGCCTGGAATGGGGGACTCATGACTCTTCCCAGTGCCCTATCCTAATATGACTGACCTGGTAACCAAGATGCAAGACAAAGTCCCCCTTACTCTTCTTTCCCTCCTCCTCTCCTCAAGTAAAATAAAGGAGTCATTTTTGTTGCTGCAAGCTGTGCTGCCTGGGTTTGTCGAGGGAGAGGCACAAGCATTCCCTTAGTCACCCTGGCTGATGTCCCATATCCACTAGCTCTGAGCCCAGTATGCTGCTAGGACTTTTTAGAAATTGCAAGTCCTTGTAGCCTAGACTGCATTTCAAGCGTATTTAGGACCCCAGAGCCCCTTAGCCCTCATGGGCAAGGCTTCCCAAAACTCAAATTCAACCACTGGGATGGCTAACTCCCCTCTGGCTAAAGCTGGTCTAAACGATCCCCCCTCCATGTGTAGGCATCAGCTGAGTTTAGCCATGTTTTCCTTTCTGCTGTGACAGAGCAGCACTTCATTCACCACACTCTCCCTCACCCAAACACATAGATTCTCCTTGCCACATGGCCACTGTTGGGAGTATGGAAGAAGGGTGGCATCAGTAATTTAAGGCTGTTTTCCCTACCCTCTTCAGTGCCTCTTTTAGTGATATGAAGTTAAAACCAGGTATTGTGATACCTCACATAATTTTTCATTCTTGTGTATGTGCTTTTTTGTGTAGATGTTATATTGGTGTTCCTATGGGAGGGATGATCAATGAAGGCTTCTATTAGGCCATCTTGCTCTGTCCTCTCCATCTAGATATGTTTAGATACACAGATATTTAACATTGTGTTAAAATTGCATACACTATAAACTCCACTTAAAACTGATTAAAGTCTCATTCTTGTCAAATAAATAAATAAATAAATAAATAAAATTGCCTACACTGGTCAGTGCAGCAACATGCTATACAGGTTTGTGGCCTGGGAGCAATCGGCTATGTTATATAGCCTAAGTATGTGGTAGGCTGTACCATCTCAGTTTACGTAAAGTACACTCTATAATGTTTGCACAGCAATGAAATCACCTAACAATGTATTCCTTAAAGTGTATCCCTGTCATTAAGCAATACACAATTGTACACTTGTGTTTTTTGAAGACATCCCACTTTTGCTTTAGTAATATTTGCACATCTTTTCTGAAAGTTAAGTTGGCACTTATTATAATCCTCATTTTGTAAATGAAAAAAAAATGAGAGCCAGAGCATTTTTAGGTTTTGTCTATGGCCACATAGTTAGCAGGTTCTGAGAATCCAAGTGTTTTGACTCTTGGCTAAAAGTGCTTTCTGGCTCCAAACTTTATTTTTCAAATTTAGTAAAAACAAACTAGAAAGTAGTGAGATAAATGTGACATAATCATTCAAGAAGTCAGTGATGAAAGCCCTTAGGCTTTCAAAAAATAACAGAAAGAAATACACAGAGAGAAACCCCCTACAGAGCCAGTTCTTATTGAAATCCACAGAAGGAGCATTATCTCCATTCCCCCTACTCCCAATTTCAGACTCTTCCCTCTTCCTAGCCTGCAGACACACCAGTATGAAACACTCTTCTTCTTCTGCCAAAATTTGGAATGAAAGAGACTGTAGTTCCTCTCTAGGGCAAGACAACTCCAAAATGAGTGTGGTTATCTTGTTGTCTCTAAAAGCCAAGAGATATGCAAAGTGTGGGGTAATGTCAGAAGGACATACAAATTGACTTTTAGGGAAGCTTACTGGCCAAAAATAGGGGCCAAACATAACTATCTAAATAGTAATAACTTCAATGAATTGAAACACATCAAAACATTAAAAATACATGTGTTCATGATCTTTTAAAAATTCTCATCAAAGTTGGGGTTTTCACAGGAACTAACTCATTATTCTGAAAATTGGAAAATATCATGTATTTACTCTGCGTGGATTGTATTTCAGTGAAACCAGAAAGAGAATAATAAAAAGTTATTCTTTGTAGTATAAATACAGCTTATAAATGAAGTAAGATTGTTATATAATTTTTTTCCTAATGAAATAATAGCTGGAGGCATGGCTTACACCTGTAATTCCAGCCAGTTGGGAAGCAGAAGTGAAAGGATCACTTGAGACTATGAGTTTGAGACCAGCCTGGGCAAAAGAAAGACCCTACCTCAACAAAAATAGAAAGAAAATAAAGAAACAGTGGATCTAGGTATTAGTCATGAATGGCTGTTTAACCCTTCAGATGAAAGCTAATTGGGACCTTCATTTAAAAATGAATTCCACTTTCATCATTGAAATCTACTGTTACTAAAGGTAGGAAAAGAAAATATTTCATTTCTTTTGATATAATGCAATATGAAGCATACAGTACCATCTCTGCCTTGCTCTTGCTGGAGTAAAAAAATAATAATAATAAGCTTTTATCTTGCTAAGGCTTTAGATCCAACTGCCAGTTTTCAGGAAAAAATGAAGCTTAGAAAAACATGTTAAATGATAACCACAAAGAGTTAGCCAAATACAATGTGGGAAATTCTATATGACAAATGACCCAGATTTTTGAATAACTAACTGGCATTTGGAAGAAAACGATACAGAATACAGGGTCAGTTTTAGCTTGTTAAAAGTTAAAAAGACTTTAGGGGGATATTAAACAATAATGCATAAAATTTGTTTGGAACCTGATTTAAACAGATATTTCTGTGAAAATTAAGGAAAATTTAAAACAGACTTGTATTAAGTGATTTAAAGATATTTCTAAATGACCTTTATTGTATTGGTTTTGATAAGATATTGAAGTTGTGATTTAAAAAATATCTTTGTCTGTTACAGATATACACTAAGTGTTTGGTTAGATGGTGCATGGAGAAACACAGTATTAAAATGTATCCAACATTCCTCTGTTGCCAGTGTCACAGATGACCCCAATCTTTGCCATTATAAATAACATTTTAATATCTACATATACACCTACAGCATTTGTACTTTTTAAAATTACTCTCTTAGAAGGTATGCTCAGATGTGGGAACCACAGCAAAAGGTATAAAAATGTATTTATAAGTTTCTTTTTTTAATTTTTAATTTTATGGGTATATGGTAAGTATATATATGTATAGGATACATGATATAGTCATACAGTGTGTACTAATTACATCAGGGTAAATGGGTTATCCATTGGCTCAAGCATTTATCTTTTGTGTTACAAATAGTCAAATTATACTTTTTTTGTTACTTTTAAATGTACAGTACATTATTGTTGATTGTAGTCATCATGTTGTGCTATAAAATACTAGATCTTATTCATTATATCAAACTGTATTTTTGTACATATTAATCATCACCACATGCCCCCCACACAGACGCTACCCCTCCTAGCCTCTGCTGACCATCATTCTACTCTTTCTTTATCCATGAGTTCAATTGTTTTAATTTTTATCTCCTATGAGTAGGTGAGAACATGAAATGTTTATCTTTCTGTACCTGGCTTATTTTACTTAACATAATGTCCTCCAGTTCCATCCATGTTGTTGCAAATTACAGGATCTCATTATTTTCTATGGATTGATAATACTCCATTGTATATTTGTACCACATTTTCTTTATTTGGCAGTTGAACACTTAAGTTTATTTCATATCTTGACTATTATGAATATTGCTGAACATAAATATGGGAGTGCAGATATCTTTTTGATATACTGATTTCCTAACATTTGGATATATATCTAGTAGTAGGATTGCTGGATTATATGGGAGTTCAATTTTTAGTTTTTTTTAAAAATCTCCATATTTTTCTCCATAGTAGTTGCACAAATTTACATTTCCATCAACAGCGTATGAGGGTTGTCTTTTATCCACATCCTTGCCAGCATTCATTATTGCTCACCTTTTGGATAAAAACTATTTTAACTGGGGTGAGATGACACCTCATTATAGTTTTAATTTGCATTTTTCTGATGATCAATAATGTTGAGCACCTTTTCATATACTTGTTTGCCATTTTTATATCTTCTTTTGAGAAATAGCTATTCAGATCTTTTGCCCATTTCTAAAATCAGATTATTAGGTTTTTTTGTATCGAGTAGTTTGAGCTCCTTACATATTTTATAATTAATCCCTTGTCAGATGGATAGTTTGCAAATATTATCTCCAATCCTGTGAGTTGTCTCTTCACTTAATTGAATATTTCCTTTGCTGTGCAGAAGCATTGTAACTTGATATTAATCTTTTTATCTATTTTTGCTTTGGTTGGCTGTGCTTTTGAGGTATTACTCAAGAAATCTTTGCTCAGAACAGTGTCTTGGAGAATATTTCCAATGTTCGTTTTTAGTAGTTTTATATTTCCAGGTTTTAGATTTAATGAATTTTGATTTGATTTTTGCATATGGTGAGAAATAGGGGTCTAGTATCATTATTTTGCATATGAAAATTCAGTTTTTCTATCACCTTTTATTGAAGAGAATGTTCTTTCCCCAATGTATGTTCTTGGCACCTTTATAAAAAATGAGTTCACTATATATGTTATAGATTTATTTCTTAGTTCTCTATTCTGTTTTATTGGTCTATGTGCCTGTTTTTATTCCAGTACCATGATGTTTTGATTACTACAGCTGTATAATATTATTTGAAGTCAGGTAATGTGATACCTGAAGTTTTCTTTTTGTTGTTGTTTTTGTGGCTTTGGCTGTTTTGGGTCTTTCGTGATTCCATATATAACTTAGGATTTTTTTTTATTTCAATGAACACTGTCATTGGTATTTTATTGTATTTTTTATAATTACTTTATAAAGTTATATTTCAAATCAGATAAAGAGTTACAAACAAAAAGAAATTTGTGCTTTCTATTTACCTATATAGTTATGTTTACCAGTGTTCCTTATTTCTTCATGGGGTTTCAAGTTCAGTCTATTGACCTTTCATTTTAGCCCAAAAGACTTCCTTGAGTAGTTTTTGAAGAGCAAATTTGCTACTAATGAATTACCTCAGTTTTTGTGTTTATTTGAAAATGTCTTGATTTCTCCCTCGTTTTCAAAGAATACTTTTGCTGAGTGTAGAATTCTTGATTGATGGTTTTTTCTCTCAGCATTTTTAGTATGTCATGCCATTGCATTCTGACCACCATAGTTTTTTTTTTTTAATTTTTAATTTTTTATTTCCAGTTCTGTGCAGGATGTGCAGGTTTTTTACATAGGTAGACGTGTGCCATAGTGGTTTGCTGCACCTATCAACCCATCACCTAGGTATTAAGCCCAGCATGCATTAGCTATTTTTCCTAATACTCTCCCTCCCCTCATCGCATCTTCTGACAGGCACCAGTTTGTGATGATAGGGATTGCATAGACTTTATAAATTGCTTTGGGTAGTATGTACATTTTTACAATATTTATTCTACAATCCATGATCATGGAATATCTTTCCTTTCTGTGTGTATCCTCTTCAATTTCTTTCATCAATATTTATAGTTTTTATTATAGAGATCTTTCACATTTTTGGTTTATTTCGAGTTATTTTATTTCTTGAGGCTATTTTTTTTTTTTTTAGATTATTCATTGTTGGCATGTAGAAATGCTACTGATCGGCTGGGCGCAGCGGTCATGCCTATAATCCCAACACTTTGGGAGGCCGAGGAGGCAGATCACCTGAGGTCAGGAGTTTGAGACCAGCCTGACCAATGTGGTGAAACCCCGTCTATACTAGAAAAATACAAAATTAGCCGGGCATGGTGGTGCATGCCAGTAGTCCCAGCTACTTGGGAGGCTGAGGCACGAGAATCACTTGAATGTGGGAGGCAGAGGTTGCAGTGAACCAAGATCACACCACTGAACTCCAACTTGGGCAACAGAGTGAGACTCCATCTAAAAAAAAAAAAATGCTACTGATTGTTGTATATTGATTTTGTATCCTGAAACTTTACTAATCGTTTTTTGGTGGAGTCTTTAGGTTTTTCCAAAATTAAGATCATATCATCTGCAAACAGGATAATTTGAATTTTTTCTTTTGAATTTGGATACCCTTTGTTTCTTTCTCTTGTCTGATTTCTCTAGCTAGGACTTCCTGCACTATCTACGTTGAATAAGAGTGGTGAAAGTTAGCATCCTTGTCATGTTCCCAATCTTAGAGGAAAGACTTTCCATTTTTTCCCGCTAAGTATAATATTAGCTGAGTGCCTGACATATATGGCTTCTATTGTGTTGACATATGTTCATTCTATACCCAGTGTTTTAAGGGATTTTATTATAAGGGGATGTAGAATTTTATCAAATGCTATCTCAGTATCTATGGAAATAATCATATGGCTTTTGTCTTTCACTCTGTTGATACAATGTATCACATTGATTGATTTATGTATGTTGAACCACTCTTGCATTCCTGGAACAAATCCCACTTAGTCTTGATAAATAATGTTCACAATATGTTGCTGATATCAATTTGCTGGCATTTTGCTGAAGATTTTTATATCAATGTTCATTGCAGATAAATTGGCCTGTAGTTTTTTTGTTTGTTTTGATGTCTCTTAGTCTGGTTTTGGTATCAAGATAATACTGGCCTTGTGAAATGTGTTTGGAAGTATTTCTTTCTCCTCTATTTTTCAC
Organism: Homo sapiens; assembly: GCF_000001405.40. Lineage (NCBI taxonomy): Eukaryota > Metazoa > Chordata > Mammalia > Primates > Hominidae > Homo > Homo sapiens. The sequence goes on from NC_000018.10 coordinate 44,348,719, forward strand.
AATACTTTGAGTAATATTGATATTAGTTCTTCTTTAAATGTTTAGTAAAATGCATAAGTGAATCCATTAATTTGCAGACTTTGCTTAGAGAGTTTTTATTAAAGTTTTGATCTTATTACTTGTTATTTGTCTACTAAGGTTTTTGATTTCTTCATAGTTAAATCTTGATAGGTTTAATGCATCTAGTAATTTGGCTATTCTAGGTTTTCCAATTTATTGTCTTACAGTTGCTCATAGTAGTTATAGTAGCCTTTAATGATCCTTTGAATTTCTTCAGTATCCATTGTAATATCTTCTCTTTTGTTTGTGATTTTATGTATTTGGGTCATCTCTCTTTTTTTTAGAGTACTAAAGGCTTACTGATTTTGTTTTATCTTTTTAGAAAGTGAACTTTTTATTTAATTGATTTTTGTACATTTTTTCTTATAAATTTTATTTATGCTTTGATCTTTACTACCTTTTTTCTACTAATTTTTTATTTTGTTTCCTCTTGCTTTATAGATATTTAAGATTCATCTTTATTTGTTTAAAGATGGTCTACTTCTTTTGATGGAGACACTCATTGCTATAAACTTTCCTCTTATTGCTTTTGCTGTATCCCATAAGTTTGGTATGTTATTTCCATTTTCATTTGTTTCAATAAATTGTTAAATTTTCTTCATAATTTCTTTTCTTTTTTAAATTATATTTTAAGTTCTGGAGTACATGTGCAGGACATGCAGGTTTGTTACATAGGTATACACGTGCCATAGGGGTTTGCTGCACCCATCAATGTGTCATCTATATTAGGTATTTCTCCTAATGCTATCCCTCCCCTAGCCCCCCACCCCCCAACAGGCCCCGGTGGGTGATGTTCCCCTCCCTGTGTTGATGTTCTCATTGTTCAACTACCACTTATGAGGGAGAACATGCAGTGTTGGGTTTTCTGATCTTGTGTTAGTTTGCTGAGAATGATGGTTTCCAGCTTCACCCATGTCCCTGCAAAGGACATGAACTCCTCCTTTTTTATGGCTGCATAGTATTCCATGGTGTATATGTGCCAGAATTTCCTTATCCAGTCTATGATTGATGGGCATTTGGGTTGGTTCAATGTTTTTGCTATTGTGAACAGTGCCACAATAAACATACGTGTGCATGTGTCTTTATAGTAGAATGATTTATAATTCTTTGGTTATATACCCAGTAATGATATTGCTGGGTCAAATGGTATTTCTAGTTCTAGATCCTTGAGGAATTTCCATACTGTCTTCCACAACAGTTGTACCAATTTACACTTCCAACAGTGTAAAAGCTTTGCTGTTTCTCCACATCTTCTCTAGCATTTGTTGTTTCCTGATTTTTTAATGATCACCATTCTAACTGGAGAAAGATGGTATTCATTGTGGTTTTCATTTGCATTTCTCTAATGACCAGTGATGATGAGGTTTTTTTTATATGTTTGTTGGCTGCATAAATGTCTTATTTTGAGAAGTGTTTGTTCATGTCCTTCTCCCACTTTTCAATTGGGTTGATTTTTCTTGTAAATTTATTTAAGTTCTTTGTAGATTCTGGATATTAGCCCTTTGTCAGACGGATAGATTGCAAATATTTTCTCCGATTCTGTAGGTTGCCTGTTCACTCTGATGATAGTTTCTTTTGCTGTGCAGAAGCCCTTTAGTTTAATTAGATCCCATCTGTCAATTTTGGCTTTTGTTGCCATTGCTTTTGGCGTTTTAGTCACGAAGTATTTGCCCATGCCTATGTCCTGAATGGTATTGCCTAGGTTTTCTTCTAGGGTTTTTATGGTTTTAGATCTTACACTTAAGTCTTTAATCCATCTTGAGTTAATGTTTAGATAAGGTATAAGGAAGGAATCCATTTTCAGCTTTCTGCATATGGCTACCCAGTTTTCCCAAAACCACATATTAAATAGGGAATCCTGAGGAAGTCAAATTGTCCCTGTTTGCAGATGACATGATTGTATATCTAGAAAACCCCATTGTCTCAGCCCAAAATCTCCTTAAGCTGATAAGCAACTTCAGCAAAGTCTCAGGATACAAAATCAATGTACAAAAATCACAAGCATTCTTATGCACCAATAACAGACAAACAGAGAGCCAAATCATGAGTGAACTCCCATTCACAATTGCTTCAAAGAGAATAAAATACTTAGGAATCCAACTTACAAGGGACATGAAGGACCTCTTCAAGGAGAACTACAAACCACTGCTCAATGAAATAAAAGAGGATACAAACAAATGGAAGAACATTCCCTGCTCATGGGTAGGAAGAATCAATATCATGAAAATGGCCATACTGCCCCAGGTAATTTATAGATTCAATGCTATCCCCATCAAGCTACCAATGACTTTCTTCACAGAATTGGAAAAACCACTTTAAAGTTCATATGGAACCAAAAAAGAGCCTGCATTGCCAAATCAATCCTAAGCAAAAAGAACAAAGCTGGAGGCATCACGCTACCTGACTTCAAACTATACTACAAGACTACAGTAAACAAAACAGCATGGTACTGGTACCAAAACAGAGATATGGACCAATGGAACAGAACAGAGCCCTCAGAAATAATACCACACATCTACAACCATCTGATCTTTGACAAACCTGACAAAAACAAGAAATGAGGAAAGGATTCCCTATTTGATAAATGGTGCTGGGAAAACTGGCGAGCCATATGTAGAAAGCTGAAACTGGATCCCTTCCTTATACCTGATACCAAAATTAATTCAAGATGGATTAAAGACTTAAATGTTAGACCTAAAACCATAAAAACCCTAGAAGAAAACCTAGGCAATACCATTCAGGACATAAGCATGGGCAAGGACTTCATGTCTAAAACACCAAAAAGCAATGGCAACAAAAGCCAAAATTGACAAATGGGATCTAATTAAAGAGCTTCTGCACAGCAAAAGAAACTACCATCAGAGTGAACAGGCAACCTACAAAATGGGAGAAAATTTTCGCAAACTACTCATTTGACAAAGGGCTAATATCCAGAATCTATAATGAACTCAAACAAATTTACAAGAAAAAAACAAACAACCCCATCACAAAGTGGGTGAAGGACATGAACAGACACTTCTCAAAAGAAGACATTTATGCAGCCAACAGACACATGAAAAAATGCTCACCAACACTAGCCATCAGAGAAATGCAAATCAAAACCACAATGAGATACCATCTCATACCAGTTAGAATGGCAATCATTAAAAAGTCAGGAAACAACAGGTGCTGGAGAGGATGTGGAGAAATAGGAACACTTTTACACTGTTGGTGGGACTGTAAACTAGTTCAACCATTGTGGAAGTCAGTGTGGCGATTCCTCAGGGATCTAGAACTAGAAATACCATTTGACCCAGCCATACCATTACTGGGTATATACCCAAAGGACTATAAATCATGCTGCTATAAAGACACATGCACATGTATGTTTATTGTGGCACTATTCACAATAGCAAAGACTTGGAACCAACCCAAATGTCCAACAATGATACTCTGGATTAAGAAAATGTGGCACATATACACCATGGAATACTATGCAGCCATAAAAAATGATGAGTTCATGTCCTTCGTAGGGACATGGATGAAGCTGGAAATCATCATTCTCAGTAAACTATCGCAGGGACAAAAAACCAAACACCGCATATTCTCACTCATAGGTGGGAATTGAACAATGAGAACACATGGACACAGGAAGGGGAACATCACACTCTGGGGACTGTTGTGGGGTGGGGGGAGTTGGGAGGGATAGCTTTAGGAGATATACCTAATGCTAAATGACGAGTTAATGGGTGCAGCACACCAGCATGGCACATGTATACATATGTAACTAACCTGCACATTGCGCACATGTACCCTAAAACTTAAAGTATAATAATAATAAAATAAAATAATAAAAAATTAAATAAATAAATAAATAAATAAATAGGGAATCCTTTCACCATTGCTTGTATTTGTCAGGTTTGTCGAAGATCGGATGGTTATAGATGTATGGTGTTATTTCTGAGGACTCTATTCTGTTCCATTGTTCTATATATCTGTTTTGGGACCAGTAGCAAGCTGTTTTTTTTTTCTACTGTAGCCCTGTAGTATTGTTTGAAGTCAGGTAGTGTGATGCCTCCAGCTTTATTCTTTTTGGTTAGGATTGTCTTGGATATGCAGGTTCTTTTTTCTTTCCATATGGAATTTAAAGTAGCTTCTTCCAATTCTGTTAAGAAAGTCAGTGGGAGCTTAATGGGAATAGCACTGAATCTATAAATTACTTTGAACAGCATGGGCATTTTCACAATATTAATTCTTCCTATCCATGAACATAGAATTTTTTCCATTTGTTTATTTCCTCTCTTATTTCCTTGAGCAGTGGCTTGTAGTTCTCCTTGAACAGGTCCTTCACATCCCTTGTAAGTTGTATTCCTAGGTATTTTATCCTGTTTGTAGTGATTGTGAATGAGAGTTCACTCATGATTTGGTTCTCTGTTTGTCTGTTATTGGTGTATAGGAATGCTTGTGATTTTTGCACATTGATTTTGTACCCTGAGACTTTGCTGAAGTTGCTTATCAGCTTAAGGAGATTTTGGGCTGAGACTATGGGGTTTTCTAAATATACAATCATGTCATTGGCAAACAGAGACAATTTGACTTCCTCTTTTCCAAATGTATACACTTTCTTTCTTTCTCGTGACTGACCTAGCGAGAACTTCCAATACTATGTTGAATAGGAGTGGTGAGAGAGGGCATCCCTGTCTTGTGCTGATTTTCAAAGGAAATGCTTCCAGTTTTTACCCATTCAGTATGATATTGGCTGTGGGTTTTTCATAAATAGCTCTTAATATTTTGAGATATGTTCCACCAATACCTAGTTTACTGAGAGTTTTTAGCATGAAAGGTTGTTGAATTTTATCGAAGGCCTTTACTGCATCTATTCAGATAATCATGTGTTTTTTCTCATTGGTTCTGTTTATGTGATGCATTATGTTTACTGATTTGTGTATGTTGAACCAGCCCTGCATCCCAGGGATGAAGCCAACTTGATCATCGTGGATAAGCTTTTTCATGTGCTGCTGGATTTGGTTTGCAGTATTTTATTGAGGATTTTCACATCCATGTTCATCAGAAATATTGGCCTGAAATTTTCTTTTTTTGTTGTGTCTCTGCCAGGTTTTTGTATGAGGATGATGCTGGGCTTCTAAAATGAGTTAGGGGGATTCCTTCTTTTTCAATTGTTTTGAATAGTTTCAGAAGGAATGGTACCGGTTCCTCTTTGTACATCTTGTAGAATTCAGCTGTGAATCTGTCTGGTCCCGGGGGCTTTTTTGGTTGGTAGGCTATTAATTACTGCCTCAATTTCAGAACCTGTTATTGGTCTACTCAGGGATTCGACTTCTTCCTGGTTTAGTCTTGGGAGAGTGTATGTTTTCAGGAAGTTATCCATTTCTTCTAGATTTCCTAGGTTATTTGCATAGAGGTGTTTGTAGTATTCTCTGATGGTAGTTGGTATTTCTGTAGGATTGGTGGTGATATCCCCTTTATCATTTTTTTATTGCATCTGTTTGATGCTTCTCTCTTTTCTTATTAGTCTGGCTAGCAGTCTATCTATTTTACTATCTTTTTAAAAAACTAGCTCCTAAATTCATTGATTCTTTTGAAGGGTTTTTCGTGTCTCTATCTCCTTCAGTTCTGCTCTGACCTTAGTTATTTCTTGTCTTCTGCTAGCTTTTGAAGTTATTTAGTCATTCAGGAGCAGGTTGTTCAGTTTCCATGTAATTTTGCAGTTTTGAGTTAGTTTCTTTATCCTGAGTTCTAATTTGATTGCATTGTGGTCTGAGAGACTGTGTGTTATGATTTCCATTCTTTTGCATTTGTTGAGGAGTGTTTCAATTGGAAGGACCACTTACAATTATGTGGTCAATTTTAGAATAAGTGCAATGAGGTGCTGAGAAGAATGTATATTCTGTTGATTTGGGGTGGAGAGTTCTGTAGATGTCTGTTAGGGCCACTTGGTCCAGAGCTGAGTTCAAGTCCTGAAAATCCTTGTTAATTACCTGTCTCGTTGATCTAATATTGAAAGTGGGGAGTTAAAGTCTCCCGCTATTATTGTGAGAGATTCCATGTCTCTTTGTAGGTCTCTAAGAACTTGTTTTATAAATCTGGGTTCTCCTGTATTGGGTTCATATATATTTAGGATTGTTAGTTCTTCTTGTTGAATTGATCCATTTACCATTATGTAATGCCCTTCTTTGTCTCTTTTTATCTTCATTGATTTAAAGCCTGTTTTATCAGAGACTAGCACTGCAACCCCTGCTTTTTTTTTTTTCTTTCCATTTGCTTGGTAAATATTCCCCCATCCCTTTATTTTGAACCTATGTGTGTCTTTGCATGTGAGACAGGTCTTCTGAATACAGCAAACCAATGGGTCTTGACTCTTTATCCAATTTGCCAGTCTGTGTCTTTTAATTGGGGCATTTAGCCTGTTTCCATTTAAGGTTAATATTGTTATGTGTGAATTTGATCCTGTAATTGTGATGCTAGCTGGTTGTTTTGCCCATTAGTTGATATAGTTTCTTCATAGCATTGATGATCTTTACAATTTGGTATGTTTTTGCAGTGGCTGGTTCTGGCTTTTCTTTTCCATTTTTAGTGCTTCCTTCAGGAGCTCTTGTAAGCCAGGCCTGGTGGTGACAAAATCTCTCAACATTTGTTGTCTGTAAAGGATTTTATTTCTCCTTCACTTATGAAGCTTAGTTTCACTGGATATAAAATTCTGGGTTGAAAATTCTCTTCCTTAAGAATGTTGAATATTGGCCCCCACTCTCTTCTGCCTTGTAAGGTTTCTGCTGAGAGATCTGCTGTTAGTCTGATGGGCTTCCCTTTGTGGGTAACCTGACCTTTCTCTGGCTGCCCTAGAAATTTTTTCATTCATTTCAACCTCAGTGAATCTGACAATTATGTGACTTGGGGTTGCTCTTCTCCAGGAGTACCTTTGTGGTGTTCTGTGTATTTCCTGAATTTGAATGTTGGCCTGTCTTGCTAGGTTGGGGAAGTTTTCCTGGATAATGTCCTGAAGTGTGTTTTCCAACTTGGTTCCATTTTCCTTGTCACTTTCAGGTACACCAATCAGGCGTAGATTGGGTCTTTTCACATAGTCCCATATTTTGTAGGCTTTGTTTCTTTTCACTCTTTTTTTTCTAATATTTTCTTCTCACTTTATTTCATTGAAATGATCTTCAATCTCTGATATACTTTCTTCCACTTGATCGATTCGGCTATTGATACTTGTGTATGCTTTGTGAAGTTCTTGTGCTGCGTTTTCCAGCTCCATCAGGTCATTTATGTTCCTCTCTAAACTGGTTATTGTAGTTAGCAATTCATCTAATCTTTTTTAAAGTTCTTAGCTTCCTTGCATTGGGTTAGAACATGCTCCTTTAGCTCGGAGGAGTTTGTTATTACCCACCTTCTGAAGCCTACTTCTGTCGATTCGTCAAATTCTTTCTCCGTCCAGTTTCATTCCCTTGCTGGTGAGGAGTTGTGATCCTTTAGAGGAGAAGAGGTGTTCTGGTTTTTCGAATTTTAAGCTTTTTTGCACTAGTTTCTCCCCATCTTCATGGATTTAGCTACCTTTGGTTTTTGTAGTCGGTGACCTTCTGATTGGGTCTCTGAGTGGAAGTCCTTTTGGTTGATGTTGACACTATTCCTTTCTGTTTGTTAGTTTTCCTGCTAACAGTCAGGATCCTCTGCTGCAGGTCTGCTGGAGTTTGCTGGAGGTTCACCCCAGACCCTGTTTTCCTGGGTATCACTGGCAGATGCTACAGTACAGCAAAGATTGCTGCCTGTTCCTTCCTCTGTTAGCTTTTTCCCAGAGGGGCACCTGCCAGATGCCAGCCAGGGCTCTCCTGTATGAGGTGTCTGTTGGACCCTACTGGGAAGTGTTTCCCAGTCAGGATAATTGTGGATCGGGGACCCACTTGAGGAGGCAGTCTGTCCCTTATCAGAGTTCAAACACTGTGCTAGAGATGTGCTTCTCCCTTCAGAGCTGCCAGGCAAGGACGGATAAGTCTGCTGAGGCTGCACCCACAGCCGCCCCTTCCCCCAGGTGTTCTGTCCCAGGGAGGTGGGGGTTTTATCTATAAGTCTCTGAGTGGGGTTGCTGCCTTTTTTTCAGAGATGCCCTGCCCAGAGGAAAGGGAATCTAGAGAGGCAGCCTGGTTTTGCTGAGCTGTGGTGGGCTCCACCCAGTTCGAACTTCCCAGTGGCTTTGTTTACACTGTAAGGGGAAAACAGCCTACTCAAGCCTCAGCAATGGTGGACGCCCCTCCCCCCACCAAGCTCCAACATCCCAGGTCAAGCTGGGACTGCTGTGCTGGCTGCAAGAATTTCAAGCCAGTGGATCTTAGCTTGCTGGGTTATGTTGGGGTGGGACCTGCTGAGCCAGACCACTTGGCTCCCTGGCTTTAGCCCCCTTTCCAGGGGAGTGAACAGTTCCATCTTGCTCACATTCCAGGCACCACTGGGGTATGAAAAACAAAACAAACAAACAAAACAAAACAAAACAAAACAACTCCTGTGGCTAGCTCGGTGTCTGCTCAAATGGACGTCCAGTTTTGTCCTGGAAACCAAGGGCTCTGGTGGCATATGCACCAGAGGGAATCTCCTGGTCTGCAGGTTGGAAAGACTGTGGTAGATGCACAGTATCTGGGCCAGAGTGCATGATACAGTCCCTAATGGCTTCCCTTGTCTAGGAGAGGGAGTTCCCCGACCCCTTGTACTTCCCAGGTGAGGAGACACCCCACCCTGCTTTGGCTCTCCCTCCTTGGGCTGCACCCACTGTCCAACCAGTCCCAGTGAGATGAACCAGGTACCTCAGTTGGAAATGCAGAAATCACTTGCTTTCTGCATCAATCTCACTGGGAGCTGCAGACTGGAGCTCTTCCTATTGAGCCATCTTACCAGCAATCCTTAATTTCTTAACTAACCCACTGGTCATTCAGAAGCAAATTGTTTAATTCTTACATGTTTATATAGTTTCCAAATTCCTCTTGTTATTGATTTCTAGTTTCATTGCATTTTAGTCAGAAAAGACACTTGATATAATTTCAATTTTTGATTTTTTAAAAAAACTGGTTTTGTAGCCTAACATATGTTCTATCCTTGAGAATATCCCATTTGCTGAGGAAAGGGATGTGTATTCTGCAGCTGTTGGATAAAATATCCTATAAATATCTGTTGTATCTATTTGGTCTATAGTGCATACTAAATTCAATGTTTCTTATTTAATTTATTCTCTGGATGATCTGTTCAATGCTGAAAGTGGAGTGTTGAAGTCTCCAGTTATTACTGTATTGGTGTCTATCTCTCCCTCCAACTCTAATAGTATTTGCTTTCTCTATCTGGGTGCTCCATCATTGGGTATGTATATATTAATAACTGTTATATTCTCTTGCAGTATTGACCCCTTTGTTATTATTATTATTATTATGTAATGGCCTTCTTTGTCTCTTTTTCTGGTTTTTGTCTTGAAAGCTATTTTATGTGCTATAAGTATAGCTATTCTTGATCTTTTTTGGTTTTCATTTGCATGAAATACCTTTTCTATTTCTTTATTTTCAGTCAACGTGTGTCTTTATAGGTAAACTGTTTCTTGTAAAAATCAGATAGTTGAGTGTTTTTTTCGTTTTATATTTAATTCATTAAATGTTTGTTTTTACCTTTTGACTTTTTATAGTTTCAACTTTCAGTTTAAATTCAGGTGAAACGTGCATGTTTGTTACAAAGGTATATTGCATAATGCTGAGGTTTGTTATACTAATGATTTTGTCACCTAGGTGACATAATAGTTAGCTTTTCAACCCTTGCCCCCTTCCCAGCTCCTTCCTCTAGCAGTCACCATTGTCTATTGTTGCCATCTTTATGTCTATGAGTAACTAATATTTAGCTCCCACTTGTAAGTGAGAACATGTGGTATTTGGTTGCCTGTTGCTATGTTAGTTTACCTAGGATAAAGGTCTCCAGCTGCAACCAAGTTGCTGCAAATGGCATGATTTTTTTTTCCCATGGCTATGTCATAGCCCGTGGTGAATATGTACCAAATTTTCATTATCTAATCCACTGTTAATAGGCACCAAGGTTGATTCCATGTCTGTCATTGTGTAGAGTGTTGTGAAGAACATAGAAATGCATGTTTGTTTCTTTTTGGTAAAATAATTTTTTTCTTTTGAATATATACCCAGTAATGAGACTGCTGGGTCAAACGGGCATTCTGTTTATTATTATTAGACAGTTCTGAGATACATATACAAAACATGCAGGTTTGTTATGTAGGTATACATGTGCCATAGTGGTTTGCTGCACCACTTAACCCGTCATCTACATTAGGTATTTCTCCTAATGCTATCCCTCCCCTAGCCTCCCCCCACCCCCTGACAAGCCACAGTGTGTGATGTCCCCCTCCCTGTGTTCATGTATTCTTATTGTTCAGCTCCCATTTATGAGTGAGAACATGTGGTGCTTGGTTTTTCTGTTCCTGTGTTAGTATGCTGAGAATGATGGCTTCCAGCTTCATTTGTGTCCCTGCAAAGGACATGAACTCTTCCTTTCTTATGACTACATAGTATTCCATGGTATATATGTGCCACATTTTCTTTATCCAGTCTATCATTGATGGGCATTTGGGTTGGTTCCAAGTCTTTGCTATTATGAACAGTGCTGCAATGTACATATATGTGTGTGTGTGTGTGTGCGCGCATGTGTTTTTATAGAATGATTTATAATTCTTTAGGTATATACCCAATAATGGGATTGCTGGGTCAAATCGTATTTCTGGTTCTAGATCCTTGAGGAATCGCCACACTGTCTTCCACAATAGTTGAACTAATTTACACTCCCACCAACAGTGTAAAAGCATTCCTATTTCTCCACATCCTCTCCAGCATATATTGCTTCCTTTTTAATGATCGCCATTCTGAGTGGCGTGAGACGGTATCTCATTGTGGTTTTGATTTGCATTTCTCTAATGACCAGTGGTAAGGAGCTTTTTTTTTTAAGTTTTTTGGCCACATAAATGTCTTCTTTTGAGAAGTGTCTGTTCATATCCTTTGCCCAATTTTTGATGGTTTTTTTTCTTGTAAATTTGTTTAAGTTCTTTGTAGATTCTGGATGTTAGCCCTTTGTCAGATGGATAGACTGCAAAATGTTTCTCCCATTCTCTAGGTTGCCTGTTCACCCTGATGGTAGTTTCTTCTGCTGGGCAGAAGCTCTTTAGTTTAATTAGGTCTCATTTGTCCATTTTGGCTTTTGTTGTCATTGCGTTTGGTGTTTTAGTCATGAAGTCTTTGCCCATGCCTATGTCCTGAATGGTACTGCCTAGGTTTTCTTCTATGGTTTTTATGGTTTTAGGTCTTACATTTAAGTCTTTAATCTATCTTGAGTTAATGTTTGTATAAGGTGTAAGAAAGGGGTCCAGTTTCAATTTTCTGCCAATGGCTAGCCCGTTTTCCCAACATTTTTTAAAGAGGGAATCCTTTCCCCACTTCTTCTTTTTGTCAAGTTTCTCGAAGATCAGAAGGTTTTAGATGTGTGGTATTATTTCTGAGGCCTCTGTTGTGTTCCATTTTTTTTTGTATATATATATATATATATGTATGTATATATATATGTATGTATATATATAAAATATATATATATAATATAAATAAATATATATAAAAAATATAATATTTAATAAATTATTTATTATATAATAGATAATATATAATTTAATAATAAATATATATAATTTAATAATAAATATGTTATATTATTTAATAATATATATTATATAATAAATATAATATATTATTTAATGTTATATATTATATAATAATATATATTATATATTATTATATAATATTATATAATAAATATATATTATATATTATTTATATAATATTATATAATAAATATATATTATATATTATTTATATATGATATAATAAATATATATTATATATTATTTATATATGATATAATAAATATATATTATATATTATTTATATATGATATAATAAATATATATTATATATTATTTATATATGATATAATAAATATATATTATATATTATTTATATATTATATAATAAATATATATTATATAATAAATATATATTATATATTATTTATATATTATATAATAAATATATATTATATACTATTTATATATTATATAATAATATATATTATATATTATTATATAATATTATATAATAAATATAGATTATATATTATTTATATAATATTATATAATAAATATAGATTATATATTATATAATAAATATATATTATATATTATTTATATAATATTATATAATAAATATACGTTATATATTAATTATATAATTAATATTATATAATAAATAATATAATTTTAATAATATATATAATTATATATTATATAAATATATAATTATATATGAAAATATATAATTATATATTATACGTAATATATAATATATATTAAAATATATAATTATATATTATATATAATAATATATATGAAAATATATATTATTATATATTACATATAATAATATATATGAAAATATATAATTATATATTATATATTATATATAATTATATATGAAAATATATAATTATATATTATATATAATAATTTATATGAAAATATATAATTATATATTATATATAATAATTTATATGAAAATATATAATTATATATTATATATAATAATATATATGAAAATATATAATTATATATTATATATAATATGAAAATATATAATTATATATTATATATAATATATATGAAAATATATAATTATATATTATATATAATAATATATATGAAAATATATAATTATATATTATATATAATAATATATATGAAAATATATAATTATATATTATATATAATAATATATATGAAAATATATAATTATATATTATATATAATAATATATATGAAAATATATAATTATATATTATATATAATAATATATATGAAAATATATAATTATATATTATATATAATAATACATATGAAAATATATAATTATATATTATATATAATAATATATATGAAAATATATAATTATATATTATATATAATAATATATATGAAAATATATAATTACATATTATATATAATATATAATCATATATATGAAAATATATGATAATATATAAATATATTATTGATATATTATTATATAATAAATAATATATTATATAATAAATTATATAATAAATGTAACATAAATATAAGTGAATATAAATATATATTTATATAAATATATATAATATATTTATATATAATATATAAATAAATATAAATATATTTATATTTATATAATATATAAATATAAATATATTTATATTTATATAATATATAAATATTTATAGTTATATATAAATATTTATAGTTATATATTTATATACTTATATATAAATATATATTATTTATAAAAAAATATATAAATATATATAAAATACATATATAGGTATGTATATGTGTGTGTGTGATTATATATATATATACAGATTATATATATATATACAGATTATATATATATATACAGATTATATATATATATACAGATTATATATATATATATACAGATTATATATATATATATACAGATTATATATATATATATATAATCTGTTTTGGTACCAGGACCATGCTCTTTTGCTTAGTGTAGCCTTGTAGTGTAGTTTAAGTCAGGTAGTGATGCCATCAGCTTTGTTCTTTTTGCTTAGGATTGGTAGTTTTTTCCAATTCTGTGAAGAAAGTCTATGGTCGCTTGATGGGGATAACATTGAATCTATAAATTACTTTGGGCAGTATTGCCATTTTCATGATATTGATTCTTCCTATCCATGAGCACAGAATGTTTTTCCATTTGTTTGTGTCCTCTCTTATTTCCTTGAGCAGTGGTTTGTAGTTCTTCTTGAAGAGGTCCTTCACATCCCTTGTAAGTTGTATTTCTAGGTATTTTATTCTCTTTGTAGCAATTGTGAATGGGAGTTCACTCATGATTCGGCTCTCTATTATTGGTGTACAGGAATGCTTGTGATTTTTGCACACTGATTTTGTACCCCGAGACATTGCTGAAGTTGCTGATCAGCTTAAGGAGATTTTGGGCTGAGATGATGAGGTTTTCTAAATATACAATCATGTCATCTGCAACAGAGTCAATTTGACTTCTTTTCATATTTGAATACCTTTTGCTTCTTTCTCTTGCATGATTGCCCTGGCAAGAACTTCCAATACTACACTGAATAGCAGTGGTGACAGAGGGCATCCTTGTCTTGTGCTGGTTTTCAAAGGGAATACTTCCAGCTTTTGCCCATTCAGTATGATATTGGATGTGGGTGTGTCATAAATAGCTCTTATTGAGATATTATTTTGAGATATTGTCGTGTTCCTATGTTAGAACACAACAGAGGCCTTCGAAATACCACCACACATCAATATGTAGTTTATTGACGGTTTTTAATAAGAAGCGCTGTTGAATTTTATCAAAGATCTTTTCTGCATCTATTAAGATAATCATGGTTTTTGTCATTGGTTCTGTTTATGTGATGAATTGTGTTTACTGATTTGCATATGTTGAACCAGCCCTTGCATCTCAGGGATGAAGCCAACTTGATCATCGTGGATAAGCTTTTTGATGTGCTGCTGGTTTCGGTTTACCAGGATTTTATAGAGAATTTTTGTATCGATGTTCATTAGGGATAGTGGCTTGAGATTTCCTTTTCTTGTTGTGTCTCTACCAGGTTTTGGTACCAGGATGATGCTGGCCTCATAACATGAGTTAGGGAGGATTCCCTCTTTCTCTATTGTTTGTAATAGTTTCAGAAGGAATGGTACCAGCTCCTCTTTGTACCTCTGGTAGAATTCGGCTGTGAACCCATCTGGTCGTGGGCTTTTTTTGGTTGATAGGCTATTAATTACTGCCTCAATTTCAGAACTTGTAATTGGTCTATTCAGGTATTTGACTTCTTCCCGGTTTAGTATTTGGAGGGTGTATGTGTCCAGGAATTTATCTATTTCTTCTAGATTTTCTAGTTTGTGTGCAGGTGTTTGCAGTATTCTTTGATGGTAGTTTATATTTCTGTGAGATCAGTGGTGATACCCCCTTTATCATTTTTTATTGTGTTTATTTTATTCTTCTCTCATTACTTCTTTATTAGTCTGGTTAGTGGTCTATTTTGTTGATCTTTTCAAAAAACCTGCTCCTGGATTCATTGATTTTTTTGAAGGGTTTTTCATGTCTCTATCTCCTTCAGTCCTACTCTGATCTTAGTTATTTCTTGTCTTCTGCTAGCTCTGGAACTTGTTTGCTCTTACTTCTCTAGTTCTTTTAATTGTGATTTTAGGGTGTCGATTTTAGATCTTTCCTGCTTCCTCCTGTGGGGATTGAGTGCTATAAATTTCACTCTAAACACTGCTTTTTCTGTGTCACAGAGATTCTGGTAAGTTGTGTCTTTGTCCTCATTGCTTTCAAAGAACTTATTTATTTCTGCCTTAATTTTGTTATTTACTCAGTTGTCATTCAGGAGAAAGTTGTTCAGTTTTCACGTAGTTTTATGATTTTGAGTGAGTTTCTTAATCCTGAGTTCTAATTTTATTGCACTGAAGTCTGAGAGACAGTTTGTTATGATTTCTTTCTTTCTTTTTTTTTTTTTTTTGGCATTTGCTGAGGAGTGTTTTACTTCCAATTATGTGGTCAATTTTAAAATAAGTTTGTTGTAGTGCTGAGAAGAATGTATATTCTGTTGATTTGGGGTGCAGAGTTCTGTAGTTGTCTATTAGGTCCACTTGGTCCGGAGCTGAGTTCAAGTTCTGAATATCCTTGTTAATTGTTTGTCTCATTAATCTGTCTAATATTTACATTAGGATGTTAAATTTCCCACTATTATTGTATGGGAGTCTAAGTTTAAGTGGAAATCTGGGTGCTCCTGTATTGGGTGCATATATATTTAGAACAGTTAGCTCTTCTTGTTGCATTGATCCCTTTACCATTATGCAATGCCCATTTTGTCTTTTTTAATCTTTGTTGGTTTGAAGTCTGTTTTATTAGAGACTTGGATTTCAAACCTGGCTTTTTTTATTTTTTGCTTTCCAATTGATTAGTAAATTTTCTTCCATCCCTTTATTTTGAACCTATGTTTGTCTTTGCATGTGAGATGGGTCTCCTGAATATAGCACACCAATGGGTCTTGACTTATCCAATTTGTGTCTGTGTATGTTAATTGGGGCATTTAGCTCATTTACATTTAAGGTTAATATTGCTATGTGTGAATTTGATCCTGTCATTATGATGCTAGCTGGTTACTTTGCCCATTAGTTGATGCAGTTTCTTCATAGTGTCGATGGTCTTTACAATTTGTTATGTTTTTCAGGTGGCTGGTTCCGGTTTTTCTTTTCCATATTTAGTGCTTCCCTCAGGGGCTCTTGTAAGGCAGGCCTGGTGGTGACAAAATCTCTCGGCAATTGCTTGTCTTGAAATGATTTTATTTCTCCTTCACTTATGAATCTTAGTTTGGCTGGATATGAAATTCTGGGTTAAAAATTCTTTTCTGTAAGAATGTTGAATATAGGCCCTTACTCTCTTCTGGCATGTAGGGGTTCTGCACAGAGATTGGCTGTTAGTCTTGTGGGCTTCCTTTTGTAGGTAACAGGACCTTTCTCTCTGGCTGCCCTTAATATTTTTTCCTTCATTTCAACCTTGGAGAATCTGACCATTATGTGTCTTGGGTTGTTCTTCTCAAAGAGTATCTTAGTGGTAGTTTCTGTATTTCCTGAATTTATATATTGGTCTGTCTTGCTAGGTTGGGGAAGTTCTCCTGGATAATATCCTGAAGTGTGTTTTCCAATTTGGTTCCATTCTCCTCGTCACTTTCAGGTACACCAATCAAATGTAGGTTTGGTCTTTTCACATAGTCCTATATTTCTTGGAGGCTTTGTTTGTTCCCTTTTCATTCTTTTTTTCTCTAGTCTTGTCTTCACACTTTATTTCATTAAGTTGATCTTCAATATCTGATATCCTTTCTTCCGCTTAATTGATTCGGCTGTTGATACTTGTGTATGCTTCACCAAGTTCTTGTGCTGTGTTTCTCAGCTTCATCAGGTCATTTATGTTCTTCTCTAAACAGGTTATTCTAGTTAGCAGCTCCTGTAACCTTTTTTCAAGGTTCTTAGCTTCCTTGCATTGGGTTAGAACATGCTCCTTTAGCTCAGAGAAATTTGTCATTACCCACCTTCTGAAAGCTGCTTCTGTCAAACTCATTCTTTGTCCAGTTTTGTTCCCTTGCTGGCAAGGAGTTGTGTTCCTTTGGAGAAGAAGCATTCTAGTTTTTGGGATTTTCAGCCTTTTTGCACTGGTTTTCCTCATCTTCTTGGATTTATCTACCATTGGTCTTTGATGTTGGTGAGCTTCAGATGGAGTTTCTGTGTAGATGTCCTTTTGGTTGACATTGATGCTATTCCTTTCTGTTAGTTAGTTTTCCTTCTAACAGGTCCCTCTGCTGCAATTCTGCTGGAGTTTGCTGGAGGTCCCCCTCCAGACCCGCCTGTATCACCAGATTGCTGCCTGTTTCTTCCTCTGGAAGCTTTGTCCCAAAGCGGCACCTGCCAGATGCCAGCCAGACCTCTCCTGTATGAGGTGGCAGTTTACCCCTGCTGGGAGGTGTCTCCCAGTTAGGAGGCACAGGTGTCAGGGACTCACTTGAAGAGGCAGTCTGTCCCTTAGCAGAGCTTGAGCATGGTGCGGGGAGATCCGCTGCTCTCTTCGGAGCCAGCAGGCAGGAACATTTAAGTCTCCTGAAGCTGGGCCCATAGCTGCCCCTTCCCCCAAGTACTCTGTCTCAGGGAGAGGGGAGTTTTATCTATAAGTCTGTGACTGGGGCTGCTACTTTCTTTCAGAGATGCCCTGCCCAGAGAGGAGGAATCTATAGAGGCAGTCTGGCTACAGTGGCTTTGCCCAGCTGTAGTGGGCTCCATCCAATTTGAACTTCCCAGCAGCTTTGTTTACACTGTGGGGGAATACCACCTACTCAGGCCTCAGTAATGGGGGCACACCCCTCCCCCAACCAGGATCAAGCGTTCCAGGTCAGTCGACTTCAGACTGCTGTGTTGGCAGTGAGATTTTCAAGCCAGTTGATCTTAGCTTGCTGGGCTCTGTGGGGGTGGGATCTGCTAAGCTAGACCACTTGGCCTCCTAGCTTCAGCACCCTTTCCAGAGGAGTGAACGGTTCTGTCTTACTGGCATTCCAGGTGCCTCTGGGGTATGAAAAAAAAACTCCTGCAGCTAGCTCAGTGTCTGCCAAAACAGCTGCGCAGTTTTTGTTCTTGAAACCCAGGGCCCTGGTGGCATAGGCACCATAAGGGAATCTCCTGGCCTGTGGGTTGTGAAGACCGTGGGAAAAGCATAATATCTGGGCCAAAGTGCACTGTTCCCATGGCACAGTCCCTCAAGCTTCCCTTGGCTTAGGAAGGGAGTTCCCAACCCCTTCCACTTCCTGGGTGAGGCAACACCCCACCCTGCTTCAGCTCACCCTCTGTGGGCTACACATACTGTCTCACCAGTCCCAATGAGATGAGCTGGGTACCTCCATTGGAAATGCAGAAGTCACCCACCTTCTGCATTGATCTTGCCAGGAGCTGCAGACCAGAGCTGTTGCTATTCAGCCATCTTTCTAGCCACCCGCAGTCATTATGTTTTATTTGAGATACCTCCAAATTGCTTTCCACAGTGACTGAACTAATTCCCACAAGCATTGTATAAGCATTACCTTTTCTCTATGACCTGCCAACATCTGTTATTTTTTGCCTAATTAATGATAGCTATTTCTGATTGGGGTGAGATGGTATGTTATTATGGTTTTCATGTGCATTTATTTAATGATTAGTGATTTTGAGCATTTTTTAATATGCTCATTTGCCATGTATATGTCTTCTATTGAAAAGTGTCTGTTCATGTGCATTGCCTACTTTTTAATGGAATTGTTTGCTTTTTGCTTGTAAATTTGTTTAGTTTGTTTAAGTTCCTTATAGGTTCTGGATATTAGACTTTTATCAGATGCACAGTATACAAATATTTTCTCCCATTCTGTAAGTTTTCTGTTTACACTACTGATAGTGTCTTTCACTGTGCAGAAGCTTTTTAGTTTAAATAGGTGTCGCTTGTCAATTTTTGTTTTGTGGCAATTGGTGTTTCCTAGGGTTTCTTCTAGATTTCTTTTAGTCTGATATTTTACATTTAATTTTTTAATTCATTGTTAGTTTATATATGTGGTGAAACACAAGGATCCAGTTTCATTCTTCTACATTTAGCTAGCCAACTATTCCAACACATTTGTTGAATAGGGAGTCCTGTTGCCATCTTTTATTTTTGTTTTCTTTGTCAAAGATCAAATGGTTGTAGTTGTATGGCTTTATTTCTGGGTTATTTTGTTCTATTGGTTTATTTATCTGGTTTTGTATCAGTACCATGCTGTTTTGGTTGCTGTAGCTTTACAATATATTTTGACGTTGGGTAGTATGATGCCTTCAGCTTTGTTCTTTTTGCTTAGGATTATTTGGCTATTTGGGATCTTTTTTGTTCCAGCTTTTTCTAATTCTGTGCAAAATGACACTTGCTGTTTTCAAGACCAACCTGGCCAACATGGTGAAACCCTGTCTCTACTAAAAATACAAAAAATTAGCTCAGAGTAATGGTGGGCAACTGTAATCCCAGCTACTTGGGAGGCTGAGGCAGAAGAATCACTTGAACCCAGAAGGCGGAGGTTGCAGTGAGCCGAGGTCGTGCCACTGCACTCCAGCCCTGGTGACAGAGTGAGACTCCATCTCAAAAATAAATAAATAAATAAATAAATAAATAAAGGAATATCATCGAATTTGCAGAATGCTTTGAGCAGTATTGCCATTTTAACAATATTTATTCTTCAAATTCATGAACAGGGAATGTATTTTCTTTTATTTGTCATATCTCTAATTTCTTTCAGCAGTGTTTGTAGTTCTCCTTGTAGAGATCTTTTACCACCTTGGTAAGATTAATATTCCTAGATATATTTAATGTGGGTATATAGCTATTGTATATCAGATTGTGTTCTTGATTTGGCTACCAGCTTAAATATTATTGGTTGTATAGATATGTTACTGATTTTGTACATTGATTTTGTATCTTGGAACTTTACTGAATTCATTTCTCAGTTTCAGGGCTCTTTTAATAGAGTCTTTAGGTATAGAATGCCATGATCATGAAAGTGAGAAAGTTTGACTTTTTGTTTTCCTATTTGTATACCTTTCATTTCTTTATCTTGCCAAATTGTTCTGGCTGGGACTCCCTTAGGCTTGTTTTTTTTTTATTTTTTTTGAGGCGGAGTCTCGCTCTCGCCCAGGCTGGAGTGCAGTGGCGCGATCTTGGCTCACCGCAAGCTCCACCTCCCAGGTTCACGCCATTCTCCTGCCTCAGCCTCCCAAGTAGCTGTTACTACAGGCACCTGCTACCATGCCTGGCTAATTTTTTTGTATTTTTAGTGGAGACGGGGTTTCACCATGTTAGCCAGGATGGTCTCGATCTCCTGACCTCGTGATCCGCCCACCTCGGCCTAGGCTTGTATTTTTATCCATACAGCCACTCTATGTAGTTTGACTGGAACGTTTACTCCATTTACATTTAATATTAGTGATAAGAAAGGATTTACCACTGTCATTTTGTTATTTGTTTTCTGGATGGTTTTTGATCTTCTCTTTTTCCCTTCCTATCTTTCTTCCTGCCTTTCTTTTTAGGAAAGTAATTTTATTTGGTTGTACAATTTAATGTCTTGATTTTCATTATTTTGGTGTATCTATTGTAGGTTTTTTTTATTTAGGTTTACCATGAGGCTTGCAAATAACATCTTATAACCCATTATTGTAAACTGATAACAACTTAAATCTGATTGCATAAACAAACAAAGAAACAAAAACTCCATAGTATAACTTCGTCCCCCCACTTTTAACTTTTTGTTGTTTCTATTTATATATTATACAGTCTATGTTTTAAAAAGTTGTCATAGTTTTTTTTTATTTTTTAAGTTCTGGGATACATGTGCAGAACGTGCAGGATTGTTACATAGGCAAACATGTGCCATGGTGGTTTGCTACACCTATCAACCCATTATCTAGGTTTTAAGCCCCACATGCATTAGGTTTTTGTCCTAATGCCCTCCCTCCCCTGTAGTTATTTTTTACTGGTTCATCTTTTAGTCTTTCTATTTAAGATAAAAGTAGTTTACACATCACAATTACAGTGTTATGTGTTTTTCTGGGTACTTAACTATTATCAGTGAGTTTTAAATCTTTAGATAGTTTCTTATTGTGCATTGACATCCTTTTTCTTTCCAATTGAAGAACTCCTTTTAGCATTTCTTGTAGTACAGGTCTGGTGCTGATGAAATTTCTCATCTTTTGTTTGCCTGGGAAGTATTTATTTCTCCTTCATGTTTGTTTGAAGAATATTTTCACTGGATATACTATCCTAGCATAAAAGGTTTTTTCTTTAGTACTTTAAAGATATCATACCACTGCCTATTGGTTTGTATGGTTTTCAGTGAGAAATCTGCTGCCAGACATATTAGAGCTTTTTCATGTGTTATTTGTTCCTTTTCTCTTGTCCTTTGGAAGTTTGGTTAAATGTTTTGAGGTCATATTATCTGGGTTAAAATTGCTTGTTGTTCCGTAACCTATTTGTACTTGAATATTATTATCTTTCTCTAGGTTTGGGAAGTTCTCTGTTATTATCCCTTCAAATAAACATTCTAACCTGATCTTTTTAAATCTTCTTTAAAGCCAATAACTTACTTAGATTTTCTCTTTTTAGGCTATTTTCTATACCTTGTAGGTGTGCTTCATTCTTTTTTATTTTTTTCTTTCATCTTGCCTGAGTATTTTCAAGTAACCTATCTTTAAAGTCATTAATTCATTATTCTGCTTGATAAATTTCACTGTTAAAGACTATGATGTATTTTCAATTTTTCAATTAAATTTTTTTTCTGCGTCTATTGAGATAATCATGTGTTTTTTGCCTTTATTTCTGTTGTGTGATGAATCACATTTATTGATTTGCATATGTTGAACCAATCTTGGTTCCCAGGGATGAAGCCAACTTGATTGTGGTGGATAAGCTTTTTGATGTGCTGTTGGATTTCATTTGTCAGTATTTTATTTTATTGAGGGCATTTGCATTGCTCTTCACCAAGTATATTGGGCTGAAGGTTCTTTGTTGTATCTCTGCCAGGTTTTGGTAGCAAACGATGCTGGCCTCATAGGGAGAAGCCCAACCTAATCCATTTTTGGAATAGTTTCAGTAGAAATGGTGCCAGCTCCTCTTTGTAACTCTGGTAGAATTCAGCTGTAAATCCATTTAATCCTGGGCTTTTCTGGTTGTTAGGCTATTTATTACTGCTTCAATTTCAGAACTCATTATTGGTCTACTTAGGAATTTCAATTTCTTCCTAGTTCAGTCTTGGGAGGGTGTATTTGTCCAGGAATTTATTCATTTCTTCTAGATTTTCTAGTTTATATGTATAGAGGTGTTTATAGTATTCTCAGATTGTTGTTTGTATTTCTGTGGGGTCAGTGGTGGTATCCCCATTATCATTTCTTATTGTATTTATGATTCTTCTTTCTTTTCTTTTTTAGTCTAGCTAGAGGTCTGTTTTATTAACTTTAAAAAAACAGCTGAATTTGTTGATTTCTTGAAGGGTTTGTTTCTCTATCTCCTTCAGTTTCTCTATCTCCTTCAGTTTTGTTCTGATCTTGGTTACTGCTTGACTTCTGCTAGCTTTGAGATTTGTTTGTTTGCTGTTGGTTCTCTAGTTCTTTTAGTTGAGTTCTTCAGGTTGTTAACTTGAGATCATTCTAGCTTTTTTATGTAGGCATTTAGTGTATAAATTCCCCTCTTTTCTGTTGAATTTGGGTGAATATTTTTGTAGATATCGATCAGGTCCAATTGATCCAGAGCTGAGATTAGGTCCTGAATATCTTTGATAATTCTTTGTCTCAATGATCTGTCTAAAATTGTCAGTGGAGTGTTAAAGTCTCCCATTATTATTGTGTGGGAGTCTAAGTAAGTCTCTTCGTAGATCTCTGACAATTTGCTTTATGAATCTGGGTGCTCTTGTACTGGGTGCATATCTACTTAGGATAATTAGCACTTCTTGTTGAATTGATCCCTTTACAATTATGTAATACTGTTCTTTGTCTTTTTTTATCTGTGTTGGTTAAAAGTCTGTTTTGCCAGAAACTAGGATTGCAACCCCTGCTTCTTTCCGTTTTCCATTTGCTTGGTAAATTCTCCTCCATCCCTTTATTTTAAACCTATGTGTGTCTTTGAATATGAGACGGGTCTCTTGAAAACAGCATACCAATGGGTCTTAGCTCTTTATACAGCTTGCCATTCTGTGCCTTTTAATTGAGGCATTTAGCCTATTATTTTAAGTTAATAGTTATGTGTGAATTGAATCCTGTCATGATACTAGCTGGCTACTTTGCAGACTTGCTCATGTAATTGCTTCATAATGCCACTGGTCTGTATACTTCAGTGTGTTTTTGTAGTGGCTAGTAACAGCTTTTGATTTCCATATTTAGTGCTTCCTTCAGGGGCTCTTGCAAGACAGGCCTAGTGGTGATGAATTCCCTCAGCATTTGATTGTCTGAAAAGGATCTTATTTCTCTGCTTATAAAGATCAGTTTGGCTGTATGTGATATTCTGGGTTGAAAATTATTTTCTTTAAGAATGTTGAATATTGGTCCTCAATGTCTTCTGGCTTGTAGGAATTCCACTGAAAGGTCTGCTGTTAGTCTGATGGGTTTCCTTTTGCAGATGACCTGGCCTTTCTCTCTGGCTACCCTTAACATTTTTTCTTTCATTTCAATCTTAAAGAATCTGATGATTTTGTGTCTTGGGGTTGATCTTCTTGTGGAGTATCTTATTGGAGTTTTCTGCATTCCCTGAAGTATGTTTTCCAACTTAGTTTTGTTCTCCCTGTCTCTTTCAGGTATCCAAATCAGTCATAGATTTGGTCTTTTTACATAGTCCCATATTTCCTGGATGTTTTGTTTGTTTGTTTTCATTCATTTGTCTCTATTTTTGTCTTGAAAAGATACTTTTCAAGCTCGAAGATTCTCTTCTCTGCTTGGTCTATTTTGCTATTGATGTGTGTGACTGTATTGTGAGGTTCCCATGTTGCGTTTTTCAGCTCCATCAGATTGGTTATGTCCCTCTCTAAGCTCGCTATTCTGGCCATCAGCTCCTATATTGTTTGTTTTATCAGAATTCTTAGCTTCTTTCCATTGAGTTACAACATGCTCCTTTAGGTCAGCAAAGCTCATTATTATACCCACCTTACGAAACCTACTTCTGTCAATTCAGCCATCTCAGCCTCAGCCCAGTTTTGTGCCCTTGCTGAAGAGGTGTCACAGTAATGTGGAGGAGTAGAGGCACTCTGGCTTTTTGAGTTTTCAGCATTTTTGCATTGATTCTTACTCATCTTTGTGGGCTTACCTACCTTCGATCTTGGAGGTTTCTCACCTTTGAATGAGATTTTAGTTGGGTCTTTCTTGTTGATGTTGTTGTTGTTTTCAACCATCAGGCTACTCTATCATAGGGCTGCTGCAGTTTTCTGGATGTATCACAAATGAAGGCCGTGAAACAGCAAAGATTGCAGCCAGCTTCTTCCCCTCTGTTCAGAGGTCTCACACAGTCAGGAATAACAGCATCAGGGACCTGCCTAAAGAAGCAGTCTGGCAGGTTTGGGTAGAACAGGTGTGCTACTTTGGGGGTGGACCCTTCCTTGTCCAGACTGCCTGTATTCTCCATATCCAGCAGGCTGGAGCATCTGAGTAGACTGAACCACACAGATGGTGGCTGCCTCTCCCTGCCAGGAACTTGAACCCATCTCAGCTGGACTCCAACCCACTGCCATTGGCAGTGGGACTCAACTTGTGAGGTGCTGTGGAAGTGGGGCCAACAAAACCATGTGGCCCCCTTCTTAAGGACATTTACAGGTGAATTTCCCATCTTGCCCGGCATCCTATGGGTGAAGTATGCAAAACTCCCAGTTCTGTGTGTGTGCCTGAGCAGCTGCTCTGCCAATACTCCACACAGGTCTGTGTATCAGATTCAAGACTCTGGTGGCATAAGCTCATGAGTGGATATCCTGATCTGTGGGCTACAAAGATCCAAGGGAGAAGCATGGTTTCCCAGGTAGGGTTGTGCAATCACTCACCACTTCCCTTGGTTGGGGGTGGGGGGCTGTGCACTGTTCCCAGGTGGGCTGACCACAGCTGCCTCTAGTCAGCCATCTTGGATTGATCCCCCACGAATGTGCCTTGACAATGTTTTTCTAAAATGTACATAGAAACACAAAAGATCTAGAACAACCAAACTATTTCAAGGGGATCCTTCAAAATAAGAAATAGACAACCTACTTTACAAATAAACAAAACGTTTGAATAGACACTTTACCAAAGATATATGAATGACAAAGAGGTGTATCAAAGGATGCTTAATATTATTCATAACGAAGGGCATGCAAAAAAATAAAAAGAGCTATCACTAACACTTATTAGAATGGCTAAAAATAAAACCAAAAAGCTAATTATACTAAATGGTGACCTATAAAATTGTGGGGATAAGTCTTTCAGAAGAGGGAGCAACATGGGGAAAGAGCTCCAGGAATCTGCATGATCCAGCATTGCAAACCTTATAGTCACATCTGGCATTCAAATAAAAATTGGTAGACAAATGAAATAGCAGGACACATCTCCATAACCAGGAGAAAAATATGTCAATAGAAACATAGAAGTGTGGGATCTGGTGAGATGGCTGAATAGGAACAGCTATATTCTGCAGCACCCAGCGAGACCAGTGCAAAGGCGAGTGATTTCTGCATTTCCAACTGAGGTACCCTGTTCATCTCATTGGGACTGGTTAGGCAGTGGGTCCAAACCATGGAAAGTGAGCAGAAGCAGGGTGGGGCATTGCCTTACCTGGGAAGTGCAAAGAGTGGGGAGCCTCTCTTTCTCAGCCAAGGGAAGCTGTGAGGGACTCTCCTATGAGGCCCAGATACTATGCTTTTCCCACAGTTTTTGCAAACCACAGACCAGGAGTTTCCCTCATATCCCTACATCACCAGGATGCTGGGTTTCAAGCACAAAACCTGGTGGCTTTTTGGGCAGACACCAAGCTAGATGCAGGAGTATTTTTTCATATTGCAGTGAGACAGAACCTGGAAATGGGGCTGAAGCCAGGGAGCCAAGTGGTCTCATTTAGCAGGTCCTACTCCCATGAAACCCAGCAAGCTAAGAACCACTGGCTTGAAATTCTCACTGCCAGCACAGCAGTCTGAAGTTGGCCTGGAATTATAGAGCTTAGTCTGGGGGAGGGGTGTCTGCCATTACTGAGGCTTGAGTAAGCGGTTTTCCTCTGACAGTGCTAAGAAGAGCTGGAAGTTCGGACTGGGCAGAACCCAACACAGCATACGAAACAGCTGTGGCCAGACTGCCTCTCTAGATTCTTCTTCACTGGGCAGGGCATCTCTGAAAGAAAGACAGCAGCCCCAGTCAGGGGCTTACAGATAAAACTCCCATCCCCCTGGGACAGAGCACTGTGGGGAAGAGATGGCTATAGGTGCAGCTTCAGTGGACTTAAACATTTTTGGCTGTGGGCTTTAGCTGTGGATCAGGACAGCAGATCCTGACAAAGAGGGTTCTCCCAGCACAGTGCTCAAGCTCTGCTAAGGGACAGACTGCCTCCTCAAGTGGGTCCCTGGTCCCTGTGCCCCCTGACTGGGAGAGACCTCCCAGCAGGCGTTGACAGACATCTCATAGAGGAGCACTTTGGCTTGCATCAGGCCAGTGCCCCTCTGGGATGAAGCTTCCAGAGGAAGAAGCACACAGCAATCTTTGCTGTTCTGCAGCCTCCACTGGTGATACCCAGGCAAATAGGGTCTAGAGTGGACCTCTAGCAAACTGCAGCAGAAAAGGGACCTGTTAGAAGGAAAACTAACAAACAGAAAGCAATAATATCAACATCAACAAAAAGGACCCCCACACAGAAACCCCATACAAAGGTCATCAGCCTCAAAGATCAAAGGTAGATAAATCCATGAAGATGAGGAAAAACCAGCATGAAAATGCTGAAAATTCCAAAAACCAGAATGCCTCTTCTCCTCCAAATGATCACAACCCCTTTCCAGCAAGGACACAAAACTGAACAGAGAATGAGTTTGACAAATTGACAAAAGTAGGCTTCAGAAGGTGGGTAATAACAACAAACTGCTCTGAGCTAAAGGAGCATGTTCTAACCCAACAGAAGGAAGCTAAGAATCTTGACAAAAGGTTACAGGAACTGCTAACTAGAATAACCAGTTTAGAAAGGAACATAAATGGAGCTGAAAAACACAGCACAAGAACATTGTGAAGCATACACAAGTATTAACAGCTGAATCAATCATATTCCTTCAAAAGGATATCGGAGATTGAAGAACAACTTACTGAAATAAGGTGTGAAGACAGACAAAATTCGAGAAAAAAGGAAAAAAAAAAAAAAGGATGAACAAAGGCTCCAAGAAAAATGGGACATGTAAAGACCAAACTTATGATTGATTGGGGTACCTGAAAGTGACGGGAGAATGGAACCAAGTTGGAAAACACACTTCATGTTATTATCCAGAACTTCCCCAACCTAGCAAGACAGGCCAACATTCAAATTCAGGAAATGCAGAAACCACCCCTAAGATACTCTTTGAGGAGAGCAACCCCAAGAAACAATCACCAGATTATCCAAGGTTGAAATGAAGGAAAAATTGTTGAGGGCAGCCAGAGAGAAAGGTCAGGTTATCTACAAAGGGAAGCCCATCAGACTAGCGCTGATCTCTCTGCAGAAACCCTGCAAGCCATAAGAGAGTAGGGGGCAATATTCAACATTCTTAAAACAAATGGATTTTCAACCCAGAATTTCATATCCAGCAAAACTGCGCTTCATAAGTGAAGGAGAAATAAAATTCTTTCAAGGCAAGCAAATGCCGAGGGATTTTTGTCACCACCAGGCCTGCCTTTCAAGAGCTTCTGAAGGAAGCACTAAATATGGAAAGGAAAAATTGGTACCAGCCACTGCAAAAACATACCAAATTGTAAAGACCATCGATACTATGAAGAAACTACATCAACTAATGAACAAAATAACCAGATAGCATTATGATGACAGGATCAAATTCAAACATAACAATATTAATCTTAAATGTAAATGAACTAAATGCCCCAAATAAAAGATAGATAGAGACTGGCAAATTAGATAAAGAGTCAAGATCCATCAATGTGCTGTAATCAGGAGACCCATCTCATGTGCAAAGACACACATAGTCTCAAAATAAAGGGATGGAGGAATACTTACCAAGAAAATAGCAAAAGAAAGCAGGGATTGCAAATCCTAGTCTCTGATAAAACAGGCTTTAAATTAGCAAAGATCAAAAAAGACAAAGAAGGGCATTACATAATGGTAAAGGGATCAATGCAATAAGAAGAGCTAACTATCCTAAATATATATGCACCCAATACAGGAGCACCAAGATTCATAAAACAAGTTCTAAAGGACCTACAAAGAGACAGACTCTCACACAATGATAGTGGGAGACTTTAACACCCCACTCTCAATATTAGACAGATCAAGACAATTAACAAGGATATTCAGGACTTGAACTCAACTCTGGACCAAGAGGACCTAATAGGCATCTTACAGGACCCTCCATCCCAAATCAAAAGAATATATATTTTTCTCAGTGTGACATAGCATGTATTGTAAAATCGACCACATAATTGGAAGTAAAATACTCCTCAGCAAATGCAAAAGAATGGAAATCATAACAGTCTTTCAGACCACAGTGCAATCAAATTAGGACTCAGGATTAAGAAACTAACTCAAAACTGCAAAACTACATGGAAACTGAACAACCTGCTCCTGAATGACTACTGAGAAAAAAAAAAAAAAAAAAAAAGGCAGGAATCAGGAAGTTTTTTGAAATCAATGAGAACAAAGAGACAAAGAACCAGAATCTCTGGGACACATTTAAAACAGTGCTTAGAGGGAAATTTATAGCACTAAATGCCCACATCAGAAAGTGGAAAAGATCTAAAATTGACACCCTAACATTACAATTAAAAGAACCAGAGAAGCAAGAGAAAACAAATTCAAAAGCTAGTGGAAGACAAGAAATAACTAAGATCAGAGCAGAACTTAAGGACATACAGACACAAAAAACCCTTCAGGCTGGGCGCAGTGGCTCACGCCTGTAATCCCAGCACTTTGGGGGGCCAAGGCAGGTGGATCACGAGGTCAGGAGATCGAGACCATCCTGGCTAACACGGTGAAACCCGTCTCTACTAAAAAATACAAAAAATTAGCTGGGCGTGGTGGCGGGCGCCTGTGGTCCCAGCTACTCGGGAGGCTGAGGCAGGAGAATGGCATGAACCGAAGAGGCGGAGCTTCCAGTGAGCCGAGATCGCGCCACTGCACTCCAGCCTGGGTGACAGTGCGAGACTCCGTCTCAAAAAAAAAAATACAGAAGCAAGTTTTTTCTAAAAGATTAACAAAATAGGCTGCTAGCCAGACTAATAAAGAAGAAAAGAGAGAAAAAACAAATAGACATAATAAAAAATGATACAGGGGATATCACCACTGATCCCACAGATATGCAAACTACCATCAGAGAATACTATAAACACTTCTACACAAATAAACTAGAAAATCTAGAAGAAATGGATAAATTCCTGGAAAAATACACCCTCCCAAGACTAAACCAGGAAGAAGTCAAATCCCTGAATAGAGCAATAACAAGTTCTGTAATTGAGGCAGTAATTAATAGCCTACAAACCAAAAAAAAGCCCAGGACCGGAAGGATTCACAGCCAAATTTTACCAGAGGTACAAAGAGGAGCTGGTACCATTCCTTCTAAAACTATTCCAAACAACAGAAAAAGAGGGTCTCCTTCCTAACTCATTTTACGAGGCCAGCATCATCCTGATACCAAAACCTGTCAGAGACACAACACAAAAAAAGAAAATTTCAGGCCAATATCCTTCATGAACATACTTGTGAAAATCCTCAATAAATAGTGGCAAGCAGAATCCAACAGCTCATCAAAAAGCTTATCCAAGTCGGCTTCATCTTTGGGATACAAAGCTGGTTCAACATACACAAATTTTTAAACATAATCCATCACATAAACAGAACCAATGACAACAACCACATGATTATCTCAATAGATGCAGAAAAGTCCTTTGATAAAATTCAACACCCTTCATGCTAAAATATTTCAATAAACCAGGTATTGATGGAACACATCTCAAAATAATAAGAGCTATTTATGACAAACCCACAGCCAACATTTTACTGAATGGGCAAAAGCTGGAAGGATTCCCATTGAAAACCAGCACAAGGCTAGGATGCCCCCTCTCACCACTCCTATTCAACATAGTATTGGAAGTTCTGGAGAAGACCATCAGCCAAGATAAAGAAAATGTATTCAAATAGGAAGAGAACAAGTCAAATCATCTCGGTTTGCAGATAACCTGATTGTATATTTAGAAAACCCCATTGTCTCAGACCATAAAACTCCTTAAGCAAAGTTTCAGGATACAAAATCAATGTGCAAAAATCACAAGCATTCCTATACACCAATAATAGACAAGCAAAGAGCCAAATCATGAGTGAACTTCCATTCACAGGGAAAATAAAATACCTAGTAATACAAATTACAAGGGATGTGAAGGACCTCTTCAAGCAGAGCTAGAAACCACTGCTTAAGGAAATAAGAGAGGACACAAACAAATGGAAAAATATTCCATGCTCATGGATAGGAGAATCAATATCATGAAAATAGCCATACTGTCCAAAGTAATTTATAGATTCAATGCTATCCCCATCAAGCTTCCACTGATTCTCTTCACAGAACTAGAAAAGGATTCTTTAAATATCATATGGAACCAAAAAGAGCCTGTATAGCCAAGACAAGACAATCCTAAGCAAAAAGAACAAAGCTGGAGGCATCATGCTGCCCGACTTCAAACCATACTACAAGGCTACAGTAACCAAAACAGCATGCTAATGGTACCAAAACTGATATATAGACCAATGGAACAGAACAGAGGCCTCAGAAAAAACACCACATATCTACAACCATCTGATCTTTGACAAACCTGACAAAAACAAGCAATGGGGAAAGGATTCCATATTTAATAAATGGTGTTGGGAAACTAGCTAGCCATATGCAGGAAACTGAAACTAGACCCCCTTCCTTACAGCTTATACGAAAATTAACTCAGGATGGATTAAAGACTTAAAACCATAAAAACCCTAGAAGAAAACCTAGGCAATACCATTCAGGACATAGGCATGAGCAAGGCTTCCTGACTAAAACACCAAAACCAATTGCAACAAAAGCCAAAATTGACAAATGGGATCTAATTAAACAAAAGAGCTTCTGCACAGCAAAAGAAACTATCATCAAGAGTGAACAGGCAACCTACAGAATAGGAGAAAATTTTTGCAATCTATTCATCTGACAAAGGTGTAATATGCAAAATCTACAAGGAACTTAGAAACCCCCTCAAAAAGTGGCTGAAGGATATGAACAGACACTTCTCAAAAGAAGACATTTATGTGGCCAAAAACATATGAAAAAAAAGCCTATTACTGGTCATTAGAGAAACGCAAATCAAAACCACAATGAGATACCATCTCACACCAGTTAGAATGGTGATCATTAAAAAGTTAGGAAACCGTAATGCTGGTGAGGATGTGGAGAAATAGGAACAGTTTTACACTATTGGCGGGAGTGTAAATTAGTTCAACCATTGTAGAAGACAGTGTGGCAATTCCTCAAGGATCTAACACCAGAAATACCATTTGATCCAGCAATCCCATTACTGAGTATATACCCAAAGGGTTATAAATCATTCTACTCTAAAGATAACTGCACACATATGCTTATTGCAGCACTATTTACAAGCAAAGACTTGGAACTGACCCAGATGCTCATCCATGATAGACTTGATAAAGACAATGTGGCACATATACACCATGGAATACTATGCAGCCATAAAAAGAACGAGTTTATGTCCTTTGTGGGGACATGGATGAAGCTGGAAGCCATCATCTTCAGCAAACACAGGAACAGAAAACTAAACACCGCATGTTCTCATACGTAGGAGTTAAACAGTAAGAACACATGGACACAGGGAAGGGACATCACACACCGGGGCCTGTCAGGAGGTGGGGGGCAAGGGGAGGGAAATCATTAGGACAAATACCTAATGCACATGGGGCTTAAAACCTAGATGATGGGTTTATAGGCACAGCAAACCACTGTGGCACATGTATATCTATGTAACAAACCTGCACATTCAGCACATGTATCCCAGAACTTAAGAAAAAAAAAAGATTAAACAAAACTGTCACAAATAAGTAATATTTCCACTCACTGAAATTTGATTTAAATGTTTGCAACTGATAATTTTATTTACTAGAAGCCACAGTGATTGAGCACTGAAATGGGAACAAAAATAAGCATAACACAAATGCACCCCCTATTTACCATCTTTTAGATCTTTTGTCTCACATCATCTATTGTATTATTAACTTTCTTTAAAAAAAGAAACATAGAAATGACATGTATAATAAAATTAAAAAGCCTTGCTATTAAAATGGCCATAATATGTTCAAAGTCCTATCCTCTATTCCTGTTGAAGATTGTACAGATCCATGAACAGACCTGGCAAGAGGCTTATCCTAGGATGGTCATGAGTCCTTGTTTATGCTCTCCAGCTTCCCTAGGAACCACTCTCCCTAAAGTCCTTTCAGCAGCAGTTCGTTGACAATCTACTTAATTCCCTGGTTATCCAAATCCAACTCTACACCAACTGCTGCCGTGTAGTCCTGAACTTAGTTTTGTTCTCAGTCACTTTTGTCTCCTTTCCCACAAATAACTTCTGGTTGCCTCTTCCTCCTCCTAGGTATTAGTCCATGTTCACACTGCTATGAAGAACTACTTGAGACTGGGTAATTTATGAATAAAAAAGGTTTAATTTTTGACACACAATTCTGCAGGCTTAAAAGGAAGCATGACTGGGAGGCCTCAGGAAACTTCCAATTATGGCAGAAGGTGAAGGGGAAGCAAGGACTTTCTTCACATGGTGGCAGGAGAGAGAGAAAATGTGAGGGGGGGAGTACTACACCCATTTAAACCATCAAATCTCTTGAAAACTCACTCACTCTTACAAGAACAGCAAGAGGAAAATCTGCCCCCATGATCCAATCACCTCCCACCAGGTCCCTCCCCCAACACTGAGAATTACAATGTAACATGAGATTCAGGTGGGGACACAGAGCCAAAACATATCATTCCAACCCTGGCCCCTCCCAAATTACCAAGAGTGACCTTTACTCCATTTCCCAATAAGTTCCTCATCTCCATCTGAGACCACCCCAGCCTGGACTTCATTGTCCATATCACTATCAACATTTTGGTCACAACTATTTAACAAGTTTCTAGGAAGTTCCAAACCTTCCCTCATCTCTTCTTGTGAGCCCTCCAAAGTGTTTCAACCTCTGCTCATTACTCAGTTCCAAAGTTGCTTCCACATTTCAGGCATCTTCATACCAATTTTCTATACTAGTTTGTTTTCACACTGCTATAAATAACTACCTGAGACTGAGTAATTTATAAATAAAAGAGTTTTAATTGACTCACAGTTTGCAGGCTTAATTGGAAGCATGCCTAGGAGGCCTCAGGAAATTTACAGTCATGGCAGAAGGTGAACGGAAAGGAAAAACCTTCTTCACATGGTGGCAGGAGAGAATATGAGAGGGAACATGCCATACCCTTTTAAACCATTGAATCTCATGAGAACTCACTATCACAAGAATCACATGGGGGAAAATCCACCCCCATGATCCAATCACCTCCCACCAGGTCCCTCCCCCAACACTGGGAATTACAATTCAACATGGGATTTGGGTGGGAGACACAAAGCCAAACCATATCGCTCTATGAACAAGATCCTATGAGGCTCAGAGTCTAGCCTTGATTATAATTTGGTATTTTGGTTTCACTGCTGATACAAGGAAATGTTTATTTTGTTTTTAATTTCATTTTTTTTAAATTTTTATCTTTCTTTCCGTATTATCTACATTTTTTGTCCTTACAAAAGGTGTCATATCATCATCACAGCTTAAGCATGGGAAAATGTTTTTAAAGCCATTCAGTTGCATAATGCCTATGAACTACGACTCAAGCCATTTCTACGAAATGAAATAATCTGTGCCTCCATATTCACCTATTAATACCTTATTATTTTTTAAACCAGATTAATCTTCTTCTTCTTCAAAAAAAAAGCATGGGATTTCTTATGCCAGAAATTGTCTTCACTTCCTATGAAATCGCCTACTTTTTTATGTCACATATGGAACTCATTACATCATCATTTGTATTTTGTTGTTTATATAACTTACATTGTATTTTTGGTAATACTGTATTTTTATTACCTAGCGCCGTTTACTGCAAGTCGTGCTGTGGATCCTAAAGAACTATGGCTGGAATCTCAGCTCATCATGTTTCTTGGTAGTATGAAGAGAACACTTTTTCCATCATGAAAGCTAGTCCAGAAGTTCTGGAGCACTAGAGTAAGAAGAGTCACACATCAAGAAAAAGAAAATTTACTCTTTCAGTCTGCTATTTTGTGGAGAGAAAAAAGAAAGAAGTCAATTAGATGTGAGTCCTAATCTCCTCACCAAAGTGATTCAGAGCCTAGGCAGAAAAGGGCATTGCTAGATAGCAGAAATGTCAAGGGAGTTCTTGACTGGCTCCCCATCTAGAACTCTGGGAGGAAACCTCCACAGCAGGCAGCTATACCCTAAAATGAAGCAGCCCCAGAATAGTTCAAGATGATGAAACAGCACGGCCTGGCATAAAAGGGGAGGTAAGTTTGTGTTTACAAGGTTAATGCATCTTCCCATGTGGCACTGATGTTGAACTGAGAGACAATGGGCTTGCATTAAGTCTGCCCAGGGAAACAGAGGGCAATGCTATCTGGAAACAAATATAAAAATTAAGCCACTGATTCACCAGTATCTGCAAGGCCAACAAGAATTGAGGGGATATGTTTTAGCAAAGAATGCTGAGTTTGGCAACTACATCTCTCAGTAGCACATACTAGCAGACCACCCAGAGATGTAAGGACACAAACTACACCTCAAAAGATAATCTATTATCATCAGAGGAACAAAGGGCCCTCTTCCTCCCGATGCAAGGAAGCTATTCATAGCATTTTCCAAAATACCTCAATACACTTCATTTTTTTGTACTTCCACCTAAAAATACATGTGTGTGCACACTCAGGCACATGCATACATTTACAAAGAGGAAACTTGGAGAAAAAGATAATGTGTTGGGGAAAGTTTCGAATGCTTCTTCATGTTTTATTTAAACTACTAGATTATAAACACCTTGTAGATAGAGAATTTATTTAGTTCAGTATTGCACGTAACATTTAGGATAATTAAAGGTTCTCAATAAATATTTTCCAAATGATCATCAGAAATTGTCAACAATCATCAGTCTTCAACTGTGAATTGCATATTAACATCACACTCTAATCAGTGATAGAATAAGAAGAAAATACATTAACTAGTGGACAATTCCTATAGATTACAACAGCTATGTTCCATTTTCATGAATTATCATATCATTTTGTCCTCACAATCCAATGAAAAAAACATCATCCCTGTTTTTTGAAGAACCAACTGATTTCTTACTTGAAGTATATGAGATCAAAATAGTTTGACAAAGTAATCCATCAGTTCATATAACTGATATCATGGAGAGCAAATAGCTAGTAGAAATAATATGTGCTGGCTGGGTGCAGTGGCTCATGCCTGTAATCCCAGCACTTTGGGAGGCCAAGGCTGGCAGATCATGATGTCAGGAGTTTGAGACCAGCCTGGCCAGCATGGTGAAACCTAGTCTCTACTAAAAATACAAAAAT
This sequence comes from Homo sapiens, assembly GCF_000001405.40. NCBI lineage: Eukaryota > Metazoa > Chordata > Mammalia > Primates > Hominidae > Homo > Homo sapiens. The sequence goes on from NC_000018.10 coordinate 44,384,795, forward strand.
TAGCCAGGCATGATGGTGCATGCCTGTAATCACAGCTACTCAGAGGCTGAGGCAGGAGAACCACTTGAACCCGGGAGGCGGAGGTTGCAGTGAGCCGAGATCACGCCATTACACTCCAGCCTGGGGGACAGAGCAAGACTCCATCTCAAAATAAATAAATAAATAAATAAATAATAAAATGTGCTAATGTGTACTGAACCTATAGTTCCATGTCATTGTATGTAACATAAGTCCTCATAGGATGATTTTGAGGATTATATAAGATGTTTAGGCCAAGGTGGGTGGATCACGAGGTCAGGAGTTCGAGACCAGCCTGGCCAACATAAAGAACCCCTGTCTCTACTGAAAATACAAAAAATTTAGTTGGGCATTGTGGTGGGCTCCTGTAATCCCATCTACTCAGGAGGCTGAGGCAGGAGAATCGCTTGAAACCGGGAGGCAGAGGTTGCAGTGAGCCAAGATCGCGTCACTGCATTCCAGTTGGACAACAGAGCTAGACTCCATCTCACCAAAAAAAAAAAAAAAAAAAAAGACGTTTATGTGCAGAATTTACCACATCGACTGGTACACTGGAAGCAACCAAAATTGCTACCCTATGCTTCTTAACAATTCTTCATTTTCTACTTCATTCTGATCATTCATACTTAAGCCAAATACATCCTAGGCTCTCATCCCTTGCTACACACATTTTACCACTTCAATGTCTGGATCCTGGGAGCATCAAGGCCTGGAATATAGTCACAAGCCTCCTAATTGGCACTTCCTGGCTCCATGGATGCACAGGATATCAGGGAAATTGGTGAGGATGGAAGCCAACGCTGAATGAAATGATGAAAGATCTAGGGAAGAAAAGCTAATTTGCAGCTAATTTCTAAAATATTGGCTAGAGATTTGTTCAGCTTCACAGGGACACTAGAGGGATTCAGACATCACCAAGTCATTCTATAGGGAAGATTAAAGATTCCTGGAAGCATCTTCATGTTTTTCCCCCTATATTGCTGGAAGAATGGAAACTAACTGAAAGACCCAATAGGTATTTATTTGTCTTGCTGAAGTTTATTTCAGAAATGGTAATAACATAGAATCATAGCCAAACAAAAAAATTAAAAACCAAAGGTGTCAGAGGGACCATCTCTTCTAGATACCTGTCTAGCATGAGCATAATGCCTGGCAGGTCCAAAATGTACTGGCCACATGTCAATATTGTTATCCAGATCCAGGGAATCCTGGAAACAGGTAACATCAAGGACAGGCATGGAAGGAAAATAAATAAAATAGGATAGTATGTCACTTAAGTATGAGCAGGAGAGTAGGAGGAGGCACCATCTTCCATAGCACCTCATGGTATGCTCAGTCACAGAGATTTTTCACTCTATCTTTCTCCCTCCTATCATTTGTTCCCCTATCTGCACACTTGCCTACTTAGCTTCAGGACCCAAAACATACTAGATGACTACTGAAGATCAGAATTGAATGTAGAGTGGAAAATACATTTAGCTTTGCCTTTTTGGGGTCAAGCCTCTTTCATGCTCCAGAGGAAAAAAAAGTCTACACCTTTTGTGCCCACATATTTCCTACCTGAAATGTTCAATCCATTTTAGGCATTTTCCTATAAAAACACTGCTATCAAAGCTAACGCAATCTGCACATCTTTACTGAGAAAAAACTCTCCACAGAGCCCTGGAAAGAGCTCAAACGTGTTTCTAGGCTATGGGTAAAGAGCCAGCAGAGCATTGGAGAGACAGTGTTGATGACATTGTTTTTCATTTCACAGAGGACGACTCATGTTTCTCTCCTTAAATATACACTGCAAGCCACGAGAGATGGCAGCTGTCTAATTAAACCTGATAAAGCCTCCTTAAAAATGAGACTTGGGGAAACACATCATTTTGATTGTACTGCTGCCCAATTTTCCCTGGAACCCAGGGGGAGCTGTGTACTGTGCGGGAGGGACAGAGCATGGGACCTCAGAGAAAGAAGGCAAAATTACTGGCACCATCAAATTGTTGGTGTAAAATAACAGAATATACATGATACATATTTAATGCAAACTAGATAACTTTATAAAACATGCAGAAGGATAACCTCATCTACCATTTAAAAAGCCACTGATGAAGGCTTTGATAATATACCAAATCCCTTCTGAAATTATAAAGATTTAATGGGAACACTTTATTTTCTCCAGCAGGCTTCTGCTGGCAAGAGAACCTGGGAAACAGAAACAGGGATGTGATCATTGTGTCTAAGGCTTTGGGGCAGCCCAAGCTACCACCTTCCTTTTCTCTCTTCAAAAACTTAGAGAGGTAATGTTGTCCTGGGTTTTAAATAAAGGACCACACCAACATACATACATGTACACAGTTTTCAATTCAAGTACTTAAAAGTATAAGAACTTGACCTCATAAAAGCTCTCTTCCTGGTTTCCTAATTTTGTCAGTTTTTAAATTTTTTTTGTTTGTTTCAAATACTCTCCATCAACTCTGTGAGAGGCCATGGCCCTACCTACTGCTAACCCAGTGATGTTGACAGAAATAAAACATGAAATCTCATAGCTGTGGTCTACTAATGAATTCCTACTTGGTAAGAGTGAGACTCTTGCCCCCTGATATGGCCTTGCCAGAATTAAAAAAAAAAAAATGCAGAGAACCTGAAGCACTGAGCTTCTCCAATCTGGGAGAATTCCCCCTCCTGCAGGATGCTGAAACCACTGAATGTCAGTTCAGGCAATGTCTCTGAGAAACACGGGAGGTATGAGAGAGCCTTAAATACTGATGTATAATATTATCTATGTGTTCCTTCCCGAACTTCGTAATTGCTGGCTCAGTAGTAACCTACATGGCAGTAAACCTAAACCTAATTAGAATCATCATTTATGACTTGAGCCTGGGTTCATTTATGAATTTAGTCTGGATTAACTTCTTTGGTGTTACCCAGCTCATTCCTTTAAGTGTCTCAACTGCTGGCTCCAATTTTGTCTCCTGGAAGATTTAATTTATCCTTCTCATAATTATTGGTTGCTGTCTCTCTGAAATTATAATACCCATGGTCTATATTAGTTGGTGTTAATACTCACTTTTATTTCTTTCTCCATGCCTACATAGCTAGGTATTTCTTTCTTTTTAACACTTTTAGAGATGGGGTCTTACTATGTTGTCCAGGCTGGTCTTGAACTCCTGGCTTCAAGCAATCTTCCTGCCTCAGCCTCCCTAGTCACTGAGATTACAGTCATTAGCCACAGTTCCTGGCACAACTAGGCATTTCTTTAAGGCAAGGGTTATTTTCTACCTACTTTTATCATTCATAGAATGGTTGTTATTCTGTAATTATTATTCCATAAAAAAAGTTCAGGAAAAATGTTCTGGAAGCTACATTCCAAAGTTAAAAATGGACACCATGCCAGTTTCTATCTTGTTCTGTACAAAAATAATTTTTAAAAAGTCTTAAGGAAGAAGTTGGTTAGAGTGAGGGGAAATACTGACTTCTAGGTATGGGCCTAACATTGTACTAAAGAGCAGCAGTGCAAAGAGCCCAGGTCAGCCTTTTTCAAACTGTGTTCCTTAGAAGTCTAATTCCATGAAATTATAATTGGTAATAGACACAAAAAAGATTCTGAGATCAAATTTGTTCAGAAAAAGAGAGGTTAAACAAAGTTTAACTGGTTATTTTATTGCAGAGCTTGGCAGAACATTTAATAGCTAAAATGCACGATGATATTCCAAGAGGGGGAAATTGTAGGCAAAGCTCCCAAAAGTATTTCACCATAGAATAATCTCTCAGGAAGCTTCACACTAGGCTAGAAGTACAGTTTTGAATATGTGACTCTAAATTCTGATTTGCTCTTAGAAAAATGTCTGATGTCAGGTTCCCTTAGCATTCATGGAGTTCCATTTGCTACCTACTCAAAGTTCCTTAAAGTCATTGACGCTTTGGCTTTTTAAAGTTTTTATAACTTTTGGAATTCATCTGAAATTGGATTGGTTGTGGACATAATATACTTCCTTAGAAGTAATATAAGCAAGTAAATCTGGTAGAGGACTCAGTGAAGCATAGAAGTATCTTGGAGGCCATCTTTTTAACCACCTGCCCCCAACATCATGAAAGTATAGAGTGTTCATGGTTTCAAATCTAGGTCAATATTTAAGCACTAGTATTTTAAATTGAATGTAACACTTTTTTTCATTTAGAAGGAACACCTTCTATCTCCATAGCATTTCTAACTTTCCAGAAGATGGTTTACTATGAGAATATACTAGTGCCTAACTCTAATGCCCTTTTATTGCCACCTCTTATCTGATGAATACATAACTAACTGTAGTAGTCCTAGAAGACATTCTCCCTCAAAATCATACACCTATTTAAAGACAGATAAATAGGCTGCTATTCTTTCAACATTCAGGAAACACGAAAGTTCCATAAATCTTTTCTGCATACTGGAAAGGAACAATCCTAGAATTCACAGGTTAATAAGAAAGATCAAAATATATGTAGGTAGCTATCATATAAAATTACATGAATGATTATAGAGCTCTGCAGGACAGAGCCAGAGCATTTAGGCAGAGGTCGGGGAGTGGAAAAATGGAAGGCTCCATGAAGTAGGTGGCACATGAACCTATAATGAATGGAAGTCAGTGAGACAAAGAATGGAAGAGGGGGAGAGAATCTTAGGCTGAACGACAGGTTGGCCTTGTGCTTCTTCTTTTCATTATACCAAATTACTGCCAAGTGTCACTATTATTAGGTAAGTAACATTACAATTATTGGTTATATTGTAAATGTATTTCTTAAAATGTATGATTTTGGTGAAATTTTTCGTTTTTAATCTATCCAATCCTTTCCTCAACAAAACTACATGCTTTTATAGGATGGAGCCCATTTTTTCTCTGTTAAATCCCTTAGAGAACAAGGCACAGAAGTAGTTGAATATGTGTAATGAAAACCATAGTTTCTCCAAACAGACGAAACAGAATGTGAAAGTTTAAGCAATGGCTTGAACTTGGGAAGAAAAGAGATGACTTCCATTAAACAGCCAGGTAATTTCTCTCATTATCTTTGGAATCAGGTAATTAGTTAAACTCAGTGTCTGAGGAGCCAAATACAAGGACCTGAGCACCTTCTATGCAGAACTGTCACCTCCTTGTAGCACTGGACAGAGTTCCCCTTCCTTGTCACTAGAAACCAAATTAGATTCAGGCCTGCTCTAGATCACCAGGTGCCTTGGGAGCTGGCCTGCCCAAAGTGTATAATTCCCCACATCTTGAGAGAGTGTGAACAGCAGCCCTTTTCCCAATATCTGGAGAAAAACAAGGTTAGCATTTCAATGAGCACTCAAACAGAGAAAGCTGGAATAAATGAAAGTTTCTCTGCCCTACAAAGCCCTGTTTTGTATTCTTTCTCCAATTCCAAGAGCACTCTGACCTTTCCATTACCGGGTTCTACTCCACAAAGTTGTAATTGTCTATTTATTTTTCTGCCTCTTCCATTTGACTCTAAGCTCAGCAAAGGCAGGGACTGATTTGATCTCAGCCACCATCTACTCACCAGTATCAAGCATAAGATCTCACTCTTAACAGGCAAGAAAATTTAAGAAATAAAAGAAACACAAATAATGTGATGGGCCTTTAATCAAGGAAACCCATCGTAATTTGTCTTCTTTCATGCATAGGGAAGAAGATATTTAAAGTCTGAGCAGTTACCAAAGAGTTACAGGATTAGGCCCTCTTAGGCCAAATTCAAGTACAGACAATGAGACCAAACAGCAGAGGCCATTTAATCATCATGTAGGCAGAAATTCAAGAAAGGGAATGAGTTGACTAAATGAGAAATGGCTCAATAGTTTTCATTATCCAAATAACATTTTTCCCCATAAGCCTGGAAAAGGGTCAGCAGGCATTTAGATACTGCCTTTGTTTGTTTGTTTGTTTGTTTGTTTCTGGTTTTGCTGGCTCATTTGGTAATTGTAAATGACATTCTTTGGCATGAATTTTAAAAGTTAATTACATCCCAATGCTTTGCAATGAACAATAAAATCACAGACCAAACATGATCTTTTGAGCTGTGCTAGGTGCAATGTATTTACTTTTTATCATGGAATTTAATCTTATCCAAAGTTGGAAAACTGAGATTGTGGTTGCAAGGAGAGTCAATAGTGTGTAGATAGGAATTAGAGGTAGAATGGGGATGCTGGGCCTGGCTATCATTCTTTCTATTGGATGGATAGAGCTACTCAGGTCTGCATGTCCCAGACTGATTCTCCCCGTCAAGGGGAAATAATAAGAAAATGTGCTGAAACATGCATGTTTTAGCTTGAGTTCTCTGGGAACCAGATACTGACACAGTGTTTTGCATGTCAGATGTTTATTAGATAATTATCTTGGTACCAATGCCTGTAGCAAAAAGGGGAAGAAAGTTGGATGGGAGGGAAAAAATCAAGCTACACTGCGAGACTACTGACAGGCTTGACCAGCCCCTTGGGGCGATATGAAACTACTGCCACTTCAGAGTTGCCCCCTGTTGACTGAGCCTTTTTATACTCCTACATTGATCAGTCAGTAGGTGTTGGCCACACTCAGAAGAAATATAAGCCTTAGACAAGTTGGTTCTTTGAAGCTTGAGGCAATACCTAAAGGGTCTAAAAATTGATGTGGCTCTTCCCAGAGCACACACTTCCTCTTACAAAGCTGAGAATAGAACCAAGAAACCCAATAACTGAGAACCCATTGGATATTCCTGAGATGTCTAAGGTCAATCAGGAAGTAACAGTACAGGTAAAAGAAAGAAAGTAGGTCCCTTGCAGGTACTTTACAATTACCAGATCCAAAAGGGGCAATGTTGTTCAAATAAGAATTAGGACCTGATGAGGAGTAAAGGTATTAAAAGAATAATCACTCCAATTTGTCTATGTTTTAAAATACATTTAATATACTGTCACATCCACTTTTACATTTGATCTTGGTATCAACCCTGTGTAGTAGACAGAGGAGGGAGCATCATCTCTAATTTGCGAATGAAGAAACTGAGGGCCAGAAGGGAAAAGTGGTTTTCCTGTGGTCACTTAGTATATTTCAGGGTTGAGGAAACATCCAAGACTTCCTGATTTATAAGTCTTATAGCCCATGAGACTATTTCCCTTCTTCTTAGTTTTAATCTAATGGAGTATCTTACTTAAGGAGCTCTTCCCAGCCAAGGGCATTAGCCCAGCTGTTGCAGATAGCCCCATCTCTTGGGGGAAATGAGATTCCCACTGTCTCTGCTGCTGGCTTCCAAAATTCACATAGCTCACACATTCTTACTGTCCTCCATTTCTTTTCTGTAGACCATGATAATCCTATTCTATTCCCAATTGGTTATAATTTTATCATATACCAAAAGGAATCTTTAAGCCACTACTGAATTTATAGCCTCACTCCAAAACTGGAAGTTGAGATAACTAAATCCTGTGGCATGACTTTGAGCAAAGCACTTCCTATGCCTGGAGCTCAGTTTCTTTATTTGAAAATAATTTGTGGGCTCATGATGTCTATAGTTCCTTCTAAGTTTAAAATGCAGACTATGAATGTAGAAGCTGACTTTAATGTCTTCTACAGGCACTCTGTGAAGCTGTTTAATAATGCTCCTCAGGTGCTATCAATAACAACTTGTATTGCTTTTTTTCATGCTGTGATTTTCTGAATCTCAGTTATATGTTGCTACTAAAGTCACAGCATCCCTTCTATTAATTCCAAGAATTAGAAACTGGTATGTGTAGTCTAATTTTTCTTTTTATAGGTGCTTTAATATTTTTTTCCAAAAATGAAAAAAGCAAGCCAAGAGTATATTAAAAGAAATTTTATGAAATCTTAGCTCTCTTGAGTATCCATACATTCTGTTTTTTTCAAGATTACCTGGGACTAAAGTAATCAGACTTAGGAACCCAAAAATTTAAAATATAAATTATTGATGCTGCTATAGAAAGAAGTGCAGAGATTATCTGCTCAACAAATTATCTTACAAATAAGGAAAATGTATTCCAAATATAGGAAGCATACACTGTGTACAAATTTTTATCAACTAAAAAAACACAATAGGACAATTTTGACATTATGCCCTGCAACTATATTTTACTTTTAATTATCATCTAAATAATAATTATGGAAGAGAGAAGTGAGGACACTCATTATAAGAACTCCACTGTCCTGAGTATCTCTATGGCCTCCAACCAATTAGTTAGGTTCTTAACTAACCAGAGTCTCTGGAAAGAAGAGGAGTTACTGCATTAAATACCAAAAACTCTGGGCCTTTTCAAACCATTGTGGCTGCATTTCCCTGCTCAAAGAGGTAGGAATTTGAAAAATCTAGATTAGCACAGTGACCCTGGGGAACCAGTTAGTCAACCCAGCCTTCATTCTGGTGTATAGGTGATAACAATATAAAATGCCAATTTTCTGGAAGTGGGGACTAAATGATGTATGATTTTCTCTTCTCAGCACTTCCCTGACTCCAATCTTACCATGACCCCAGGAAGAGTTCCCAAGACAGGTTTGCCCTCTCCTTACACCCAATATTTGAATACAAATACCCATGTCTCAGAGAGACATGCCTCTTTCCTATCTATCTGCAACATTCAGTTAGTTGTCAAAAGAAGCTCTGCCACTAAATAATAATGACTCCAAAATGTTTTATGTGTTACTCTTCTCCCAGGTTTTGTTCTACAGTAGTAAATAAATGACGGGGGAGCCTAGTTCTTTAAATCAAAGGCTTTAGTCTCTACAATTTGACTTTTAATACTGTGTAACAGAGCAAGGAGGAACAGGTTTGCCTGGAAACAGTCCCTCAGTTAATCTTTAATTGCGCTGCCTAGGTGCAATGACACCTACATCATCTGGGCACAAGGTCATACCTTGTGGTGGGTTTTTAGAAAATGCCAATGTACTTTTCTAATTTGAACCTTTTTGTATTGAAAGCCCAGTGTTCTTTTAGTCAACATTGATATTAATCTTACAAAAAAAGGCTGTAATTCAGTCATTACATGGAACCTGGCCAAGCTTTTTACCTTGAGATAATTTGTCTCCGACTTGAAACTGTGGGGCTCAGTGTTTTTCTTTTCATTTCCAGTTTCCCTGAATATATTTATATGTGGAAAAAAAAAACAAGAACAAAAATATGCTTCAGTTCTTATTTGCGCAAAATACCCACAAAATTAGGGCGAAACCCAACACTAAGCATTCTCTGCCTCCCCCACCTAACTGTCCATCAAGACACAAAAACTCAGGCTGAGCAATTGAGTCTTACATTTATATCTACATGACATTTAGGAAAATTGAAGACTGGAAGCTACACATACAAGTAAAACCAGTGATTAGAGACAATGAGATTCAGTCTGAAGGAAAAAAAAACAGTGATATTATTAAAGAGACACTGACAAGTCCTTCAGTCCCCAAATATAGACTACAGCAAAAAGCTAACAGTTCTACAATTTATCACAAATGTAGGCATGGGTTTCCTTTAACATCAATAAAAACATGTTTTCCCCACAGTTGTACATTGTGTCAGAAAAACTTGAAACTTACTTACATATTTGAAATACAATTTTAAAATTCTCCTAAGTGTCATTTACTTAGAGGCAAGGGAGCAGAGCCTGGAGAGCACAGGGTTTGGAAGCAGACAAACAATAAGCATTCAACTCTGTCACTAGCTATATAATTCTGGCAATGTATTTAATTTCTCTAAGCTTCAGAGTCCATTTGCTTGAATGGGTTATTTTATATTTACAACACACGATCGTTGTAAGGACTAAATGAGATACATCACACAGTGCCTGACAAATAGGTGTCCTAAATAAATACTTGCTATTAGATTATAATTATTAATGCTTCAACTCAATAGCTGTTTCATGTCTATAATATGTTTAGTATTGAACCAATAGAGACTTGTATCCCCCGGGAAACAGAGATGCATGGGAGTTAAGATGGGGCTGAAGTGGTTTGAGAAAGGTACCATGTGCGTCTTGGTTCTAAATTGAGATCAGCTCTGTGAGCAGGCACAATATGCAAGTGTGAACAAGTGTGGAAGAGTGTGGTAAGCAAATGGACATGAACATGGACATTAGCAAAGGCAAAGATGAGGAAATGGGCCATTTATTCAGCAAAATTTGAGTGGCTTGGTCTGACTGATACTTAAATAACAGTATAATACTGGGAGATGAGTCTGGACAGAAAGGTTATAAAGAGCCTTGAACTCCAGATTTAATGTAATTGGCAACAGAGTCATTGACGATATCAAGGAAATGAAGTGATAAAATAAAGTTTCACTTTAAGAAGTTTGATATGACAGGAGACTATAGAATGTATTAGAGTGTAGGAAGAGAGCTAAAAAGAGCTTCAAGGTTATTGAAAAAAATATGTCAAAGTAATAGTAATATTTCCCAGTTACCATTGAAACCTCTCAAAGCAGAAAGAATGACCTCAAAATAACTTTATTTTCTAAGCAGGGCTCCTGTAAGTGCAGAAATTCTATATTTCTGGAATTCTGGGTATATTAGAGATGCATGCCCCAGGAAGGAGACAGGTAATAATAGGAAGCTTAAGGTCATATTACTCTCTCACTGGCTGACAAACATTCCCAGATGTCCAGCTCTCTTACCCAGATTCTTTTTAAAATGGCTACAAATCGACAATGGAGAGAGAGAGAATTAAATGCATACTTTTTGGACCTTTATCCTTACTCTTGATTCTAATTTTGCCAGTCTGAAGGAGGTCAATATTTCATTATATCTAGAGTTTTGCAGTAAGGAGCCTCTAAACCTCCCTATTAATTGTCATGAAGAAGGAAGATAAGACTTGCAAGATGTCAGGCTTAGGTGGAAGAGTGAGACAGAATTATGAGCCTGATGAGTGTATAGGAAGAGGATGAAAGAATGGTGGCAGTGGCATGATTCAAAACGTAGCAATCCTACAGCTTCACATTACTGAAGCTTAACTCATTATTTTTTATATATGATGAATTACAGTTTAGGTGAAAAATCTGTTTAAAAAATCACATGACATTCACAGTTCTTGGCTATTTGCCTGTTGCTTAGAGCCTAAGCTATACACAAACCCAAAAATTTGCTGAGATACAACATAATAACAACCAATAATCAGTAAGCTAAATGTCTTGTTCATAGATACATACTGCCAGTTAGCCATGTAGCAAGACCTCACACTCCTTTGTTTTAGTCCAAATTTATTTCCGTTGCTCCAACACAGTCTTATAGAAGAGAAACATTCAAGATGATGACAGACTAGACTAAAATTTGCCTGTACTGTCCAATTCTTTTGCCCCGTTTCCTCTCACCCATGATAGTTACAGAACAATATTTTATAACTATGGCGAACAATGAGGAGCAAACAATTTCTTGAAGCGATGTATAGCTTCTTGAAACTACAGCCTGGAGCTTTTCCATAATAGCCTGGTTCTCCCCATTTGTCTTGTATTTTATACCTAAATGGGCTACATTATTTCCAAATGTAAAATGAGCCAATTGAACCTGTTAGGCTCATGAAGTTGCCAGGTTTGGAGAAAATAAAAGGATCATGGATATATTAAAGATTGGTTTTGTATAAAGATAGTTCATCTTTAAACCAGGCAACTTGAAATAAATCCAGTAACTGTGTGTCCATGTGTAAGACATTTAATCTTCCTGGCCTCAGTTTCCTCATCTGTAAAATAAGAGATTAAACAAAAGAACTGGTGAGCTCTTTTAAAATGGAATATTCCATGAGTCAAAACCTCTTAAAGAAATAGCCAGTAAATTGATGCTCCAAAGGCAGATGGCAAAGCTGGCAATGTCCAGAAAGTGACAGCTCCTTGGTTACCCACTTACACCTTTCAGAGAAAAATAGGAAGTACCCAACTGCTTCTAATTGTAATATGCACTGTGCTAGGGAAGGACAAAGTCAAATGTGTTAAAGGCCTAATGAGGTGTGTGGGAGCAACCTCCCTCTGCAGTTTGCAGCTTTTTCACACTGCTAGCTCTCACTGCCCCATCAGCAGGTGTGAAAGAAGAGTCAAGGGAAAAGAGTAGTTGCTTTCTGGCCCAAAATGATGACATAAAAGGAACTATACCAATGCCTTCACTTTATTGTTTTCACACAAACTTGACAGAGGATTCTTAAATATTGTTTTGCTTTCAGCATCAGCCTCCTAATAGGAGAAATGCCAGACTTGTTAGAAATAGAGTCTGATCCATTCTGTAGAAGAGTTAACAGTTTAGTTAAGATCCATGAAATCTGGATGCAGCCCATATGGAATTGTCACTGTTGCTTTCATTAAAGCTGGAATTACGCACATCAACATATGACTGCACCAATGTGGAATATTAGAAATCACCCTGGCATGTATCTTCCACAAGTGGCGAATCTGTCATACAGGGGCTACCTTGGTTCTGCCACTCACATGGTTAAAATTATCTAGCTTTGAAAGTTTATTTATTTGTAAAAATATGCAAATGTGTTCCTGCTTATTAAACCCATTAGGATTATGAGAATCAATTGTGAAGAAATGGACGTATTGCATATTAAATTTTAATTCCTATGTATGATCATGTTTTCTAAGACACATTTTTCAGAATAATCTCTTTTTTAAATATTAGCGATTATAGAGTTCTTAGGGTTGAATAATTCTCAGTAAACCTGCATGTATCTCTAGAATTATGTTTGTAAATATTTTTTTCTTAAAACACTTTCTCCAGATGTAAACTTCCTTAGTAGCCTAATCCTTAATTTCATTATATTTCTCTTTATAATTACTAGAACTTATTCTTCCTGCAATTCTACTCTCCTTTAGTAGAGCACTTTAATTTACTTTATTAGAATGGCTTAATAATTGTATTGTAGATCTAAAAGATAAAATTAATTATATATTTTAATTGATAATTTTATAGATTTCACTGAAATTTGTGAAGAATTCTGAAAGGACGTTATAATTATCACTTTGTACATTTCTATTTGCAAGTCAGATACATCTGAATGAGCACTGATATCTTGGCTGTATTGTTTGAAAAATTAATCTGCAAATGAGAGTTTATCCCCCTCTTCAATTAGATTTCAAAACTAATCTATCAAAATAACTAAATAGAAAATTATTTTTGCACAAGGAAACTTCAGATTGAAATGTGTGACTAGTGCAATTAATTCTCTTTCTCATTTAATTTTGAAACATTTATGATCTGTATTTAATGTAACTTTGGTTTTTGTTCCCAGACTCCAAACAGCCCAGGAGAGTTTCATATGAGTTATAAAGTTCCACCCCCACCCCATTTCTCTAAAGTTAATAGACCCACATGTTAATACACCCTCAGGGATACATTTGCATCATTTTCCAGTCATCTGTGACTGTAAACTTTCTTTTTTAATTTTTAATTTTTGTTGGTACGTAGTAGGTGTATATGTTTATGAGGTACATGAGCTACTTTGAAACAGACATGCAATACGTAATAATCACATCATGGTAAGTGGGGAATTCATCCCTTCAAGTACTTACCCTTTGTGTTGCACACAATATAATTATATTATTCTAGTTATTTTTAAATGTATGATTAAATTATTATTGGTTATAGTTGCCCTGTTGTGCTATCAAATACGAGGTCTTATTTCTAACTTTTAAATTCAATATTATCCAGTGTTACCAGAAAGAATTAAAAGAGTATTTGAAATTATTTAAATGACCTTACTAAACCATCAATTTTGAACATATGTCTCCATGCTATTTAATCAAGGATGATGATGATGATGATGATGATATTTGCCTCCCATTAGATGCAGTAGGTGATACGAATCAACTATAGAGCTCAGTCCATGTTTTTCAAAACTTTAGTGTCCACTTTAGTGCTCAAAATATTTCATGTTATTCAGAGTGAAGTGAGTAAATAAGCCTTCAAGGTTCTTCTCATATAAGAAACTAAACTTAAGGTTGTTACATATTTACCCTTACAGACCATAATCATCCCATGACAAGGTGTAAAAAAACCCCCAGGATTTGTCCTCTTTATCTCTAACCACCTCTTTTTCTATTCTATGCCTTGACACTCTATTCCAACATATCACACTCAATAATTCCATGTGAGTGATGGAATTGTGAGTGATCAATTTCAGTTGATCAATTTCAGGGATACTCTGAAATTGATATCTCATATAACATCTGTTTGTTTGCACTCCTGGAAACACTCTTTTAAGGTATTACTGAGTTTATTAGATGTTGCAGAATAAGAAATAGTATGAAAACATCTTCTGAAGTTCAGAAAAAGAATCCCTGAGAAACAACTTCCATAATGAAATACAAAATCCAGAAACAGAGGATGTGGTTAGTCTATTTTAAAAAAATGTGAGGCTGTTTGCATAACTGAAAACCTTCATCAATTCTGCTTGTAAGCAGGTGATTTCCTATGTAGTATTACCGAAAAGGCTTCAGGAGGTGACATGTAAAAACACAGCCTTCCCAAGTTTCATGAAGTTAAAATTTTATTGTGACAATGTTATTATTTAAGTATTTAAATACAAAAGCCCCTAGGGGGAAAAGTAACACTTTATGTAGTTATCTGTGACCATCATAAAGTGATCTTATGATACCTTATAATTTTGAAATTATATAAATATATTATTATACCTTAGTTAAAAGTATCTGAGAAGTGTTGATTATAGAAATAGAATCTGGGGCTTCTTGGTTCCCAAGACACATTTAATGAACAGATACAGAAATAACGTAAAAACAGAGGACTCAAACCAAAACAGTTTTATCAGCTTCACATTTTACCTGAAGCTGGCACTTCCCCAATACACTGAAGAATTCTTGTACCAGAAATCTCAGAAATAAGTCCATAGTGTATTAGAAAAAGAAAAAGAGAAATTTAGCTTCCAAACTTTGATGTTGATTTCAGAGATCTGTAAAGACTACTGTAAATTTAAACACAAGATCGTTTTTTAAAAAAATATCAGGGAAAACTAGTTTAGATAATTACTATAGTCAGTTTTGGAGCCGGGAAAATTGATGCCAAATAACACAAGCACAAACACAAACCAGAAATTTAAAAATGCCTCAAGCTTATTCCCTTAGAATACAATACTGCTCCTCATCCCTCATCACCAGTGTTGTTTCTGACCTCAGTTCAATTTAGCAGTGAGGGTGATTCTTCTGATCTCTGAAGAATTACCCTGAACTCCACCAGACCTCACTGGCATCCCTTAAACCAGCTTTATTTCCACTAGCTCATTAGACATCTATCAACTGTGAACTTCAGTTAGTCATTGGTTCTTCAGAGATGGAATTCCAGCCTCTCCTTTATCCCTGCCTTATCCCTGACCTACCAATCAAGAATAGGCAATTAAATGACATTTACACCCCTTTTTTTTTTTCTGAGAGGGAGTTTCACTCTTGTTGCCTAGGCTAGAGTGTGATGGTGCAATCTTGGCTCACTGCAACCTCTGCCTGCTGGGTTCAACGGATTCTCCTGCCTCAGCCTCCCAAGTAGCTGGGATTATAGGCATGAGCTACCAAGCCGGCTAATTTTTTATTTTTAGTAAAGATGGGGTTTCTCCATGTTGCTCAGGCTGGTCTCAAACTCCCAACCTCAGGTGATCAACCCACCTGAGCCTCCTAAAGTGCTGAGATTACAGGTGTGAGCCACCGCAACTGGCCCATTTACACCCTCTTGTAAAAATAAAAAGAATTTTCAGTATAATGAATTTTCTCTCAGTATTCATTATATTTATCGACTGAAAGATAGTAATGGGGTCATTTATTAGGCATTGCATAGTGTCTACTGCTGTAATCTGCATAAGTGACTATTGCAGAATTTTCTGCAGCAATTTTTTAAAGCCTAAACAAATAAAATGAAGAGAAATGCTCAGAGCAGGTGGGTGTTTAATAGTGACTTATTCCTCTGGTGATACAGATTCTATGGGTGCCTAAATGGACACAGTGGTTTCATCCACAAGTGAGATTATTATGAAACTGCTATCATTCTGTCATGAATAATTGATCCTCTCACTGTTCAGGGGGGAAAAACAACAGATGTGATAAACAATGCAACAAATGTGACAAGGAGCTTAAAGTTTATTATTTTACTGCCTGTTATTTCAACATTTGTGAAGATGCCATAGGCAAAATCACCCAATCCCTGCATGAATGTGTAAACTGCATGACACACAAAAGATTATAATTAAGTAATTTAACCCTAACTATCCAACGACCCTTCTGGGTTTTGTGGAAAAGCCCATTTCTAAGAGAACGCACAGAGCAGTGATGACTCTTTCTAGAACTGTGTAGTTAACAGAGTTTCTTTTTAGTTCTTCTTCCCTTTCATATCAATTGTCTTCTCACAGTTGACATCCTGTGTGCTCCAAGAGTCCAGACACCTGTGGAACCCATTGATCAGTCCAACTCAAGACCCTAATTACAAGGGTTCTACCCAGACATTCTCCTCAAGCTAAGCAGTATACTCAACACTTACCCGTCTTTCTTTCTACCAATCAAAGTCTTATTCTACTTCCTTGCCCTACTGTGCCAGCTTTTAGGAGGAAAGTAATCTGATTAAAATAAACTATATTAAATCCTATAATGAGAGCTCATAACTTTCTACTGATCTAGCTAATTGAAATCAGTATATTTTTAGAAAATAAACTTGAAATATGACCAAGATTTTGACAACTTCTTATATAGTCCACTTAACCTGCCAATTTCTGATGTCTTTTGAAAATCATAGCATACATCAGAAAAAATAGGATTCATGACCATTGAAGTTCTAGGTAAGAATCTTTAAAGATATATAAGCCTAAATAGTTTGTCATTATTTCTATAAATACAGATGGATAAAGAAATAAATTATGAAAGAAGATAATACAATATTAAAAGCTGTATTTTCTAGAGCTCCTGGAAAGATGGAATTTTTCTTAAAAGAAAGATTCAGGGAGTAATGAAAAGAAGTCTTCCCAAAGTTTTGAATATGTAATTCAACAGGAAACAGAAAAATTTTTTGTAAATAACATTCTAAAAATAGGTGTTAAATAAAAAGTATCTATAGCAGAAAGAAGAAAAATAAAGGGGATTTGGTTACAAGAGGAGGAAAAAGAAAAGAAAGAAAGGAGAATTCTCAGTAGATGTCTGATAAGGCATGACCCACTTAAATAGAACAAATCCACTCATAAAATGGACTCTAGGAACATTCTAAATCCCAGTTATGAGAAGTAGGTCCATTTTCTAGAATCACATGATACAATTTTCATAGTATTTAATTGTTAACCAATATTTATGTGGTATCTACAACATGTGAAGCATTCTTTTTGATACTAAATCTAGAAAAAACAGACAAAAATATTTGCCCTCATGTAGCATGTATTCTACTGAGGGAAACAAACAATAAATAAGCTAAAGAAGTAAATTTGTATTATGTTAGAGAGTAGAGAGTACTATGGCAGAATGCAAAACAGGGACTGGGAATAGAAAAAAAATGGGGGAAGAAGCAGTTTTAGAATTTGCATAGGAATGTGAGAAAGGTTTACATCAAGAACGTAGTGTGAGAGTAAGCCATATATATTGAGGGAAAGAGCATTCTAAGTAGGAGAAAGAATGAAATGCAAAGGCCCTGGTGCAGAAGGATGCCTGTTATGTTCAATGAACTGTGAGGAGGCCAGTTTAACTGACAAGCAGTGAGTAATAGAGTATTAGGAGAGGAGGTCAGAAAGTGAGGGGCAGTGGATGGGACTTACTGATTATTGTTTGGACCTTGGGTTTGTTTTGTTTGTTTTTTTTTTCCTGGTGAGGAAGAAAACCATCAGAGAGTATTGATCACACAAATGACATGATCTCTCTTACATCTTAAGGTGATGGTTGCTACTGAGTTGAGGAAAGACAAAACAGGTGAGAATGGAAGCTGAGAGACTGCTCAGGAAGGAGGCTGTTGAGCTAACTGAAACAAAAGAGAATGGTGTCTTGGGCTATAATGAAAGATACAGTGATTAAAATGATTGATTATTGTTATATTTTGAATGATGAGACAGTGAAATCTCCTATAATGTTTCAGAAAGGAATGAGTCAAGGATCATGAGAAACTGTAGGGATAAAACATTTTTACTTCAGTGGGAAAAACTAAGAGTCAGATTTGAGACTGAGGCATTCCCTTTGGGACATGTTAAGTTGGTGGTAAATGTATACCAAGTAACAATTTACCCCCAAATTTTCATCACTTACAGCAATGTAGTTTATGTACTTATCAAGTTACATATACACTATGGAATTGGATACCACTCTGCTTCTGTTTTCTTCTCTTTGGGACCAAAGCTTATGGTCAGCCTCTCTAACCAGAATGTTCCTAATTACTGTGGTAGATGTAAAAAAGATATGAGAGTTCACACACTGCATCTTAAAACCTACTTAAACTGTGCATGCCACATTTAATTGGCCAAAAGAAGTCATAAGGTTAGAACATCATCAAAGTGATGAAGTGGTATAATTTTCTCTTAGGGAGAAAGCCAATTATGATGATGATGATGATGATGATGATGACAATAATGGTGGCAATAATAGTAATGAAAATAATAAGAAAGCTTACTACAACATCCAAGTAGAGATTTAAAGAAGACAATTGTATATGTTAGCCTGGTATTCAGAAGACAGGTTTAGGCTGAAGATATAAAATTAAGAGTCATTACACTTAGTTAATATTTAAAGCTATGAGACTAAATTGATAACCAAAGAATGAGTGTAAAGAAAAAAGGGAAAAAGTCCAAGAACTGAGCTCTGAACCAGTCAATATTTAGAGGTTAGGGAGATGGGAAAGAATAAGCAGTCAAAGCTAAGATGGAGAATGTGGTGTGGAATAGTGAAAACAAGAGAGTACTTCACAAAAGTCAATTAAGATGACACCAATGATTCATCATTAAATATAACAACATGGTCATCACCAAGGGCTTTAAAATAATGAAGTGGGGAATAGGAGGGGAGACAAAATCCTCATAACAATTGTAATGAGAACAACCTGGAATCATCTTAAAAATCCTTTCCCCAAACGGGAAGGGAGCTGAGAGACCAAAGAGTGACTGGGACAAGTCCAGTTTGGTGAGTAGATGAGTTTACTAGGACTTATATACAAGGCACTCCTGGGTGGCAGAAGAACAGATTTAGAGATCCTCCCTGCCTCCTATCTCTAAGCAGCTTTTAAGCTAATTTTCTGGCTCTTTGCCTGCTGCGTATGTGTGATAGGACTGTTTTCCTAAGTAGATTCTCAGATACTCTCTGATATGTTTGGGTTCTCAGGGACACCTGGTCCTTGGATGGGCACTATGCCTTTGGCTCAACCTAAGAGACATAAGCGCTCAAGTTACCTGGTCAGGGACCTGTCATACTATAGCAATGGGTTCAAAAGAAAAATGGGAGAAGAATTAGAGGCAAGCATGTATAAGTTTGTTTTTTGGAACTGTTTACATGAAAAAAAGAAAACTGATAATAGCTGAAAAGTGGGCTGAAAAGTTTTACTGTATTTTATTTTTTAATGTGACAAAAGAAAACAGTTACTGTGTATACTGGTAAAAAATGATTCAGTAAAATGGAAAAATTCATATTATGAGAGAATGGAGAAGAGATTAACTTCCAGCATGGCAGTATGAGAAGTTCTGTAGGCAATCTTCACAGAGAATCTAGAGAAAATTTAATAAAACAACCATTTAAAGTCTCCAGAAATGGTCCCAAGGGCACACAGCAAATAAAGAAATATCTATTCAAGAATATCTACTGAAATTCAGTAAGAAAGTTGAGAGTCTGTGGTATTTTAACTAACACTGTTCAATCTCCTGCCCCTCACTCAGTGAGATAGAGACTCTATTTCAGACTAGTGCAGTCAGAAACACAGGGCTCCTACTCTCACCAACTTCTAGTTGGGAGGATAACCTCTAAGAAGGAACAGAATGTCAGTGTTTTTCATCCTGCCACCAATTATCTTTTTTGAGGCTAAGTTATGGGTGTGGCCAAATTTGGGGGCTTCCCTTCTTCTGCCCAGCCCCAATTCATAAAATATAGGTTATACCTTGGAACAACATAGTCTAGAATACTGGGACCGTAATCATCCTTACCATGGTTCATAGGGTGGAAGGTGAATGCCAGGAGAGGCAGGCTAAGAGGATCTGAGACTACTGCCATCCCCCATCTAGTGTTCATCCCGTAATAAAGGCATATCATTCAGAGAGAAATATGCCATTGTCCTCATCCCCAACTCCAAAACTGAGGCTCAACAATTTTGCCTGGGGTGAGAAGCAGGCAGTAACACCAATAGCTCCTAATCTTTTTTGTAAGAAACTAATTTAATTTGCAACATAATACAGAGAAGTTCAAACCTAAGGGAACTATCAAAAACAGTGGTGGTGGCTAGGCATGGTGGCTTGCCTGTAATCCCAGCACGTTGAGAGGCCAAGGCGGGTAGATCACAAGGTCAGGAGTTCGAGACCAGCCTGGCCAAAATGGTGAAACCCCGTCTCTACTAAAGATACAAAAAATTAACCAGGCATGGTGGCGTGTGCCTGTAATCCCAGCTACTCAGGAGGCTAAGGTAGGAGAATTGCTTGAACCTGGGAGGCAGACATTGCGGTAAGCTGAGACCATGCCATTGCACTCCAGCCTGGGTGACAGGGCGAGACTCCATCTCAAAAAAAAAAAAAAAAAAAAAAAGTGGAGGTAACAATATATAAACATAAATATAGATAAAAAATGAACCATAGTGAGAGGAAACTGGTAGATTCATTGAAGATATAGGCTAAACTGTAGCCTGATTAGTTTATCAGAGAGAACCAAGGAAGGAGACATCCAGAAGTTTAACTGTTATTTGAAAAATATCAAAGACTGACCTTGGAAGCTATCTCTTCAAAGGACTGTAGATTTGATTAGATTAGTCTACAGAACAATTTATGCCTCAAAAGCATTGTTGAACACACTAGGGCATTTGGCAGATAATTAATGGAGCTTAACAAGTAGGTGTGGTCAGGGAAAGTGACAGTAAAAGAGACAGCTCTGCCAAAAACACTGTAATTCCAGAGCAACCGTGGACACACCCAAGGTTGTCGCCTTCTGAGGAGGATCAAAGGCTTTTTCTTTGGAGTGAAATAGGCTTCACTAAAATTAAAATTATACAGATAGTAACTGAACAACAACAACAACAACAAAAAGGCGAATAACAATGACAAGCCCAGGAAGGGGAGTCTAGTACCTAAAATTGCTATAATATATTATCTAAAATGTCCAATTTAAGAAAGTATGAGCCATACACTGGGGAATAAAAGTAGGCAACAGAAACTGCCTGTAACAGTGTACAGATGTCAGATTTAACAGGAAAATACTTCAAAGTAGCCATTAGAAATATGTTCAAAGAACTAAAAAATATGGTTACAGAAGTAACAGAAGGTATGACAACAATGTTGGGTCAAATACAATATATCAATAAATAAAAATTATAATAAAGAACCAAATGGAAATTCTAGAGTTAAATAGTATACAAATTGAAATAAATAATTTACTAGTGAGACTATAGATTTCAATTGGCATAAGAAAGCATTAGCCAACTTGAAAACAGAGCAATAGACTATTAAATCCAAAGAACAGAGAGGACAATATAAAGAAAAATGAGCAGAGTCTCAGAGAAGTGTGAAACATCAATTAGTGCAAGAACACATATTGGGAATATGAGGAGAGGAGAAGACAAATTATATGTATATATATTTTTTTCAATAAAATAATGGCTGTAAATTACACACATTTTAAGAAAAAGACCTTCCTCATTTCGGAAAAATCAATAAACTCTAAGGATAAACACACATTCATAAAAAGACATGTCATAGTAAAAATGCTGGATGCAAAAAACAAGGATGAAATCTTACAAACAGTGAGAGAAAAATGATTTATTCACAAGGGAACTCCATTAAGATTAGCAGCTAACTTTTTGTCAAAAACAATGAAGACTAAAAGGCAGTGGGATAAAATATTTCAAGTGCAATTTGAAAAGTAAGCCAACCATGATTTCTATATCCAGTATGGCTAACCTTCAAATATGAAGGTGTAAGAAAGACATTTCCCAGTAACAAAAACTGACAGGATTTTTTCTAGCTGATCTATCTTACAAGAAATACTAAAATTCTTCATGCTAAAAGCAAGCGACCTCAAGCAGTAATTCAAATACACACACACACACGCACGCACACACACACACGCACGCACACACACACACACACACACAGAGTGTGTAAGAACATCAGTAAAGGTAATTATGTAAATTATTATCAAAGAGAGCATAAATGCATATTTCCCTTTCCTCTCTTAAGTAATTGAAAAAACAATTGTATTGAATAATATATATATAATGCACTCAGCCTATAATATATAGAAATGTAATATATTTGTCAATAACAGAGAAAGAGGTGACTAAGAACAAAGTCTCACTCTGTCGCCCAGGCTGGAGTGCAGTGGCGCGATCTCGGCTCACTGCAAGCTCCACCTCCCAGCTTCACGTGATTCTCCTGCCTCAGCCTCCCGAGTAGCTGGGACTACAGGCGCCCACCACCACGCCCAGCTAATTTTTTTTGTATTTTTAGTAGAGATGGGGTTTCACTATGTTAGCCAGGATGGTCTCAATCTCCTGACCTCGTGATCTGCCTGCCTCGGCCTCCCAAAGTGCTGGGATTACAGGCGTGAGCCACCGCACCCGGCCAAGAAATGTTATTTTAAAAAGTTAATAGTAACAAAGCTACAAATATTTACTTGTTTATATTTCTTCTCTTGTCTTCTTTATGGTCATAAAGTTATATAAAGTAATAATTTTAACAATGCATTGTTACATCTGTAACATTTATAAATGTATATAACAATAATATCACAAAAAGGGAGGACAAGAAGAGAGCTATGTAGGAGTAATATTCTTATATCTCACTAGAAGTAGCATAAATCTGAAGCTGATTCTTATAAATTAAAGTGCATAAGGTAAGCCCCTGAGCAATCACTATGGAAAAACCTACAATGGTTTTAATCATTAAAGAAATTAATTAATGTTCACTTAATGAAAAAGAAAGTAGTAAAAGAGGAAAAAAGGAAAAATAAGACATGAGATCTTAAAAAATAAAGTGCAGGCATAAATCCAGCTATGTCAATAATAGTGTTAAGCGTGAATAGATTCCAAAACCCAAACAAAAGGCAGGAAAATTTCAAACTGGATGAAAAAAGAAGATCCAGTTCTATGTTATCTACAGGAGACATAATTTAGATTCAAAGACAATATAGATGGATAGTAAAGAAGAGAAAAAAAAACATATAAGGCCAATAGCAACAACAAGAATGCCCAAGTAGCTACATTAATGTCAGACAAAATAGACTTTAAGACAAACAAAAAAAAAATTACTGAGTTAAAGAGAAACATTTTATTGTGATAAAAGGGTCTATTCATCAGGAAGATCTAACAATTATACATACATATATACCTAATAACAGCACCGAAATATATAAAGCAAAATTTTACAGAAAGGGAAAGTAGAAAATTTAACAATAGCAGTTTAAAATTTTCATACAGTATTATCAATAATGGAGAAAGAAACCAGGCAGAAGAACAAGAAGGAAATGAAACACGTCCATAACATAAAGCAACTAGACCTAACATACCTATAGAATGCCATACCTAACGACAGCAGAATATGCATTCTTCTCAAGTGCTTACAGAACATCTCCCAAGATAGGGTATATGCTAGGTCATAAAATAAACCCCCACAAATTTTAAAAGACTGATACAATAATGGAATGGAATCATAAGTAAATACCTATGAGAATTTTTTGAGAATCACAGATTATGTGGACATTAAACAACACACCCTTAAATGGTGGGGGGAAAGGATCAAAGAAGAAATCAAGAAGGAGAATAGAAAATATTTAAAATAAATGAAAAGGAAGACATAACCCACAAAAACTTATGGAATCCAAGTAAAGCAGTGCTTCAAGAAGAAGTAATAACTGTAAGTCCATATATTAAGATTCTCAAGTTAATAACCTAAACTGCCACTGACAGTTTAGCAGTTTGAGGCACTGACAAAAGAAGAGCAAACTAAACCTGTGGAAGTAGAAGGAATAAAATAAAAAGATTTGAGCAGAAATTGATAAGGTCTAGAAAAGTAATCAATAAAATCAACAAAACCAAAAGTTGGTTCTTTGAAAAGTATTAGCAAAATTCACAAATCTTTCGAAAGATTGGCCAAGCAAAAAAGGAAGAAGAGAATCAAAAATGAAAGAAAGATATCACTACGGACTTCTTTGCAGAAATAAAAAGGATTATGAAGAAATGGTATTTAAAAATGTACCAATTAGGTAAGTTAAATGAACAAATTCCCAGGAAGACAAAAATCTCTCAATTGGCTGGTACTTCTATAACAAAATACCAAAAACTGGGTGATTTAAACAACATGCATTTGTTTATCATAGTACTGAATGCTGGGAAGTCCAAGATCAGGGTGCCAGCATGGGGAAGTTCTTGGTGAAGGCCCTCTTCCTGATAAGCAGATTTTCTTGGTGAATCCACACATGGCAGGGAAAGAAGTTCTGGTTTCTCTTTCTCATGTTATAAGGACAGTCATCCCATCATGGGGTCTCCACCCTTATCATCTCACCTAAACCTAATAACCTCTCAGAGGTTATAACCTCATCTCCTAACACCATCACATTGGGGATTAGGGGGGTTCAACATATAAATTTTAGGAGGACACAAACATGCAGTCCATAACACAAAACCTATTAAAATTGACTGAAAAAGAAATATACAATCTAATAGACATATGTATTCATCAGTGTTCTTTAGAGAAACAGAATGAATAAAATATATATGTATATGTGTGTGAAGTGACTCATGGAATTTTGAAAGCTGACAAGTCCCAACATATGCATGCAGGGTGACTTGTCCAACCAGGGACTTAGAAGAGCCAATAGTTTTGCTTCAATTCAAGGTGAACAGGCTCAAGACTCAAGTAGACATGACGTTTCAGTTCAAGTCTGAGAGCAGGAAAAAAAGGCAATATTCCAGTCCAGAGATCATTAGGCAGGAAGAATTCTCTATTACTCAGGGAAGGGCCAGACTTTTTGTTCTATCCAGACCTTCAAATGATTGGAGGAGATCCACTCACGCTTTAGAGGACAACCTGCTTTATTCAGTCTATCAATTTAAATATCAAACCCATCCAAAAACACTCTCACAGAAAAATAACATTCAACCAAATACCTGGACATCATTTGGCCCCATCTCGTTAACAAATAAAATTAACCATCACAGCCTATAACAAAGAGATTGAATTCATAATAAAAAACTACCCACTAAGAAAATCTCAGGCCCAGATGGTTTCACTGGTGAATTCTAACATTTAAAAATAATTAATAGTAATTCTTCATAAATTTTTCCCAAAAATAGAAGAGAAGGGAACACTTTCCAAATAATTCTAAAGCCAGTAATACCCTGATACCAAAATCAGGTCAGAAAAGACCACAGACTATATGATTTTATTTATTGGAAATGTTCAGAAGAAGCAAATACTATATAAAGAGACAGACAGTAGGTTAGTAATTGTTTTGGTCTGGAGGGATGAGAGGATGGGGAATGATAGGTATATAGTATGAAGTTTCTATTTGAGGTGACATTCTAAATTTGATATTCTAAAATTGACTGATGATTGTTGCAAATAATAAATATAATAAAAACCATTGAATTCTGTACTTTAGAAAGGTGAATTGTATGGTCTGAATTATTAGTCAATAAAGTTGCTAAAAAAAGGAAGATGAGTGAGTGTGGAGAGTTGCTCAGTTGATGGCCTTGTTAGAAGTATTGTCAGGACATTCACAGAAATAGGAAGGTAAGGCAGGACCAGAAAGTGTGTAAATGTGGTTTATAGGGCCTGTAGATCAAAACTGCCCCCCATACCAAGGTTCGCTGTATATGCTGCCAGTACTAGAGGGATGCTAATGTGAAGCTCTTCTTTCCCTGAGATATGTTTTGGACATCCCTCCCCAGGCCCTTTCCATATCTGATACTGGAGCTTTGATCTCATATGCCTTACACACAGAGAAGAAACTCCTACCCCAGATTCAAGGGAATGCATCTTACTGTCATTTCAGGATGGCTTCCTGCCAAAACAAGTCAATCAGAATGGGAGGAGGTATCATGTGCTATCTGCCAGTGTAATTTATCTTTCCATGTAGCTATTGAAAACTATTCCAAGTGTGCCTGCATTATAACCTAATCTATTGCTTATCTCTAAAAAACAACCTTTGTGCTCATCACAAATAAAACATGAAAATAATGATAGGGTCACTTTGTGGCTTTCTGTGAAGATTAACTTAAATAATATATATAAAAAATTTGAAAGAGTGCATAGCCAATTGAAAGTATGGAAAGTGGCCCGGCACTCATGCCTGAGATTCCAGCACTTTGGGAGGCCAAGGACAACAAACCCAGTCCTCACCTCTTAAAAAAAAAAAAAAAAAAAAAGAAAAGAAAAGAAAGAAGAAGAAAGGAAGAGGAGGGGAAACAATGTGGAGAAAGAAAACTTTTGTTTGTTAATGTTTTTCCTCCTATAACCAACAACACTAGTTAAAAGTAATAAATAATCAGTTGATGACTAGTGGATGAGACATCTCTAACTGTGAATTACAATGTAACTATATTATCCTCTGATCACATGTCTCAGGCTGAATTTGGCCCTGTACTATTCAATAATTCTAAATTATTACATCATGCATTAGAATGATCCTAGATTAAATTTAAAGATTCTATATAACTAGAGCATGTAATTAATATATTACATGACACCATCAAAGTTCAACTGGTTCTCAACAGACTGGATGACCTAAAACAAGTCTGAAATTAAGAGGATTAGGTGGTATTTTTATAGTACAGTCACAGGATGGAAACTTGGCAACAACATGCAATAGTAGAAAAGCAACAAATTTGTTGGCAGTGTATGGATGTGTATTATGACTTGCTTGGTTACAAATTGGGAAATCTGGGGAATTTAATTTACTCAGATTTTTCACCTGTAAATTAGGTGTAACTGGAAGAACAAATTACATCCCTCAATTTCTGGAGGTTGCTTATACAGAATTGCTTTCCTTCTCACAGAAAATAATGATAATGACAGTACAGGAGGAAAAGGAGGAGGAGGAACTGTACTGTCACGAATACATTCAGCTACAAATAACAGAAAAATCCACTAAAATGCCTAAAACATACAACTTGTATGCATATCTGTTTCACTGAACAAAAATTTCAGGGCAGGCTTTCCAGAAATGCTTCTGTATCCCAATCCTGTCGTTAAAGACAGAGGCTCCTCCTATCTTCTTGTGGCTTTCCCCTAGGCCAGAGGTTACATGCTATGCCTCCAGGGATCACATCTCCATCCCAGGCAAGAAAAAGGGGAAGAGCAAAGGGAGGAGCATGACAGCCAGGACTGCCCATTTTAAAGATCTGGCATAGAATCCAGCATTCCCTCACAGTGCACTGGCAAAAACTGTTGTCATCCTGCTCCTTAGTATAAGGTGGCTCAGGGGTCATGGGAGCTTAAAGAAAGCTGTTGAACCTGCCAGAGAGCAAGGAGTGCTTCAGTATTAGACAGTGTGGGCATTTTACATACATCAATTCACTTAGTCCTCTCAACAACCCTCATTTACCATGAGGAAACTGAGGGAAGGCAGAGCAGGGCCAAGATGGCTAACTAGAAACAGCAATTGGCAGCTCCCATGGAAAAGAACCATAATAAGTATGTGAATCTTTCACCAGCAACCAAAGTATCCAGGTTCTCCCATCAGAAATGACCAGGCAGCTGGTATGATCCACTGGGAGAAGGGAAGAACAGTGTGGTGCGGCGGCCCACATGAGAGCTACACATAAAAATGACACAACAAAAAATAATAAAGCAGTATCACCACTGACCCCACAGAAATACAAACTAGCATCAGAGAATACTATAAACACCTCTATGCAAATAAACTAGAAAATCTAGAAGAAATTGATAAATTCCTGAACATAGACACACTCCCAAGACTAAACGAGGAAGAAGTCAAATAGACCTAAATAAACAAATAAGTTCTGAAATTGAGGCAATAATCAATAGCTTACCAACCAAAAAAATCCCAGGACCAGACAGACTTACAGCTGAATTCCACCAGAGGTACAAAGAGAAGCTGGTACCATTGCTTCTGAAACTATCCCAAACAACTGAAAAAGAGGGACTCCTCCCTAACTCATTTTATGAGGCCAGCATCATCCTGATACCAAAACCTGGCAGAGACACAACAAAAAATTTCAGACCAATATCCCTGATGAACATCAATTCAAAAATCTTCAATAAAATACTAGCAAAACAAATCAAGCAGCACATCAAAAAGCTTATACATCATGATCAAATCAGCTTCATCCCTGGGATGCAAGGCTGCTTCAACATATGCAAATCAATAAACATAATCCATCACATAAACGGAACCAAAAACAAAAAACACATGATTACCTCAATAGATGCAGACAAAGGCCTTTGACAAAATTCAACACCCCTTCATGCTAAAAACTCTCAATAAACTAGGTATCGATGGAACAAATCTCAAAATAATAAGAGCTATTTATGACAAACCCACAGCCAATATCATACTGAATGAGCAAAAACTGGAAGTATTCCCTTAGAAAACCAGTACAAGACAAGGATGCCCTCTCACCACTCCTATTCAACACTGTGTTGGAAGTTCTGACCAGGGCAATCAGGCAAGATAAAGAAACACAGGGTATTCAAGTAGGAAGAGAGGAAGTCAAATTGTCTGTTTCTAGATGACATGATTTTGTATTTAGAAAACTTCATCGTCTTAGCCCCAAAAGTCCTTCAAGCGATAAGCAACTTCAGCAAAGTGTCAGGATACAAAATAATGTGCAAAAATTACAAGCATTCCTTTACACAAACAATAGACAAGCAGAGAGCCAAATCATGAATGAACTCCCATTCACAGTCACTACAAAGAGAATAAAATACATAGGAATACAGCTAACAAGAGATGTGAAGGATCTCTTCAACTACAAACCACTGCTGAAGGAAATAAGAGAGGACACAAACAAATGGAAAAATATTTCATGCTCATGGATAGGAAGAATGAGTATCATGAAAATGGCCATATTGCCCAAAGTAATTCATAGATTCAATGCTATTTCCATCAAACTACCCTTGACATTCATCACAGAATTAGAAAAAAACTACTTTAAATTTCATATGGAATCAAAGAAAATCCTGTATAGCCAAGACAATTCTAAGCAAAAAGAACAAAGTTGGAGGCATCACACTGCCTGACTTCAAACTATGCTACAAGCCTACAGTAACCAAAACAGCTCGGTACTTTTACCAAAACAGACATAGAGACCAATGAAACAGAACAGAGACCTCAGAAATATCACCACACATCTACAACCATCTGATCTTTGACAAACCTTACAAAAACAAGCAATGGAGAAAAAATTTCCTATTCAGTAAATAGTGCTGGGAAAACTGGCTAGCCATATGCAGAAAGCTGAAACTAGATCCCTTCCTTACACCTTATACAAACATTAACTCAAAATGGATTAAAGACTTAAATGTAAAACCCAAAACCATAAAAACCCTAGGAGAAAACCTAGGCAATAACATTCAAGACATAAGCATGGGCAAAGACTCCATGACAAAAACGCCAAAAGCAATAGCAACAAAACCAAAATTGACAAATGGGATCTAATTAAACTATAGAGATTCTGCACAGCAAAAGAAACTATTTTCAGAGTGAACAGGCAACCTACAGAATGAGAGAACATTTTCATAATCTACTTATCTGACAAACGTCTAATATCCAGAATTTACCAGGAACTTAAGCTAATTTACAAGAAAAACAAACCCATCAAAAGTGGGCAAAATATATGAAAAAACAATTCTCAAAAGAAGATATTTACACAGCCAACAAACATATGAAAAAGAGCCCAACATTACTGTTCATTAGAGAAATGCAAATCAAAACCATCATGAGATACTGTCTCACATCAGTCAGAATGGTGATCATTAAAAAATCAAGAAACAATATATGTTGGCGAGGCTGTGGAGAAATAGGAACACTTTAACACTGTTGGTGAGAATGTAAGTAAGTTCAACCATGTGGAAGACAGTATGATGATTCCTCAAGGATCTACCATTTGACCCAGCAATCCCATTACTGGTATATACCCAAAGGAATATAGATCATTCTACTATAATAATACATGCACACATATGTTTATTTCCATGCTATTTACAATAACAAAGTCAGGGAACCAACCCAAATTCCCATCAGTGATAGACTGGATAAAGACATGGCACATATTCACACTATGGAATACTACTCAGCCATAAAAAGAAATGAGATCCTGTCCTTTGCAGGGACATGGATGAAGCTGGAAGCCATCATCCTCAGCAAACTAACACAGGAACAGAAAATCAAACACCTCATGTTCTCATTCATAAGTGGGAGTTGAACAATGAGAAAATATGGACACAGGGAGGGGAACAACACATAATAGGGCCTGTTGGGAACTGGGGGGCAGTTCTTAGAGAATGGGTCAACAGGTGCAGCAAATCACCATAGCACACATATACCTATGTAACAAACCTGCACAATCTGCACCTGTAACCTGAAACTTAAAGTACAATAAAAATTAAAAAAAAATACCATATCCAAAAAAAAAAGATCTAAGCATTTCAAATTACCCAAATAAATATTTCTAAATTATTAGGATATAAGTGTGATTCTTGTTAATGAGCAATTTACTGTTGTTATAGCCAGCATATTAATTGTAGGTAAAAAACATAGAATAGTATTATGTGCTATATATGCTTCAGTCTCTTAGGTATCTACAATTACAGTATTTAAGGATATTTCTTATTTGGCTTGAAGGATAATTTTATTATATCCAGGATCCTGGGGTATATATCTACAGCTTTATTTTTTCACCTGTTGGCATGCCTATAATTTATTTTGTACAAGTTTCTTACTTCAGAATACAATATGTAATTAAACATGGCTTCTTTGGAAAAATAAATCACATCGATTCCAGGTAGGTAAGAAAAAAAAGAAAAGAAAAGAGGTGTCTGGCAAGATGGTTGAATAGAAAAAGCTCTGGTCTGCAGCTCCAGTGAGATCAACACAGAAGGCAGGTGATTTCTGCATTTCCAACTGAGGTACCCAGCTCATGTCATTGGGACTGGTTAGACAGTGGGTGCAGCCCATGGAGGGCTAGCTGAAGCAGGGTGGGGTGTCACCTCACCTGGGAAGGGCAAGGGTTTGGGGAACTCCTTCCTCTAGCCAAGGGAAGCCGTGAGGGACTGTGCTAGGAGGAAGGGTGCATTCTGGCCCAGATACTATGCTTTTCCCATGGTCTTTGCAACCCACAGACCAGGAGATTCCCTTGGGTGCCTACACCACCAGGGCCACGGGTTTCAAGCATAAAACTGGGCAGCTGTTTAGGAAGACATTGAGCTAGCTGCAGGAGTTTTTTTTCCATATCCCAGTGGCACCTAGAATGCCAGCGAGATGGAACCCTTCACTCCCCTGGAAAGGGAGCTGAAGCCAGGGAGCCAAATGGTCTAGCTCAGCGGATGCCACCCCCGTGGAGCCCAGCAAGCAAAGATCCACTGGCTTGAAATTCTTGCTGCCAGCACAGCAGTCTAAGTTGACCTGGGAGGCTCAAATTTAGTGGGAGGAGAGGCGTCCACCATTACTGGGGCTTGAGTAGGCAGTTTTCCCCCACAGTGTAAACAGAGCCACCAGGAAGTTCAAACTGGACAGAGCCCACTGCAGTATGGCAAAGCTGCTGTAGCCAGACTGCCCCTCTAGATTCCTCCTCTCTGGGCAGGGCAACTCTGAAATAAAGGCAGGAGCCCCAGTCAGGAGCTTATTGATAAAACTCCCATCTCCCTGGGACAAAGCACCTGGAGGAATTGGCAGCTGTGGGTGCAGCTTCAGAAGATTTAACATTCTTGCCTGCTGGCTCTAAAGAGAGCAGCAGATCTCCCAGAACAGCACTCAAGCTCTGCTAAAGGACAGACTGCCTCCTCAAATGGGTCCCTGACCCCCGTGCCTCCTGACTGGGAGACACCTTCCAGCAGGGGTTGGCAGACACCACATACAGGAGAGCTCTGGCTGGCATCTGGCTGGTGCCCCTCTGGGACAAAGCTTCCAGAGGAAGAAACAGGCAGAAATCTTTGCTGTTCTACAGCCTCTGCTGGTAATACCCTGGAAAACAGGATCTGGACTGGACCACCAGCAAACTCCAGTAGAACTGCAGCAGAGGGGCCTGACTGTTAGAAGGAAAACTAACAAATGGAAAGGAATAGCATCAATATCAACAAAAAGGATGTCCACACAAAAACCCCATCCGAAGGTCACCAACATCAAAGACCAATGGTGGATAAATCCATGAAGATGAACAAAAACCATTGCAAAAATGCAGAAAATTCCAAAAACCAGAACGCCTCTTTTCCTCCAAAGGATCACAACTCCTCGCCAGCAAGGGAACAAAACTGGACAGAGAATGAGTTTGTCGAACTGACAGAAGTAGCCTTCAGAAGATGGGTAATAACAAACTCCTCCAAGCTAAAGGAGCATGTTCTAACCCAACGCAAGGAAGCTAAGAACCTTGAAAAAAGTTGGAGGAATTGCTAACTAGAATAACCAGTTTAGAGAAGAACATAAAATAGCTAATGGAGCTTACAAACACTGCACAAGAACTTTGTGAAGCATACACAAGTATATACAGGCAAATCAGTCAAGCGGAAGAAAGGATATCAGAGATTGAACACCAACTTAATGAAATAAAGTGTGAAGACAAAATTAGAGAAAAAAGAATGAAAAGCAACAAAGCAAGCCTCCAAGAAATATGGGACTATGTGAAAAGACCGAATCATCGTTTAATTGGTTTACCTGAAAGACAAGTGCAGAATGGAACCAAGTTGGAAGACACTCTTCAGTATATTACCAGGACAACTTCCCCAACATAGCAAGACAGGCCAACATTCAAATTCAGGAAATACAAGAACACCACAAAGATACTCCTCAAGAAGAGCAACCCCAAGATACATAATTGTCAGATTCACCAAGGATAAATGAAGGAAAAAATGTTAAGGGCAGCCAGAGAGAAAGGTTGGGTTACCCACAAAGGGAAGCCCATCAGACTAAAAGTGGATCTGTCTGCAGAAACCCTACAAGCCAGAAGAGAGTGGGGGCCAATATTCAATATTCTTAAAGAAAAGGATTTTCATCCCAGAATATCATATCCAACAAACTAACTTTCGTAAGCAAAGGAAAATAAAATCCCGTAAAGACAAGCAAATACTGAGACACTTTGTCACTGTTAGGCCTGCCTTACAAGAACTCCAGAAGGAAGCATGAAACATGGAAAGGAAAAACTGGCACCAGCCACTGGAAAAACATACAAAATTGTAAAAACCATTGACACTATGAAGAAACTGCATCAACTAACAGCCAAAATAACCAGCTAGCATCATAATGACAGGATCAAATTCACACATAACAATATTAACCTTAAATGTAAATGGGCTAAATGCCCCAATTAAAATACACAGACTGGCAAATTGGATAAAGAGTCAAGACCCATTGGTGTGCTGTATTCAGGAGACCCATCTCACGTGCAGAGACACACATATGCTCAAAATAAAGGGATGGAGGAATATTTACCAAGCAAATGGAAAGGAAAAAAAAAAGCAGGGGTTTCAATCCTAGTCTCTGATAAAACAGGCTTTAAACTACAAAATATAAAAAAGACAATGAAGGGCATTATATAATGGTAAAGGGATCAATGCAACAAAAAGAGCTAACTATCCTACATTTATATGCACCCAATACAGGAGCACCAGGATTCATAAAGCAAGTTCTTAGAAACCTACAAAGAGACTTAGGCTCCCACACAATAATAGTGGGAGACTTTAACACCCCACTGTCAATAATAGACAGCTCAATGAGACAGAAAATTAACAAGGATATTCAGAACTCGAACTCAGCTCTGGACCAAGTGGACCTAATAGATATCTACAGAACTCTCCACCCCAGTCAACAGAATATACATTTTTCTCAGCACCACATCGCACTTATTCTAAAATTGACCACATAATTGGAAGTAAAACACTCCTCAGCGAACGCAAAAGAACAGAAATCATAACAGTCTCTCAGACCACAGTGCAATGAAATTAGAACTCAGGATTAAGAAACTCATTCAAAACCGCATAGCTACATAGAAACTGAACAATCTGCTCCTGAATGACTACCAGGCAAATAACAAAATTAAGGCAGAAATCAGAAGTTTTTTGAAACCAATGAGAACAAAGACCAACGTACCAGAATCTCTGGGACACAGCTAAAGCAGTGTTTAGAGGGAAATTTATAGCACTAAAATCCCCATAGGAGAAAGCAGGAAAGATCTACAATCAACACCCTAAAATCACAATTAAAAGAACTAGAGAAGCAAGAGCAAACAAATTCAAAAGCTATTAGAAGACAAGAAAGAACTAAGATCAGAGCAGAACTGAAGGAGATGAAAACATGAAAAACCTTTCAAAAAAATCAATGAATCCAGAAGCTGGTTTTTTGAAAAGATCAACAGAACAGATAAATGGCTAGCCAGACTAATATAGAAGAAAAGAGAAGAATCAAATAGACGGAATAAAAAATGATAAAGGGGATATCACCACTGATCCCACAAAAACAAAAACCACCATCAGAGAATACTATAAACACCTTTACACAAATAAACTAGAAAATCTAGAAGAAATGGATAAATTCCTAGACACACACACACTCCCAAGACTAAACCAGGAAGAAGTTGAATCCCTGAATAGACCAATAACAAGTTCTGAAATTGAGGCAGTAATTAATAGGCTACCAACCAAAAAAAGCCCAGGACCAGAGGGATTCACAGCTGAATTCTACCAGAGGTACAAAGAGGAGCTGGTATCATTCCTTCTGAAACAACTCCAAATAATTGAAAAAGAGGGACTCTTCCCTACCTCAATTTATGAGGCCAGCATCATCTTGATACCAAAACCTGGAAGAGACACAACAAAGAAAGAAAATTTCAGGCCAATATCTCTGATGAACATTGATGTGAAAATCCTCAATAAAATACTGGTTAACCAAATCCAGCAGCACATCTAAAATCTTATCCACCACAATCACAGAGGCTTCATCCCTGGCACTCAAGGCTGGTTCAACATACATAAGTCAATAAATGTAATCCATTGCATAAACAGAACCAATGACAAAAACCACATAATTATCTCAATAGATGCAGAAAAGGCCTTTGATAAAATTCAACAGCCTTCATGCTAGAAACTCTCAATAAACTAGGTATTGATGGAATGTATCTCAAAATAATAAGAGCTATTTATGACAAACCCAGAGCCAATATCATACTGAATGGGCAAAAGCTGGAAGCATTCCCTTTGAAAACCAGCACAAGACAAGGATGCCCTCTCTCACCACTCCTATTCAACGTAGTATTGGAAGTTCTGGCAAGGGCAATCAGGCAAGAGAAAGAAATACAGTGTATTCAAATAGGAAGAGAGGAAGTCAAATTGTATCTGATTGCAGATGACATGATTGTATATATAGAAAACCCCATAGTCTCAGCCCAAAATCTCCTTAAGCTGATCAGCAAATTCTGCAAAGTCTCAGGATACAAAATCAATATGCAAAAATCACAAGCATTCCTATACACAAATAATAGGCAAACAGAAAGCCAAATCATGAGTGAACTCCCATTCATAATTGCTACAAAGAGAATAACATACCTAGGAATACAACGTACAAGGGAAGTGAGGGACCTCTTCAAGGAGAACTACACATCACTGCTCAAGGAAATCAGAGAGGACACAAACAAAGGGAAAAACATTCCATACTCATAGATAGAAAGATCAGTATCATGAAAATGGCCATATTGCCCAAAGTAATTTATAGATTCAATGCTATCCCCATCAAGCTACCATTGACTTTCTTCACAGAATTAAAAAAAAAAAAACTACTTTAAATTTCATATGGAACCAAAACACAGCCCACATAGCTAAGACAATCCTAAGCAAAAGGAACAAAGATGGAGGCTTCGCACTACCTGACTTCAAACTATACTACAAGGCTACAGTAGCCAAAACAGCATGGTACTGGTACCAAAACAGATATATAGATCAGTGAAACAGAACAGAAGCCTCAGAAATAATACCACCATCTAAAATCATCTGATCTTTGACAAACCTGACAAAAGCAAGCAATGGGGAAAAGATTCCTTATTTAATAAATGGTGTTGGGAAAACTGGCTAGCCATGTACAGGAAACTGAAACTGGGCCCCTTCCTTACACCTTATACAAAAATTAACTCAAATGGATGAAAGACTTAAATGTAAGACCTAAAACCATGAAAACCTTAGAAGAAAACCTAGACAATACCATTCAGGACGTAGGCATGGAAAATACTTCATGACTAAAACATCAAAAGCAATGGCAACAAAAGCCAAAATGGACAAATGGGATCTAATTAAACTAAAAAGCTTCTGCACAGCAAAAAAAAAAAAAAAAAAAAACTATCATCAGAGTGTACAGGCAACCTACAGAATGGGAGAAAATTTTTGCAATCTATCCATCTGACATAGGGCTAATATCCAGAATCTATAAAGACTTTAAACAAATTAAAAAGAAAAAAAAAACCATCAAAAAGTGGGCAAAGTATATTTACAGACACTTCTCAAAAGAAGACATTTATGCAGCCAACAAACATGAAAAAAAGCTCCTCATCACTGGTCTTTAGAGAAATGAAAATCAACACCACCATGACATACCATCTCATACCAGTTAGGATGG
This sequence comes from Homo sapiens, assembly GCF_000001405.40. Classification (NCBI taxonomy): domain Eukaryota; kingdom Metazoa; phylum Chordata; class Mammalia; order Primates; family Hominidae; genus Homo; species Homo sapiens. The sequence goes on from NC_000018.10 coordinate 44,421,698, forward strand.
TGATCATTAAAAAGTCAGGAAACAACAGATGCTGGAGAGGATGTGGAGAAACAGGAACACTTTTACACTGTTGGTGGAAGTGTAAATTAGTTCAACCATTGTGGAAGACCGTGTGGCAATTCCTCAATGATCTAGCACCAGAAATACCATTTGACCCAGCAATCCCATTACTGGGTATATAGCCAAAGGATTATAAATCATTCTGCTATAAAGACACATGCACATGTATGTTTATTGCAGCACTGTTCACAATAGCAAAGACTTGGAACCAATCCAAATACCCATCAATGGTAGACTGGATAAAGAAAATCTGGCACATATACACCATGGAATACTACGCAGCCATAAAAAAGGATGAGTTCTTGTCCTCTGCAGGGACACAGATGAAGCTGGAAACCATCATTCTCAGCAAACTAACACGAGAACAGAAAATCAAACACTGCATGTTCTCACTCATAAGTGGGAGTTGAACAATGAGAACACATGGACACAGGGAGGGGAACATAACACACCAGGGCCTGTTGCAGGGTGGGAGGCTAGGGAAGGGATAGCATTAGGAGAAATACCTAATGTAGATGACACGTTGATGGGTGCAGCAAACCCCCATGGCACGTGTATACCTATGTAACAAACCTGCATGTTCTGCACATGTATCCCAGAACTTAAAGTATAATAAAAAAAGAAAAGCAAAGAAAAAAACTGAGGCACAGAACGAATAAGTGACTTTTCAAAGGCCACCCTTAGGACAACTATTAGTAGTTATAGTGCCATTGCTCAAATTCAGAAGAGTGTCTCTCAACTTCTAAAAGGTGGACCTTCCTCTTTGCTAAACTAGTCTTACCTCAAGGCTGATGTATCAATGACTAGGGTTCAATCTGTATTTCTATTCTCATGTGCACTTGTGGCTCAGGAGTCTTTGTCATTTCTGGCTCTGGTATGGACTCTGCTGAAAACACATCCTCCCCTGCCCCTTCCCACCTCCCACATTCCCAGAGCTCTGTTCTAGGATTGTTTCCTTGGGAGTCTCAGGACAGAGACTGAGCAACTGTACACTGGAGACCTGGGTCACATGGCTGGTAGCCAGTAGAGTCAAATTTTGTCAGAAGGATAAGACATCAGAAGCACCCTCTTAACCAACCAATTTCAGTTGCTGTACTCTAAAGCTGTTTAGGAGAAAAAAAGTGGGGGTACACTGGTTGAGAATGTTATCCGACCTTAGGAACAGGAAAATTTCTTTTAAAACTTCTGCTGCATCATGCTATAGTTATCAGTATACAGCAATTACATTACAGCCATCATTTTTAATACGAGTTCACCTGAGGCAAATTGTGAACATCAGAGACCAAACAACAGTTAGGACTAAAACCTGTCTACATAATAATGTAAAGCAACAAAAGTGGCTTTGTAAGCAGAAAGTGTGGCAGTCAGGTAGTCCTCTTTTTAATATGGTGACAGGATCTCTTGCCTTGGGATTAACATAGCTGTATTTAGAAGCTACGCTAGGAGCCTTCAAGGGAAGTAGCAGCCAAGCCTTCTAAGGTATGGCACGAATACACTCCAGAGCTGTGTTCAAGAGCTGTGTTTTATTACCTGGAGGACAAATTCAGAAACAGATCTCAGTTCAGTGTCTAAGCCAATGTGGAACAGAAGAAAAGGAAACAATCACAGAACAGAGCTATGGAACTGTGGGGGGTAGGAAGGTGCAGGGGAGGATAATTTTTTAGCAGAGTCAATACCAGAGCCAAAAATGACAAGACCACAAGCTGCCTGGGAACTAACAACAAAATTTGAGGAAGACATTGGGAGTCCTGCAGAACTGAAAACAGGGAGATCAATCCATTACAAAAGTGTATAAATGTCAGCAAACCACCATGGCACATGTGTACCTATGTAACAAACTGCACGTTCTGCACATGTATCCCAGAACTTAAAGTAATTTTTTTTTAAAAAAAGTACATAAATGTATTTACAAGGAAGGGTGACACAGCTGACATCTGGGTGACCTGGATAAAACAATCCCTACGCCTAGGATTACCTTGAGCATCAACCAATATAATACTACCTAAAGTGCTTTATAAACAGTAAATCTATATAGGTGTTAATGAGTATTGCTGCTTTCATCATTGTCTTTATTGTTATAAATCTGCAAGCATTTCGTTCAGAGCCTTGCATATTGTAAGTTCTGTGTAATTATTGACTGGCTGACGGCAATGGTTTCCAAAAAGAAAAACTGACCTTCCTACTCTCTCCAGTCTCCCCTCTCCAACTCCCAGTCCCTGGAAAAGAAACAAAAATTAACATCATAGGCAATTCACAGGAGATGAAACTTGCTGAAGGGACAGTCAGTAGGAAAAACAAAAGGAGGCCTGCTGAGCTGCTTAAAGGGGCTTACTAGGTCTGTTTACAAGAAGAACATGCATCCTGATTGTAATAAGTGAGCTTGAAGGGCTAGACAGGCTCTTTAATCTCAGAAATGACACTGTGAACTCCAGTTCACCTGCTCGATTTATTTACATTGCTTTTGCCTGCTAACAAATCCAACTCTCCATCAGATTAATCAACATTTATCAGCCAGCGGCGGGAGCATCATTTCATAACGTAAGTAAAATAGAGAGGGAGTGAAATGGAATAGAGAGAGAATAAAACTCCCATTACTCTGTGGCTATTTGATTCTCTATGTATTTTATTCACATAATGAATGATGTACTTCTGGCTTTAACAGCATAGCAACCCTGGGTTCTGTTTGTTTAATGTTTCCCCGCCAGGGACTGTGCAACTCAGTAGAATATGCACAACAGGATAAAGGAGGAAGATGGTTAAGCCCAGGTTTGGGGGTTTAAAATTTCCCAAATAAACCAAAAGTGAGTTAACCACCAAGTTGTCCAGAGTCTGGTGATGTTAATTCAAATATATGATCACCAATCAACTAAATAATTTGTCTATATGGTTTGTATTGGCCATTAACACAAACTATTCATGCATTCATCCATTTAACAATTATTGAGCACTAAGTATGTGCTGGAAATTGTTCTGGGTGCTGAAGATGTAACAATAAGTAGAAAAAAAGTTCCTGCCCCCCGGAGTTTACATTAGAAGCCAAATTATAGACAGAGCACATGAATACATAATAAAATGTCATGTTGTAGTAACTGTTACGATCACAAATGAAGTGAGCTTAAAGGACAGAAACCAGAAGAATGCTACTTCAGAATGGGGTAGCCAAAAACATTGCTCTGAGATGATATTGGAGCAGAAATCTGCAATAAATGAAAGAACCAGGCATTCTGATATATGAGTGAAGTGCATTTCAGACAGAAAGTAAAACCAGAAACAGTTGAGAAATAGCAGTGAGGCCAGAATTGATGGAAAGGTGTGAGCAAAGCTAAAAATAGAATGACCATGATCCATCAATCCCACTACTGGATATATACCCAAAAGAAGGGAAATCAATATATCAAAGAGATATATTTGCACTCATATGCTTATTGCAGCACTATTTACAATAGCTAACATATAGGATCAACCTAAGTTCTATGAACAGATAAATGTTTTCTTAAATGTGGTATATATAGACAATGGAATATACTTAGCCTTAAAAATGAATGGAATTCTGTTAGTTGCAACAGCAAAGATAGAATTGGAGGTCATTGTGTTACATGAAATAAGCCAGGCACAGAATGACAGGTATCACATGTTCTCACTTCTGCGTACAAGCTAAAAAAAAAGTGGATCTCATGAAGATAGAAAGTATATTTGTAATTGTAAGAGGCTGGGAAGAGTATAGAGTAGTGGTGGATAAAGAGGTTGATTAATGGATACAATAATACAGTTAGAAGGAATAAGATGTAGTATTCGATAGGTCAGTAGGGTGACTATAGTAAACAATGATCTATTGTACATTTCAATAGCTAGAAAAGTTTGAATGTTCCCAGCATAAAGATAAATGTTTTAGGTGGCTATCCCAATTATCTTGACTTGATCATTAAATATCGCATAAATGTATCAAAATATGTGTACACCTCTTATGTATCAGTTTTTAAAAATGGGAAAGAGCAATAAGAAATTTAATCACAGATGTAGTACTGGGTTATATTATGTCAACTCCTATCCAACAGTAGAAACTTGAAAATAATAAGAATTAAGTGGAAATTTTTAAAATCACATTATGATTTTGTCCCTAACTATACTACTCAAGGACAGAAAATCAGATTTGTAATTTTTTTATTTTTCAGATTAAGCATTGATTCTGTCCAGATTACCAATATTTTAATAATGTTGCTGCTGATGATATACTAAGTCATGGTGATTGATTAGTTGATCCAATACTGGACCAACTAAGCCAGGAACAAATAACCTTTTAAAAAATTGCTTTGTTTTATTTAACTTTTTTCAGTAGAAGTATAACATGTAAAGAGACAAGTGCAGGATTTATATATGAACAGCTTAATAAATTATCATAAAGTGAAAATACCACCCAGATTAAGAAATTTAACATCTATCAACATGCAGAGCTTCTTGGCCTCTACCAGTCACAACTCCTCTCATCTCTCCAGAATTAAACACTGTCTTGACTTATATCTGCATACATCAGTTTTGCTCATTTTAAAAATTTTATGTAGATAAGAGATTCATTCTTTATTGCATGTATCTATTCACTTTCAATGCTGTTTAGGAGTCAATTGTAAATTATATCAGTTATATTTATCTATTATATTCCCAACAGATATTAGAGATATTTCCAATTTGTGGTTATGAAGCATTGTACTACTATGAATATTCTTTTACTTGCCTATTCTTACACATACGACAGTTTTCTGTTGGGTATGTACCTGAGCAAATATCAAACAGAAAAGTTTACACTTCCACAATTACAGTTCCAACAACCATCTTGAAAGGTGTGTAGTAGCATCTCATTATAGTTTTAGTTTGCATTTTCTCTTGACTAATGAGAAGCACTGTATTTCTACTGATTGTTTAGATATCCTCTCTTGTGAAGTGTCTGATTCTCTTGTCCATTATTTTTATTGTCTGTCTTTTCCTCATTGGTAGGAAGAAATTATCTACTTTGTATACATTTGTGGCAAAATAACTTTTCCTGCTCTTAGGACTTTTTCACTTTCTTCAACTTGTCTTTCAATGATCAAAAATTCCCAATCTTAATGTATTTTGCTTTGGTAATATTTTCATTTACCATTAGCATTTATTGTGACCTGCTTGATAAACCTTTCCCTATCCCAAGTTAATAAGAATATTCTCATACATTATAAAATATTTTTCTTTGTCTCACATTTCACATTTAGATTTACAATAGTCTAAGACAGATATTTGTTAGCACATCTCACATCTCACATTTAGATTTACAATAGTCTAAGACAGATATTTGTTAGCACGAAGTAGGTTTCAAGTCTCTGGGATTTCCTTCTCTATTTGTTGGGATACCTAGTTGAACCAACACTATTGGAGGGAATGTCTTTCCTACTCTTTGCAGTGCTACTTTCCTTGTATGAGTTGTATGTTGTAAGTCAATTTATAATTAGGCTGTTTCTTAGCTTTTTATTATGTCCACTTATATTAATAACTTATTCTACCAACAGCAGTCTTATTAAAAATTTATAGTGTTTCAATGTGATAGAGGATTTTTTTTTCATTTTCAACATTGTGTTAACTCTCCTTGACCCTATGTCCATATAAATTTTTTTGTAATATAGTTTTTTGGAGAAGTTTTAGATTCACAGCAAAATTGAACAGAAGGTGCAGAGATTTTTTTGTATACTCCCTTCCCCACATATACACAGCGTCTTCTACCATCAAAATCCTACACGATAGTTGTATGTTTGTTAGAATCAGTGAACCTACATCAACACATCATTATCGACCAAAGTCCATAGTTTATGGTTCACTCTTGGTATTGTATATTCTATGAGTTTTGACAAATATATAATCATATGTATCCCCGATTATGGAAAAAATACAGAGTAGTTTCACCAAGCTAAACTCCTCTCTGCTCTGCCTATTCATCTTTCTCTCTTCCTCTAAACCCTGGCAACTACTGATCCTTTTAAAACTGTGTCCGTAATACTGCCTTTTCCAGAATGTCATATAATCAAAATTTTATAGTATGTAGCCTTTTCATAATAGTTTATTTCACTTAATAATATGCGTTTGAGTCCTTCATGATTTTTCATGGCTTGATAGCTCATTGCTTTTTAGTGCTGAGTAATATTTCATTGTCTGGATGTACCACAGTTTATCTATTAACCTACTGAAGTAGATCGTGGTTGCTTTCAAGTTTTGGCAATTATGAATAAAGGTGCTATGAACACTTTTTGGACACATAAGTTACTAACTTCTTTGGGCAAATATCAAAAAGCACAAATGCTAGAACATGTGGTTAAGAGTATGTTTTAGTTTTATAAGAAACTGTCAAACTGTCTGCCAAAGTGACTGTACCATTTTGCATTCCTACCAGAAATGAATGAGAGTTCCTGCTGTTCCCTATCTTTGTCAGTTTTTGGTGTTGTCAATGCTTTGGATTTTGGCCATTCTAATAGGTATGCAATGGTGTCTCGTTGTTTTAATTTTCAATCCTTTAATGACATACTATGTTGAGCATTGTTTCATATGCTTATTTGCCATTTATGTGTCTTCTTCGGTGAAGCGTCAGGGTTCAGGTCTTTTGCCCATTTTTTAATGAGGTTTTTTAAATTGTTTGGTTATAAGTTATATTTTATACACTTATCAAATCTCTTTTGAAAATATTTCATCTTTGTCTCCGTCATCTTTTTATTCTCTTGACACTGTCTTTCACAGAGCAGAGTTTTTAATTTTAATGAAATTCAGCCTATAAAATATTTTTTCATGAATTGTGCTTTTGGTATATATACAAAGTAATCATTATACCCAAAGTCGTCTTGTTTTTTTTTTTTACATTGTCTTCTAAGAGTTTTATAGCTTTGTTTTTCACACTTAGATCTATGATCCATTTAAACCAATTTCTGTGAAGGGCATAAGTTCTATGTCTAGCTTTCTTTTTTTTTATGTGGATGTCCAGTTGTTTGAATACCATTTGTTGAAAAGATTATTGGCTGGGAATGGTGGTTCATGCCTGTAATCTCAGCACTTTGGGAGGCCGAGGTGAATGGATCGCTTGATTGCAGGAGTTCAAGACCAGCCTGGGCAACGTGGTGAAACCTAGTCTCCACAAAAATCAGTCAGGTGTGGTGAGCTTGCACCTGTAGTCCCAGATTATTTGGGGTACTGAGCTGGAGGATGGCTTGAGCCCAGGAGATAGACATTACAGTGAGATGAGATAGCACCACTGTACTCCAACCAGGGTGAAAAAGTGAGACCTTGTCTCAAAAACAAAAACAAAACAAAACAAAACAAAAGGCTGGCCGCAGTGGCTCACTCCTGTAATCCCGGTACTTTGGGAGGCCGAGGCAGCCAGATCACCTGAGGTCAGACGTTCAAGACCAGCCTGGCCAACATGGCGCAACCCTGTCTCTACTAAAAAATACAAAAATTAGCCAGGAATGATGGCGGCCACCTGTAATCCCAGTTACTCAGGAGGCTGAGGCAGGGAAAATTGCTTGAACCCGGGAGGCGGAAGTTGCAGTGAGTTGAGATCACGCCACTACACTCCAGCCTAGGCTACACAGCAAGACTCCATCTCCGGGTGTAAAAAAAAGTTATCAGTGCTACGTTGTATTGCTTTCACTTATTTGTCAAAGATCAGTTGACTATATGTATGTAGGTCTATTTCTGGTCTTTCTATTCTCTTCTATTAACCTGTTTGGCTATAAGTTTGCTAATAATCACACTGTCTTTGTTACTGTAGCTTCATAGTAAGCTTTGAGGCTAGGTAGTATAAGTTCTGTGGCTTTGTTCTTCTTCTTTAAAATTATTTTGGCTACTCAGGGTGTTCTGCCTCTCCATAAAAACTTTAGAATCAGTTTATCAATATCCACGAAATAACTTCCGGAATTTTGAATGAAATTGTCTTTAACCTATAAATCAAGCTAAAAGAACTGACATCTTAACATTATTGTCTTCCTCTCCATGAACACCGACTATCTGACCATTTATTTACTGCTTCTTTAATTTTGTTCATCAGTTTTGTAGTTTTCCTTATAGAGATATTTTACATATTTCCTTAGATTATACTTAAGTAATTCATTTGGGAGCAGTGCTGTATAGATAATATTGATTTTTAATTTCAAGATTCATTTGTTCATTTCTGTATACAAAAAAATGTGATTGACTTTTATATATTAACTTTGTGTCCTGAAACCTTTTTATAATCATTATCACCTTCAGGAGGTATTTTGTTGGTTCTTTCAGATTTTCTGCAAAGACAGTTATGACATTTGTGCACAAAGTTTTCTTTCTTTCCAGGTTTTATATATTTATTTCATTTTTTGTCATAGTGCTGTAGCTAGGACTTCCAGTACAATTTTCAAAGGAGTGCTGAGAGGGTACCTCTGTGCCTTCTTCCTAATTTTGATGAGAAGCTTTTCAGTTTCTAACCAGTAAGTGTGATGTTAACTGTAGGTTTTTCGCAGATGTTATTAAATTGAGAAAGTTCCCCTTTACTCCTAGTTTCCTGAGTTTTTATCATGAATAGGTGTTGGATTCTGTCAAATGCTTTTTCTGAATCTATTTGTATGATCATGTGATTTTTTTCATATGCCTATTATTATGACAGATTATATAAATCAATGTTCAAATGTTGAACCAGCCCCACATACTGGACATGAATCCCACTTGGTTATGGTGTATATTGTATACATTGTTTAATTTGATTAGCTAATATTTTATTGAGGATTTTTATATCTATCTATCAATATGAGAGTTATTAGTTTTTGTTTTCTGTTCTTGTAAAATCTTTGTGTGTCTTTGATGTTAGCATAATGCTGGCCACATAAAATAAGTTAAGAGGTATCTCCTGTGCTTTTATCTTCTGTACAAGATACTAAGATAATTAACATTATTTCTCCCTTAAATGTTTTGTAGACTTCACTAGTGGATCCAACTGGGTCTGGTGATATCTGTTTTGGAAGGTTATTCATATAGGCTAATTTAGATTGTCTATTTCTGCATGTGTAAGTTTTGGCAGATTGTGTCTTTCAAATAATTGATCCATTTTATCTCAGTTATCAAATTTGTAGGTATAGAGTTGTTCATAACATCCCCTTTTTATTATACTTTAAGTTCTAGGGTACGTGTGCAGAACGTGCAGGTTTGTTACATAGATATACATGTGCCATGTTGGTTTGCTGCACCCATTAACTCGTCATTTACATTAGGTATTTTTCCTGACACTATCCCTCCCCCAGCCTCCCACCCGCAACAGGCCCCAGTGTATGATGTTCCCTTCCCAGGGTCCATGTGTTCTCATTGTTCGACTCCCACTTATAAGTGAGAATATGTAGTGATTGGTTTTCTGTCCTTCTGACATTTTGCTGACAATGATGGTTTCCAGCTTCATCCATGTCACTGCAAAGTACAGGAACTCATCCTTTTTTATGGCTGCACAGTATTCCATGGTGTATATGTGCCACATTTTCTTTATCCAGTCTATTATTAATGGACATTTGGGTTGGTTCCAAGTCTTTGCTATTGTGAATAGTGCCACAATAAACATACATGTGCATGTATCTTTATAGTAGCATGATTTATAATCCTTTGGGTATATACCCAGTAATGGGATCGCTGGGTCCAATGGTATTTCTGGTTCTAGATCCTTGAGGAATCACCACACTGTCTTCCACAATGGTTTTTTTACACTCCCACCAACAGTGTAAAAGCATTCCTATTTCTCCACATCCTCTCCAGCATCTGTTGTTTCTTGACTTTTAAATGATTGCCATTCTAGCTGGCATGGGATGGTATCTCACTTCAGTTTTGATTTGCATTTCTCTAATGACCAGTGATGAAGAACATTTTTTCATATGTCTGTTGGCAGTATAAATGTCTTCTTTTGAGAAGTGTCTGTTCATATCCTTTGCCCATATCCTTTGATGGGGTTTTTTCTTGTAAATTTGTTTAAGTTCTTTGTAGATTCTGGATATTAGCCCTTTGTCTGATGGATAGATAGGGAGGTGGCCTGTTCACTCTGACGGTAGTTTCTTTTGCTGTGTAGAAGCTCTTTAGTTTAATTAGATCCCATTCGTCTACTTTGGCTTTTGTTGCCATTGCTTTTGGTATTTTAGTCATTAAGTCTTTCACATGCCTATATCCTGAATGGTATTGCCTAGGTTTTCTTCTAGGCTTTTTAAGGATTTAGGTCTTACATTTAAGTATTTATTCCATCTTACTTTTTTGTGTAAGGTGTAAGGAAGGGGCCCAGTTTCAGCTTTCTACATATGGCTAGCCAGTTTTCCCAGCACCATTTATTAAATATAGAATCCTTTCCCCATTGCTTGTTTTTGTCAGGTTTGTCAAAGGTCAGATGGTTGTAGAAGTATGATGTTATTTCTGAGGCCTCTGTTCTGTTTCATTGTTCTATATATCTGTTTTGGTAACAGTACCATGCTATTTTGGTTACCATAGCCTTATAGTGTAGTTTGAAGTCAGGTAGCATGATGCCTCCAGCTTTGTTCTTTTTGCTTAGGATTGTCTTGGCTATATGGGTTCTTTTTTGGTTCCATATGAAATTTTAAGCAGCTTTTTTTTAATTCTATGAAGAAAGTCAATGGTAGCTTGATAGGGATAGCATTGAATCTATAAATTACTTTGGGCAGTATGGCCATTTTTATGATAATGATCTTTATATCCATGAGCATGGAATGTTCTTCCATTTGTTTATGTCCTCTTTTATTTCGTTGAGCAGTGGTTTGTAGTTCTCCTTGAAGAGGTTCTTCACATCCCATGTAACTTGGATTCCTAGGTATTTTATTCTCTTTGTAGTAATTGTGAATGGGAGTTCACTCATGATTTAGCTATTTATTCTTGGTGTACAGGAATGCCTGTGATTTTTGCATATTGATTTTATATCCTGAGACTTTGATGAAGTTGCTTATCAGCTTAAGGCAATTTTGGGCTCAGAAGATGGGGTTTTCTAAATACACACTCATGTCATCTGCAAACAGAGACAGTTTGACTTCCTCTTTTCATAATTGAATATCCTTGATTTCTTTCTCTTGCCGGATTGCCCTGGTTAGAACTTCCAATATTATGTTGAATAGGAGTGGTGAGAGGGCATCCTTGTTTTGTGTGGGTTTTCAAAGGAATGCTTCCAGTTTTTGCCCATTCAGTATGATATTGGCTGTGGGTTTGTCATAAATGGCTCTTATTATTTTGAGATACGTTCCAGCAATACCTAGTTTATTGAGAGTTTTTAGCATGAAAGGATGTTGAATTTTGTTGAAGGCCTTTTCTGCATCTATTGAGATAATCATATGGTTTTTGTCATTGGTTCTGTTTATGTGATTGATGATGTTTATTCATTTGTGTATATTGAACCAGCCTTGCATCCCAGGGATGAAGTCCACTTGATCATGGTGGATAAGCTTTTTGATGTGCTGCTGGATTCGGTTTGCCAGTATTTTATTGAAGATTTTTGCATCGATGTTCATCAGGGATATTGGCCTCAAATTCTCTTTTTATGTTGTGTCTTTGCCCAGCTTTGGTATCAGGATGATGTTGGCCTCATAAAATGAGTTAGGGAGGATTCCCCCTTTTTCTATAGATTGGAATAGTTGCAGAAGGAATGGTACCAGCTCCTGTCTGTACCTGTGGTAGAATTCGGCTGTGAATCCATCTGGTCCTGGACTTTTTCTGGTTGGTAGGCTATGAATTATTGCCTCAATTTCAGAAGCTGTTATTGGTCTATTCAGAGATTCAACTTCTTCCTGGTTTAGTCTTGGGAGAGTATATGTGTCCAGAAATTTATCCATTTATTCTAGATTTTCTAGTTTATTTGTACAGAGGTGTTTATAGTATTCTCTGATGGTAGTTTGTATTTCTTGGGATCGGTGGTGATATGCCTTTCATCATTTTTTATTGCATCTATTTGATTCTTCTCTCTTTTCTTATTAGTCTTTCTAGCAGTCTATCTATTTTGTTGATCTTTTCAAAAAACCAGCTCCTGGATTCATTGATTTTTTGAAGGTTTTCTTGTGTCTCTATCTCCTTCAGTTCTGATCTGATCTTAGTTATTTCTTGTCTTCTGCTAGCTTTTGAATTTGTTTGCTATTGCTTCTCTAGTTCTTTTAATTGTGATTTTCGGGTGTCGATTTTAGGTCATTCCTGCTTCCTCCTTTGGACATTTAGTGCTATAAATTTCCTTCTACACATTGCCTTAAATATGTCCCAGAGATTCTGGTATGTTGTGTCTTTGTTCTCACTGGTTTCAAAGAACATGTTTATTTCTGTCTTCCTTTCCTTATTTATCCAGTAGTCATTCAGGAGCAGGTTGTTCAGTTTCTATGTAGTTATGCAGTTTTCCGTGAGTTTCTTAATCCTGAGTTCTAATTTGATTTCACTGTGGTCTGAGAGACAGTTTGTTGTGATTTCTATTCTTTCACATTTGCTGAGGAGTGTTTTACTTCCAATTATGTGGTCAGTTTTAGAATAAGTATTATGTGGTGCTGAGAAGAGTGTATATTCTGTTAATTTGGGGTGGAGAGTTCTGTAGATGTCTATCACATCCACTTGGTCCAGAGTTGAGTTCAAGTCCTGAATATCCTTGTTAATTTTCTGTCTTGTTGATCTGTCTAATATTGACAGTGGTGTGTTAAAGTCTCCCAGTATTATTGTGTGGGAATCTAAGTCTCTTTGTAGGTCTCTAAGAACTTGCTTTATGAATCTGGGTCCTCCTGTATTGGGTGCATATATATTTAGGATAGTTAGTTCTTCTTGTTGCACTGATCCCTTTACCATTATGTAATGCCCTTCATTTTTTTTTTTTTTTTATCTTTTGTGGTTTAAAGCCTGTTTTATCAGAGACTAGGATTGCAACCCCTGCTCTTTTTTGCTTTCCATTTGCTTGGAAACTACTCCTCCATCTCTTTATTTTGAGCCTATGCATGTCTTTTGCATGTGAGATGGGTCTCCTGAATACAGCACACAGAAGGGTCTTCTTTACCCAATTTGCCAGTCTGTGTCTTTTAATTGGGGCATTTCCCTATTTTTACTTACTAGTATTAAAGTTTCAGGTCTTACGTTTAAGTCTTCAATCTATCTTGCATTGATTTTTGTATGTGCTGAGAGATAGGAGTCTATTTTCATTTTTCTGGATCTGGATATCCATTTTTCGCAGCACTATTTATTGAAGAGACTGTTCTTTCCCCGATGTGTGTTCTTGGTGCATTTTTTGAAAGTCAGTTGGTTGTTAGTATGTGGGTTTATTTCTGTGTTCTCTATTCAGTTCCATTGATCTATATGTTATTTTTATGCCAGTACTGTCTTGTTTTGGTTACTATATCTTGGTAGTATATTTTGACGTCAAATAGTGTGATGCATCCAGCTTTGTTCTTTTTGCTCAAGATTACTTTGGTTATTCAGGGTCTTTTGCTGTTCCATATTAATTTTAGGATTTTCTTTCTATTTCAGTGAAGAATGTCATTAGTATTTTTATTGTGATTGCATTAGATTACTTTGGGTAGTAGGGACGTTTTATTAATAACAAAATAAATTCTTTCAATTCATAAGCATGTAATATCTTTCCATTTACTTTTGTATTCCTCAGTTAACTTCATCAGTGTTTTATAGTTTTCATTGTAAAGATATTCTATTCATTGTCAAGATATTTCACCTTCTTGATTCAGTTTATTCCTAGGTATTTTACTTTTTGTAGCTTTGTAAATGGCATTGCATTTTTTTATTTCTTTTTTAGACACTATTGGCTTATAGAAATGCTACTGATTTTTGTATGTTGATTTTGTATTTTGCCATTTTATTGAACTAAACTCTTTTCAGTAGAGTCTTTGGGGTTTTCTATATGTATAATCATGTAATCTGCAAACAGGAATAATTTGATTTCCTCCTTTTCAATACGGATGCCCTCAATTTCTTTCACTTGTGCAATTGCTCTGGCAAGGACTTCCAGTATTCTGTTGAATAGAAGTAGTGAAAGTGGGTATCCTTCACTTTTTCCAGATCTTAGAGGAAAGAATTTTAGTTTTTTGCCCATTAAATATGATGTTAGCTGTGGGTTTGTCATATATGACCTTTACTGTGTTGAGATACATTCCTTCAATATATAATTTGTTGAGTTTTTAATCATAAACGGGTGATGAATTTTATCAAATCCTTTTGGATATCTATTAAAATGATCATGGTTTTTTCCAATTCTGTAATATGATGTATTATTGATTCACAGATGTTGAACAATTCTTGTGTCTCTGCAATGAATCCTAACTGGCCATGGTGAATGATCTTCATAACATGCTGTTGATTTCAGGGTTCTAATATATTTTGATGATTTTTGCATTCAGGTTCATCAGGGATATTGGCCTATAGTTTTCCCTTTCTGTTGTGTCTTTAGCTGGTTTAGTATCATGGTAATGCTGACCTCATAGAAAGAGTTAAGAATTCCCTCCTCTTCAATTTTTTGAATAGTTTGAACAGGATTGATATTGGTTCTTCTTTAAGTGTTTGGTAGAATTCAGCAATGAAAACTTCATGTCTTAGGCTTTTCTTTGACGGGGGGCTTTTTGTTACTCATTCAATTTTGTTACCTGTTATTGGTCTATTCAGATTGTCTATTTCCTCGTGATTCAGGATACAGAATTCTAGGTTGGTGATTTCTTTTTTTCTCAACATTTTAAATATTTCCCTCCAATCTCTTCTTGCTTGCATGGCTTCTAAAAAGTCAAATGTAATTCTAATCTTTGTTCCTCGGTTTGTAAGGTGTTTACTTTCTTTGACTTCTTTCGATATTTATTCTTTATCATTGATGCTCTATAGTTTGAATGTGATATGCATAGGTATAGTGATTTTTCTGGCATTTATTTTTCTTTGTGTTCCCTGAGTTCCCTGGATCTGTGGTTTGGTATCTTCCATAGTTTGACTGTTAGAATACCATCAACTGGGTGGCTTAAACAACAAATATTTATTTCTCATAGTTCTGGAGGCTAGAAATCTGAGATCAGGGTAACAATATGTCACTTTCTTAGTGAAGGCCCTTTTCTGGGTTTAAAGATTGTCATGTTTTACTGTATCTTCACATGGCAAAAAGAAAAGATAAATAAGGCAAGTTTTCTTGTATCTCTTCTTATAAGAATACCAGTCTCATTCATGAGAGCTTTACACTTAAGATCTAATTGTGTCCCAAAAGCTTTACCACCAAATACCATGCTATTAGGGTTAGGCTTCAATGTGTGAGTTGGCAGAGAGGGCACATTCAATCTATAGCAGAGCCTGACATTCATTTGAAAAAACTGTCCATGATTATTGCTTCAAATATTTCTTCTGTTCCCTTGTCTCTTTGTTCCTCTTCTGTATTCCCATTATGTATATGTTATACCTTGTGTAGTTGACCCACATTCCTTGGATATTCTGTTTGGTTTTCTTTTTCAGTGTTTTTTTCTCTTTGCTTTTCTAAGAAGATTTTGTTGACATATTCTCAAGCTCAAAGTTTTTTTTTTTCCCCTGGCTGTGCCCAGTCTACTGACAAGCCTATCAAATATATTACTCATTTCTTTTATAGTGCTTTTGATCTCTAGCAATTCTTTTTTATTATTTCTAGAATTTGCATCCTGTGATTGCACAGCCCATCTGTTCTTGCATGCTGTCTACTTTATCCATAATGGCCCTTGGCATATTGTTTTAAATTCTCAGTCTGAAAACTCCAACATCTCTGCCATATTTGATTCTGGTTCTGATGTTTTCTTTGTCTCTTCAAACTATGTTTCTTTGCCTGTTAGTATGACTTGCAATTTTTTATTGATAGTTGACATGATATATTGGGTAAAAGAAATAGTGGGGTTTTGGCATTTTTCTTGCTTGGGGTTCTCTGAGTTCTCTAATGTAAATAGGACTTTAATAATGTGGTGAGGTGTAGAGGGAGAGGAAATGTTTCATAGTGCCATGATTAGGTCTCAGTCTTTTCGTGAGCCTGTGCCTCAGGACTGTAAACTCCACAAGTGCTTCTCAGTTTTTTATCGCCTCCCTCAGGTGGGAGTGAATAAAGTTGAGGGTTTTCTTTCCTCAGGTAAGTTAGAGTCTGAAAAGCAATACTTGAAGCTCTAATAAAATAGTTTCTCCTGAGGGCAGGCCTTCTTAAGATGAACAGAATGCACTAGTATATTTTAAAATTGTTCTTTTCCCCTCCCCTTGCCAGAAGCACTAGGGTATTTTTCTCCAATCTTCACTATGAGGATCTGGAAAAGCTCCTGAAAGTAAAATTCACAAAAGTGTGGGGCCCTCCCCACCCCATGACTGTGTCCTCCTGGAGTTTTTTTTCTCTCAGCCTTGTCCACACTGAGCCTCCAGCAATTCATCAATTACAACTCAAGTTTTCTTCTCCTGGCTCTGGTTACTATGGAGATTTCTTCTTGTGGGCTTCTGCTCTGGTAAGTTGTGATTCTCTCTATCTAGTCTGTCTGTCTCTACAATTTTGTGGAGCAGCAGTTTGCCCTGTGACCTCACATCTCTTATGAATCTAAAAAGAATTAGTGATTTTTCAGTTTGTTCAACTTTTTATGCCTTGTTAGGATGGAGTGTCAACTTTCAAGCTCCTTACCTGCCAAACTGAAAACCAGAAGTGTGTGCAGATAAATTGTAGAATCACAACGACAAAATGCTGAAATGTTTACTGGGATTACATAGAATCTACAAAAAACTTATTCAGACAGTTTCATAATTGTTATTCTTCCAATTCATGAATATTTTACTCACTTAAATTTTCTCTCAAAAACATTTCTTAGATTTCTGTATAGAATTCTTGAGCTACTTTAATTAGATTTATTTCTAGTTAGTTGAATTTGTGTGTATGCACTACTATAAAGAGTACTGGTTTTAACTTTGTTTCTACATGTTTATTTCTGGTATATAGAAATACAATTGATTTCTCTTTATTAATCTTATATAAAATAAACTTAATTAAGTTCAAATGTAATTCCTTATCTATAGCTTCTTTGAGATTATATGTATATACACAATATGGCATCTGTGAATAACAATTTTAGAACTGCAGGACACATTGAATAGGAGTGATGATATAGGATTCCTTTGTCTCATCTTAAATTTCAGAGAATGTTTGCTGTTGTTGTCATTGTTCTTGTTTTGTTTTAATTTCTACTTTTATTTTAGACGTGGGGGATACATGTTCAGGTTTGTTACTTGGTTATATTGCACCTAGGCAGTAAGCATAGTACCCAATAGGTAGTTTATCAACACCCACCTCCCTCCCTCCCTTCCCCCTTTATAGTCCATAGTGTCTGTTGTACCCTTGTTTATATCCATGTGTACTCAATTTTTAGCTACCACTTATAAATGAGAACATGTGATATTTGGTTTTCTGTTCCTGAATGAGTTCGCTTAGAGTTATAGCCTCCAGCTCCATCCACATTGCTGCAAAGGAAGTCTCGCTCTATCACCCAGGTTTTAGTACAGTGGCGCAAACCCGGCTCACTGCAACCTCCGCCTCCTGGGTTCAAGCGATTCTCCAGCCTCAGCCACCCAAGTAGCTGGGATTGCAGGCATGCACCACCATGCCTGTTAATTTTTGTATTTTTAGTAGAGACGGAGGTTTCATCATATTGGTCATGGTAGTCATGAACTCCTGACTTCAAATGATCCCCCACCTTGGCCTCTCTAAGTGCTGGGATTACAGGCGTGAGCCACCACGTCTGGCCTCAATTTCATTCTTTTTTATGGCTGTGTAGTATTTGGTGGTGTATATGTACCACATGTTCTTTATCCAGTTGACCACTGTTTGGCACCTAGGTTGATTCCATGTCTTTGCTATTGTGAATAGCATGGCCATGAACATATGAGTGCATGTGTCTTTCTGGTATAATCGTCTATTTTTCTTTGGGTATATACCCAGTAATGGGATTGGTGGGTCAAATGGTAGCTCTTTTTTAAGTTCTTTGAGAAATAGTGCTTTCTATACAGTGCCTGAACTAATTTACATTCCCAACAACAATGTATAAGTGTTGCCTTTTCTCTTCCACCTCACCAGCATCTGTTATATTTGACTTTTTAGAAACAGCCATTCTGATAATGAGAGAATATCTCATTGTGGTTTTTATTTGCATTTCTCTCATGATTTCTGATGATGAGCATTTTTTCATACGTTTGTTGGCTGCTTGTATGTCTTGTCTTCTTGTTCCCTGTTTGTGTCCTTTGTCCATTATTTAAATGGGATTATTTGTGACAAACACACAGCCAACATCATACTAAACAGGCAAAGGCTGGAACCATTCCCTTTGAGAACTAGAACAAGATTAAAATGCCCACTCTCACCACTTCTATTTGACATAGTCCTAGAAGTCCTAGCCAGAACAATCAGGCAAGAGAAAGAAATAAAAGGGCATCCAAAAAGGAAAAGAAGAAACTAAACTCTCTTCACTGATATGATTCTATACCTAGAAAATGCTAAAGACTGCCAAAAGGCTACTAGAACTGATGGATGATTTTAGTAAAGTTTCATGATAAAAAATCAATGCACAAAAATCAGTAGCATTTCTAGACCCCAATAATGTCCAGGCTGAGAGTCAAATCAAGAACACAATCCTATTCACAACAGCTAGAAAGAAAATAAATACCTAGGAAAAAGCTAACCAAGAAGGTGAAAGATCCCAACAATGAGAATTATAAAACAGAAATCAGAGACACCACAAATAAATCAAAAAACATTCCATGCTCATGGACTGGAAGAATCAATATCATTAAAATGACCATACTGCCTAAAGAAAATTATAGATTAAATGCTATTCCTATCAAACTACCAATGTTGTTCTTCACAGAATGACACAAAAGTATTCTAAAATTCATATGAAAACAAAAGAAACTCAGAACAGCAAAAGCAATCATTACCAGAAAGAACAAAGCTGGAAACATCACACTACCCTACTTCAAACTATACTACAAGGTTACAGCAACCAAAACAGCATGGTACTGGTACATGGTACTGTACAAAAACAGACCCATAGACCAATGGAACAGAATAAAAACTCAGAAATAAAGCTGCACACTTAGAACCATCTGATCTTCAACAAGGCCAACAACAACAAGCAATGGGGAAAGGAGTCCCTAATCAATAAATGGTGCTAGGACAACTTGCTAGCCATATACAAAGGAATGAAACTGGACCCTTATATTTCACTATATGGGACATTTAACTCAACATGCATTAAAGATTTAAATGTAAGACCTCAAAATATAAACATCCTGGAAGAAACCCCAGGAGATACACTTCTCAATATGGGCCTTGGCAAAGAGTTTTTGGCTAAGCCCCCAAAAGCAATTGCAACAAAAACAAAAATTGAGAAGTGTGACCTAATTAATTAAAGAATTCTGCACTGCAAAACAGCCAAGCAATAAACAGACAACCTACACAATGGGAGAAAATATTCACAAACTATATATCCAACAAAGGTCCGCTATCCAGAATCTGTAAAGAACTTAAACAAATCAATAAGATAATTTGTTTATATGTTTTATCATTAACTATTATGCTTTCCATAGGAATCATGCAGTATCTTTTATATTAATGGTATGCTAATAGATTTTTTTTGTTTTAATCAAAATAATTTTTGGTTTTTTAAAAAATATCAGATATTGGCAAGGATGCAGAGAAAATCGAATGCTTATACACTGTTGGTGGGAATATAAATTAGTAAAACCCCTGTGGAAAACAGTATGGAGATTTCTCAAAGAACTAAAAATAGAGCTACCATTCAATCCAGCAGTCCCAGTACTGGCTACCATTCGATCCAGCAGTCCCAGTACTGGGTATCTACCCAAAGGAAAATAAAGTATTATATCAACAAGCTACCTACACTTTTATGCTTATTGCAGCACTGTTCACAATAGCAAAGTTATGGAATTAACCTAAGTGTCCAGTGATGGATTATTACATAAGGAAATTGTGGTATATCTATACCGCAGAATACTACTCAAGATATAAAAATAGAATAAAATTATGTCTTTTGCAGCAACATGGATGAAACTAGAGGCCATTATCTTAAATTTAATGACTCAGAAACAGAAAGTCGATTACTGCATGTTCTCACTTATAAATGAGAGGTAAATAATGTATATACATGAACATAGAGAGTGGAATAACAGACAATGGAAACTCGGAAAGGTGGAAGGGTGGGAGGGTAATGAGGGATGAGCAATTACCTAATGATGAAGACACCCTACATGCATCTGATTGAATTTCCAGAGAAAGAGAGTAAGGAATAAGTAACATTTGGAGAGATATTAGCTGAGATTTTTTCATAAATATTTAATGGCACCTAACATTAAACTCACAAAGTTGGTGAATCCCTAGCAAGATAAATAGAAAAAAAAACACACATATGCTTCCAAATGTGTCATAGCAATCCTGCAGAACATCAAGCTTTCCATAATAATATAGTAATTAAGGCAATGTGGAATTGTTGGAGAGACAGACAAATGGACCAATAAAATAGAATAAGGAGCTCAGAAATATATTTACGCATACAGGGAATCTTTAAAATTGAACTACTATAAAATAATAAGAAATAAGGTAAGCATTCTAATAAAGAAATGGCCAAAATATATGAATACATTTTACATAAATATTTCAGAGAAGAGTAAAAATGAATGGTTAATAAATGTCAAAACAAAATTTTAAACTTAGTAATTGTCAGGAAAATAACCCACTTCCAATCATTGGTAAAGATGAAGAGCAATGATAACTCTCAGACATGGCAAATGGGAGTTTAAATTGGTAAAGTTTAAGAAAATAATTTAGCATTACCCACCAAATTTGAACACACTCATATACTGTACTTGTGTAACCATGCATCCTAGTATGTCCACTTTACTTACTTTTAGAATAATTGCTAACATTATCCTCTTCAAGTTTTCAAAACGTTCCAATTTGAACAATATACTAAATGATCATCGTATCTGTGGCCAACAATTCTACTTCTGGATACATTTATCTGAGAAAACCTCTTGTTCATGTATACAGATTAACTCTGTGAGTGCTTTTGGTAGCATTATTTGGAATTGTGAAACCTGAAATCCTACTAAATGTTCAACAGAAAGGTTAGATAAAAGAGGATATGTTTTTATACTAGAAGGCTAGGCAGAAAGAAAATAAAATGAATACATCTTTACTCCAACACAGATGGATCAAAAAAACAAAGTTAAGTGACATAAACAAGTTACTGAAGAATACACGTGGTATGTTCTATTCATATGAAGTGAAAACACAGGCAAACCTAGGTAATATACTGTTAAGCCATGTGTACACATGGAGCTACATCATCCACAAAAGCAAGGTAGGTGATTCACATAAAATTGAAAGTAGCGGTTACTTCTAGCAAACAAAATTTTAAAAAGAGTATACTAAAGTTTCAAATGTACTGGTTTCACTCTTAAGATAGGTGGTGCTACTGAATAATAATTGTAATAATATATACTCCTTAAAAGGTATGATATATTTCACATTAGTAAACTCTGAAATTTTGATAAAATGTATTATTGATATTTTTCTCTTTTTTTACAACTAATAACCATATTTGTGCCTTTTCTTCAGTTGAGCTGACCATGGTTTTCCCATTTATTTTAATAGCTCTTTGTATATCATGGATAATAATTTCTTCTCTACAAAATGTGTTAGAAATTATTTCCTCTTGCATATTGTTAGCAAAAAAATGTATAAATATAATTTTGTTTCCTTTAAAATAGTCCCATATCTCTTATTGCCACATCCAATTTAGAAGTTTGAATTTTCTCATTCAGAGAAGTGCTCATGTTGTTTCTAATATATAGTTCTTATCACCTGGGATTGAATGGCACTCCTTGGTTATATTCTCCCTTATTAGACTCAAGGACCATTTGGATGTTCATGCAGAAGAGCCTTTTGGAATTAGAGAAGCCTTACAGAGACAGCAAACTAAAGCCCAGGGAGAGGGTGTGACTGCTTCTACATGCTACAGCCAGTGAGCCACAGAGCTGACAATGAACACTAGCCCTCTTGACTCCAAGTCAAACCAGTGGACCTTCACAAAGAGGGCTTCCAGTGAGCCTGCTTCTTTGCTTGCTCAAGATAAAAATACATGCATATGTAACTTTAAACTGCCAAGTAACATAACTGTATACACAATACCCTTGAGATGTGAATGACTGGATGGCATTTCAATGCTAGAAAACAGGGGAACCAGTTATAATCGCTGATTATACACGGATGATAAACAAGGTTGGAAAAATATATTAAGACTGAGCTTACAGCTGAAAGTTAAGACTTGGCCACCAAAGAGAGGAAAATAGCAGGGACTAATATGTTTTAATGAAATAAACCACATGGTCCCACCATATGCATACTGTACTATACTGTATTAATCGTTCCTGTAGCTTTCATTTTTAGTGGCTACCTCAGCCCATCAGTGTAATGGCTAGTGGAGTAAATTACATATTACATTTAATTGTCACATTGAATAGCATTTCCATGTAGGCTTTCTTAGAATTTTAATAGAGTGACCTGGCTGGCTTGCTGGCTAATATAAAATCAGCCTCCTAACTATTTTCTTTACCGCCGTCATGACGACCTCAACTGATAAGCTCTTATGACCTTTCTCAATTTAATTCAATTTGTTAGACATTTAAAATTGAATTTTTTACACAAATTAATGGTAAATGTGCGATTTCCCCTACCAATCTCCCCTCCCTCTTTCCTCTAGGAAAGATTAGGATAGATGAATCAAAATATAACTGGCTCAAATTGTATAAATGTTCAAAGCATACAAGGCAGCATGCAATTTCACAGTGTAAAACATTTCTCAAACGTGTTGATCTGGGGTGAAAAACTAAAACAAATGTTGCGTTCATTCTTTTGCTTCATAAGAGAATAAACTTTGCAATTAATAACATGGTCTTTCAGGTCAGACAGGTATGGGTTTGAGACCTGGTTTGACTACTTATAAATTGTATTCTAGAAATTATAACAAACTGTCTCTCAGACCACAGTGCAATCAAACTAGAACTCAGGATTAAGAAACTCACTCAAAACCGCTCAACTACATGGAAACTGAACAACCTGCTCCCGAATGACTACTGGGTACATAACAAAATGAAGGCAGAAATAAAGATGTTCTTTGAAACCAACGAGAACAAAGACACAACATACCAGAATCTCTGGGACACATTAAAAGCAGTGTGTAGAGGGAAATTTATAGCACTAAATGCCCACAAGAGAAATCAGGAAAGATCTAAAATTGACACCCTAACATCACAATTAAAAGAACTAGAGAAGCAAGAGCAAACACATTCAAAAGCTAGCAGAAGACAATAAATAACTAAGATCAGAGCAGAACTGAAGGAGATAGAGACACAAAAAACCTTTCAAAAAATCAATGAATCCAGGAGCTGGTTTTTTGAAAAGATCAACAAAATTGATAGACTGCTAGCAAAACTAATAAAGAAGAAAGAGAGAAGAATCAAATAGATGCAATAAAAAATGATAAAGGGGGTATCACCACTGATCCCACAGAAATACAAACTACCATCAGAGAATACTATAAACACCTCTATGCAAATAAACTAGAAAATCTAGAAGAAATGGATAAATTCCTCAACACATACATCCTCCCAAGACTAAACTAGGAAGAAGTTGAATCTCTTAATAGACCAATAACAGGCTCTGAAACTGAGGCAATAATTAATAGCTTACCAACCAAAAAAAGTTCAGGACCAGACGGATTCACAGCTGAATTCTACCAGAGGTACAGGGAGGAGCTGGTACCATTCCTTCTGAAACTATTCCAATCAACAGAAAAAGAAAGAATCCTCCCTAACTCATTTTATGAGGCCAGCATCATCCTGATACCAAAGCCTGGTAGAGAAACCACAAAAAAAGAGAATTTTAGACCAATTTCCCTGATGAACATTGATGCAAAAATTCTCAGTAAAATACTGGCAAACCGAATCCAGCAGCACATCAAAAAGCTTATCCACTATGATCAACTGGGCTTCATCCCTGGGATGCAAGGCTGGTTCAACATATGCAAATCAATAAACATAATCCAGCATATAAACAGAACCAAAGACAAAAACTACATGATTATCTCAATAGATGCAGAAAAGGCCTTCAACAAAATTCAACAGCCCTTCATTCTAAAAACTCTCAATAAATTAGGTATTGATGGGACGTATCTCAAAATAATAAAAGCCATTTATGACAAACCCACAGCCAATATCATACTGAATGGGCAAAAACTGGAAGCGTTCCCTCTGAAAACTGGCAAAAGACAGAGATGCCCTCTCTTACAACTCCTATTCGACATAGTGTTGGAAGTTCTGGCCAGGGCAATCAGTCAGGAGAAAGAAATAAAGGGTATTCAATTAGGAAAAGAGGAACTCAAATTGTCCCTGTTTGCAAATGACATGATTGTATATCTAGAAAACACCACAATCTCAGCCCAAAATCTCCTTAAGCTGATAAGCAACTTCAGCAAAGTCTCAGGATACAAAATCAATGTGCAAAAATCACAAGCATTCTTAAACACCAATAACAGACAAACAGAGAGCCAAATCATGAGTGAACTCCCATTCACAATTGCTTCAAAGAGAATAAAATACCTAGGAATCCAACTTACAAGGGATGTGAAGGACCTCTTCAAGGAGAACTACAAACCACTGCTCAATGAAATAAAAGAGGACACAAACAAATGGAAGAACATTCCATGCTCATGGATAGGAAGAATCAATATCGTGAAAATGGCCATACTGCCCAAGGTATTATATACATTCAATGCCATCTCCATTGAGCTACCAATGACTTTCCTCACAGAATTGGAAAAAACTACTTTAAAGTTCATATGGAACCAAAAAGGAGCCCCCATTGCCAAATCAATCCTAAGCCAAAAGAACAAAGCTGGAGGCATCACACTACCTGACTTCAAACTATACTACAAGACTGCAGTAACCAAAACAGCATGGTACTGGTACCAAAACAGAGATATAGACCAATGGAACAGAACAGAGCCCTCAGAAATAATACCACACATCTACAACTATCTGATCTTTGACAAACCTGACAAAAACGAGAAATGGGGAAAGGATTCCCTATTTAACAAATGGTGCTGGGAAAACTGGCCAGCCATATGTAGAAAGCTGAAACTGGATCCCTTCCTTACACCTCATACAAAAATTAATTCAAGATGGATTAAAGACTTACATGTTAGATCTAAAACCATAAAAACTCTAGAAGAAAACCTAGGCAATACCATTCAGGACATAGGCATGGGCAAGGACTTCATGTCTAAAACATCAAAAGCAATGGCAACAAAAGCCAAAATTGACAAATGGGATCTAATTAAACTAAAGAGCTTCTGCACAGCAAAAGAAACTACCATCAGAGTGAACAGGCAACCTACAGAACGGGAGAAAATTTTTGCAATCTACTCATCTGACAAAGGGCTAATATCCAGAATCTACAAAGAACTCAAACAAATTTACAAGAAAAAAACAAACAACCCCCTCAAAAAGTGGGCGAAGGATATGAACAGACACTTCTCAAAAGAAGACATTTATGCAGCCAACAGACAGATGAAAAAATGCTCATCATCACCGGCCATCAGAGAAATGCAAATCAAACCACGATGAGATACCATCTCACACCGGTTAGAATGGCGATCATTAAAAAGTCAGGAAACAACAGGTGCTGGAGAGGATGTGGAGAAATAGGAACACTTTTACACTGTTGGTGGGACTGTAAACTAGTTCAACCATTGTGGAAGTCAGTGTGGCGATTCCTCAGGGATCTAGATCTAGAAATACCATTTGACCCAGCCATCCCATTACTAGGTATATACCCAAAGGAATATAAATCATGCTGCTATAAAGACACATGCACACGTATGTTTATTGCGGCACTACTCACAATAGCAAAGACTTGGAACCAACTCAAATGTCCAAAAATGATAGACTGGATTAAGTAAATGTGGCACATATACACCATGGAATGCTATGCAGCTATAAAAAAATGATGAGTTCATGTCTTTTGTAGGGACATGGATGAAGCTGGAAACCATCATTCTCAGAAAACTATAGCAAGGACAAAAAAGCAAACACCGCATGTTCTCACTCATAGGTGGGAATTGAACAATGAGAACACATGGACACAGGCCGGGGAACATCACACACCAGGGCCTGTTGTGGGGTGGGGGTAGGGGAGAGGGATAGCATTAGGAGATATACCTAATGTAAATGATGAGTTAATGGGTGCAGCACACCAACATGGCATGTGTATACATATGTAACAAGCCTGCACGTTGTGCAGATGTACCCTAGAACTTAAAGTATAATAAAAATATACATATATATATAAAAATTGTGTTCTAAGTAGACAAGTTGTTCTACTTCTTTGAATGCAGTTTTCTTAACATGAAAGTGAGATTCTTGATGCCTATCTCACATAATGGTTATAAGAACTAAATGAAAAAATGTGCAAAAGCACTTGGATGGAGTCTGGTACATAAAAGTGCTTTATAACTGGCTCTTATTTCTGTTTTACGCTTTTATGCCCCATGAGAATCTGTTTCCCAGAATCTGCATCTCCCTGCATTCCAAGGTTCTTCCTTTCAGCCAGATGTGCTAAGGTAACACTGGGTTTAATTAGCCAGGCTGGAACAGGTTCCTGAGCAAATAGAAATCATATACCAGTCTCAAGTTTCACAGAGATAAGAATTAGTGTAGTTTTGTAAGTCTCTGATTCTGGATGCTGTAAACACCTGGACGCATCAATAAAGCAAGGCCATCCATTTCCAGGGCTTCCAATGTCATTTCTTTTTCTGAAGTTAAATCAAGCTACCATATCTATCTTTACCAGGGTGACTATGGGCCTGTCTTACAATAATCCTAAATCCTGAAGTGATGTATCACAGTTGTCCTTGGCCTAGCGGTCATGGCCAGGCTTAGTTAATTCTTGGCTGAGGAACAATTCTAAATCTACCAAGACTACTTGGTGTAGCAAGGCAAGCTATCATCTGTCCCATACCAGGCTAAAGACAGCTGGTTACTCTCGGCTGCTGAGGAAGAACAATTAGCAAAGTAACTGTTTGTACATATCCTCTGCTTGCTAGACTAATTACTCTACACCCTAATAAGAAGATTGAATTATGAGCCTTCCTGCTCTGTGGGATGTATATGACTTTTGAAATCCCAAAATTATTGATTTTTCATGATCATAAAAACAAAGTTTTAGAGAAAGATGAATAGAAAACTGATTCTTAAATTGGTTAAGGCTTACTTTCATTCTCTACATTCCCCTATTTGTCTTTAACCACAGCCAAATGGGGAAATGTATAAGATTGTGTATACATTTTTACCACCATCATCAGGTACTTTATAGACTCTGCCAACATCTCCTTTTTTCCCTGAGCCCAAACACCCCCTCAACACTTGCACACCATACTTTGCCCTCTTTTTCCAATATTATTCTTTACTTAAACCCTTTTCTCTACTAATACCTGTGAATATTTCAAACATGTAGCAAGCCAGTGCTATTAGTGTCTCTCAGTTTTCTCCACTAAAAATAGGAGACACATAAACTTCCTAATTCCCCACTGCACCTAATGGAATTCCAGCCTCAATGATTTTAACAGTTATCTCCTCCACAACCCAAGCTACTGAAATGTCCCCTGCTCTGCCAGCTCAGGTGTCATTATTTGGGAAATATTACTTCTCAACATTCTTTTTCTAGTTGTTTGCTTTTTCCATTATTTGCAGCTCAGCAGCTATTAAGATCCAATGCTGCAGAAAACAACAATAACAACAAAAGAGCCGCTTAATAACTAAACTTAAAAACCAAACTAGTCAGCAGCGAACAATGCCTTGTCAACATTTCTAAATGGAGCAGAAAGAAGGCAAGCCAAAAGGACAGAGAGAGGGCAAAAGAGAGAAAGGGACGCTTCCTGATGGATGAGTATGCATAAGTGCTTCGGATAATGGCTAAGAGGTAGAGTTTGCAACATATTAAAGAGGGGGAGGAGAGAAATAGGCGAATAGCCTCAGAAGGGGATCAGAGTGCAGTGAGATGGGCACACTCAGACCTTGGTGAAATGCTGAAGTCAACAAGACCTCCCTGGGGTGTGCCCTTACAAACCGCCCCCACTTCAAGGCTCTATTCCATTTAGCATCACCACCTCCCTTCTGCTTTCTGTTCCCACAGGGCTTTGCCCTCAAGATAAATGAAATAAATCCTCCAGCTGATGAGAACTTAATATGTTCTTCCTCCCCAAGGTATTTACAAAGGCAGCAGAGACTCTCGGAATCCCCAAAGCCTTCACGCTCCAAAGTAAGGCACGACAGATTTCAAGGAGGAGGAGATATTTTGGGGCAGAAGAGTTTTCCAGGACCCATCAAATCACTCCCTACAGACATCTGTCTGATAGATAATATATTCTTAAATGGGCTTTCTTTTGCTGTTTTATATCTTAAGAGAAAAGGGCAAAGTTGTGACTTTCTGTGATATCAGTACCAGGATTAGGACCCACTCTCCAATTGCCTTTGAAAAGAGAAAAAAGCAAAACGAAACCTTCCTCTGGCTTACTTTCAGAGCTCCAGTCAGATTGACTGTGCCAAGCAGACAGACCACCCACAAACTGCAATAAATAACAACCGTCTCTTCTGAGTCAGTTATCCACTGTATCACCCAAGGCAAGTGATTAAAAATTGCAATTTCTTTCACATAACAAGGGTGCTGTCAAACTGCAGCCCCTCACCATGGTTTTACAAGACTATGTGGAAAGCACAAAGTTCCATGTGCTGAGTTTTGTACTCCACAACTAGCCTGAGATTATCAAATCAATGCTGGAATAAAAGTTTGCAGGAATAATTTCCCTACACAGTCTTTTGTTGATCTACTGACATTGCCTAAGAGATTTAATTCACTCTTCTTCGTCCTTTTTTTTTTTAATTTATAAGACCTGTCATTGAAAGGCTCACCCAGTTTTTTGCTCCTCCTAATATGGATTTCTGACAAAACATGTCGCCATCCTGGTGTCATTTCCCAAATATTTTACCAATTAAAAAGCACCATCTCAGAAAACTATTCTCAAAACTCACCTCCTGCAAGACTCCTCTCCTACATTTTCACTTAGACCCTATCCTAATACCTTTGTCAATAAGGCTCCTTACTGGGTGTCTTTACTTGATCCTGCTTGCATGGCATCTTTACAAGGATATCTAATGAAGATATTGAACATAGTATTTCAAAAAGCCACTTACCTTCTCCTGAGTAAGCGGAGTCATGTGATTCCACTTCTATAAAGTTCTTGAACAAGTGAGAGGAGCCTCAAATGGGGAAAAAAGAGTCAAGGTAGTTGTGTGGATAGAATGAAGATGAACTGGGAAGGAGTGAGGAAACATTCTAAGGTGAAGGTCATGTTTCATGTTTTATAGGAGTTTAGGTTAAACAGATGTATGCAATTGTCAAAACTCAGTGAAAGTATACTTAAGATCTGTGCATTTCATTGTATGTAAAGTAAAAAAGGAAGAAAAAAGCAATCAATTGCTTTCTATCCCTTCAATGCTGTTGTTTCCTCGGCAATTCTGTCTCAGAAAAAATCCACTATTCACTTATTCACTCAGGGCCAAAATCTTAGAGTCATCTTTGACTTACCACTCCAGTTTATCAACAAATAATGTTGTCTATACCTTCAAAATATAATTGAATAAATTATGTTTTAAGTTTTGCATTACCAATATTCTAAGCCAAGCCACCATCAACTATTTCCCGAACCACTGCAAACCTCCTAATTGTTCTCTTGGCTTCCATTTTTGCCCTGATGCCCACCCACTCCTTTCAGCCCCATAGTCTAGTCTGTACACAAAAGCTATATTGAATCATATAAAGTCAGACCATAGGTCTCCCCTGTTCAATGGCTTCTCTGCACAGAATAAAATCAAAATATATTTTTCTTCATGGATGACAAGATGCTAAATTATCTGGTTCCTGCCAAATTCTCCAAATTCACCTTTAACTTCTTTCTCCTCTCTCATATCATTCTAACCATGCTGGCTGCCCTGATGCTCTGCCAAGCATATCCCTACCTCTCTGCCTATATTGCCCTTCCCCAGATAATAACACAGCCCACTCCCTTACTTCAATCAAGAATCTATTCTTATTTTACTTTCTAAGAGAGGTCTTTTTGACAACTCCCTCTAAGTTACTATCCCCATTATTCTTTATTCTTTACCCTATCTTATTTGTTTTCATAGCATTCATCATTCTCTGACCATGGATTACTTGCTTCTAATTATTTTCTGTACTTGGATACAATCTTCACAGAGTCAAAACCTTTATTTTTTCCACTGTAATATTTCTATTACAATTCCTAAAATCTGGAACACTACAGGTGGTCAAGAAATACCTCTTAAATCGATAAATTAAAAAATAAGTTATTCAGTAATGTTTTTTTAATTCTCTGTGGCAGACAGTAAAAGATGACCATCATCAATTTCTTCCCTCTCTTTATGTGTCTGCTCCTATTCACATCAAATGGAGTTCAATCTCCATCCATTTAAATTTATGCTGACCTTAGTGACTTGTATTGACCAATGGAATGTGGTAGAAGTGAAGTTTTGAGACTTTCATTAGAAGGTCATAAGAAGATTTGGAGTTTCCATCCAAATATCTTAGAAAAAATTCTTTGACTCTCCACTGGGAAGCTCGCCAAAATACTGAAGGCCAATTTGCCAAAAAAGGCCACATGTAAATTCTCCAGTTGGCAGACCAGTTGAGCTCCCAGCTGACAGCAAGAATCAACTGAGTAAGCCATATTGGGTGCACAGCTGAGTCAAACCTTCAGACAACTCCAGGTACAGCCACCATTTTATGACATTGCATGATGGATCCCAAGCAATAGCCTTTTAGCTGATTCTAGTCAACGCACAAAGTCATGAAAGATTAATTGTCTTAAGCTACTAAGTTTTGGGCAATAGATGTTGCAGCAATAGGTATCTAGATACACTTCAAATTATACTTTTCCTTCAACTCTATAAAACCTCCATGTTTTATAGTTGTTTTAGTGTACCTCAATCTATAAATTTCCTGACTCACTATTGTTCTTCAAGTATTCAGCTGATATCTATAAATGTAAACAACTTAATAGATCATGTACATTCTCTGTGCACCTTCCACAAATACCAATATTATAGTAGGACTTACAATATATGAATAAACTATACCTATTTTATATTCCTTATGCCTCAGGTGTGAGCAAGTTCATTGAATCACATGCCCAATTCCCCTACTTCAACTCTTCCACTTTATGTGCATCTTCTTTGCCTTTGATAAAACTGCAACCCCATCCTTCATCCTATTTGTATTTAAACTACATTCTTCAAAGACTCAGTCCAAGTCTTTAATAAATAACTATAAAATATTTTACCTTTGGTTTAGTAGCATCATCAATTTATCAATATTTATTTATTAAGTCTTAACTATTTATAGATAAATTTATAAGGCTTTGTACACAGAAGATGAATAAAGCTTGATTCTAAACTCAATGTCTTTTTAATCCAAGTGTGGGAAGAGAATAAAGCTCATAAAATGCACTTAGAATGCAAAACATTATGTAATGTCAAGATGATCAACACAGGGAAGACTGTGGAGGAGGCAGATTGACGGTGACGGGTACCTGCTGGCTTTGTGGGATGCCCCTTAGGCTGCAAAGGAACCCTTGGCGAAGCTCCCTCATGGGTTTCTAACATTATCAATTCAGTGCCTACATTGGAAATGAGAACTTGAGGACCTGGAATTTGCTTTTAAAAGCCACTTTTCTTGCCATCCACTCCATCCCTCTGGGCTGCTGTCTCTTGCCATAAATCTTAGCTCTGGGAACTCCAGGGCATCTGACTCACTGTGGAGTATCTCTTGGAAACCCAGGCTGGCTCCTACCTCAATTAAGCTTTTTTAGAGTGACTACTCCATACTTCTATTACAACGAGAAAAAAAAATCTCACTGTGAAGGCCTAACTCTTGCTATATACAGTCAGAAAACTTGGTCACAGTTAAGTGACTCCCCAAGCTACTTTGGGTGATCATAATCACATCACTTTTCTAATTCCCAACAGTCTGGTTTATAGGACTTCGTTATCCTATTGTGGACCTTTTGACGATAATTAAAACATGTCAGCAGCACCAAAATTCTAGTGAGTTTTTCCAAAACTGATAGGAAAGTTTATACAGAAGGGTAATTCCCAATTTCTTACATTTCTTCCCCACAACCCAGCTCCTTCAAAACAACTTGTAATATCTCTTTTCAAATATCCCTTCTAAACCATATTTAATAATTTTTAGCTGTAAATATGTGTTATTGTAGTATAATAAGAAATATGTATATGGTCTGTGCCCCAGTATCTGCCACCAAGCTCCTAAAACCTTTGTAATTTTCTGGGTGATGGGGTACCAAGTGCATCTTTTCTTCCGATACACTGTCTTTGATCCCAGTTTCTGACACAAAGTGTCTTATCCTTTGGAATTTCCTAGGTGATTTGGGGTGTCTTTTGTTCTGATGAAGAGACTGTTACTGGGCACCTGGATGGGAGTGGTCACCAAAAGGATCAAGCTATGATTAGAAGCTTAGAACATTCAGCTGCCTCATCCTCCAGAAAAAAATAGAGATGCTAGTGATTGAGTTAATAATTGATCATGCTTACATGATGAAGTATCCATAGAAATCCCTGAACACAAAAAATTCCTGAACATAAAAATCATGAAAGTGTGGAAAAGATTGAGGGTGGCATGCCCAAAGAGGGCACAGAAGCTTGCACTATCTCACTAGGTTCCTTGGTTCTCATGATCTTCATGTCCCATGTAAAATTCAGGAAGCATGGCTTGACCTCCCCACATTAATTCTTGTTTTTTATTGCCACTTTGGCTCCTCACATTAGTTTCAATCATCTCCACACTGCTTTCAGCTTCATGCCAGTTCTTTCTGGTGGACCCAAAACACAAGTATCTGGAGATGAAGGTGAAGAATCTTTCAGTGTCCCCTTCTGGCTCTGGCTATTGCTGGGGTCATGCCATACCACAAATTCTGCTGGTAGGTAGGTGAGGCAGGGACTTCAAGGCGATGGTATAGTCCTCCAGCTCAACTTTCTTATAGCCCAAAAACAGATGGGTAGACAGTACCTCATTGTTTTTGTGGCCCATCAATGAGTCCTGCATATCTTCCCTTTACCAGGGACATTAATTCATTTTCCTAGGTCCTGTAGTCAGGGACAACTTCATCTTGTTGAAGTTATTCTTGCCAATGATCTTGAGGAGCCAGTAGTTGCTAATATGGGTCTCCTCCTTAGCAGAGATGACTGAAAGGCCATTCAGCATGTTAGACTTACTGTTGGCTCTAGAGACAAGTTATCCCACGGACAGCTTAAAATTGGGAAAAGCTGGTAAGAAGCTAGGTCCATATTGCCTCAGAAGAAAACCAGATACAAAGTCTGTCTAATGAACTGATCACTACAGTGGTTTCAAAATACAATATTAGACAAAAAATGAGATAAACAAAACAAATACTAATGAATTCAATTTTTAAAAAATGAAAAAAAAAGAACTAGATAAAAAAAGGGAAAACAAAGTAGACAAAATAGAAGAAAAGCCAAGGAAGGAACAAGCTAATTTTGATCAAGTCCTTCAGGGCAACGAAAGTTACCTTCTAGAGCCAGAACAAAAACTTATGCCCAGCCAGGGACAAATAAT
Organism: Homo sapiens; assembly: GCF_000001405.40. Taxonomy (NCBI): domain Eukaryota; kingdom Metazoa; phylum Chordata; class Mammalia; order Primates; family Hominidae; genus Homo; species Homo sapiens. The sequence continues at coordinate 44,455,554 of NC_000018.10, forward strand.
ATACGTGCTTGGAATTTCATAACAATTACAGTAAGAAATGGACCTATCATGCCTGAGACCAATTCACGCAGTGGTTTTCTCACTTTTTGGTCCTAAGAATTCTTTATTCTTTAAAGCAAAATAAGTGAATGCCAGATAACTTTTAGTTTATATGGATTATGGCAATTGATATTTGACCTACTAGAAATTAAAACCCATAGGATGATTTTTAAAATATTATCAATAAAAACTGGAAATGTGGTGTTTGTTCAGTGGAGAGGTGTGTCAGTTTGGGCTGAAAAAGTTTAAGAAAGTCTTTTGAAATAATTGGGCCACATGACAGGCCTTAAAGAATGGGTAAAATTTGATTAAGCAAAACAATTCAAAGGATATTTGAGGCAATGTTTCAAAAAGAGATAGATAGAGTGGTACATGTAAGATTTTGAAAGACATTTCTACTTCTTGAAGCATGGAGTAGGGCTGGAGTGTAATAGAAAATGGGGATGGAAAGGTGACTTGAACATTGATTATAGAGTAGTAATGTATTTCTCTCTCTAGAGTACGCTTATAAATTCCATTTGGCCAACTTTAGAGTCTGTATAAAATACTGGTTAAGTGCACCTATCCCAAAGCCAGGCTATGTAGGTTCAAACTCAAACTCTCTGACTTGGTAGCTATGTTACTTTGGGCATGTCACTTAACCTCTGTGTCTCAGCTCACTGTCTCTAAGAACAGGATAGCAGCAAGTGACCATGTAAGGTTGTTGTGGGATTTCATGTAATGTATGTATATAAATGCCCAGAACATTGTGAGTACTTGATCATTAATACTGTGCAGTTAAGGGAAAACCTGCAATGAAATAGCCATTTTGCCCTCTGCATCACACTCTTAAGTCTTCCTGAGTGTAGTGACAACTAAGACATTTTGTATTTTCTTCAAAAAATTTTCAGCATTGGTTTTGTTTATTGAGCCAATAATTTTGATAGCTAGACAATTCTACTCTACTTTTCATATTCATTACAATAGAATACCTTAGACAGTAGCCATTTATGTTTAATTTTTCCATGGATGTTTAATGCTAAAATTCAAAAAGGTTCATGGTACACTAGGTATCATTCTATGTGCTTTACATATGATCTTCACAACAACTTCACAAGCTGCAAGTTTTGATCCAGTAACTTAAGGCTATGCAAGTACAAAGAATGGTCGGTGTTATTCAAAAAATACCAGCAGCAGAGACAGCAGTGGTCTAAACTCAAAGACATTTGTTTTCTAGCACCTAGTTTTTAGACTGGAGTCAGAAGAACTGAGCGATTCAACATCTTAATTTTAGGGATAAGTAAACCAAGATTCATGAACTACCCAATATCACGCAAGTCGAATGCTCTTTCCATTTTCCTGCTTTGCTGTGGAATATATTTGAGGACTTATTTATGAAGATGATTTTATCTGGAATTTGGAAATAATAATACTTTACTGGGGTCAATGAAGCTTCCATTAAAAAGATTTGCCTCAAGGGATCCTAAAATCCTGCACAGCATCATGTCTCCTCTGTCTTCCTACTGGCTCCTTAATTTCCTTTCCTTCCCTCCCCTCCTCACATGTTTCCCATCTAAACTTCATCACCCCTTAACCAAAAGTCACTAGATTTTTAATATTTCCTTCTGAAAACTCACAGTCATATACATTTACTGGAAAATGATCTTTAAGAAAGATAATATGAACATATAATTTCTCAGGTATTTGGAAAACTCACGATAAAGATTACAATGCCTTGAAATTTGAGCTCTTTAGTTCAAAATCTCTTTCCAACTAATTTTAGAAAAGTGAGATTGTAGTCCTTAATGGGTGATTAGAATAACCCTTTAAATGCCTGTTTTTATTCTTCCTGACTTTTGTAAATATGCAACACTTCCTAAAGGAGTATCCAACAATTATCTTAGCAACTTTCCAAAAGTTGAACTGGGAAGCCTGGAAAGGGTCTGAGGAATTTATTCAGCCAACTCAGCCCCACCAAGATGTTCTTAGAGTCACTTTTACTAGATCATAGAGTCAACGACCTGACTGTGGAAGGCGCCACTCTTAGCTTGTGTGATCTTCAACTGAGAATGTAAGACAAAGCCTTGCGTGAGAGTAATTTATGAGGAATGAGGAAGAGAGGGAATCAAACATGAAAGAAGTGTAGTCAATAAAAGATTTGTTAAGCTGGCTACCACAGAACCACTCGCTCACTCTCAATTCTGCAAGAGCTTTGGAGTAGGCTCATGAATTGCATTCAGAATCATCTTCCAGAGGATGAAAGGGGACTTCCAGGTTGTGCATGCTGAGTCCCAGGCAGGGTCATGCAAGCAGATTCTAGTATAAGCACAGCTCCAGGGCAGAAACAGAGAGGGCTATAGCATGGCCCCAGGGAGGTACATCTGCAAGAAGCTGATCAAAGCCTGTGAGTACCTGTTTCAGAGGCCAAAGTCAGAACTGATTGAGACCAAGAGGATTTGAAGAGGAGCATAAAAGTAGTGTGATACAGGATCTTAGAGATAATCCAGCTAAACCTGATATTTTATGGGTAAGGAAACTGCAAGCCAAAGAGCAGATTCCATGATAATTAGGGATGGCAACAGAGCTAGAATGGTGCTAATTGCTCCTAAGCCAGTAGTATATGTTGTCTCTTTTCTCCCAATTGGAAAAACAATAATTTTCACAAGCTTGGGATGTGTCTTTTTGAAATTACATTTATTAAATGAAATTTACAATTCCTTCAGAGATGCAAAAGTTTGTTATGAGTCTGTCATGCACAGAAGCCACAATCTGCACTGTGGCACAAAGTGAAATGACGAGACCTCAGGCCCTTCTATGAAAATGACATCTAACAACTCAACATACAAGTTAAGGGTATGGGTTCTGGAGACAGACTGCCTGGACTCAATGTCTAGCTCTACTATTTACTACACTGGGACCTAGGTCAAGTTAGTTTGCATCTATATGTTTCAGATTTCTCCTCTGTAAAAGGCAAAGGGCAGATCTGAGGATTAAATGTTACATATGAAGTGTGTGAGACTATGAATAGAAAGATTTCACAAATAAAGTTATAAAGAACTCTAAGCAACTGGACTAGGCCAAGACTAAAATTTCAACTGTTGCCAAATGCCTGTAAGGTTACAACTAATCATCTTGTAACTGTGTAGATAACCCACAATATGATTCTTACATATATTTTCTGTCTTCCTTACATCACGCCCCTTGAAGCATTAACACTTGACTATGTTTTACTCTCCCATTTCTCTGATGTTTTCCTTCCTCTTTGACTTAGAACGCCCTCTGATTTTTCTTTCTGGTCATTTAAATCCTATTCATTTAAGTTTCCCCAAAGTGATTCATTTCTCACTAAATGACTACATCCCATGGGCTGGCCTAGAACAGGAACATAACAGATGCATGTGCACTGAATGAGCTGAGTGATGAATCACTCCTTGAGCATGGTACTGTTTCCTAGCTCTGGATAACCCTGGTTAGGCCAGTAGGGGAGCAGGAACAAACCATCCTTTCCACAAACATTCACTGATCTACAATCATAAGCATCGAGAGAGGCTCTGGGAAAATAGCAGTGAGCAAAGTAGATTTGCTCTCTGATCTTAGGGCATTTATAATAGACTAGTAGAGCAGACAATCAACACCTATAGTAAAATAAATCTAAGTTTACCATTGTGATAAGTTCAAAGAAGGAGAGAACACGGTGTTGTAATTGAAGAATACTGAGAACTGGAAGTAGATTTGACTTCTTCAGAAAAGTCAATGTATGTGAGAGCTGAACTATAACTGCAAGGTGACCAGATGTGTGTTCTGGGAGGAATCAGAAAGAGAGAATGGCTCAGGGAGAGGAACAGCATAATTAGAAGACCTTGTAAATTGAGAGAGTTTCTCCTGAGGATCAGCTACAAGAATCCCAGTAACATCGTGAGTGGGTGCACGAAATGCAAAGGAAATATGATATGCTGCGTAAGGCCTTGAAATTATTTGAACAGCAATTTCAAGAGCACTTTTGTAATACAATATATCCACCAAGTCCACTATTATGTGCAAAATATTAGTATTTCATTTCAGTGTGCTATGTTCATCCAAGGAAAGATCATGAATATTCGTTGAATTGGCATCATTTGGGTGGAGCACCTCCCAAAAGTTGGAGTATACCCCAAATCATAATAAGTATAGTTTTAAAGTATTAATCATTCCTGCTCATGAGAACTTCTTCAATTTATAAATTCATATATATATTAAGGTTTCTAGTTTCTACCTTAAGCATGAGTGTGTGCATATATATAGATAAATATAAAGAGAGAGAATATATAGAATGTATATATAAATATATATCTATTCATGTATATTCATGCTTGAGGTAGAAACTGGAAACTTTAGGATTTGAAGGGCATTTTATTTTTTTTAAAGTACATATGGAGATATCCTATTTAAGAACTCATTTAATAAAATTTTTACAGAAATCTGGCATACCCACTACAATTTTACAAACCAAGACTTACAGATGGGTACACATCTAGTTAATGACAAAAGTGGAGTGAAACCTAGAACTCAGGGCTCCTCAACCATCATTCATTCCACTGCCCAAGAAACCTGTGGAGCTTGCTGATTCCCGACAGCCTAAACGGCAGTCCAGAAATTTTGCAGTCACTTGACTGGAACCACCGGAGGAACCTCAGTTCTGAGCACCTAATTTCCTTTTCATATGTTTCCCAAGGCAACAAATCTCATCCGCATGCACAGACGTGTTAGCGTGAGCATGTGTGTGCATGCATGCAATCACACACATATACACACACACCAGAATAAGATATCTGTACAGCCAGCATACCCAAGGCTGCAGCCTAGATAAAGAGATAGTTTTATAAAAAATATCTTCACTAATGTGATCAAAACCTTTCTCTGCCTCCTAAGAAAGCATAACGGAATCCACATGAGTCAGTGACATGTAACAGGAATAACCTTGAATCCATTCTAATATATTTTAGGAGTAAATTACAAAACATGCAGCCCCTTATTACTGGCAAATTTTCTGTGGCACACTCATGACATGTCACAGCACACTAATCTGTCCTACAAGCTCAGTTGAGAACGTCTGTGTTAAAAACTGCTTCTCGCTTTTCCTTTTCCTCTCCTCCTCCTCCTCCTCAATTTCCTTGCTTTCTTTTCTCTCATGTGCCGCCTCTACATAAAATTCTATCATTTAGATTATGTCCTGATTATCATGGGAAAAATCAATAGAGCCAAGTGTTCACTTCTTAAATGCATACTTAAATGCCTAAAATGCTTACTTATTAGTGATGAACATACCTGTACCAGCTAGGACTGAGAGGGGCAAGCCACATGAAGCCTTGATAAAATGTGAACCTTCGCTGATCCAATAGAGCGTGCATATGCACACACACAGAAACTGACACCAGCTAAAAGAAACACTCATCTACCCAAATTTCTAGTGAGGGAGCCCGTTTGAGAAACCCTTTTCAAGCATTTCAAGCATTGACAAGGTGAGGCAGGGGGCAGGCAGTCAGGAGAAGGTTATTTTGAGGGTTGGTTTAATTTATGGGGTTTATTTGTATCCTGTAACGTTCAGCAGGAAACCTTGTAAATGATGTTTGCATGCACTAAACTGTGATAACTGAACTGATGAGTTAAAGACTTGACTGAACATTTAATGTTGCTTATTAAATAATTATGACGAGGTTTGATGAATGGCTCTGAATCCGTGAACTTCCAACTGAGATTTTCAGCATGAGTTTCATTAGACAGACATGGATGGAGCCTGCTGCAACCCAGCTGCAAATGAGCTTACAAAACATTTGAACTGGAAACCTTCAGATGTGAATAATTCAGCTGTCTTGGTCTATCTTTCTTGGTCCCTAAACAAGTATTTCATTTTCATTTGATGATGAAGTGGAGGCAAATTATCCTATGTCTATGGGGCTCTCTGAAGCATCATTGCAAGATATCTCCATATGCACTTAATGAAAAATTAATCTGTATTCTTTGTAAAAGGAAAAAAAAAACTATTCAACTTAAAAACAAAAGTCTTATTCTGAGATGTTAATTAGCTCCCTTCCAGAATACTCAAGTGATGTGTGCACAATACAGGTGAGAGATGAAAAACACTACAATTTATTGAAGCCTGTGAACTTGTTCAGTATCTGAGACAGATTCATTTGTTATAATGACATGTGTCATCCACTTTTGAAATATCTCCATGTACTGATATAAAGGCTCATTAGACCACCCAGCAATATAATTTCAAAAAAGAAAGTATTGCAAATTTAGGATTTTTGTCCTATATCTTAACTCCCTTATGTAGCTGTGTCTATTCTTGATAGAAGATTTGATTTAGCTATCTACTGACAATTCATATTTGTGTTTTCTTTGCTGATAGTTTTTTTATAAAGACAAGCTGAAAATCAACCCATCAATCAAAAAGAAAGTAGTCTGTAGTGGGGTGAAAGAGATCAGATTTGAGAGAGGTGGGCTCCATTGAGAGCGGCAGTGGAAGGTGGTGGCTAGGGGCATAGAATATAAAACCTCACTAATTGTACCTAAATCCCAATTCTACCTCCACTAGCTGTACGACAAAGTACAAGTCTGGCAGCAAAGGTGTCCCTGAGTTCTAGTTTTGCTTTTCAAGTGGCTAAAACTCCATCTGGAAAAATCATTAAAATTCGTTGGCCTTGGTTGCCTCATCTGTGAAATGAAGCTATTGAATCCTGTGCATGCACATATTAAAATTTATTTGATGATTTAGCAAGTAGTTGTCCAAATAAAGTCTTTGTAATTACATAAGGGTATTCAATTGGTCCATAAAAGTGTAATTTTTAATAAAATTAATTTAAAATCTTTTAATGCAAGATCTCAATGTGAAGTTTTGTTTATAATGTGCTGGGTGTTGTTAGTGGCTTAGAAATGTCAGTGGACCTTTTCCTGAATTTCTGTCTCCTAAAAAAATGAAAAAGTATCTAAATTAATTTTTACATTAATCAAAAACAGTTTGGAAGCATTTAATAAATGACAGAGAAGCACTGAAGATCATAACTGACAATGCCTCCAGACATGATGACCATGACGTGATTCTGATGTTGTTAAACCATTTTTCCCTGGTACCCCTCCTGATGCAGTTTTTTCTCTTGCATTTATTGCCACTGATCTTAGAAAAGAAAGAAAACAAAGAAGAGAAAAGGTGTCAGACAGTGAATAGGAATGTACCACACCTTTGTACATAAGTTTGATTTAGAGAATCTGAAGAAATAAACAGTAGATATGAATAACATTCAAATCGTGTCCTTGAAGTTATTATTTTATGCCCTTATTGAAATATTCTATCACCTTTTTTAAAATGTATTCTTGGTGACTATTTCAGTCAACTTAAATAAAGGACTTATATATAGATTCCATAAGTAAAATAATAAATTTAAAAATTGGGACACATACGTATTTCTAACCAGAGAGTAGTACAGCCTGTTTTCCACTCTGCCTTGAGGGAAGGCTGCTAACTCACTCCTTCCTCCACTGCACAGCAAGCCAGTAGTGTCGCCTTGTTTATTAGCCTGTTTTCTGCTGTCCTCTAACACCCATTCCTGTATTTCTTCCACTCTTTTTTAGTCTCTGGATTAGAGAGCAAATCCAGGAGCAATAATCTAGGAATTCAAATGTAACTGTTCTCACTATTCCATGAGCAAAGCTGTATTCTAGCAAGTCTTCCTAATCTACTTCTGCATTGCTCTTCATTGAAACATTATTCTCCCTAACACCCTGCCCAGATATTTTATTTTTCTATCCTTTTTGGTTTCCTGGCATTCAACTCTAAGATTAAATGCTGGCCTTCCCTGAAATAACCCCTAGCCTTCTTTACATCTCTGTTTCCCAAAAACTATCTCCCCAGTTACAAATTTATGGTCATCATGACCTGTTTTACGTTTTGGAATTGACCAGAAAACTTCATTTTAGTGGGAATGACTGATAAATAACTAAAGCAAGTAGATCTCTTTAAAAGAAAAGAAGGAGTGTGGAATGTTCAGTTAAACACTATCTGGAAGAACTGGTGAATTTTATAAACCATCTGAAAACTAGTTCTTTGTACTATTTAGAAAGCAATTAACAGATAATTAGAATAATTAAGAATTGAACATGACTTTTTGGGGGAAGTGTTAACTATTCAACACACTACAGTACACATATTTTATTTAAAAATTGTACTGAATTATTATAATTATTTTTAAAATTTTAATAATAATGTATAAAACATTATTCTGTTGTCACATAAATAACTACATAATAGCTTTGATTTTGCCTTTTGACTCATAAGGCTAATGAATGAATTTGCTGACCTCTCTTCTATACCTACCAAAGCCCCATCCATGCCTAAATATTGGTCCCAGGTATCCTTTTCTATTTTGTACTTATCAATCATTTTTATAAGTGTCTTGAATAATTCTTTGTTTTTAAAGAACAGTTCTGACAGGAATTTATCTATCACACTATTTAATTACATTTTATTTTTCATAAAAGGAAAGGGACGTACAGTAGAAATACCACAGAAAAAGCGGTGTCTACACATGCAAATTAGTTCAGAAGTTTGTTTAATGTGATCAAGCTACTAATCTGAATGGTATAATTGATATAACAGGTTGTTCTGAAACCCATGATAGTTTAAATTTAACAGGTTTCTCCCACCCCTACTATCCACTCCCCTCAAACAAAAACCACAAAAATAATAAATAAAATAAAGCAAGCGTGCCTTTTAGTACCAAATATAAAATGTATATTTTTGGGTCCCAAAATTGACTTTGATAAATGGTGTCTACTTTTTGTCTAATATCAAATCAAAAAGGGAGAATGAAAGTATCCAAAGTGGGTCAATATTGCATCAAAAGGGAACAAATTATGGAGTTGGCTTGGGCTAACATTACAGCAACAATAACAAAATTCTTGTTCAATGTTAATGTGTGACACCCACATCAACATAACAGCAAAAGGATCAAGAATGAGGCAGGGTAAGTCATGAGGTCACTGAGATTTCTTAAAGTCCTGAGTCAGACTTCAACTGCCTTTGTGGAAAGTAGAACAGTGATGCCTTTGAAGAAAGCAAGCCATCAATCTTGTAAAATACCAAGGCAATCATTAGTAAAAACAAGTCAAACATCCATCCTCTTCTCCCACATTCCGCTACCCCCAAATAAACTGAGCATATTGTATAAGAAAAAGTCACATACACCAAATAATTTCCCACGAAGTTTTTATCTGCAAGAAACATTGTCAGAAGTTGTTAGATGCAAAATGAGAAATGAAAATCATCAGTTAAAATAAATAAACCAAATGATGCCAGAATGTTGTTCCAAGAAAAATTGTGACATTTCAATTGCCACAAAAATTCTGACACACAATAGATAACAACAAGGAAGTTCCAAGTTTCATTTATATCCAAGATTCTGGGGCAAGTGCTTTTAGTCTTTTAGGCAGTCAATAAACAGATGGTTTCGCTAGCATTCAAATCCCATTTTTTCCCCATTTGCTCTATAAAACAAGACAATCAGACTAAGGGAATAGTCATTCCAGTTTTACATAGTTGTCGTGTGCATGATAATCTGATGTGTATTTTTCTTGAAGATGTTTTGGAAGGGGAGAGGGGTGGTGTGTTTCTTTTTCCAAACAAAACCGTAACATTTAAAATTGTACTGTATCTCACAAAATGCCCCCTATCAGCAGAGAGTCACCCCAGATGCTAGGTCAGCAAGGTGAATTAGGGACCACAGAATTGCTTTGACCACAACCATGGAAACAAAAGCTGCAGGACATGCCAAAATGCCTAACTCCAAGGCATGATCTCATAGTTTAATATGATGGGCAGGCAACATAAAACTTCAGTCATAGTTCACAAAGGGAAAATGTAATTTCTTTCTCCTTCAGTGGCAGTGATTTATAATATTTTGGCTTTGGATTTTCTTAGGTTCAGGCGTTTTTTTTTTTACTGACTCCAGTTTGTGGACAAGATCCAGACTGGCAAGAGCTGCAGAGCCTGGAGATGGTGGGAAGGCAGCCCAGAGATCAGAGATCAAGAACAAAGAAGACTGAGGTCTAACCAAAAAAGAAATAAACTTTTGTCTTCCATCCGAGTCCAACTCTTTCATTTGGGATAATACAGCTTCCAGAGTTCCTGGGAACTAGACAAACCTCATGTTCCTTCCTTTGCCACAAGTTGAGCTAGCAAGGGCTGAATAGCCCTACTATGTTGAGCCAAGAATTAGGATTGATTCTTTTCTTGCTTAGCATTTTAACTTAGAAATCAACCCTGTGTTAAACAACATAGCCACTTGCAGTCTGTCCACAAAATCATCACATTGAACTTACTTCCAGGCAATAAGGAGTTTTCCCTTCCAGTTATCCCAAAATGTCTTTTATCACACACAAAAAAAATGGCCATAGTCTAATTGGTGTAAAAGATGTATGAGTATGTATATGAATAAGTGTGGGGTCATTATATACGTGTAGACTGCATACGTATTTTCCTTCAGAGTAATTTAACACATTCATTTTAATAAAGTATGAACACAAGGAACATTCCAATAAACAGATGTTTTCTTACATATATTTTTATCTCACTTCATCTGTATATACATAGTGATATAAAGTCAATTTCTTTTTGTTAATAACCGCTGAATCATTAGAGGACAATTATAGTATCTTGCCATTCTGATTGAAAACATCTTTCCAAATAAAATGTGTTACAATAGCTATTACAAGAGTTAGGTTTTAGTTGAGATAATGTATACATCATTTAAAAATTTTAAGGATGGCCAGGCATGGTAGCTCATGCCTGTAATCTCAGCACTTTGGGGGACCAAAGAGGAGGGTGGATCACCTGAGGTCAGGAGTTCAAGACCAGCCTGGCCAACATGGTGAAACCCTGTCTCTACTGAAAATACAAAAATTAGCTGGGTGTGGTGGTGCACTCCTGTAATTCCAGCTACTTAGGAGGCTGAGGCAGGAGAATCACTTGAACCTGGGAGCCGAGATCATACCACTGCACCCTAGTCTGGAAGACAGAGTAAGACTCTGTCTCAAAAAAAAAAAAAAAATAAGGATAAACCATACAGCCATTTCCCCTAGATGTTGTAGTTGTACTACTGCCTGGCTCTGAGATGATCTACATGATCTCTTAAGGTCTCTTAGCCTCCTTGAAGTTAATTCTATGGTGATACTATAAATCTAATGCAATTCAGTTGAGTCTTAGAAGGCCTTCCATGTGTGTCCAGCCTGAATAGGGGCTTTGGTAAGTGAGTTCCAGAAGAAAAACAAGGCCAGGGATTTGCCTTTGGCAAACGCACAATTGTTGTATTAAAAGAAGCAAGATCTATTATTTACACACAAGATTCAGAGAGACAGTGGGAAGAAGAGCACAGGAAAAGTATGATAGAAGAGTACACGAGGTTCTAAAATGAATATAAAGACAATAAATAGAATAATAAAAGGCCCCAAATGGAAAGACATGTTTGGGCAGGAAATCTCACAGATCTTTGAAACAGGAAGGATGATAGGGGTCAGGTAACACAAGGGAGAACCATGAAACTTAATTTCCTTAACCATTACTGCCCAAACCCCACTAAATGGGGAACCATGACTCCTGATCTCTCTGCACACATTGCTATTAGAGCGCACTACCTCTTCTGAGTTAGGCAGAGAAGTGTAGGAGGAATACTCTGCTAATAGAAATGACAGGGTTAAGTACATTTTAAATGGAATTTCAACCATGAGACAAAATTGATGCATCTCCTTTTATTGCTCAAAAGCCAATAGAATCCCTTGATCTATTCCATTCCATTTGTTTCTGTCCTGCTGAGCTAAAGGATAGAGAAGACCTTCCTTACTCCAATAAGTGAATAGCCCTGCCTCTCTCATTGCTGCTGTGTCTTTGCTGACCTATATTTCTTGCATATGGATGGATTACCACTAGTGGGTTCAACAGATGCTATAATATCATTATGCAAATGCAGGTTCACTGCCACTCGGGGATCCTATAGACTGATCACTTCATTATCAGCCTTATCAGAAAATACAAGAGAATTGTGTCCCGTGCTCAGTGGAATGAGAACATAATTTAAATGAAGTAGTTTACTGTCTGGCTCCTCTATTGGAGTAGGAGATGAGCACAGCTGACCTCAAAAGCTGGGATATCAACAGGCATAGCTCAGTAGAGGGACTGCCTGAGCTACCTTTCTGTGCTCTCCCTCCTCCCCTCTGCTCTGCCCTCTTCTTTCCTCCAAATAAGGACCTACATGAAGACATTTTACAGCATTTAATTTGTTCACCTGCTGTCATATATCCTTGAAGAATGTCTGCCTAGGAATAGAAACAGTTTAGCCCTGTGCCTAGAGAGACAGGTTGTTTAGTGAAAATCTCTCAAACCTTAGGATCAGGAAACCTGGATTCTACACACTGGGTTCACAGTATGACCTTGAGGATTTTACGTGATTCTTTTTTTAATTTTTTTTTTCAAGTCACTCGACCTATTTAGAGCTCTTGTCTATAAAATAAAGGAGTTAGTAAAGACTATCTGTAGAGCTTCTTTTAGCAGTAACATTTTATTGTTACCTGAAATTTTAATTTGATATATTTTTCCAAGGCTTATTCTATGAAAATAAAATGTGGCTATTGATACTTATTCCAATTAGAAATTATCACAGTTTCCTATTAAAATGGTGCATTTAAAATTATACTAATTCATGTAGTAGATTGTGAAATATAATGTGACATTAGTATTACTAACAAGACTAACAGACTAGAACTGGATCCCGAGTTCAGGTCCTGACACTGCCACCATGTGCTGGGCCACCTGACCCAGGTGATCAGCTCTGCCTTTATACCTAACCCAGAATGGACCTTCACATATTATCTTCCTGGAAAGTTCCAACGCAAATAAAACCTGGCATTCAATTTTCACCTTTTCTGGCAAATCTACCCTCTAGATCGTTATAACCCTCTGTTTAGATTTACTACAGCATCTCTCCTATTGTAATTTAGTTACGTGTTTTTGCATTTTTCTCTATTTCTGACTGTCGACTTCTTGAAATGGAGTCTGTCTTTTAAAATTTTTACATCTACTGCTGTCACCATGGTACACTATACCTGGCACATAATAGGGTTCTGTAAATGTTTGATTAACACAAGTCAGGAGATTCAGGAAGAGCTGATAACAAAGTCTTGTGAAAAGGTGGTATGAAAGAGAATGCCCCAGACTCAATGCCTGGGTCAGGTGGACATATTTTCCCATGGCCCCAAAGGAGAAGTGCCAGAAAAATATCTCCCAAAGACCTACAGTGCCTGTTGGAGGAGAAACTGACTCATCAACCTACAAAAGCTGTACCAAGCAGGTCTCGAGTTAATGTCAATGTTGCTGAGAGCCCTTCTCTAACTTCCAACTACATTGTCTCTGGGATTACTCCAAGCATGAGGGTCTGCCAACAGAAAGTAGAACAATTTTGGCTAGATTATGGAACAGAGTCTAGAGTCTACACCTAGCCTTTCATCTTGTGAAAGCTGTGCCTCTGAGACAATTCCACTGGCCTCTAACTCCCTGGACAAGTGAAGAGCAGTACTCACTGCCTTTAGGCTAGGAAGGCATCAGAAAGCCCAACTGTTAACTCTGGAACAAAGGTTTCACCCATCTAAATGGTAGGTTAATGACAGCTTTGCAATTATAATCCTAAAACTCATCATCTCTACCCAGATTTTTTTTTTTTTTTCAGAAAAAGCAGAAGCCCTAGCATTACTGGTGAATAAGTGAAAAAATGGTTAAGTAGACACAAGGTTCAGCATCTTCATTATTTAGCTGAGTATATCATAAAATGTTTAAATTTGAAGAGAAACTTAGAATTATCATATGTTACCATTCATTTGACAAAGAAAACCGAGGATGAGAAATGTTGGCATCTCTTCCTTGATTCCCTAATTAATCAGTGGTCACAGTTCTTCTTGCTTCTAATCTATCGTTATTCCCATAACATCAACTATGGGATCTGTTCTTTTGCATGAATCCTTTGCTTCAACTACTGATGGCAAAGCTTCTATAGTTGACTGAGATCCTCTTAAAGTCTAGTCACATTCTCTTGGGACATCACTTATAAGGGTTCAGGGCATCCCTTCATTGTGTAAATAATTATTGCATTACAATTGTTTGCCAGGCATTCTGGTCAAGCTATAGTGACATTCACAGGCAAATATTCTACATTTCCTATTTTATAGATACTTAGAATTTTACATAAACATATAAAATATTAATCATTACCCTTTTTTCCTCACCCTGTCATCCCCTGTATCAGCTAGCTATCCAATGACTAGCAAAAGATACATTGATCACTACGATGGGATCTTATGATTTAAAAAATGATGCTCAATTACAAATGGCCAACTCCCAAGAGATATTATTTTAGGGGAAGAGGGATACTAAACCTTAATCAGCTTCAAAGTTCTAAGGAAATCAAAATTGGTTGGGTAGATTTTGCAACTAGAATGGCACATTTTAGAAAGTGTGAGGGACCTATTTCCTCTGTTCTCAAGAAAGTAGCAGCATGTTGGACATATCTTCTGAAGTTGGGGATTAGGTGAGCATAGAGACCAGCACTCCCTCTCTTCTGAAGTTTTCAGAGAGTGTGAAGCCATGGGAGCACCTTGTGTCAGTGGAGCCTGAAGGAACTGTAGTGTAGTGTGTTAGGAAGGACAGGATGAAGAGGGCAGGATATCCCCATACCAGTTGCCTATGGGTCTCAGGGAGATTTAAAGATGAACATCCTGGCTCTTACAACCCCAAGGGAAGGTACTAAGAGGTTAGTCAAAGGACAGGAGGTAAAGGAACCATTGACCTAATATAGACAAAAGGAAGATCCAGCTACTACCTCCGGGTGATCTCCTTGCTAGGGAGACAGAATAAAATTGAATATTTCCTGAATAAACCCCCAAACTGCCATAATTCTTCATTTTTTCTCTTGCTGTCAAAGTCCACATATGCCGAAAGAAAAAGGTCCTGCGAGGATTAGAAGTGGGAATGAGAAGAGAGAGAAAGATAAAGGAAGAATGGATAAAGGCCAAAGTAAGTTTAAAATTATAAATTGGTTATTACTAACCAAATTAAACTGAAATTTTGCTGAATTAAATTGAATTCACAAGAACAGAAAAAGTAATCTGATATAAGTAAACTGAGGTTTCATAGCTCAAAGAAGAACTGTAGTCAAGATAACAAAACCAGTGTTTTCTTTGCACATGTCTGAATGGCAACAATTTATGCCTATTACAGGGAAAATGGAGGCTTAGCCTGAAACAAGCAAATCATATCAATTCGGAGAGCTTTATAACAGAGTAAAGAAAATGCCTTGGGAGGGGGATTACCAAGGACCCATGGGAAAAGTGGAAGGAAGATTAGGAAAGCTCTTCTTTGAACCAATTCTTGAAGACATAATAGTGGTTCCCCTTCCATAATCTTTGAGACAACTCTTGAAGACATAATAGGAGTTCACCTTCCATAACAGGTAGTCAGGAGGAAATTGGCAGGACTTGTTGTGTGGTCATAACACTGCTGACCAAGACAGAATCCGGTCTAGACAGGATAAAGTGAAAAAACTGGCAGGAACCAACAGATGGCAACAAATATGATTTCTGGCTGCCCTCATTACTCATTGGCATAAGACACTTCCACCAGCTCCATGACAATTTACAAATGTCACAGCAACAACTTGGAAGTTACTAATCCTTTCCAGGGCAAAGACATTGAATTACTACCCCTTTCCTAGAATGTTCTATTAACAAATAACCTGTCCCTCAATTGCACTAACCCACCTCTTAATTTGCATGTAATTGAAAGTGGGCTTAGGCAAGTCTAAATACAGTCACCAAGAGCCTATATATTGTGGAGTCTGAGTGCACAGCCTATGAGTTAGCCCAGCTTCTCAAGGAGCAGTATCATTCAATAAAAGATTGTTATCTTAAACCACTTTCTTGCTCTTGAATTCTTTCATGGGTGAAGCCAAAAACCCTCCCAGGCTAAACCGCAATTTTGGGGCTCCCCTGTCCTGCAATAGTAAGTTTTTATTTTCCAGGAAGTAAATGGTATATTTTAGGATACACAGACACTCTATATGGCTACAGTGGATGAAGCCAGAAAGATCCGGTCATCAGCCTCTAAAGGATAGAAGAGCAAGCTCAGGAGCTGAGGGCTAACTTATGAAATGCGGGGCCACTGAGTGTCTGATCAAGCCATGTGTCGGCAGGCTATGCTGTCACCCCTTTGCATGCAAATCAAGGGCTCATCACACAGAAAACAGTGAATGAATGTTCCAGGGAAAACAATCATTAACACTTCCTGAGTGGTTGCTGTGTGCCCAGCAAGCCTCCCCACACTCCACATATACAATTTCACCTAATCTCACCATCCTAGGAGGAAACTACTAGTACTACATCCATGTGCAAATAAGAAAACTGAGGAAAAGAAGGGTGAAGTAATTTAAAATTACAGTTTATAAAGAACAGAGGCTGGATTAGACCCAGGCTGGATGACTGCAGAGCCCACATTCATAACTATTAATAGCCCTTGGATGGATAAATGATGAATGGATTAATGAATGAGTAGATGGATATTAGAAAAGAGCCTTCTGGTGGCCTTCAAATTGCCCTTCATCGAAGATTAAAAAAATATTTCGCCAAGCTCATTTCCCTGGAATATTTTGTGAAATGTGTTGAGTTAGTAGTCAACATGAAATTTCTTTAAAACTAAATGCCATATGGTTATATTTTCAGTTATTTCCACTCTGGGTGTGAGTTGCAGTGTATCCTCAAGCAGATTCCTTCCTCCAAAGGTGTCCCAAGACCAATATTTCCTAAAGTGTGGCTCCTGAGGAGCTTATTAAAAATGCAAATTTCTGGCCTCGGCTGGGCAGGTGGCTCACACCTGTAATCCCAGCACTTTGGGAGGCTGAGGTGGGTGGATCATGAGGTCAGGAGATGGAGACCATCCTGGCCAACATGGTGAAACCCCGTCTCTACTAAAAATACAAAAGATTAGCCAGGCGTGGTGGTGTGTGCCTGTAGTCCCAGCTACTCGGGAGGCTGAGGCAGGAAAATCACTTGACCCGGGAGGCAGAGACTGCAGTGAGCTGAGATCGTGCCACTGCACTCCAGCCTGGCAACAGGGCGAGACTCCATTTAAAAAAAAGAATGCAAATTTCTGGGACTCATCTCACAGCTCCTATGTTGGCAAAGGTGGGGCTCAGTCATGAAGTTTTAATAAACTCCCCCCAAAAATCTATACACATTAAAATCTGACCAAAAAGTATACCTAGTATCATAATCCAGTATGCATATTCATACAACTACTCATAACTGAAAGCAAGGTTTCATGAGATATTTATCTTTACATTATGTAATTTACTGTTTTATATTCTATTTTATTTTCATCTATTTTAAACCACAACTCAAAACTTGAAAAACACTTATCTAGGAAATGACACTGTATAGACCAAGTCACTTTGCAGCAGTTGCCTTCCCAGTTCTGTGCCATCCCTTTAGGTCTGTTTTTTGCCACACCCCCTATTCCATACTGTTTCATCTCCCTTCTTCCATCAAAACTTACTTTTCCTTCTATTTCCCAGCTCTAGAATTGTTAAGTTCCTCTATGCTAACGTGAGCTAACCTGATCCAATAATCTGAGTTAAGGTGTTATCCATACCTATTTATAGGTATGTAATGTTTACATAGTAATCTAGAAAAACACATCACTGTCGGTTTTTTAGGTAGGATTTTATGCTCCTGGACTCCCCCCAACACACACACACACCCCCACCCCCAACGGCACAGCCTGTAAGCAGGACCTCTTGTGCCTCAGTGTGGGAGCACCTCTGTTTGGCCTTCCAACCTATCCTACGTATCCCATGCCCCAGCTTGGGCAAGCCCCTAATCTCCTTTCAGTCTAAGATCCTCATCTGTGTAGCAGGAAGATAATAAAGCCCTGACATAGCTGTTGTGAAGACTCAGTGAAATAAAATGCATGTGGGAGTGGCTGGCACAGTGATAGATACAACCATACTCTCTGAAGTAATGGATTTTCCTTTCTTGTTCTCATTCTTTCTCTTTCTTGCATCCTTTCACTTTCTCTCACCTTTATTTTCTCCCTGTTACCCTTCCAGCATGCAGATTTGATTTGTCAAGACACATCTCTTGTTCTGTGTGACTCCCAGGGACCCAGATGCCTCAGTGTCTTCTGCTATCCTCAGAATCTATGGCACTCCATTCTTGCCTTGGCTGGGAAAGGCAACACTCCATATTTTCATTCCCATTGATTGCCTCTGGGCTACCCAGCTATCTTGAAAAAAATCTGACAATATAATCCAAGAAAAAATGTGAGGGACAATGTAGTACTAACCCTCCAGGGGAGTTTGTTTTTTCATAAGGAACTATTTGTCTAGGGAGATAAAGAGTGATCCCTTAAAGGCAAAATTTTAGGCTGCAGCAGGCCAATGGGTTATGTTCAAGAAGCAGTAGCCAGGGGGTTGCTTACAAGCACCCCTCCACCATCTAGCCCAGGCTTGGCCCTATAAGAAACTGTTGTGGTTTCTTATATTAATGAGCCAGCGTCATGGGGGTCAGCTTAGAGGGAAGGATGACAAATTGCTGTCCTCTTCTGATTTCATTTGTTGTCAAAAGCCCTTTGATCCGTGACTGCTTAGTAGAGACCGAATTGCATCAAACACAATAAGAGCTGGACAGACAGCCAGCATCCCTGGGAAGCACATCAGGCCAGGCAGCCACCTGCCTTGCAAGCTGTTGGGGTGCTGGCAATTGCCTCCCCTCCCTTGGAAATATTTCCACCAACTGCCACATCCATTGCTTCATATCCTAAACAGTACAGGCTCTAGAGTGTTGCTTCTGGGAAGTAATCAGGGGAAAAAGAGGAGCACACAGTAGGTGCCAGTGTTAACTTTTATGGCTTATTAATTCGATCTATTTTCAAGTAATCAATGATAAACTGCTCTGTTGATGTTGCTAGCAGGAAGGAAAAGAAAAAAACATTCACTGAAAGAAGGTGTAGTAACTGCAGTTTTAGAATGTAAGGGGAAAAACTAAATTCATTCATGTAGACCAGCCCTGCAACCCCAGAGGAAGATGACTTATTGCAGAGGTGATTTTGCCAGCTTTACTACAAACATCTTGGCTATGTGTATATTCTTGGAATGTGAAATAAAGACTCCAGTGAATAATGAATCAGTTTTATCCACATTTTTAGCCCAGGCTGACTTCTTTGCAAATAGGCAGTAAATTATCTGTTTTCCATGGCTCAAGATTTGTGATCACACAATGGCAATTTGAAACTTTCTACCAATGTGATGGGAGTCCCTGTTGGTGCTGTGCCTCTCCAGGGTGACTTCAGCTGCCTGCTTACCTAGAGACTCCCAGGCAGTTCCATTTCAATAGATACAGATGTCTACTGCTTAAATGCTTAATGACATAAGAGAAGGCCATATGAAGATGGAGGCAGAGATTGGAGTAGCATAGCTCTAAGCCAAGGAACTTTTGATGCTACCAGAAGTTATAAGAGGCAAGAAAGAATTTACCCCCGGAGATTTCAGAAGGAGAGCTGCCCTGCTAACAACAAGATTTTGGACTTTTGGTTTCCAGGACTATGTAAGGAAAGGTATATGAGTGAGAAGCAGCTAGCATATCCCATCTGAAACATCTTGTCAAAATTCGTTTCCAATATGGCTTGGCATGGCACTGCTACTGATCCCTCCAACATCCCCAGGAGGAATGGTCTAGACTTGAAAACACTCAGTTGTGTTCCACACAGAATGTCCAGCAAAAGATTTAAAACTAGACTTCTGCCACCATGGCACATTTTATAGAGACAGAAACAAACAAACCAAAATTATTGGCAAAAATAAAGCTTCCAAGAATACCCATCACAAAACAGAGCTTCTTTTAGAAGCCAAAGCAGGCATTCAACAGGAGCTAAAGTTTTTCCGTTTTTAATCTAAGCCCAAGCCACTGGGACTCCCTAAACCTCAGCCCCAAATCCTCCAAAGAAAAAGACAGTAATTCTCCTATTTGAAAAAATATATATAAAAATATATTTTTAAAGAAAAAAATTGAGGAATAGGTAAAACAGACCATACTAAATGGATAGGGAAGGGCTTTTGGCTGAGTGGAAACAGATGCAATGATACAGAGCAGAGGACAGTACTCATGGCAGCCTATGGGACCTAGCACCCTGGGCATTGTCCAGGTGGGGCTTGATGGAACACACTGGCTCACTGCAAGATGTGGAGGGAGGAGGCCTCAGACACAGTTGGCAACTGTGGAGACTAACACTGATCCAGTTTGTTTCCGGGGAACTTGCCGACTTTTCTCTTTTCTCCTGGGACAAATCCACTGTAACCAATGACTCATCCTTTGCTGGGGTTAACTTTTTTGAGGAGCCTATCCCTTTTGGAATAGTGACACAGTGTCTTGGTCAATAGCATCCCTCTTGGTCCCCCATCCAGGACAGGGTGGATCATCATCTCTCTAGCAAGGGAAGTTCCCAACATTGCATTCTCTTTTGGATTGAAGTCTCTGATTGGAGATTGCGTACTCTTTTCTAAACTTGGGTCTAAATTGATGTTCTAGCCCCACTGTGGAGCCTGAACCTTAAAATTCCTGTACTCCTCCCACACCAGATCACTCCCTCTGTCCTCCAGGTAGATGTAGTACACCTGGAAATGTACATATCTCTTCTTTACACACTCTGGGCCTGGGGCTCAGAGTCCTCAAAAGACAAAATATCTGGGTCAGGGGTTCTTCAGAGGTGCAGCCATGGCCTTCTGTTCCTCCCTTTAATTGGAGTTTTGATTCTCCAAGATGGTCTTTCAGACATGATTCCCCTAGATCTTGCCCTCCCAAAATTCTTAGTGATATAGGAAATAAGTACTGGACCTTCCAGACTATTTGCTTTTCTATGTTGAGTTTGAGAACTCCCAATGCCACTGGCCCTCAGGTTTTCTCTTAATTTGCATTTGCAAGCAGTAGACTTGCATCTTGATGGTTTTCCTGTACAATTGGTCTGGTTTTCCTTCAAAGCTCAGGAAGGTATAAGGAGCTGGGGCATCCTGCTCACCAGCAAGTAATTCTAAGGCTTTTTTAGAATTCAGTTCATAGTCCTGCTTCAATTGTTTGGAAATGACCTCTCCTGCTTTTATTTATCTAACCACATCGGAATATCCATTCTCTTTTTGACTCATATATCCAGGAGCATCTGTATGGTAAGCTTAAGATAATAAAGAAGCCATTAGCCTCCTTCAAACCTCATTGCAGGGTATCTCAAAAGAGAGGCCAGTGGGCAATACAAGGAAAGACAGCCTTTGTGAAAAACCCAACGCAGGAAGATGAACAGAACAATCTCTCACCAGACAAGCACCTCTAGTAGGAGGCTGAAATAGCAAGTGATGAAATTCCCAGGTGTAAGAATGTTGGAAAAGAAGAGGCCAACACTCTGAAGACGAGCTCTCTGAGACTGTACACAACAGAAAGGGAAGCAAGTCAGATTGAGTCAGCATTATGATGGTCTGTGCTGTATTGAAGTAGAGAGATCAGTAGTGGATGATGGGAGCAAGTGACCAGTAGGGTCCCTGGATAAGCCAAGTCTGATGAGGGATTTCCTGAGAGGTTATGGGGTCAGGTGAGGACATTCTTCCCTTGACTGCATTGACCTTGAAAGAATGAGGGTCTGGGATTCAGTTATCACTCTCATCTCTTTACACAAACTGGAGACCATCATTATTCATGAATAATATGACTTTCTAGCTTGAATGTGAGACTGTTTCATTCTTCCTATTCTTTCACAGAAGGTAAAAATATTTGCTATTGTTAATTATTCAAAAGTCTCAGAAAGAAGGGCTTTCTGCTTATGAGCTTCCAAAAATTTTCCAATCAGTGCTGAGGACAGGTACAGAATTGCTGATCTTAGGCGCATATATGCTCCATCAGACATAAGTCTGTTCCCTGAGATCAGAGCCGTTTTGAACATCTAATCAGAGGCTTTCAGAGTCTCAGGCTGGCTCTTAAGAATCATTCCTAAGACACAGCATTGGCCCAGAAACATCAGATAAGAGAAGTAATGAGTTATCATTGCCTGACTCTGTTCCTCTAGACATATTTTACATTTTATACTCACTCAATAATCATTCCAGGGACAGAGAATCACAGGGTTTGGGACTCTATCCTCTACCCTGGAGTCTTCTATCACTCCCAGGTAAATTGATTTATGAGTTTTGGATAGAAAACCTCTGTCCTCACCCTGTTCTCCAGAAGGAAAATGTTCTAATCTTTCCCAACAGGGTCCACCTCAGATGTCTGCTGCAGTAATACAATTGACTGAGTTAAGTGGGAAAAGGAATAAGAAAAACACCAGCCCATCTACACTAGGGGGTTGGATCTAGGATTCCCTCACCTTATTTATTTCTGTGTTTTTTCACAAATGGATTTATCCAGAGGGAGTGAAGAAAAAGAAGGAAGAGCCCCCTATCACACAGGAAGAAAAGGATAGATAAAATGACCCATTAGGTTGCACTTGAGCTCATCCATGGAACTCCATGGCTGTTCAGAAAACAGAGATCTGTCTCCATTATCAAAAGGGCCTGTGATATGATTTGGCTGTGTCCCCACCCAAGTCTCATCTCTAATTGTAATCCCCAGGTGTCAAGAGAGAGACCTCCAATCCCCAAGCATCCAGGGAGGGAAGCAGTTGGCTCAATGGTGGGCGGGGATTCCCTCATGCTGTTCTCATGATAGTGAGGGAGTTCTCATGAGATCTGAAGGTTTAAAGGTGACACTTTTCCCTGTACTCTGTCTCTTCTGACACCTTGTGAAGACATGCCTTTCTTCCCCATCACCTTCTGCCATTACTAAAAGTTTCCTGAGGCCACCTCAGCCATGCAGAACTCTGAGTCAACTAAACCTCTTTTCTTTATAAATTACCCAGTCTCAGATAGTATCGTTATAGCAGCATGAGAACAGACTGACAGAATTGGTATCAGCAGAGTGGGGTACTGCTGTAAATATAACCTGAAAATGTGGAAGCTGCTTTGGAACTGGGTAACAGGCAAAGGTTGGAAAAGTTTGGAGGGCTCAAAGGAAGACACGAAGATGTGGGAAAGTTTGAAACTTCCTAGAGACTTGTTGAATGGTTTACACCAAAATGATAGTGATATTGACAATGACGTCCAGGCTGAGGTGGTCTCAGATGGACATGAATAACTCATGGGGAACTGGAGTAAAGGTTACTCTTACTGTGCTTAACAGAGACTGGTGCCATTTTGCCTCTGCCCTAGAGATCTGTGGAACTTTAAACTTGAGAGATGATTTAGCGTATCTGACTGAAGACATTTCTAAGCAGCAAAGTGTTCAAGAGGTGACCTGGCTTTTTCTGAAAGTGATCAGTCATATGTGTTCACAAAGAGATGGTCTGAAATTGGAACTTATGTTTAAAAGGGAAGCAGGGCATAAAATTTGGGAAAATTTGCAACTGGACCATGTGGTGGAAAAGAAAAACCTATTTTCTGAGGAGGAATTCAAGCCAACTACAGAAATTTACATAAGTAATGAGGAGCCAAATGTCAATCCCCAAGACAATGGGAAAAATGTCTCCAGAGCATGTCAGAGATCTTCATGGCAGCCCATCCCATCACAGGCCTGGAGACCTGGGAAGGAAAAATGGTTTCGTGGACTGCCCCCAGGGCCCTGCTGCTCTGTACAGCCTCAGACCTTGGTGCATTGCATCCCAGCTGCTCCAGCTCCAGCTAAAAGAGGCCAATGTACAGCTCAGGCTGTGGCTTCAGAGGGTGCACACCCCAAGCCTTGGCATCTTCCATGTGGTGTTGGGTCTATGTGTGCACAGAAGACAAGAGTTGAGGTTTAGGGACCTTTGCCTAGATTTCAGAGGATGTATAGAAACACCTAGATATCCAGACAGAAGTCTGCTGCCAGGGTGGAGCCCTCATGGAGAACATCTACCAGGGCAACGGAGAGGGGAAATGTGGTGTTGGAGCCCCCACACAGAGTCTCCAATGGGGCACTGCCTAGGGCTACCATCCTCCAGACCCCGGAACAGTAACTCCACCAACAGCTTGCACTGTGTGCTTAGAAAAGCTGCAGGCACTCAATGCCAGCCCACAAAAGCAGCCACAGGGGCTGTACCCTGCAGAGCCACAGGGGCACAGCTCCCCAAGGCTGTGGGAGCCCACCCCTTGCATCAGCACACCCTGGATGTGAGACATGGAGTCAAAGGAGATTTGGGAGCTGTAAGATTTAATGACTGCCTGACTAGGTTTCAGACTTGCACGGAGCCTGTGGCCCCTTTGTTTTGGCCAATTTCTCCCATCTGAAACTGGAACATTTACCCAATGCCTGGCCCCCATTGTACCTTGGAAGTAACTAACTTGTTTTTTATTTTACAGGCTCATAGATGGAAGGCACTTGCCTTGTCTCAGATAAAACTTTGGACTTGGACTTTCTGGTTAATGCTGGAATGAGTTCAGACTTTGGAGGAGTGTTGGGAAGGCATGATTGATTTAGAAATGTGAAAAGAACATGAGATTTGGGAAGGGCCAGTGGTGGAATGATATGGTTTAGCTCTGTGTCTCCACCCAGACCTCATTTCAAATTGTAATCCCCACATGTTGAGGGAGGGACCTGTAATCTCCACATGTAAATAAAAGGAGGTGATTGGATCATGGGGGCAGTTTCCCCCATGCTGTTCTCACGATAGTGAAGGAGTTCTCTCAAGAGATGATGGTTTAAAAGTGGCAGTTGCCCCTGTGCTTTCTCTCTCTCCTGCTTCCTTGTGAACACATGCCTTGCTTCCCTTTCACCTTCCACCATGATTATAAGTCTCCTGAGGCCTCCCCAGTCATGTGGAACTGTGACTCAATTAAACCTCTTTTCTTTATAAATTACCCAGTCTCAGGGAGTATCTTTATAGCAGTGCAAGTGCAGACTAATACAGTGTGGCTGCTTTGAGCAGCACTGAGCATTGGGCCCTGAGCACTGGGCCCTGAACCTGTGTATTTTGGCCTAGAGATTCAGGCTTGCATCAGAGAGCCATGGAACAGTCAACAATGGCTCTCAAGGATGGGGAAGGGGCCACAACGTGGAAGTTGAACCTCCCATCCCTGCCTCCACCATCCAGACCCCACAGCACAGACTAGATGGCTAAATCCCTCCATCCTTCTCTGGGCTTTGCTACTTTCCAACTCCAAATTTATGGTATGTCTTATATATAGTTTAGTGCAATTTTACAGTATGCAAATACAAATCAGCCAGCTTTACCTTTTGTTATTCTCAGCTCGGATGTCACTAATTCTGCAGCCCTCCAAGTTTGAAGTTGGCCCATGGATTTTTGCTAACTCTCAGATCTTTAGGCTTTTCAGGATTTCCTGTGTCCTCAAACTCAGCTTTCCTACATAATCTGGTCTTGCATTGTATTATCCCAGGCATAGAACTCAGCTTCCCATTTCAAGTTTCTGCAAAGGAATCCACTTTCACAAAAAAACAAGAGTGAGCAATGCAGCCTGATAAAGCCACTATACGGGGGACAGAGTGGGAAATCGGTGATAGCACATCTCATGGGCAAACAATGTGATAATTTAAATTTAGTAATATTTGTATCTTTTGGGCTGCTCTGTCTCTGAGGCATCTCAAGTCTCTCCTCTCTGCCCAGGTATTGGCCCACCTTGCTGGTCCCTTTCTTCCAGGTCCCCATAACTTTATTCATAATTGTACAGAATAGTTCAGCTCTTCTAAGTTTCTACCCTAACTTACCCACCTAAACCCAGCTGTATTTGAAGCCTGAGTGAGGCCTTCACTTTTAGGGCAGCTAGAGTTCTAAGAAACAATACACTTGCTGTTTTTTAAATTACACCTCTGGTCACTTACCTGTGAAAGCTTTTCTGATTTTTACATTGTATTTCCTGAGTTTTTGCCAAAATTCCTACTGGTCTCTCAATAACTACTAAAAACAATTAGTAAGCTTTTACATATACACATATATACATATGTATATATGTGTGTGTATGTGTGTGTGTGTGTCTCAGATATGTATACAGGTGACTCTTAAACAACATGTGTTAAATTGCATGGGTCCACAAATTTTCTTGCAGATTTTCTTCCATCTGTGCCATCCCTGAGACTGCAAGCTCAACCCCTCCTTTTCCTCCTCCTCCTCAATCTACTCAACATGAAGATGAGAAGGATAAAGACCTTTATGTTGATCCACTTCCACTTAATAGTAAATCTATTTTCTATTTCTTATGATTTTTTAAATAATATTTTCTTTTCTCTAGCTTACTTGATCATATGAATACTTCAGTATACAATCAGTATAACATACCAAATATGTGGTAATTGAATATGTTATCAGTAAGGCTTCTGGTCAACAGTAGGCTATCAGTAGTTAAGCTTTTGGTGAGTCAAAATTATTTGTGGATTTTTAACTGCATGGGGGCAGGGTAGCCAGTGCTCCTAACTCTCGTGTTGTCCAAGGCTCTACTTTATATATCTACAGATAATATTTGTCTTCCTATGTTCAGTGGGCATATAACAGAGTTGTAGTACTGACAGATTCATTATTAAGATTCTAAGTTGTGTAAATCAAGCACTGTATCATTCTCTTACTTTGATTTTTCTCATGTTTTCTCTACTAATGAATCAGCCTTGACAGAGAACACAGCAAACTAGTTTATGTAGAAAAAAACTATGCATCCATAACAAGAAGATACCTAAGATACCTAAAACAAAAGTGTTAGGGGGAAAAAAACTAGCCCATCAGAGAGAAAATATAATAACAACCTTAGCACAAGTAGGTGGATACCAATACAGGGCTAGACAGGAAAATAAATGAAACAGAATAGAGTCCAGAATTGATGTAAATGCTCATGGGAATTTTGTCTTTGATACAGGAGGAGGTGTTTCAAATAACTGAGGAGAAAGCTGCAGTCAATATATTGTGTTGAGACAAATGGGTAGCTAGGAAGAAATAGATTTCCAGAATAATAGGATATGAGAAGCTGAGATGTTTGTTCAACAGCACGTGGATGTGGGCCTCACTGTTCTCTCCCAGGTGATAATATGGGTCTGCTGACAGAGAGCTTCTACAGCATAACTGGATGTTTCTATATATTTCAATAAATAAAAACGCCTAGTTGGGATGGATGTGTGTGTGTGTGTGTGTGTGCGTGTGTGTTGTGTGTGTGTTGTATGTTATTATATGCATTTCTCTGGAGGGATCATACACAGCAAGTCAAAAAGGGTTGTGGCATGGCACTATCTAAGCATTCCTGATTCAGCATGCCCTGCCGTTGAGAGAAACAAATGTTTCACAGCTCCTGGACATCATTCAAGACTCTGAAAGCCAAGGGATGTGCCTGTGAGCAGCCCTGTGTCTCCTCCTGTCCCGGGTAGCTAACTCTCTTCTGAAAATACTGTGTGGGCTTCTCTGTTTATGTGCTGTTTTTTCCCATTAATCTGTGGTCTACCTGAAAAGCTGCAGAATCCAGCTATAGAATAACTACATCAGGCCTCTCTTTCTTCCAAAAAAATAAGTATCAGCAAAATTAAAGATTTAAATACCAAAACAGAAAATTGTAAAAGCATAAGATGATTTTTTTCATACTAATGTCAGAGTTGAAAACTTCTGTAAGAATGGCTCAAAGCCATCAACAATACTGATTGACAAACTCAAATACATGAGTTTTAACAGACTCATTTGTAAAAATGTTGGCCATTTTGTGAATGCAAATTTTCCCCTGGGAGTGAGGGTGGGAGTTTCAGTGCTAGTCACTATTCTCCATTAACAGAGACTTGATGTGTATTTTTACTGGTGAGTTAATCCATGGCATATAAAGGGACCAGGACAGAAAACTTTCCAAAACTTGAGAAAGAGATAAAAACCTAGGTACAGGAGTCAGAGAACACCAAACAAATTCAACCCAAATAAGACCACCCCAATGCATCTAATAATTATTTTATTCCAATTATTCTGGTAACAGATTTCTCAATAGAAATCATACAAGTCAAGAGGAAGCGGGACAATAATTTCACAGTCTTGAAAGAAAAAAAAATTGCCATGCAACAACACTGTATCCAGTAATGCTATCCTTTAGATAAGAGAGATAGTCTTTCCCAGATAAACAAAAGCTGAGAGAATTCACTGCCATCAGAATGATCTTACAAGAAATGCTAAAGGGAATTCTTCAATCTGAAAATGAAAGAAAACAAAACACTGACATGCAACAAGAAAACATTTGAAGATATAAAATTCACTGATAAAATTAAATACACAGACAAACCCAGAATACTCTAATAACACTAATAACATTATTCTAGTGTCCAATCCACTGGTAACTTTAATATAAACCTCAAAAGGCAACTTTATCCAAAATAATAGCTCCAGCAACCTATTGAAAGATGGCAATATTTTTATTAATTTATATTTTAACTTGAGAAAACATAAAGTCAAAATGTGGGGGTGATGAAATTAAAGTACTAAGCTTTTTTCTTTGTTTCTATTCCTTTTTTGCAATCTAAGATACATTGTCATCTCCTTATAATAACTTGTTATACCTATACAATGTTTTTGGTAAGCCTCATGGAAACCACAATATGAGAACATATAATTATAATAACTATTATATTTTATAATTAACAAAAATGAAAAGCAACAATTTAGAACATACAATCACAAAACAAAATCACTCAATCACAAAAAAATACACTAAGAAAAGGAAAGAGGAGTTATGAAACAATCAGAACACCAGTAGCAAAATGGCAATAGCAAGTCCTTAGTTATCAATAAAAACACTAAATATAAATGAACTCCATTTTCCAATTAAAAGGCATAGCATGGCTGAACGAATAAAGGAACAAGAGCCAAATATATGCTGCCTTCAAGAAACCCACTTAACCTATAAAGACCCAGACAGACTGAAAGTAAAGAGATGAAAAAAGATATTTCATGCAAATGGAAACCAAAAGTGAACAGGAATAGCTATACTTACATCAGATAAAACAGACTTTAGACCAAAAACGTAAAAATAGGCAAAGTCATTAAATAATGATACAGGGATCAATTTAGCAAGAGGATATAATAACTCTAAACATATACACACATAACACTGGAGCTCTAGAACATATAAAGCAAACATTAATAGATGTCAAGGGAGAGATAAACTGAAATACAAAAATAGTAGAGGACTTCAACACCCCATTCTCAGTGATGGACATATCATCCAGACAAAAATCAACAAAGAAACATCAAACTTAAACTACACCTGAAGCCAAATAGGCCTAACTGATGATTCCTTAGGAGAATACCTGTTATTTTCATCAGCACATGGAACATTCTCCAGAATAAACCATATATTAGGCCATAAAACAAGTCTCAACAAATTCAAAGATCTTGAAATTACATGAAAAATAATTTCTGACAAAATGAAATAAAACTAGACATCAATAACAAGAGAAAACTTGTAAAATACTCAATACATAAAAATTAAACAACATGTTCTTGAATGATCATTTGGTCAATGAAGAAACTATGAGGGAAACAAAAATTTCTTGAAACAAATAAAATGGAAATACAACATACCAAACTCTGTGGGATACCACAAAAGCAGTACTAAAAGATAAATTTATAGCAATAGGTATCTATAACAAAAAACATATAGACTTCAAATATAAAAACTAATTATGTACCTCAAGAAACTAGAAAAACAAGAACAAACAAAACCCAAAATAGTAGAAGGAAATAAGTAATGAATTAGAGCATAAATAAAGGGAATTAGGACAAAAATAAAATCAGTATATCAATGCAATATTTTTTTTTGAGACAGAGTCTCACTCTATCACCCAGGCTGCAGTACAGTGGTTCAATCTCAGCTCACTGCAACCTCTGACTCCGAGGTTCAAGCTATTTTCCTGCCTCAGCCTCCCAAGTAGCTGGGATTACAAGTACCTGCCACCATACCCAGCTAAGTTTTGTATTTTTAGTAGAGGAGGGGTTTCACCATGTTCACCAGGCTAGCCTCAAACTCCTGACCTAAAGTGATCTGCCCACATTGGCCTCCCAAAGTACTGGCATTACAGGTATGAGCCACCATGCCAGCAGAAATAAACATTTGTTTTTCTGAAAAGATAAATAAAATTGACAAACCTTTAGCAAGGCTAAGAAAAGAGAATACCCAAATACAGAAAATTAGACAAAAAAATTGTGACATAACAACTGAAACCTCAGAAACACAAAAAATTTATTACAGACCTCTATGAGTAACTATATACTGACAAATTCGGAAACCTAGAAGAAACAAATACATTCCTAGACAAATACAATCTTCCAAGATTGAACCACAAACAAATAGAAAACCAGAACAATGTAAAATTTCTTCAATCAAAGGAAAGCCCAGGACCTGACAGCTTCACTGCTGAATTCTACCAGACATCTAAAGAAAAACTAACACCAATTCTACTCAAACTTTTCAGAAAAATAAAGAAAAGGCCATACCTCTTAACTCCTTCTACAAAGCAAGTATTTCCCTGATACCAAAACCAGACAAAGACACAATAAAAAAAGAAAACTACAGACAACATCTCTAATAAAGATAGATGCAGAAGTCCTTGATAAAATCCTAGCAAACAAAATTCAGCAACACAGTGAAAAAACCAAATCACTATAAGCAAGTGGGAATATCCCACTGGATACTCTCCACTTGGAATGAAAACATGGTTCACCATATGCAAAACAATCAATGTGATACACACATTAACAGAACCAAGAACAAAGCCCATGTGGTCATTTCAATAGATGCTGAAAGAGTATTTGATAAAATTCTATATCCCCGTATGATAAAAAACACTTAAACTGGACATAGAAGGAACATAATCTTAAATTAATAAAGGCCAAATATGACAAACTCATAGCAAACATCGGACTGAATGGGGAAAACTTAAAAACCTTTTCTCTAAAAATTTAGAACAAGTCAAGGATGCCCACTTTCACCACTTTTATTCAACATAATACTGAAAGTTTTGGCCATAGAAATTAGGTAAGATAAAGAAATAAATGGCATTCAAATTGAAAAGGAAGAAGCCAAATTATCCTTGTTCACAGACAGTATGTTCTTATACTTAGAAAACTCTAAAACTCCACCAAAAAACAAAGTCAATAAAGTTGCAGGATACAAAATGCAAAAATTAGCATCATTTATATGTGCTAACAGCAAACAATCTGAAAACGAAATTGAGAAAGAAAATCCCATTTACAATAGCTACAAAGACTATAAAAGACCTAAGATTCAATTTACCTAATGAAGAGGAAGATTTATACAAGGAAAGCTATAAGACAATGATGAGAGGAATTGAAGAGAAGACCAAAATAATGGAAAGATATCTTATGTTCATGAGTGGAAGAATTAATATTGTCAAAATGGCAATACTACACAAACCAATTTACAGACTCAGTGCAATCTCTATCAAATTACCTACCAATGATATTCTTTACAGAATTAGAAAAAACAATCTTAAAAATAATATAGAACCACAAAAGAGCCCAAATAGCCAAAGCAATCCTGAGATAAAAGAAGAAACCTGGAGGCATCACACAACCTGACTTCAAGATAAACTACAAAGCTCTAGTAACCAGCTCAGCATGGTAACTGGCATAAAAACAGACACATAGGCCAATGAAGCAGAACAGAGAACCCAGATATAAATCCATGCAGCTATAGCTAACTCATTTTTAATGAAACTTTCAAGAACATACAATGAAGAAAGAACGGTTTCTTCAATAGATGATGGTGGGAAAACTGGATATGCAGAAGGAAGAAAATAAATCCCTATCTTTGAACATATGTACAAATTAAATCAAAATGGATTAAAGGCTTAAACCTAAGAGCTGAAACTACTAAACTACTAGAAGAAAGTATTGGGGAAATACTCCACAACTTTGATCTGGGCAAAGATTTAAGATGATAGATATCTCAATTACACTGATTTGATCTTTATAAATTATGTGAATGTATTAAATTATCACATGTATCCTGGAAATATGTACATATATTAATAAAAATAAAATTAAATCTAATATGTGATGTTTATGCAGGTATATATATACACATATGTACTTACATTTTATATATTTTTATATATATAAATGAAATAATTTAATAAATGGGTGATTACTATATTAAGGAAGAAGAAAAGAAGAAAAAGAATGGGGTATAAGCAACAATGAAAATCCATCATCTAAGAAGTTTCTCAAAACTCATTAATATACAACACCACAAACTCAAGAAGTACTACAAACCGCAAGAAGAATAATAAAGGGAATAACACTTGACCCATCATAGGAAAATTGCTGAAACCCAAAAACAGAAAGAGTTTTGAAAGCACCCAGAGTACTTGAAAAGGAGCAGTAAAAACTTATAGCTAACTTCAAGCCAGAAACAATAATGACTGAGTTACATTGTTGAAGTGCAGGAAGAAAATAACTGCCTAACTGTAATTCTGTGTTCAGTGACAATTTCCTTAACACAAAGGGGGACAATGACATTTTTAAATGATAAGGCAGTGAAGCTAATGCAAAAAGTGAGCTCTGTCTATATATACTTCTCTATACATGTACTATATATTGTAAAAATTTAATAAAATAAGATCCTATGTATACATGGGTCTGCCTCTGAGCTCTTTTCTCTTTCATTAGACTGTTCATTTATTCTTACATCATTGTCATTATTTTCAATTCCAGAGAAGTGTAATATATCAAATTACCAGAGAGAACATATAACCCTATTTTTATGCTTTATGCTTCTTATCAAATGTTTACTCATGTATTTCTGAGTTTTAGTTCTGCCATATAAAATCTAAAATTAAGTTATTAAGTTTCTCAAAATATCAAATGAGATTTTATTGGTATTGAATTGAATTTGTAAAATAATTGAAGAATATTTATACCTTTATAATATTGTCATGCCATCTAAGAACATGGACTGCTTCTCTATTTACCCAACTAAACATCTATTTTCATACAGTTGCATTTTCTCTTGAAGTTCCAGATGACCTTATTTAAATTTTTAAGAAACTGATTGCTTTGTGAATGGTTTTGACTGTTGCTATTAAAGAAAAGTGCTATTTTTTTTTTTTTTTTTTTTTTTTTTTTTTTACACGGAGTCTTGCTCTGTCACCCAGGCTGGATTGCAACAGTGCAATCTCGGCTCGCTGCAACCTCCGCCTCCTGGGTTCAAGCGATTCTTCTGCCTCAGACTCCTGAGTAGCTGGGATTACGGGCGCAGGCCACCACACCCAGCTAATTTTTGTACTTTTAGTAGAGATGGGGTTTCACCATGTTGGTCAGGCTGGTCTCGAACTCCTGACCTCGTGATCCGCCTGCTTTGGCCTCCCAAAGTGCTGGGACTACAGGCGTGAGCCACCGTGCCTGGCTGCTATTTGTTTTTATCATCTATTTTATTAAGCTTATTGATTCAGTATGTGGGTATATATGTAGACAATTATGCTGTATACAAAAATTGAGACAAAAAGAGAAAGCAAAAAAAAATGAAAGAAATTAAATGAAAAGCCTATCTTCTTTGCAATATTCACACATCCCATTTATTTGTCTTATCCTATTATATTGGTCGAGTTCTCTTCTAAATGTGAAATAATAGAGTGATAGCAGACACGTTTTTATTTCTCTTCTAAATTTTCAACAATAAGTATGATATTTGATGTAAGGTTATTTGTTGCTAAATTGTACCAAATAAATACAGCATTCAATCTCAGAAACTATTAAAAAAATACCCAGGAACTTAAAAGTATAAGAAAAGAAATAAAATCAACAGCATAAGTTAATAAAAACAAACAAAACTAATGTAATCAAAAAATCCAAAGTTGGTTATTTAAAACATTAGTAAAATGTGAACCACTGGGAAGAAGAATCATGAAAAATAAGATTTCATATAGAAAATAGGACTTTATTATGAAAATCAAGGAAAGAACTATATTTGAATAAATCAAAAGTAATTAGAATAATTGACTCACAAATTTATATTTTTTTTCTGGAAAGAGGCATCAGCCAGGCCCAGAAAGTTCTGTGGGGTGTTGTTACCAAAACATGAAAGAACAAATATCCTGCTCTTTATTTTGCACTTTTTGTTAAACATTCACATATTTACTCAAATCCAATTATTTTCTCTCTCCCATTATTACACCTCTGCTCCATTCCCACTTTCTTTCTCTCTTATAAGATGTATATTGAAACTTTTCATTCTATCCTTCCTCCCTGCCTCTTAAAAATTTTTAACAATTTTTATTCAGTTCTATTTAATTCACTAATTCTTTCCAGTTGTACCATTCTGTTAAATATTTCTCCTAAATTTTATTTTAATAAATATGATATTAGTTTCTGATGCCTGCAATCATTTCATTTTCATATATTCCTTTTTAAAGAAAATTTCTCTCTTGTTTTCAAAGATAATAACTACTTTTTTGGATGACATCATTTTTAATGTTTCTTTCCATATGAGTTCTGTATGTTGAATCTTTCATAATGTGTTCAGTAACTTTTATTTAGTACCACTATCTTTGTCCTCTTGTCTGTACAGCCCACAACAGGTTTTATATTTGTATTTTGCCCTTTCCTCCTCAACTGGTAGTGCTGTTTTGCATGCTTTTGGTATTTCTTTTTTGTTACTCTGTTTTTGTTTTGTCACTTCTCTCTTGTTTGTTTGTGTTTAGATGCATTTCTTTCTTCCTAGGCCACTGGCAAGAGGTGCTTCTCTGACCATACCCAAGACGGTTGTAAAATTTATTTGAACTAGAGTTCACTAACTAGCACTAAATCCAGCCCCTAACTCTGACATGCAGATTGTGTTCTCTGCCATGATTTACACATGGTTTTAAAAGTCCTAAACCACTCTGCCTATATTTTCCTCCACTTTCTTCTTGGTACTAGATTTTGCTCTTACTATTTAGAGTTTTCTAACTGGAACACACATTTTATCATCATGTATCTTACACACACACACACAATTCTCATGTGTTGGGAGCTGGGTTGTAGGGAGATAATGCATGTGTATACCACTCTGTCTTAACCAGGAGTTTGTTCCCTTTATTATTCTATCAACTTTCTGGTATTTATTCTATTTTTATTATAAAATTTTCAAATATATGGAAAATTCAAAATAATCATCTTAAAAGTGAGATAATTTTAACATTTTGCCACATTTGCTTTATCTACATTTCCACATGTGTGTATCTAATTGATATTCAAATTTCCCTAATTGTCTCCAAGGTGTGATTATGACTTTTTTCTTTCTAAACCAATCTCTTTTTCCTTATCAAAATAAGTCAGTTGTTATATAAACAGTTCCACATTTTAGAGTTACCTGATTGTTTCCTCATTATATTGCTAACCTGTTATTATATAATCTGTATCTCTTTAAAACTGAATTTAGGTCTAAAGGCTTTGTAAAATTCAGATTAAACATTTTTGTCAAAAAAAAACCTCTAGAGGTGATGCTATGTACAACACGTTACCACATCAGAATGCACATATCAAATTGCCAATTATTAGCAATACTAAGTTTGATTATTTGGTTAAGAGAAAACCACCAGATCTCTTGACCCTAAAGGTATCATTTTCTTTTGCAACTTATAAATAAATGGTAGAGTGGGGCTCTAGCAGTTTGGAAATTTTCTGTTTCCCACAAACTTCCACCTAATCATTTTAGCATCCATTGGTGATTCTTGCCTAAATCAGTTATTTCTTTAAAGTTTGCTGAACGTTGATTTTCTAAATCTATTGTTTCTTCAACTATGTTAACTGGTACTCTTCTACAAAACAAAAATCCTTTATCAACTGTTATATATTGATTTTTTGTGTTTCCCGCAAAGATGTATATGTTGAACTCCTAGCCAGCAGTGTGATAGTATTTGGAAATGGGGCCTTTGGGAGATAATTAGGGTTAAGTGAGATCATGAGGATGCAGCTGTCATGATGGGATTAGTGCCCTAATAAGAGGCAGCAGAGAAAACTCTTTCTCTCTCTTTTGTCTTTACAATCAATTATAGGTATTTTTTTTTGTATGCAACTTTTTACATTCAAATTTGCCCATATTGGTCAATGAAAGCCTCTGCAAACTGGCATCTTATTTCTCTTGATATTCCTACCTTAGACTCTGGATGCATCGTTGCTTTCTGGCACAAGAAGATGCTCCAAACTCAATTTACATATTCCCTATCTTAGATAGAGTACCAGCCATTTCTCCAAAGATCCATGATTCCTTTTAATGAGGAAACTGAGATCTGATTGCTAGATGTTTTCATTGCTAATTCTTTGTTGTAGGGGTTGTTCTGAGTATCACTGGCCTCTTCCCACTGGATACCAGTAGGACCTTCCCAGTTATAAAAACTAGAAATATCTCCAGACATTGCCAAATATGTCTTGAGGGTCAAAATCACCCCAAGTTGAGAACCTGTGGCTTACAGGAATGAAAGCATTACGTGAATACTCTTCTAAGCCTTGATTTGTTCCTTTTGATAATTCATACTGAAGATGACTCCAAATAAGCACATATAGGTAATCTTCTTTATGTCTTAAGTCCTCATGGTACTCTATTTTGCAGCAGTATCAGAAAATCCATTTAAACACTCCCTACTTCTGGACAGAGAATAAATTTGTGTCTTTGTTCTTCATATGCATTGAGATATATCTTTAGGAAAGATTCCTAAGAATTAGATTTCTGATTAAAAAGCAAAGTGCATGTGTAATTTTGTTTTATGTTATGAAATTTTCCTCCATAACATTTGTACTGTTTTTCATTTCATCCAGCAATGTGTGACAATGCCCATTTCATAACAGTTTTGCCAACACATTTTATTGTCTGGGGAGTGGAGAATGGGCTGGAGGGTGGTGATATGGTTTGGCTCTGTGTCCCCACCCAAATCTCATCTTGCAGCTCCCATAATTCCCATGTGTTGTGGGAGGTTTCAGGTGGGAGATAATCAAATCATAGGGGTGGATCTTTCTCGTGCTGTTATGATAGTGAATGAGTCTCATGAGATCTGATGGCTTTAAAAATGGGAGTTTTCCTGCACAAGCTCTCTCTTTTTGCCCGCCACCAAACACATAAGATGTGACTTGTTCCTCCTTGCCTTCTGCCATGATTGTGAGGCCTCCCCAGCAACGTGAAACTGTGAGTCCAATTAAACCTCTCTGTTTTGTAAATTGCCCAGTCTCTGGTATGTCTTTAGCAGCAGCATGAAAACAGACTAATACAGGTGGATAATAGGGGTTTTGCTAATTTAATAGATGAAAAGTAGTATTTCCAAGTAGTTTTCTGCATTTCTTTTTTAATATATCTAAGAGCCACTTCCCACACACACTCACCCTACCCCCATTAACTCCATGTTTAAATCTTTTTCCTGTTTCTTTTTTCTGCTACATTTTCAGGTTTTGTCATCTCTATTTTTTAAGAACATTTTACATTTCAGTAGATATTCTTTAATATAATTTAGAATTATTTTTTGATTTGTTATTTGTGTTTTGACTATGCTCATGGCAGTTTTTTCTCATTACTTTTTGTATTAAGATTTTTCCTTTATTGCTTCTGGGTTTCGAGTCATTGTGAGAAAAAAACTTTCCACAATTGGAGATTATAAAATAATTCCATTTTTATATTGCACTTGATATGGATCAGCTCTGGGTCCCCACTCAAATCTCATCTTGAATTGTAATAATCCCCATGTGTCAAGAACGGGGCCAGGTGGAGATAACTGAATCAAGTGAATCATGGGGGTGGTTTTCCCCATACTGTTCTCATTACAGTGAATAAGTCTCATGAGATCTGATGGTTTTATAAATGGGAGTTCCCTTGCACAAGGTTTTTGC
The DNA here is from genome assembly GCF_000001405.40 of Homo sapiens. Taxonomy (NCBI): domain Eukaryota; kingdom Metazoa; phylum Chordata; class Mammalia; order Primates; family Hominidae; genus Homo; species Homo sapiens. The sequence goes on from NC_000018.10 coordinate 44,493,526, forward strand.
CTGCTGCCATGTAAGACATGCCTTTGCTTCTGTTTTGCCTTCCCACATGATTGTGGGACACCTCCCCAGCCATGTGGAACTGTGAGCCCATTAAACCTCTTTCCTTTATAAATTACCCAGTCTTGGGTATGTCTTTATTAGCAGTGTGAGAACAGACTAATACACACTTGTATGTTCTTACTTTTTATATTTTTATCTAAGATCTATTTAAAATTTATTTGTGTATGGGTGCAAAGTAAGTAATAAAATGTTATGGCCATCGAATATTTTTTAAACTGTTTATCAAAAGCTCTATTTCTTCCATAGTATTTGAAATGTCACCTTTATTATATACCAAATTTCCATATATCCATAAGTTCATTTTTTTAGTCTTCTGTTCTATTCCATGAATGGATTTAGTTTTTCTTATCCTGATACCAAAGTGTTTTAAATAGAGATATTGATAACGTATATTTTTAACTTAAAATGAGTATCAATATTATCACTGCACCTATTCAAAATGTTGCTGGCTGGCCTTGCCTACTTGCTTTTCCTATAAACGTCAGAATCAACAGGGCTAGCATCCAAAAAATAATCTATTATTCAACATGGAGCATCTATTTGTTCAGGTCTATTTTTGTCTCTTTTCAAGATATTTAAATATTTCCTCATACAGATAGTATACATTTCTTACTAAATATACATACCTGGATATTTTATTGTTTTATTTGTATTATAAATGGGATATTTACTAATAGTTTGATAAACTAGACTTCATCAAAATTATTTTGATGTGTGTTTAAGATCATTTCAGGAAGATCAATACTAACCTAGATTTAGGGAAAAACCCATGGTTCTGTGATATGTAAAGGTCCAAACTAAAATCATGAATAAACATCCCATAATAAGTTAGATGAAGAGAGCTTATACTTCTATTTTACTAACAAACTAGCATAATATAGTTGAATAATATTCCTTATTGATATGTGGCCTGATTAATCTGAATATTAATAAAATCCAGTTTAATACTAATACAGTATGTTAATTTATGAGATAGTTTGAAATTAAATATTTTGCAAATAGATAATCATACAGATTTTTCAAAAGCATAAGGATATCAAAAAGCAAACTATTCAATCTCTTGTTATGTGAATGAAATTTTTTCTACTATTAAATGAGCCGACTGGCCAGGCACGGTGGCTCAAGCCTGTAATCCCAGCACTTTCAGAGGCTGAGGTGGGCAGATCACCTGAGGTCAGGAGTTCAAGACCAGCCTGGTCAACATGGCGAAGCCCCGTCTCTACCAAAAATACAAAAATTAGCCAGGCATGGTGGTAGGTACCTGTAATCCCAGCTACTCGGGAGGCTGAGGAAAGAGAATCACTTGAACCCAGGAGGCGGAGGTTGCAGTGAGCTAAGATAGCACCGTTGCACTCCAGCCTGGGCAACAAGAGTGAAACTCTGTCTCAAATAAATAAATAAATAAATAAGCCGACTGAAAAAAGTAAACAAAATGAAATTAATAACTTTGGATTGTCAAAAAAACACTGTTTAGAAAATGAAAAGACATGCCACAGATTAGGAAAGAAAGTTTGCAAAACATATATCTTATAAAGGACTTGTACCCATAATATATAGTTTCCATAATTTAATGTATAAAGCAAAAATCTCAATTAAAAAATAGACAAAATATTTAAATAGACCCGACCAAAAAATATATTAGGTGGATGGAAAAAAAAAACCGTGAAAAATGTTCAACATCATTACTCATTAGAGGAACACAAATGGAAACCACAGTGTCATACCACTACACACCTGTTAGAATGCCTCACATCACAGGAGGTCAAAGGGCCTCACCTAACTCCAAAAGGGCAGGGAGGTATGATCCTAGCCTATGCTCAAAAGGAATGCAGCAAATATTTAGCCAACAGCACAGATGACTATCTCACAAGGTCTTCAGGGCTCTACATGGTCCTTCCTTTAACAACTACTCACACCTAATTGTAAAACATCTCCGTCTTGCTCCCCGTCCTTCGTCTTCTCAGCCTTTTTTAAAAATCCTTCATACTTTCCATGTTGCTTTCAACCACTGGACTTTCTCACATAAGTGATCCTCTCCCTCGAGTTTTCTTATCTCTCTTGACCTAGTCCAGTTCTACCCATCTGAAAACACAGCTGACTCTTAATTCATAGGTTAAATGCCCTTCCTCCTTCAGAATGGCTGGAAATTTAATACGGATTGTAAAAGTATGTGATTAACATCTCTTTATCTACTAGCCCATAAAGCTCTGAGGGAATGAAGACTACCCTTGATTTTACTTTCCCTTATCTCTTTAGTACCTAGTACAACTGTGGCACCTTTTAGGTATTCACTCAACATTGTTGAATCAGTGTGTGAATGAAATAATAAGTAAAAAAAAACATGAAAACCCAGAAAATTGAAGACGGGCAGCAGAATCATTAAGGACTTTTTTTTTGAGACGCGGTCGTGCTCTATTGCCCAAGCTGGAGTGCAGTGGCGTGATCTCAGCTCACTACAACCTCTGCCTTCCAGGCTCAAGCAATTCTCATGCATCAGGCTCCTGAGTAGCTGGGACTACAGACTCACACCACCAGGCCCGGCTAATTTTTGTATTATTAGTAGAAACGGGATTTTGCCATTTTGGCCAGGCTGGTATCAGACTCCTGACCTCAAGTGATCCACCCACCACCTTGGCCTCCCAAAGTGCTGGGATTATAGGCATGAGCCACCGAGCTTGGCCATTAATCACCTATAACTGAAAAACACGCTCACCTCTCCCGGAGGCTTTTGCTTCAAAGCTTGGATGGAGTGTAAAGAAATGGCATTTTTATCACTGAAGTAAGGTAATGCTGATTATTGATAAAAGCCAAGAGGTAATTTAAAATATATTAAAATATATTCAGATATCAAATGAATGTATTATTTCATTACATATTGCCTCTAAAATACAATGGTCTCTAGAATCATGGAATTATAGAATGTTAGAAGTTGAAGAGACTTAGAGGTTTTTTAAACCAGTTGACTTATTTTACAGAAGAAGCAGCTGAGCAAGTTTCTAGTTTAGAGATGACATTGAGAACACTTCTTCTGATTTCTAGTCTAGTGATGCTGCTTATTCCTTTTCATTTTAACTTATAAGTCCTATTTTTATCCTCTTTTAATATATTCATAACTGTCTTTTTTCCAATAGGTATTTATTGGACACCTATGTTAACCAAAACTGACCTCATCACAATTTACATACCTTATCATCGGGCACATATGGAAAGCAAAATAATTATTCTTTTGTATGCTCATTTGTTTAAATCCTTAAATATTGAAGTTGTAAATATTTTAATATGTATTTTCTCTTTTTATAGCATTGACAAAATATTGACTAATAGATTTATTTCTTTACATTGTTTTAGAATCATGGCTCCCAAAGGTGGCAGATCATGTCACCAGTTCCCAGATGTATCACTCCGATATTCTGAATTTTAAATGCAGATTTTGGGTATCCCCTGAGAATTCATATTTTTAAAAAATGCAAGCAATCCAAAAGCACAGCCAGGTTAGAAAATCACTGTCTTAGAGGATTACCAAATTTTGATAAACTTAAAAGCTAATCTTATGAAACATACCTAGCCCAATCTAAAATAGTGATAATAATACTTGATGGTAATATCATGTAATAGAATAAATGAATTACCTAAGGCTTTTTATTGAAGCACCCAATTATTTGCACATGCAAAATGTAGTAGAAGCTGGATTGGTTGAACTGATAAAATAATTTAGAATGTGAAATGTCTAAGTCCTATATTATTCAGATTTAGAGAGCACCCCTCCTGACATTTCTTTCCGCTGCTTCACAAATGCCATCATCTTTATGACTGTAGCCTTTTTACTTTTCCTTACTGCTATTGCCTTCCTGCAGACTTTATAGCAGCTTTGACAGTCCCCCTCTTGATTCATTTAACTCCCCCTCCTTCTCTCTGCTGTCTTTTTCCTCCATCTATTTTAAGTTACAAGGAAAGACAAGAAAATCACAGCCTAAAGGCTTTCAGAATTTAACGTTTTCACTCTATGGAATATATGAATCACCCACTTGCACATTCTGGGGTTTAGTTATTTGCTTCTTTTTCCGAAAGAAATTGTTTTTACAGATAGCAAAAACATGTATTTAGATATTGACTCTTTTTTGACACTCTCTCCCCTCTGAAATATCCCTTGCTCTCTGGTCATACTCAAACATGTTCACAATATGTGACCAGCAAAATAAAACAGAACATGACTAATATGGCACAAAATCTTCAGTGGACAGCATCTTTAAACTACGTAGTTATATGAATCTGGCCTTAGTTAGTAGAACCAATACAAGCCACTCACTAACAGTAGTTCAAGATTTCATTCCAGGCTAAGCTCTGGGAAGGAGGAACACTGGCATGGTTTAAGGCCAGTTGTACTTTTCCATCTAGGTGCCAGCCAGGCCCCAGAGTTTATGATATCATGAAGGTTAAAAACTCTTGTGTTATTAGGTATCGTTTCTTCTATGGAACCTGCTTTTTGGTCATCTTTCTGAAAATCTGTTTCTCAGAAATATATTGAGGGTTAATATGAATCTAGCCTGAGATGCGTTCCACTAGTGAGGAGTCCTGACACTTGCAATCTAACCAGACCAGGAAGAGAACTGATGAAAAAATGGCAGGTAATGGAGATCTAAACCAGCTGCTGATACTTTGAGAAGAAACACATGCCTGGATGAGCTTTCCTCTGTTTTGTGTTTGCTGCTGCTTCTCATTGTCAGAATATTAAATCATCAAGGTTCAGGGAAGGGAACCAGGATGGCTGTATTTAGTCATTGCTACTGAGCCCTCAGACACAGCCCAGCCCAGTTGTGAGGTCTGGTACCAAAGCTGTATAGACATAAGCCATGGATGTGTTCCCTATTCCTCTTCAACATTTTCTCTCTTAAATCTGCTTCTTGCCATGCTATGTGACTGGATAAAATTGAGAGTTAGGGACTTGAGATCCTAGGTCCTGACTTTCTCACTGTCTCTTCTCTCATTGAAATACAACAAAGAATAATCTTTACCAGAGAGAAAACGGTGAGTGTCAATGGCCATTGAACAGTGTATGTCATAAATCTAAAAATGAACAAGATTCAGAGTTGCAGGTCAGCACAGCCAAGAACTGACGGAAATAATAAAACAGAACAAAACAATGAGTGAAGTTTTTAAGTAGCAGAAGATCCAGATAGACACAGGGAGCATCAGACAGAAATCTGAGAATTAACATAATCATAATATACACACATACAAACACAAACAGAGCCAAGCCAGGGCCAAAAACAATTTCCAAAATAATTCTGTCCATGAAGGCCTCAGATTTTGGAATCCCTAGGCATTCAAACCTCCACTGGTGGTGGTAAATTCTACACCAGGGTACTGTAGTTTTGTTTTTTTTTTTTTTTTTTTTGAGACGGAGTCTCGCTCTGTCGTCCAGGCTGGAGTGCAGTGGCGGGATCTCGGCTCACTGCAAGCTCCGCCTCCCGGGTTCACGCCATTCTCCTGCCTCAGCCTCCCAAGTAGCTGGGACTACAGGCGCCCGCCACTACGCCCGGCTAATTTCTTGTATTTTTAGTAGAGACGGGGTTTCACCATTTTAGCCAGGATGGTCTCAATCTCCTGACCTCGTGATCCGCCCGCCTCGGCCTCCCAAAGTGCTGGGATTACAGGCGTGAGCCACCGCGCCCGGCCCGGGTACTGTAGTTTTAAATAGACTTTAGTCTATTTCAATTTGCCTATGTCCTACATAGCTATAGTAGGACATAGACATACTAAAACATAGACACATGATTCGTCTTTTGAGAAACAAAAGAATCTGGCTGTCTAGAAAGCATGCCAGATCTAGGTAGGGTCACATACCTCCATGGAATCTGAAGCTCAAAAGGGTGTCTCTGTTTTCAGAGCATTAACCTAGATTTAAAACAGAAGTGGGAATAATGCAGACAGGATGTGCATCTGAGATCATGAGCTTCTTTTCATTGGCTTGTCCTCTCCACTATTACTACTATTGATACCACTACTGGCAGTACTACTCCTCTGAATGTCACTAAAATAACCCAGATGCTGTCAGGGTAACTGTTTTCATGACTAAGATCCACTACTTTAGATATAGACCTTATTGACCCACCCAAGCTCCATTTTATTGTTGTGCACTGACACCCACATCTCTACATTTATCAGTCTTCCCACTTCACTCATAAAGTGGTCTTCTCCAAGAACTGGAATTCTGATCTATCATAAGGTTAAACTTCTCAATTAAGGTCCTCTGTATAGACATCTTCACTGCAAACAAGAGGTAGAATTTCAAAATTGCAGAAACCAAATAGAAAGTCAAGACTGGAGAAAGAAACATCCTTTAAAGTCATTTCAGTCAGACCCAGTCCACTGCTGGACTCTCTCTTAAACATTGTTTATTTTTCACCTGACATTCTCTTTTATAGAAGTCATTTAAGTAACCAAAGATAGTCTTTTCTTATTCTGACTGAACAGTTATATTTTCTACCATTCACGTTGCTAGTGGTAGCAATGTACTTTAAAATGACGCCATTAAGAACTGGACTTAATTATTTAGATATGGTTGGAGTAGCACAGACCCAAGCAAAACTGCACCTCCTTTGTTTTAGATTATAAGTCTAATTCAATGATTAGTTACTTGGATGATAGAATAGGAAGGGGAGAATAAGAATAGGGAGTTGAAATGACAATGATAATTTAGATCATCTGAGCTTAAAATTTAGATATTCTGAGTTCAGCATTATGCTTAGTATCTATATAGTATTTAGGAATTCCAAGACAGTCTTATATTTACTATAAGAGTTGACCTACACACCAAGCCATTATGATAGATACGACAAGGTGATAGTTCACACTTGATTTTCTTATGAAACAAAGTATTTCCATGTAATTGCTTAAAGCTGAAGCTACTCTTATCCCATCTTCCTGGAGCCTAAACCACTAACATAGGTGTATTTCCTTCAAAGACGTCACTCCCACACATCTATCCTTCGCTCCAGTTATTAAACAACGAGATACAGAATTTGGCAACAAAAAAACACAAGGCACATTTTGACACTTGGGTATCTGAAAAGACAAAATTAACAATGCATTAATGCCATGTAAATCTCACCCCTCTCCTCTTTCGTTTCAAAATATCATTTTTATTTGGATCACAATTCACTTAAAAATAAGGTCCTTCCTGTCTTTAACATAATGGAATCAGCTTGCTTCCTTATCCTCTTTCTCTTTCCCTTGTACCCTTGGTCAGTGTATATGTATATGTGTCCCTGTGAATGAAGGAGAAGGGACAGATTTCCCACTTCCACCTCTAGGATTCTGGCTTTGAGATTAAGACGCCTTAGGAGTGCATGTCTGCATCTGCCTTGGAGGCTGTGTCTATTTGGACATGAAAGCATCATGACCTACTTATATGTAGGCCCCACCAGGTGGATCCTCAGATTCACTCCTCTGTTGTTCTGGCTCTCTTGTATCTCTCCAATGTGCCAGATGTTTCTTAAATTGCTCTCTCACTCAGTAAATTTGAAATCAGTGGTGCTTGGTGGTAAAGGGAGAGGGCTGTTGTTTCTTAATTTTGTTTCCTTCCTTTGAACACTCCTGCCACATCTGTGCACTGACAAAACTATCTCAAGTCCCTCCCTCTGTGGCAAATTTTGGTTTTGGGTTCTAAAGTTTCATTAGCCCAAGCAATGTCTCCTGGAAGCTATTTCATTCTTCATAGCTGCAGGCAGCAGAAGCTAACACTCTCAAAAAATGGAGAAAAGCAAGAATCTTATTGTGGTTTTATAAGTGTCTCTTTGATGCCCCTTTGCAGGTGCGTATATAAGGCTGCTGAGCTTCAAGAAAAGTTCCATGCTGAATTCCTGTCTGTGGTTTCCTGTAAGCTGCCCCTTCATCTTCCTGGGAACTTATTAACTTTAGCAGTTATTACAGAGAAGACTCAGTAGCCCACAGAAACCTTCAGAGTAATCAAAATCCCACCAGTTATTTTATGGAAGCATTCTTTGTTGTCCAACTTAATGGAAGAAGTGTACAATATAGTGGAAACAGTATTTCAGGAAAACTGAATGTGATTCTAAGCCATTCCACTAACCAGCTGCATGATACTGAGAAAATTATTTAACATCTCTGGAGCCAGTTTTTTCATCTTAAAAAAAATAAAGAGTTGAGTCTATAATCTCTATGCTTTCTTCCAAGTTTACCAACTTATATCTTTTATTAATCTAATTAATATTTATTGCCTGCTCTTTTCTACCACACTTTATGCTGGATGACTCTAGAGAAGTAATGATATATAAAATGCAGTATCCAACCTCAAAGCATATAGTTTAATTGGTGTAAAAACTGTATGAACCAATAAATAAGTGTAATTCATGATGTTGAGTATTATAAGCAAGATTCCTGGTAAGGTAAGGTAGTTGAGGAATTCCTAATTCAGATTGTGGGGAGAAAGTGAATAATGAACATTGGATTCTATTTACTTTTCCATTTCTCAATTGTTCAAGAAAGAGTAAATTACAATCATATTACGTATATATATAAAATACAGTTGTTAGTGGTAATTGTTACAGGGTTATTGAAATTATGTACTGGTGCTAGATATTATAATGAACCCTTAGCATGTGTTACTGCTTTTAAAATTAAAATAATTATGAGGTAGGTACCATGTTTGGTACTTAACTCTAGCTGCTGAAACAAACGTTCTAAATGTTAGTAGTGTAGATTTGGAAGCTTTCTGCCAATTGATAACTCAAGGTTCAGCTGATTGCATCTTTGTCATCTCAGATGCATAACCTCCAGTTTCTTGCAGAGAAGACAGAGAATCAAGTCTCATTCCTCACAATGCTCTTAGTCCCACTTCCCATTTCATAAATACTGACCTGGTTGTAGCTCTATGAATAGCCATATTATTTCATTTATCCTCTCTTTACACATACTACATGTTTAATCTGAAAGTGATTTTTCCTTCTTCCCTCTTAGCAAATTCCTATTCTTTCTCTTGCAAATAATTTTTTAACTATTGTATACATTTCTAGGACTATAGGAAATTTGGTTCTTCTTGTGTGATGCTAAGTGGCAAAAGCCAGACTCACAGTCAGGCCAACACACACGTATTATCCTCTTCCCAAATGTACATTGTTTTCATTTGACTGAATGTGTCAAAAATCACACTCATCTTTCACTATACCTTTCCTTTCATGATCCTTACTATTTGTTGATAGCATGATTTTTCTTTCCCTGACATATGGGCCTGACTCCTTATGCCTTGAAACTGACTTTTTAATGATACTGATGGTGTTCTATCTGCAACATAGCTCATGTTTATACTTTCTCCTCTTTCCCATGGCCATGGCCATTGGCATGGTTCAGGTCCCTGTCACCTCTTTCTCTGATGATTGTAGGAGCTTCATAACCTCTAGCCACTTCCCTTTTCAATGTGTTTTACTTCTGCTTCCAGACAGTTACATTTCTTTTTTAGTTTTTATCTCCATAATGCCTTCCATAGTGACTTACAAAGAGAAAATGCTTAATAAATTACTTTGCCATTGACAATTACAATGATAAAGATTTATTAAATAATCAAAATAACTATCAGAGCATACTTATAAAGCCTACAAATTATAGAGGAATAAATGAATGTGATTACCACAAATGAACTTGCAATGTTTTTAGAAATCCAAAGATTTTAGAAGTAACATTAAGAGAACAAGTATAGATAAGTTTCAGTTGTGTGTGAATGTGTATATCTGTTATGTGCCTAAGCAAGTATGCACACACACACACAGATGAAAAAATCCATCTTGTAATAATAAAACTACTCTATATTCAGCCCTCTTTTTCAAACAATGTAAAATTTCTTAGTGAGGTTTATTTCATAAGTCTATCTAAAACCATATTTTAGAAGGTAAATACAAAGGAAATATATAAGAAGGGCTCTGATCAGAAAAAGCAAAAGGAAGGACTCTATTTTTCTGCCTAAACTATATGCATATTTTTACCAGTGACTCGATTCTCAATCAATCAATGAACATTAAGCCCAGAACTGCATGAGACATTCTAGGGTAAAGAATAAAGTAAATTATATTTTTAAAAAGCCTTTAAAAATTAATATTCACACCTTCATGTGAAAAGAACTTTCAAAACATGGTGTGAAACCAGAAGTTTTAAAAAAAGATACTGAGACATTCAACTAAATAAAAATGTAAAACTTTTTTTTTAAGCATGATATAAGTTAAAGACAAGTAACAAAATGGAAACTAGTAAGAGCAACATAAATAAAAAAGACTAATATCATTAATATACAAACAGTTGTCATAAATCAATAAGAATGCTCCAGGAGAAAAATCAGCAAAGAATATAAATAGGCAATCCAAAGAAGAATAATTATAAATGACTTTTAAATGCATGAAAAAACATTCAATTTTACTAGTCATGAAGGAAAAACAAATTAAAACAAGATATAATTTTTCACCTGTCAAATTGGCAAAGATCTAAAACAGATACTGTTCACTTTTGGCAGGAGTTTAGATAAACAGGCTCTCTCGCATACAGCCACTGAAAGAATTTATTCCACTTTTTTGGAAGGCAATTTCTCTTTATATCTTAAAAGTATTAAGAGTTTACATAAAGTTGGTTTACTAAATTAAATAAGAATTTAATAATTATTAAAGAAATGATTTGACAAATTTTAAAGGACATGTGTATAAGGATTTGCACTGTGCCATTATTTACAATAGCAAACAATTAGAGATAATCTTAATGTTCAATAATAGGAAATTGATTAATACATAACTATAAAAATGACTTGGATCTACATCTTTTGGCAAAGGAAGATGCTCATGATGTACTAATAATGAAATGGAAAAACAGACTGGATAATAATATGTGAAATATTTATTTTTAGGAAATTTACATATAAATAAATTTCTGGAAAGATTTATACAAAATATAAGGGAGTTGAAGCCTGAATGAGTCATTTACCTGTGATTTTCTCTGCTCTTACCAATATTTGAATTTTTCAGCATAAATACAGGCCATATATAAAGTATATATAATTCATGCTATAGTTTTGACATAATAGGGTCTTTTTTTTTTTTTTCGAGAGGGAGTCTCACTCTGTTACCCAGGCTGGAGTGCAATGGCACAATCTCGGCTCACTGCAGCCTCCGCCTCATGGGTTCAAGCAATTCTCCTGCCTCAGCCTCATGAGTAGCTGGGATTGTAGGCACCCACCACCACGCCTGGCTAATTTTTGTATTTTTGTAGAGATGCGGTTTCACCATGTTGGCCAGGCTGATCTTGAACTCCTGACCTCAGGTGATCCCCTTGCCTCGGCCTCCCAAAGTGCTGGGATTACAGGCATGAGCCACCACACCCAGCCTACAGTCTTAAATTTAGAAGGAATCATTGAAATAATCTAATCTATTCCAACCTAGAGACCAGTTTAAGGATTCCCTACACGAATGTTTCTAACTGATGACAAATTGTTTGTCTTGAATATTGTAGATGAAGTGAAGGTCACTATTCTATGTTCTATTTTCGAATCTTTAATTTGTTTTTAATACTTTCTACTTATTAGCCCTAGTTCTGTGCTCTGGAACAGTGGAGGAGAAACCTACTTACTTCTTTCTGTGACAGTCTATCAACTCTTTGGAAGAAACAATTGTCTCCCATCCTGGTCTTGTCTTCACAAAGTTATCAACCCTCAAGGCTTCATCTATGGCTCTTTTAGCTTGAAGATCCTCTCTCATCAAGGACAAACTCCTTCAGATACCTCCCCTAAGAGGCTTGACACCCACCGTTAGAAACTGCGGACCAAGTCAGAATAGGAAAAAAGGTAAATGAAAAAAAAAAAAAAAAAAAAAAAACTTAAGAAAAGGAAAACATCTGTGAGCGAGAATGATGAACTCAGGCTTCACAGAAAAGACAGGACTTGCTGTAGATCTGTGAATTTTTGATAACCAAAGAAGTAGGAGGGAAATCTAAGCGCTATAAAGTGAGAGAAAGTTTCCTCTTAATGGTTTACTTTTCAATTCAAAAAAGGAATAGAGGGGAATTTAAATTTGCCTTTCTTCACATTCATTCTTATATCCTTTTCACTCCCTTTCTGCCTTCTTGCAATCTTTGCTGCTTTGGGAAATGCCAAAAAAATAAATAAATAAATAAATAAACCATTGTTTTGTGGCCATTATTTAAGGTGTTAACAGTGTTACTTTTTTCAATATTTTTATTGGTGTTAGTCCCTAAACTATTTCCTTTATATAGGTTTCAAATTCTCAGTTAGGCTACAAACAGCTTAAAGCCAATGACACATCTTTAATTTCCTCATCAGCTCTTCCCATGCCCTTTACCACATAAGAATTCATACCATGCCTAAAATATTGTTTCGGCTTAAGTAAATGTTGTTGTTTATTATTATGTGGTGATTAGTCTTTCTGAGATAGCATCACACTTTTACCCTATGCCATACATAAAGGCCTACACCCTATCCTAATTGTCATACTAGGAGAAGGAATCAGGTCGCAGTGTTGTCATTGCTGAAGTCCGTCCATGTTCCTTTCAGTTGTAGACAAACTCTTGTACAGCTTCTTCTTCCTCCCTACTGTGGCTTTCATGAAATTCTCAGTGGGAGATAATAGGGATCATTCTCTCCCAATGGATAGGTATAGCTCTTAAGGCAAGAGCAAGGGAAATGCTGGAGGCCACTGAGCCTCCAATGTAAGAGTTGCTGCCAGTCGCACTCACATTAGCCTCTCTCATTCTTTCTCCTATAAGACCTTTTCCCTTCTTCTGACACACTGGAGGTTCTACAGAATAATCCCTCACTTCAAAATTGTGAACTTATGATTCTCAAATCCAGGGATCTGCTCTGGCTGATCCAAGGGCCCAGATGATTTTCCTTTTTCCTTCATGATCATCCCAACTGAAGAGAATGACAGAGCAGCAGGAGGAGATTATCATACTTGGCTGATGTGGCTCCTTCACACTAGAAGGGGTAAAGGGAACAGCTGGTGCCTCTGTAGAGGTTTGAAGATGGGTTTTCATTGCTTGTTGCCATCAGGAGTGACCAAGGAATGATGACTGACTCATGACCCTCCATCTGGGGCCTCGGAGCCCAGCACCTGATTTGATTACCACATTGCATTTATCTTGCCAAGATATGTCAAGGGGACAGTTTTTGGAAAAAAAATATGTATTAAGCAAAAACTGTACACCCAATATACCTCATCTTTACACTCAATACCCTTCCCTTAGTCATTTTCCTCACTACTCAACTTTGTATCTAGTCCTATTCCTGTGTCCTAAAATAAATGTTCATTTATAATAAGATATTTGCATATCCAGTGAGAAAGGCTTTCTTATCAAAAGAGGTTTTAGAATAAACTAAGTGGTAACTATGATTGCAAACTAGGTAGGCTGTTGACATATTGAATTAGGAGACCTTCTAAGATCCCACCACATAAACAAAATTTTCTTATTCAGTATGACCCTGAATGATTTCACAAACCAGAACTACCCATGGCCTGAATCCATTACCTACCCATACCTTATTTTTAATGTATTTAGGAAATATAAATTAAAGCTACATTGATTTTTTTTATAAAAATTTAATTTGAAAAACTGGCATTATGAATGCAGTGCTGAAAAACAATTTATATTCCTAGTTGCTACTCAGACAACTACTTCCACTCAATACCACTGGAATGAGACAGGTGGGCAACATCAATCTTCTCCCCTGGAACTAGTAGATATTAACCAACCTCTAGAGGCAGAAAGGGGCTCCAAAATTTGCTAATAGAAGGGTAAAGCTTAACTGAGATAGAAAGCTGGCTAGATACTGAGCCTTCAGCAAAGAAGATGGGGGCAATGATACAGAGGGAAATTTTCGTTGTGGGATGTAAGATCAGAAATGATGAATGGTCAAAGAACTTTTGCCAAAATGGCCTAGACCCTAAACACATTATTTTCTCTATTTTTCTCCATAGTAAATTTAAGCACTTGATTAGTGTCTCATCAACAATATCATATCACAATTCACCAGTGGGTTACTACAGAGGTTGTCTGATATGATATCTCAGGAAATAGTGATGTAATACTGAGTTTCTATGACTCCCTTTTATTAATGACTGACTTCTCATCTCATGGTTTGTATATTGAGCATCATGGGTATTGTTAACTGTCCCTGGAACCTGATCTTCACACGGAGTCAGAATATGTGCTCTCTGAGAAGGTTAATCACACAAACGCTCTTTGACTTCTTTCTCATGAATGCCACATCCTCCTCAGAACCAAGCCCACGACTGACTGACAAGCCCAATGGAGAAAGAGCAGAAAACAGGAAAACATGTATTACACATTGCCCTGCATTCATCAGACTGCCCTTCAGAAAGGGGAAATAACAAAGAGTGAATGGTGGGAAGTCATTTTATCTGCTAGAAAAATATGCCCTGTTCCCTACTCAAAAAACAAGTGGTTGTGAAGCAACCGCATTATTTAAAGCTACAAGGCAAACAGGAAGAGGCAAACCAAACAGGCAGACCCTGAGAACTTCCCGCAAGTGCTCCCCTCAGCTGGGCTGGTTTGCAGTCTGATGGGCATGCTGACAGGCTCCAGTGGTTGCTGTGAACCCAGAGCATTCTTGACGAGAAAGGAAAGAGGAAAAGAAAGTGCCAGTTCCTCTTTAGCAAGCTATTTGGAAAACATTTGCTAATTCAAAGGAATAATAATGATTTCTAGAACCAACAACCATTAGTGTAAGCATTAACATCTGAGAAAGAAACCCAATGCTAAAATGCAAGCTTGAAGAGTAAGGAATTGCCCAAGAATAGGAGGTAGAAGAAAGTTGTCTACAAAACCCAGAAGAAAGGTGGTGCTTAAAATTAATTGACAACACAAGTGACTATACTGGCCAAAGAATGATCATTGGAACTTTAAAAGTTTACAGGTTGGGCTCAATGAGTCCCCAGTTTTGAAATATTTGATATGAGCGGACAGATATTCCAGGAACTGTGTGGGATGACACTCTTGGCCTCAGCTCCCCATTTTAGCCACATTTGAAATACCTAGAACTATATCTCAAGATAGCCTCTGAGCTAAGTTGTTATTTTGTTGCTTCACAACTCAACCTCAGTTCTGAGAACAGAAGTAGATAAATGTTGTGGCCACAAAGCAATTCAGGTATTATTCTTAATCCTTACCATGGTCTAAGAGTTAAGCGTCAATGTCATCATCTTACAAACGAGGGTACTGACACTTGGATAATTGTCCCACCATCAGAGAGTCAGTTACAGCGAAGTCCATCTGATGATATACCCCCTCTTTCTTCTGTACCATGGGATAAAACACATTTAGGGGACAGTAGAGAGATGATGCCCCTAAATCATCATTTCTCATGGCAAAGAAACAGAATTTTCTTTGGGCCAGAGTGAGCAGTCACAGGGGACAAGTCCTACCCTTGGACATAATGAGAAGTTTGAGTCTGCAGCACTCACAGATCCTAGAGATTCACCAAGAGGTGGGAGCCAAAGACCCTTGCTTTCCAGAGATGGATTACATAGAAAAATGTGCCACTTGGCTGACAGTGATATTAGTGTATGTTTTCCCATTTCTCTCACTCCTCTGACAAGATGTAGTGTCACTGAGAACCAAATTAACACACCGGGAGGCTTTGTCATTAAAGAAATACAAGTTCGCTTTGATTATTGCTGGCAAGAGAGCAGAGTGTGTGGTGCAAACAGCAGTCCTATTCTCAGAACTAATATTCTTGCAGACAGCACAGCTCTGTCTCAGTGTATCTTGAATTGGAAGATGGGGTGTAATTTTTCAAATCTAGAGGGACAAAATGATTTCCAAGCTAGGTACTTAAAGGTATAGGCAGCCATAGATCGCAATGAACACAGCTGTCAATGTTGCCATAATCATAAAAAAAGGGAGAGACAGAAAAAAACGTGAGCAAGGAGGGAGAAAATCACAAGAAGTGTTTCTAGCTATGTATGTATGAACTGAATATGCTATTTGTAAGATTAAGCTAGAAAGACACTTAAGTAGAGGGTAAAAATAAAATGTACTTATATGAAAGAAGTTATCAAATATAATCAGGCAATTTACTGGAAAAGCTTTAAGAGTCTTAATTTCATTGTTGTAAATGTTGTTGTTTGCCTTTGCATTCAAATTAAGGTGTTACCATTTTCGTGTTTTTTTTTTAATTTACTTATATTTGCTGTTTGCTGTTTTGCTGTTTGACTGGAATCTGTTGATTATGGAGAAACTGGTCCTAGACCGGGAATCAAATACCCAGCGTGTTTATTTTCCTCATTCATTACCGTTTAATAGATTATTCTTTGGAGCCTCAGTTTTATCACCTGAAATTTGGAAGAATAATGTCTGTATTGACAACTCTACAGAAGATTGTGTATATCAAATGAGAGAATTAATCAGAGAGCACACTGGACGTGGATTGCCTGGTCTTCCCAAGGCTGGTAGTGTCTCAATATGCACCACACTATTGAAATCACATTGATACCTGGAGAAAAAGGAAGAACAGTGTGGGATAAAGCGGAAATGTAAAAGGGCTGTCCATTCCCTCAGAAATGGATGGTATGTTTTGTTTTGCCACCTGAAATAGCAAAATCATTGAACTCTTCTGAAACCTAATTCACTGCTTACATCCCAAGACTGGAGGACACATCAGCTGTGCCTACATCACATAAAATAAAGATAAGCAGTTCACATAATTGTCTCAATTTATTGTCCTACAAATCAGTGTGATATTTAGTCTTTAAGGAAATGGTAATTACACCCATCACAAAGCAGTTTGGATCTGAAAAATAATCTGAAAGGACGTAACCAAAAGCAAAGACTCAGAGGAAGCTTTATGTCCCTAAAATAAAACACTTCAGATTCGTGTGAGAGAAAAAAAAAAAAAAAGATCTCCCACACAGACGACCAAACAATGGGAAACGATGACTATGGAACGAGTTCTTTCCAGTTCTGGAAAGCATAATGGTAATAAGAGTTAACAATTAGTCAATCCCTGTCAACTAGTAGGAGGAGGTATGTAGGGAAGAAGTCAAGCCTAAAAGAATCAGGTCCCAGGACCAGGGTCAGGCAGAATGGGCGGAGAAACATCAACCACAGCAAAATGTAACAAACAGTTGATATTAGTGATATGATTCAGACTTTTAAAAAATAACTTGACAGTTATATTTTATTTTAATCTCCCCAAAACCCTGTGAAAGTGTCAGCCCAGGGCAAAAACAAACAAACAAACAAACAAACAAACAAAAAAACACCACCACACTGTAAGGAAAAAATGTTTTTAAAAGTTTAAGCAATTTTTCCACAGATCCCAGGGATATGACCGACCGAGAGAAACTTTCTTTAAAACAGTTCTTATAATCACAGTCTTCAGTTGAGCTCCATGGGAAAGGCTTAAATTTAAATTATTACATTGCTGCAAAAACATGAATAGCTGAAAAAGAACTTATGAAAATGATGCTACTGCAACTAACTGATTGATTATGGACTGTCATACGAAAATTTTAGCCATAAAAATGGATTTCTTGGACCATTTTAGCACACATCTATTACCAGATAAATGGTAGAAGTGGGACTCATTTCATATCAACATAGAAGGAACAAGTATTTAGGTAAACTGGCCAATAAATCCAGAATACTGGACAAGAAAACAGCTACAGAGGAATAGGTGTTTCTCTAGCAATATACAACAACTACACATCTTGAGCGCAAAAGCAGCATTCCTTGAACAATATTCCCCTTAATATGCTTATTTCCAACTCATATAATGGATTTGAAATCTAAGTAAAAGTTTGTAAAACTAGAACTTTATTCCTTTATAATTGAAATTAACCCAAACCTCAATTCTCATTTCCAATAATTATGGAAAACTGAGCAACTTGAGTAGAACTAGTCTCTTTCAGTTTATAACACAGTATCAAAGGAATCAACTCTCTGCCTTTACATTCTCTCTGAAATGAACCATCATTATTCCTTGGGAGTGTAAGATCTTCATTTTGGTGAAGTTCAATTGATCATTTTTTTATTTTATGTTTTGTTTGCTTGGTGTCATTGCTAAAAAGTTCTTGTCTACTTCAAGGTCATAAAGATGTTTGCTTATTAAATATGTTTTTTAAATGTGTTTGATTTTTTTAAATGTTTGGTTTTCAAAATATGTTTTATTTTTAATTTTAAAAAGTTTTATGTCTCAATCTATGATCCAGCTCTAATTAATTTTTGTGTGTGGTGTGAGATTGGGGTCAATGTTCACTTTTTCCTATAAGTTTATCCAACTGGACTTAGAGGCTCGGAATGGGGAGCATGGCCAGGGGGCTAGTGATAAAAAAAAAAACAAAAAAACTACACATTAGATACAATGTACACTACTCTGTTGACAGATCTACTAAAACCTCAGAGTTCACCGCTGTATAATTTATCTATGTAACAAACCACTTGTACCCAATTGACTATGGGTCAATTGATATGTGGGTTTGCATCTAGATTCTCCATTTTGTTTCTTTGTTTTATATATATATAGTTATACATAAAATATATATACATATTTTATGTATAACAAAAAATATATATATACAGATATATATAAGATATATATATCTGTTCTTACACAAATACCACATGTTCTTAATTACAGTAGCTTTGTAGTAAGATTTTAAATTAAGTGGTTTAAATACACTGTTATTGTTTCTCAATATGTGTTATGAGTTATTCTAGGTCTTTGCAATCCTGTATAAATTGTATAATCATCTTTTTATTTTGTAAAAAAAGAATTTAAAGATCTATTAGAATTTTGTTGAATCTATAAATCAACTACAGGAAATATCTACAATATTGACTCTTCCAATCAATGAACATGGCATATCTCATCATTAGTTTAGCTCTTTAATTCATCTAAGGCATATCTTATAGGCTTCGGTGTAGACATCTTACTTCCCTTTTATTATACATAATCCTGACGATGTATTTATTCATTTATAAATATTTTATATGTGTACATATATATACATACACATATATAATTTTTTTCTAAATCTTATGAGAGAAATTTGCTGATATGATGCCCCTTTAGTGCTACTTTATTTAGAATGCATTTTCTATAGTACAAAGAAATCAAAATATATTGAGAGTATACTTCCTAAATTGCAAATAACTACAAAGTACAAATAATGACAAAGTTAAAATGATGAGTACTACCCTTTTATTCTCAAACTTTCATACATTATTTTAACATTTATTGATGATTCTTATCTAAGCACATTATTACCAGGATTTTTAAAAATACTTTCCCCAAAAGTTCTACTTATCATCTGTTGAAGGATTAGTTCCATATAAACCATTCCACCATTACCAGAACCAGAACCCCCGGATTACCATTTTAAACATGAATTCTCTTGGTCCAGAATGATTTGTGAAGAAACACATCAGTCTGGACATTGTGGCTCACACCTGTAATCCCAGCACTTTAGGAGGTCAAAACAGCAGGAATTGCTTCAGCCTAGGAGATCAAGACTAGCCTCTGCAGCATGGCAAGACCCCATCTCTACAAAAAAATTCAAAAATTACCCAGGTGTGGTGTCATGTACCAGTGGTCTCAGCTACTCAGGAGGCTGAGGTGGGAGGATCAGTTGAGCCCAGGCAGTTGACACCGTAGTAAGATGGTTCATGCCACTGCACTCTAGCCTTGGTGATAGAGTGAGACCCTGGCATGAAAGAAAAAGAAAAAGAAAAAGGAAAGGAAGGAAAAAGAGAAAGAGAGAGAGAGAAAAAGAGAAAGGCAGAAGGAAAGAAAAGGAAAGGAAGAGAAAGCAAAAGAGAAAGAGAGGGAGAGAGAGAAGGCAAGGCAAGGCAAGGCAAGGAAAGGAAAGGAAAGGGAAGGGAAGGAAAGGGAAAAGAAAACAAAGAATTAAATATGAACATACATAGAGCGGGTTAAATATGAACGTAAATTGAAATACATAAATGAAATATACAACAAAAGTGACAGCTAATTAGGAGTGTTGTTAAAACAAGAACATAGTTATCGTTTACTATAATGTGTTTTTGCTATTATTATTTGTAATCACTCTGCATTGAGTACGCCCTATGTACCTGCCATTTGGGTATATAAGGGTTTTAAATACGATTGTTATGATTTTATTTGATTCTTATAATAACCCAATAAGGTAAATGTTGCTGAAACCTTTTGACAAATGAAGACTCAGGGTTAGAGAATTAGCAATGTCTTGGGTCAAACATCTAAGTGGCAGAGTCAGTATATCAAACTCAGGTTTGATATAATGTAAGAGTATGAAAGTAACTCACAGCTTAGTTTATTGGAACATTCTCAATTTTCTTAAAACTTAAAGCTGGAAGAACCAGTGTTATATTACTAAGGTATCCAGTTAGCTGATTCCAGGTCACTAAACAGGTAGCTGCATTGGCATTCTGTCTGTGTGGACAGTTTGTTCAAAAAAGGGGCTGAGTGCTATTGTTATGAGAATAAGAAGCCAACAGGAAAGATATATCTGAAGGAAAGGACCAGAAAGGAGAAACATTTAAGTGATTAATGTAAATCAAATTCTTTCAAACAAACCCTTCTCTTGAAGGATTAATTTTTTTAGAACATAATACATCTTGTCTTCTCCATTGGGCTAGGTCATGCATGCCAGGGGTTAAAAAGACTGTTTTCTGTCTCATCATTCCTTAGATATTTACTTCTATAATTAGTTCAAGACATTGATGCGAGCCTGACTCATTAAGATAATTGAAGAGGAAAAAATATATTTACACTAGATTTCCAAAGGACTTGGCCAATGCCTAATTTTATCAAGAACCAATTATATACCTATAGGGCTGGAAATACTGTAATTTATAGACCTTACCACTAAAAGGCTTTCAGTCCAATGGACCTGATACAGAAACATTAAATGCTTACTCATATTAAAGAACATAGGAAAATAAGTAACAGTTACCACCTGGAAATATACAGTAAATTAAATGTGTTATACATGCAAGGAGAGCTAGAAATGAGGAGAAAGCAGGTGCAATGTGGCTTGGAAACATTTCACAGTAGATTTGGCACCACAGTATTGAATAGTTCATCAGCAGCAGTCATCATTATGCCTAAAACAGAAAAGTTGAAGTGTAACCCACATATATTACAGAAAGTTGGGCTGCCATTTATCCCTTTTTCTGCTAGTCAAGAAAGCACACAACAAATTGTACAAAAGTACGATAGTTGTTTTTACAGAAGCAACCCTGAAATGCTGTATTGTGTAAAAGAAATATCATCCATATACCTAAGCATTTAACTCTTTTCAGTGACAGTTGACTTATGACACACCTCATAGTTCCTCTACCTGCCACAACATTGTGGTTAAGAACAGCTGGCCTAATGACCTCTAACAATTCTTCTACTTTGAGCATTCCCTAAATCTTAGATCAAATGTTGATTAGAAGCTTGATTCTATGAACATGCCATGTAAAGTCATTTATATAGAGAATAGTTGAGACAGACTTCACTATTGCCTTTTAGAATTGAGCATTCATTAGCTCATGAAGGCATTTGAAAATTGAAGAATTTCTTGGTAGTAAAATGAAAACAGAAATTGTTATCAAGAGAGGAAACGAAAAGATTGCCAGAATCTTAGAAGTCCCTCCTTGTAGACAGGATCTCTTGGGCTAGGATCACAGCTCAGAGAAATGAAGGATACCAGACTAAGCTCAGCCTCTTTGTCCAACATGGTAAACCACAAAAGAGTGATAACAATATGCCCCTAGATAAAAGAATCAGCTATGGTGTTCCCCATGAACAGTATGATAGTGACAGTGAGAGTTATGTGGGATGGAACTGGTGAGGGAGAAGAATCATAAGGTATATAGCCCCAGAAAGGCTATTTTCTGTTCAAGCTTCAACTACAGTTCTGCAACCATGAATATTAAATTCTTTATGACAAAGGTAACCATTACATTAAGGAAACAAGATGTACAAAGTGTAATTGGAAGTCAACGTACTTTTTTCTCTACCATCCCCAGCCCCACCCTCACTCCATCACTCTCATCCAGTCTCTCTAAATCTGGGGGAAGGGGATTTACTGATTATTCTTATGTTATAAAAATTATACAACACAAAATAGTCTGCATAATTAAAATCCCCAATCTCATATTAAAAAAAAAAACTCAAAACTGGCTTTAAAATGAAAACTTTCCCTTCCATTTCAGAGTGCTGCACACATGAATCTTGAAGTTGAGGAAGCAGATGTGATCAGCTTCTTTAGTTTTGCAGTGGGCCCCCTCAAACCTCTTCTCACTTAGCTCAAGTGGAGAGACACCAACACCTATCTCGAAAAATTTACCCTCAAATCATCAACTCCCAAATCTTTTGTAATTTTTGCATGTGTGGGAGGATTAAGAATTGTGCAATTAATTGGTTTTTGACAATTTAAAAATTTTGCATCCTCTGTCACCTAATGTCTATTGAATATTTGTGTTGTGCATACACTGTGTTAGTTCAATGTATCTAAGAGACAGGAGGCAGATATTCTCTTCAGGATGAGTGCCATAAAAGTGAAACAAAAATTTCACCAGAGAAGATCAGTGGTCACTGGGACTGTCTGGAAAGTTTTCAGAGAGGGCATGATATATGTGTTGTAACTTAAGAGAGATGGATGGATTTCCAACAGGCAGAAGTGAGGGATAAATTTCTTCATATTTACTGAAAAAAGTATAACTATAATCAATTGGTCAAATTGTAAAGGTGCCAGATTAAAAAAAAATGTTTACTTGTACTCTATGGAATGTATTTAATTTCGTACATTTTACTATATGTCTGTCTGATTCAATTGATCTATAAGTTGTTAAGAAGATAGCAACTGAATTGGGTATTTGCCTTTTTGGGCTACTCAGTATTGGAACTCACTCCCTTGGAGGACAGATATGTTTTCCCTAACTCCTGGCAGCTAGACAACAGGCACTTCATTGAAACTCAATCAATTGCATATTTTCCCTGGGACTTTAATTGGGAGCAAATAAAGCAAAGACACAGGAAGCAAATTGGAATGCCTCTAACTGTGGTGACGGCATGCATCTCCCAGCAACCATGTCAGTGGTGACTTCTAATACCCAGACCTAGTATTGTAGGTCAGATTCTTTTTGTAGCATCTTCTTAGATGTAATTCAGGCACACACACTAGCCTACTTCAGCTTCTGCTCATTTTCTGAGGCCAGTTCTTTACTCTTCCCAATTATTCTTGGAGTTATCCAGTATTCTTCCAATAAATTCCTTTTCTGCTTAATTTATTCAGGCTTTGTCTCTGTTGTTTGCGACCAAGGACCCTGACTAAAAAAATGTGTCTTTTTTTCTTGTTCTCTTTTATTGACATAATAAGCACTCAATCGTTGGCCTGAATGGAATTGAAATGTCCGTTGCCAGATTTTGAAAGGCTTTAAGTTTTAAGTTGATGATTTTGTCTTTTATGCAAAGGACTGGTGTGAAAAAAATTTTGCTAATGTCATTCTCAGTATTCTCCCTCTTAAAATCTCACCTATCTCCATGGGTTCTAAGGTTATAGTTCACATTTCAACTTCTTCATGAATATTTTCATTTGGATACACTGCCAGCACTTCAAGCATATCATTTAACAATTAAAATTTTTAATTTATATCCCAAATCAGTTCCTTTTTTAAACTTCCTTATTTTTCTTAACTTTATAACAAGGTTCACAGCCTTGGATATCCCCGCACACACCCACCCCCTCCCCGCCCCTCCCTACACACATACTTTGACTCCTTTTTCTCCTCGTGGCCTCTCACCAATTCCAACTAAATTATAGCTCAGGAACTTATTAATATCACTAAAATCCTAGGTTGGAATGTCAGTCTCCTTGACTTTACAATTCTTATATTCTTTTGGCAATTATTCTTTCTAGGTTGCCCTAGGGGGATGTCCAGAAGTGATTAGGTAAAAGCAAAAGTAACTAAAGAGAAGGACTTAGGCTAATAGTACACATCTATCAAGAAGGATTAGAACTGACCATGAGAAGAGACAACTTGAATTTCAAAGATGACCTGGAAAAAGAGATCTCAGTAGAGTTGTGGTAATGAATATGAGACAGTAAGTGTTTGTAAAAGGGTGGGATGAAAGTTGGGTCTGTAAAAGCAGATAGTTTCTTGAGAACATGAAGAGAAAGCAATAGCAGGAAGGGGCAATAGGTGTGGGAGAAAGCTGTACATATGTAGTTATTACAAAACATGACAATTAGAACCAAACGGCCTAGATTCACATCTCAGAGCCATTATATCCCACCAGTTCCCCGACCTTAGGCATTCAAATATTACCTCTCCCTGCCTCCATTTCTTCGTCTCTAAAATGCAGCTAATAGTATCTGTCCCAGTGACGATTAAACGAGTCTGTACATCTAAAGCACTTCTGAGAGAGCCAGTAAATCAGTAAGACATCAGCAAGCATTAGTTCCAAAGGGTAATTTCCTTCTTTTTTCCACATTATGAAAGACAAAAGCTTATTTAAAGACATATGTTTTTAAATAAGAAGATAAGTTTTAAAATGGAAAAGAGAGAAGAAAATCTAGCAGAGGTAGATCTGTGAGACAGGGAGAGGACAATACGTACCAGGATTTATAAGCTTGGCCTTTCACACAGAGATGACTCGTTGGGCAGGGAGGAAAGCAGCTCAGAGAATATTTCCATAATTCTTCAGTGAACAGGAGGATGTGATGAACAAGTTGTACTGAGCAATCCACGTGTTGTTCTGCACTGGGAGAGGGAGAAGGGGACTGTCTAGGGGCTGAACTGCAGAGAGAAGGATTTTTACGAACTTTGCTGGGATATGTAGTAACCACTTTGGTCTCATCCCAAGTAAGAGAGACTTTGCTGCTGATCTTACTCCTGGACCAGACATCTTTTCAGCATTTAGGTCCTCCCCAGTCCATAAATGCAATAGGCATGCCAACTCATCAGATCCAGAAAATGAGCTGCCATAACTTGACACTTGTCCCTTTTTGTCAAATGTATAGTACACACTGTGTAGTTAACAGAGGGAGAGGATAAGGGGTAAGTTTTAAACATACATTTACATGGCTTTACTTTCTAGAAAATGTCTCACATAATTTTTATTTAAAACCTATGGGGCTTTCCTCAATGTGGTTTGGAAACACTTATGCATCCCTGATAGGTATGTATGTTGGAGAATTACATCACATTACACACAGATGTATCCTTTGTCTGCTCTGGGGCCATCCCACCAAGGAACCATGCCAAGAAACTTCTGAGAAGCAGACAGGCCATGGGCCTTTAAAGGAGGGGTGCTGTTTCCTCTTGTTCATTCCTAGTCCACAAGTTAGACTCAAGTCTTCTGTGGGTCTTGGGACCATTTCAGTTCCCAATGTCAGCGTCTTAGCCACCACTCATTCTTCTGTAGAGAGGGGCTGCTGAAATGATGGAAATCCAAAAACACTAAAAACAATGCCTTATGAGTGAGAAAACTTATAACCTCTTAGCAAGCTTTGGCATCTCTCTATCTCATTTCCTTCTAACAATAATCCAGCTGGTTGGGAGAGATAGATATCATAAGCCCCATTTTATAAATAAATAACTGAGGCACAGAAACTCATAAGTAAATCCTCTCATGATTTCCATCATGCTTTATCACAATCCCTGTGAACTCAGTTTCTACTTCTACAATCAAAACACAACAGGAAAATTCACTACCTACTAAAATATCTTGACAACTATACAGGCAGGGATTGTAACTGAATAATCTCTGTATTCTCAGCATCTAACCCAATACCTGGCATGGGATACTCACTCGATGAGATATCAAATATCTAAATATATCAAACTAAACCGAATGAAGTACTATATTATCTACTTCCTTGAGCTGTTCTTGTTATTCTCACCTTTGCTGAAATGAACAGACTCAATTTCACTGTATTATATAAACCCAAGGGCTACCAAGAGAAATATTGACCCAACAGTAATAATAGGTAACTTTATTTCAAAAACTTATTCATTCCCTGACTAAGTCTACAACTATTTCTCTAAGGATGGGTAAAATACACAGAATATATTCCCTTTACAGATTTCCCCAAGAATAGGAATCATGTCATCTACTTCTTTCTGTATCTCAACACATTGCACAAACTTCTGCAAATATTTAGGACAAAAGAAGTTTCAGACAACTGTATTTGGGATTCTGAACACTATTCTCCTAATGATATAGAATTCAATCAAATCATAAAACTATAAATAATTTCTGGGCAAAGAAAATGAGCACGGTTTTGCACTGCGTTCTATATGAGATACAAGATCTTTATACAAAGTATTTTCTCTCGGTGTGCTTACTTGTTAAATCATGTTAAAAAATAAAAGATGAAAAAATAAGTACAGGTATGGCTTAAAAAGATTATAGGAGTTCAGGAAAAAAAGATTCACATAGTACATTAGTCAGGTCTTCATTGAAAAGGTGAAGCTTGAGACTCATCAAAAAGGATGCTACATCAAGGCTATTGCCCTCAAGCTACATTCCTTATCAGCCATCTGCAGCCTGGAGGTGTACATCCCCTGATTGAGGTGATAAGCCTGGGCTTATATGATGGCAGATAGGATTGTTTTGCACAACATAGCTCCATCTTCAGATTTCTTATTTGGTGGTAAATTTCTGCTTTTGTTTGCATTTTTGTTTTGTGAAAACCCTCCATCAACATCACCATCTGAGTCCGATAATCAAGATATAAAAAGGAAATGATTTTAAATATATGAAGATTTAATTAAGAGCACCCAAGCCTGTCAAGGTGAAAGTGACCACAGAAAGTGATTAGGAGGGCCATAGTGACACAAACTCAAAAAAGCCTATCACATACTCACACAAAAACTACACAGACCCATGGCATCCAGACACACAAACTCACACACACAAACCAATGCATGCATATAAATACTCCAAAGCCAACCTGTTTGCCATTCTTGTGCAAGGTGGGAAACTGCAATATCCCCTAAAAAGTTAATGTTTCTCATTAGAAAATCTCTTATTTCACTTCAACCTAGTTTCAGATTTTTGTCTCTAAGGTCACTAAGGGTCTCAGCTTAAAGTCATTTCTCCAATTGTTTGTGGCATCTTTTTTTTTTTATTCTTCCCCCTCTTCCTATTAGCAGTCAATTAACTGTAAATTAGAAAATATTGTTACATTTGAATTATTTTGAGCAAATGCAAACACACTATAGAGATTGACAATTCACCCATAATTATCACATTAAACATTTTTTTTGCAAATTTCAGAGCTACAAAAGTACTAATTAGGGAGATTTGATGTTTTTAGTGATCTCAGGTATTTAAGGGAACAACACATGCATATGGGGCTGTAGATACTCTAATTCTTTCTTGGTTCTCTCAGTTATAAAAGCTTAACCTTTATAATAAGTTCTCCTTTTAACCATAAACTTGAGAAACAGAAGAAAATCCACTACTAGGAACATCCTTCACCACCACACAAGCTCAGTTTCCAGGGGCCAAAACAAAAGGCACATTATATATCTTCAGCTGCATGGCCCAAAGGTACCTGACTGGAACTGGGAGCCCCTCCAGCCCAGTCAGAAGGAAAATATTACCCTTCTATTTAACAAGGCAGTGCTGAAGGATTAATCATTAAATAAATAGCAACAAGCCAGGAGATTTACAGGAGGGACAGAACCCCACCCGGTGTTCTCAATTTTTCTGGGATTCAGGATGGAAATTATTACAAGAATAGTTTGGAAGGGGCTTCACTAACAATCACCTTCCAAGGCAAGATGGAACAATGCGTGCAACCTCAAGTAGGACCCAGACAAGAGGGAAGTTCATCACCCAAGCCCTCTGGGGAGCATAGGTTCCTTTTGTCTAACAGCTGGCATCCATGCACAGGATTGATCAAACCTGGAGAATGTGCAAAGCCTGGCCATGTGTTGCTGTGTGACTTTAAGCAAGTCATTTAACCTTTTTGGACTTTGTCTTTCTCAATTTGAAGCGGATATGCTACCCATATTATAAAGTACACCATAACTAGTCATACATAGGAAATAAAAATCTTGTCACTTGGGTTGTTTATGTCTCTTCAGGCCTCCCTCCTACAAGGACAGATCCAAATAAGTCCTGACTCTCTTTAGAAAAAATATTTCTGTAATCTGAGCCAGGAGACCAGAAGCATTTGTCTCAACAAAATGGGGCATATGCCTTCTCTTAGAAAGTAGATCACAATTCTAAGAATGCTTCATGAATGACCTCACCTTTGGGTTGTAACATGTTTGGTCTATTCTATGTGACTAGATGGTGTTGAAAAGATATAGACATTTCATGAAATATGTTATCTCAAAAGTACATCCCTATTAAAAGAGATTGAACAAGAGTCTTTATCTGTGATTAGATTTATTCTGTCTCCTGTTATAATTTGTATGTATGAACTCAACAAAAAATATTTACCAGACATCTAAAGTGTGCTAAAACCAGTGTTCAATGTTCAATAAAATGTAAGAAAATGATGGGACACAATCTCTGTATATATGGCAATTCATAATACAGTCAGGATATAGTAAGAAGAGAAAAAGATAGCACAAATAAAATATGTAAATAAAAATATAAGCAGCATTTGGAAGGAGACATGAAAGCTTCATTTCCACTGTAGCTGGGACAGACCTGTGATGTTGTTTTCCTGAGTCCAGGGTGACCTGGCAGGAAAGGGCAGTGATGATAGCTCCTGGGTGGTGGCACCCTGGTATTGTGCTAGGGGCCAAGCTGCCAAAGAGCATCACTTGGGGTGTCAAGCAGGTAGTAAAGTAGATTTAGACATGTACAGGGACTCATTTCCTCAAGAATGCATTGGAAGGTCAGGTGAGCCAAGCCACAGACTATGGCTTGATCTGCAATCCCAGGCTTCAATCCTGTGCTCCAGATCAGAGAAGGCCTGATGGAGAGTTATCACAAGGGGTCCTTGCTATGAAGTACCCATCAAGAGGACTTCTCACTGTTTTTGAAAGTTTCTGAGGTCTCCTTTGCACAATGTCAACTGTTTAATGTGTAACTAAATTGCCATAGCATGGTGAAAGACAATATCTTTAATGGTACGCGGGTACAGCACAGCCCATAACAATATCATCCCTATGAGCATCAGAAAAAGAAAGGGGTAGGTGTTCTCTGTCACTGAGAAACTCTACTTCAGGTTTATGAAAGGGGCACTATAGTAGTCCCAAACTCTGTACAATCTACATCATGGCAGGGATGATAAATGATAATTCTCCAGGATTGGAGAAAAAAGAAAGAGGACAGATTGTGCTGAAGGGTCTGATCTCAAAGGGCAGACCAATAAGAATCCACTTTAGTTGACTCTCCCTCCATGCTCAACCTCTATGCTTTGGACAAGAATAGCCTCATTTTTTCTATCCTCATGGACTTCGGTGTCTCCATTTCCTCCCTCTTTTGACTCTGCTTGTTGTGAGAGCAAAGAATCTTCCTGAATGGGGTGGATGGTATGGGAAAGAAACCAAGCATTGTTGATTAGGGATTTTCATGATGATTAACAAAACAACAACAAAAATCAAACAAAGGAAATTCAAGGAAGTTGTTATATGAATATTATTATATGAATGACAGAATGTGATTAAGTGTTCAATGAGAAGATTAAATAATGCGTTTTCTGTATGTTTATTGTGGCACTATTCACAATAGCAAAGGCTTGGAACCAACCCAAATGTCCATCAATGATAGACTACATTAAGAAGATGTGGCACATATACACCGTGGAATACTATGCAGCCATAAAAAAGGATGAGTTCATGTCCTTTGTGGGGACATGGATGAAGCTGGAAACCATCATTCTCAGCAAACTATTGCAAGGACAAAAAACCAGACATCACATGTTCTCACTTATAGGTGGGAATTGAACAATGAGAACACTTGGACACAGGAACGGGAACATCACACACCGGGGCCTGTCATGGGGTGGGGGCAGGGGGGAAGGATAGCATTAGGAGATATACCTAATGTAAATGACGAGTTAATGGGTGCAGCACACCAACATGGTGCATATATACATATGTAACAAACCTGCACATTGTGCACATGTACCCTAGAACTTAAAGTATAAAAAAAAATTACCAAAAAAAAAAAATAATAATGCGTGTTCAAAGGTGTCCCAAAAATGCAATAGCGACATGATCTGGAATCAAAAGATAAAGTTCCATAGAGGAAAAGAAAGACGAAAATGCAGTTTTGAAGGATGAGAAAGAGTATAATAAATTGAGAGCATGATAGCATGTATGAGGACATTTCCAGCGAGGAGAACAGTTTTCCAGCTTAAGCAAAGCTGTAAAGATGGAATGAGTTTCATGTTTGTCAGAGAATAGTAGCCAAAATGATCTCCTTTCTTTCAGGGTATAATCTTTTGGGGTACAGTCTCTGATTTCTGGACTCCAGCCTTCTGACTCCTTTCCCTCTTGTCTTGTTCCCTCTCCCATATCCATGTCATGCTTGCAGGGAGGCTTCCTAGAATACTTAAACCAGGATGGCCCTTTTATGCTTGTATGTAACAGTCATCATATACTCCTCCAAGATTCACTTAAAAAATCTGTCCTAAACCTTATGCTAAACCTTATGTCTGCCATTTCTACAGGCATATATCCCAAAAAGTGCCTAGCACAGAGTAAATTTTAAATTAATTAAATGATTATCAGATTCTTGAGAATGAGATCTGGCTTCAAGGAGTAACATTACTGATACAAGATGAAATAACATGGTTCAAGCTCTCCATTCAGGACCTAGTGTTGGTAAGAAAAGGCTTGCATAAAAGGAATGACAAGGTAATGTTATGAAGAGTTTAATAGACACATATGTTGCTATCAAAAGCATGAAAGGGGGCATCAACACTGCTGGGAGGGTCAGGGCAGGCTTCACAGAGGAGGTGAGCTCTTTGCTGAATCTTAAAGGATAGGGGGAGGACTCACTCTTTAGCTAGCAGAGAGTAAAGCAGAGGATTTGAAATATGAGTAGTGTAGGGAGCAGTAGATTAAATTGGAGCTTAGAGATGCTTTGAATTTCAACCTTTGTTTTATCTACAGAGAGTCACAGCCGGAGCATATTGTCACAAGTTGAAGTCTAAATTGCTTTAGATCACAGGTTCCCAAAGGGTAAGTCCATGTCTTTGGTGTATTCTCTCAGAACTTCATGCCTCCTGCACGGTGGGTGTTCAAATAAATATTTAATAATAATGAGGTGATTAATTGAGGGCACTCATGTTCCATATGCACGGGTAGAGCCCTCTTTTCACTTTAATTACTATTGCTTTAATCATCATTAAATGCGTTTCTTAGATAGCAATTTGGTTCATGTTTAAACGTTCTGGCTGCCTAAGTTTCTAGCCCTAAGGTAAATAGTAGTATCAGAGAATAACCCTGTTCTTAGTTCTAGTAAATGATTTTGTGACACTGTCTATATGAACCTGAAGCAGAATTCTAGAAAGACACTTATCAAGAGATTACACCTGGAAGAATGTTGGAGAGGACTCGCGATGTTGGGAAATATAGGGAATTCCCTAGAAGGAACTGGGAATCCAGTGAGGAGTTTCTCACATAGCAGAGGCAGAAATAAAATCAGAAAGAGGTCTTCCAACAAGTGTGGCAAAAAATATATGAGTTCCTGACTTGATGATGCAATCCGGGGAGGAAACTACGAGTAGCCATAGCAACTGGTCAACTGGTGAGTGTGCTTCAGACCCAATGGACCCAAAAGGGTGAAAAGTAGAAACACACCTGTATGTGTGAGCATCTCTGCCAGCCAGATCATCAATGATCAAACTGCCCCAGGTTGTAAAAGGCCAATCTCACCTCAGCTGAATAAAGGCTAAAATGAATTCAAGACTCTTAGGCCAGGAGAAGTCTGGAGAGCAGTGAACTCCAATGCAGAGGAGGTAGCATCATTTCCCGCAGCAAAGCTATGCCCAGTAATGGAGCAGAAGCAAAGAGAAGGTTAGAGTTGAGAAGGAGAAAAGGAGAACAGAGGTTAGAACACTTACAGCTTTTTCATATGCACAAGTGGAGAAAGCATTTATGAAAGCTTCTTGCTTGACCAATTTACTGCCCCAGGCCTAAGGGCCCAGCATGGAGCAGGCAATCACTGCAGATCAAATACAAGACTGGGGCTTTTGGGCAATCATCCTAGAGGATCCTAATCAGTGTTAAATATTGTTTCTCTTTTTCCATTCTTGCCACAGTAGAGCCTATTATGCATAAAACATTCAGAGTGATATTTTTAAAATACAATTCAGATAGTATCATTCTCCTGTGTAAAACTCCCCAATGGCTCCCCATAGTATAGCTCTATGATTATTGTAGTGCAGAGGTCTCAAACTCAAAAGTCTAGAGGGACTAGATTGTAAGTGTTAAAAACACATTATTAGATTAGAGGGGCCTCTCAGAATGCAAGTATGTGTGAATTTAAAGAGCACTGTTGCCGCTTCCCCCTTTCATGTGTTGCCATGTGAAATTATGAACCCATCATTGCTAGAATTAATTTTTAAACACAACGTGGATATCTAAATTTTATGTGAAATCTAATTTTAAATGTTGGATCAAATTTATAAAATATACTTCATGCTAAGCAAAATGTATCCGCGTAAGTGTTCTGTCTACTAACTGCCAACTGGGCTCCTCTGGGATAGGGATAAGGCCAGTCTAGAATTGGTGTCAGATAAAGTTATCTCATGATTGCTGACATAGGGGTTAAAATTGTACCAAACGCAATAAGTGTTATGAGAAGCAAATGGCCAGATCAAAGGGCTAAACTTATATCTGCGCAGTCTAAAGAGGGGCCTCAAAGACTGAGGATAAGAGATTAAGACAGGAGATCTCACTAGAACCCACGCAATGTAACCACAGCAGAGAGATCCATAGAGCTATTGATGCCTCAGTAACTTTCTGAAGCAACAAGCCAAGCTTATAAGATTGCCTTACCATGTATGGTCTCTAACTAGACAATTTCATCTTCTGTATTTATGTATGAAGAGGCAACAGAATGCAGAAGGAGTAAGAACATACTGTTGGCTAAATGCTCAAAACAACATCCATCTCTTCAGAGGTCTGAGTGGGCTTGTGGTTCATAGACAGCACAGCCTTACTGAGTGGGGTGCAAAAGTATACTTCTTGCTGATTATTCCCAAAAGTAACCTGTAGCATTGGGGAAATAAGACATGGGCCTAATTCAGTTGGAGATAACACACTAAAGAGTACCTGAAGCAAACCCCAGATCAGAGGCATTTCAATCAGCAAAGGGGAAGTTCAGAATCTCAGAGAGGAAGAGAGTGGGTAGGTGTTATCAAAAAAGGTTTTAGAGAGAAGGCAGGACATGAGATAAAGAATAAATTGATGAAGTTTTTATTACTTCATTAATTCAACAAATGTTTATAGAATGCTAGGCATGGTTTTAAACATTGGCATTGGGGATACAAGAGAAAAGAAAGCAATGACCCTGATGGAGCTTATTCTGGTTGACAAATAATTTCTGCTAGTTAGAAAATGAAAGAGGGAAATAAGACTAGTGTGGTTAGGAGTTGGGCATCTCTTCAGAGGTGGCACCTGATCTATATCCTGATAGACAGAAAGGAGCCAGACAGATAAAGGTGTCAGGAGAAAGCATCTCAGGCAGAGACAATAAGAGGCATATGGTGGCAATGAGCCTAGTGTGTTCAAGAGAATAAGTTATATATTGTGGTAATGAGCCTAGTGTGTTCAAGAGAATAAGAGGTATCTGGTGGCAATGAGCCTAGTGTGTTCAAGAAAGAGGCTGGATGGAGGTAGTGCCATGAGATGAGAGATAGTTGGCAAGGGTCTTGCAGATTCTAGACACAGGGAAAGAATTTCAATTTTGTTGTATTTTTAATGTGCAGCCATTGGAGTGTTTTAGGCAGGAGAATAATATGATATGGACAGTACCTTTAAAGATCACACTAGCCATTATGTGAAAAAGAGAATTTAAGGACAAAGAATAGAAGGGCATAGACCTTCTAGAAAGTGAATGCAGGCCGGGTGTAGAGGTTCACACTTATAATCCCAGCACTTTGGGAGGCGAAGTCGGGCAGATCACAAGGTCAAGAGTTTGAGACCAGCCTGGCCAATATGGTGAAATCCCATCTCTACTAAAAATACAAAAAAAATTAGCCAGGCGTGGTGGTGCATGCCTGTAATCCCAGCTACTCGGGAGGCTGAGGCAGGAGAATTGTTTGAACCTGGGAACCTGGGAGGCAGAAACTGCAATGAGCTGAGATTGCACCACTGCACTGCAGCCTGAGCAACAGAGTGAGACTCTGTCTCAAAAAAAAAAAAAAAAAAGTGAATGCGATAGAGCAGGCAAGAGATTAAAGTGTCTCAAGTGGTGTTTAGCAGTGCTGAGTTGCTCCAAGTATTGAAGCTGAATCTGATAAATAAGAAAGGACCATGAAATACAGTATTTTGATAGTTGTAGGCAAATTAATCCAATTTTTAAAGAGAGCACTGAGATTCCTTACCATAGGACTGATGTGACAGTATAAGAATAATTTATTTTCTTAGTTGTTTACCACCTGTTTTTCTCTGTAAACTTCATGAGGAATTTGGTCTTACTCTTCAGGACCCCATCAACTTTACTACCATCACCGCAAGACAATGAAGCATCCTGAAGGCAAACACCATGCTAATTTCACTTTGAACACAGTTATTAGCATACAGTATGCTCAATAAGTGATTAATGAATGTAATGAGCATATAAGTGGAAGAACAATGTATTCGATGAAATAAATAAGATTTAACGGAAAGATATTAGAAGAATAACAAGCAATGAAGTTGCTACAATAATGCAGATTTGAAATTAAGGGACTATACTAAGGAAAGAAGGAATGAAAGAGAAATGCAATCTGCATTTTTAAGGAAATCAATAGAATGTGGTAATAGTGGTGGCCTATTGATCATAAAAGATAAAATTGAGAAGGAAATTAAATATGATAGATTAGTATGTCACATCTATTTCACCCTCAACTCGCATCTCCTGTCCAGTGTGCTAACCTCATCTGCAAAGTTGGGAAAAATGAAAAACACATTTCCCAGGGACTCTTGTAGTTAGGATTCTTGATGTGATATAGGTTTGGACAATTTCATGCATATTCATGATATTTTATTTTTCTATTTTATTTATGTAGTTTGTTTGTTTGTTTGTTTGTTTGTTTGTTTTTGAGACAGAGTCTCACTCTGTCACCCAGGCTGGAGTGCAGTGGCACCATCTCGGCTCACTGCAACCTCCGTCTCCCTGGCTCGAGCAATTCTCCTGCCTCAGTCTCCCAAGTAGCTGGGCTTATAGGTGTGCACCACCATACCCGTGTAATTTTTGTATTTTTGTAGTACAGATGGGATTTCATCATGTTGGCCAGACTGGTCTTCAACTCCCGACCTCAAGTGATCAACCTGTCTGGGCCTCCCAAAGTACTGAGATTACAGGTGTGAACCCCCATTCCTAACCCATTTGCATGCTATTTAAAGGAAGAATTGAAGTGGAGACTGCACTACCTGCCACTGCTATTTTGCTGGCAAGCACGGCCATTGAGATGTTCGGGTTTTAATGGTAGCATTTAGCAGATGAGAGGGTCCAGTCAGGCCGGCGCGGTGGCTCACGCCTGTAATCCCAGCATTTTGGGAGGCCAATGTGGGCAGATCAGGAGGTCAGGAGATCAAGACCATCCTGGCTAACACGGTGAAACCCTGTCTCTCCTAAAAATACAAAAAATTAGCCAGGCATGGTGGCAGGCGCCTGTGGTCCCAGCTACTCAGGAGGCGGAGGCTGAGGCAGAATGGCGTGAACCTGGGAGGTGGAGCTTGCAGGGAGCCAAGATAGTGCCACTGCACTCCAGCCAGGGCGACAGAGCTAGACTCCATCTCAAAAAAAAACAAAAGAAAAGAAAAGAAAGAAAAAGAAATTCAGAAATCAGGCTCCCATTTTGCTGATGCAGATTACAGCAGGTTCATAGGACTGACAACAATAATGGCTTCTTAATTATAGCACTTTGCTGGTGTTGACCACTTTCTGTTTGGTAGCATTGGCTACCATGAAGAATCTGCAGCTTCCTTGGTGGCAAGATACAGTATGGCAGACTTGGGAGTTATTTCTGAAAGTTTAACATACATTTAGTTTCTTCCACCCTCTGAGAGATTTTATAAGTTATTTAATATTCTCATAATTGGATCCTTATGGCTTAAATTAGCCAGAGTAGGTACTGTTTTTTAGAATTGAACTGTGGGAGATAAATAACTATTTCTGGATTCGAACCTGAGGGACTGGAACAGTGGTGGACACAAAAGAAAGAAAAAGTAAGGAAGATGAGAAGAGGATAGAGCCTGAAAGAGAAAAAGAAGACGTTTTCTTGCCTTATGGAGAAATTGAAATAGGCAGTATGACAAGAGGGAAGCAGAGCCAAAACAGGATTGAAAAACTTCAGTATATCCACAAAGCAACAAGCAAATATCAATAGACACACACCCTGGGACTTGAACACAGAAGCCCTGAGTAACCTGAATTATCAGGAAGCCTTTGGAAGCAGGCAGCACCCTGTTAGGAGGAGAGAGCTTCCAACATGATTGCTGAAAACAGAAAGATTCCTTGGAAAGCAGTTCCATGACAGTTTAGATGAATTCAAATGGTCTGTGTACATGTTTTGGACATTGTCACAAACAGGAAACATGGGATTGAGCCATTGGATACAGTGCCTGCCTTGCTTGTCAGCCAGGGCCACAGGGGCCAGTGCCAGCGTAATGCAGCAGAAACGCACAGAAACACTTGGGTGCCAACAAAACACAGAGCATCCTGGAGGCTGCTCTTAGACAACAGCGGGACAAAAATGCCTTCCCCACAGAATTTGAATGGTCAAAGAAAATCCCATAGTGTGAGGTACTGGAAATTGTTTTCTTAATGGAACATCAGAACGATTTACATAGTAATGGAACTGTCTAAAGTTTAGCAATGTCCTGGGTTTCCAGACTGCTCTTGCCAACGTTAGACCAAAGATTATACAGGGAAGGTTATGATAGATGTGAAATAGAAGAAAGGGAGAAACGAACATGACTATGAATCCATGGGTGTGTTTTGCAAGTGTTTATAATGTTTCATTTTATTTATTTGCTCATGTATTTGTTCTTTTGCTTTGTTTTTGCTCTGACCCATTCCACAAAACACTTAGGCAAGAGTTATTTGTGACATATTTAGTGCTTTTTACACTTTTATTTTTTGAAGTATGTGTTGGTAATCATTACCTTGATAATATATACAATCTGTTTCCTATCCTGCATCCTGTCGATGCTCCTTCTCTAGTGAATTTGTAAGGAACTTTTGATGAAAGCAAACAAAATATGCAATCATCAACATGCTTAACACTCACAGCCATCATTCTCATATGGAAAATTGTTTAAATCACCCATTCAAACATGTTCATTGTGGCAATCACACCACCTCCATAAATTGTGTTGTGAAAGAGAAAACACACACACTCTCCCACTGATGTTCCTGCCTACAATAACTCAAGGCAAAAGCTAAAGGCTACAATTTGCTGTCAGGCTGTCAAGTTCTGGACCCACTGGGCACGTTGATTTCAATTTTCCTTTCTGCAGATGCAATATCTGGCATCTTGGGGCTACAGAGACTTCTAAGTAGGAGATAACTACAATATTCTAAAAAGGAAGGGGAAAAAGAAGAGATTAACTCTCACAGCTTCCCAATGCATGTTAGCATAAAAATACAACAGTACTCTTTATAATTTTCATTTTAGAGGTTATGAAAGGCAGTTTAAACGTGGCTTATAAACTTCACCTGAATTATTCCGCAGTGTGTATCGCAGTATTCTGCACCACGTGGGTCCTGTTCACCTATTATCACAGAAGTTTAGAGGTGGAAGGGACAATAAATGTTTGACAAGGTGTTAACAGTCCATATCTCCATGTCTTCCATTCACGTGGCTCACCATCCACATATTCAGGAAGTACTTTTATCTTTCAAAACAGTTTGGTGATAAGAAAAGAAAATGCATCGTGTGAATGCACAAAGAAAAGTGCATTGTGATGTCACAATGGAGCAGCTTTGATTCTCTTTCCTCTGAACACTAGAGAGGCCATGTCAAAGCTAGACCCTGGGAGTCCAAGCACCTCTGCAAATCCACTTCTCACAAACATGATAATTATGATGGTAGGTAATGTTATCGGTCTATTTGTGTCCCTCCAAGCTTCATATATTGAAGTTCAGCCCCAGGATCTCATAATGTGATATTATTTGGAAATAGGGCCATTGCAGATATAACTAGTTCAAAGGAAGTCATACAGAAGTAGGGTGGGTCCTAATCCAATACAACTGATGTCCTTATACAATTGGAAATGTGAACACAAACATGCACACACGGAGCATGCAGGTGAAGGTGAAGGCAAAGATCTATAAGCCAAGGAATGCCAAAGATTACCAGCAAACCATCAAAAGCTAAGAGAGGGATGAAACAGATTCTCTGTCACAGCCTCAGAAGGAACCAACCCTGCTGGCACTTTGATGTTGGACTTCTGAATCCTAGAACTGTGAGGCAACACATTCCTGTTGCTCATGCCATCCAGTATGGCACTTTTGTTATAGCAGCCCTAATACAGACAAAGATACTAATTAATTAAAACCATAAACCTCTAATAACATGAGCATATATCATAGAGCTCTTTCAAGATTATTTCCCCAAGTCAAGAAAGACATAGGGCAGAGATTTTTGTTTTAAATGAGCTGATGGAAGTGATGGGACTTACTCTCAGCTTACACTCAAAGGCAATAAAAAAAGCTGAGTCTAGAAAGGTGTTTCAGAACTGACTTTCTGCAGATTCTGTGACAATAGTCCCTGGCCTATATTGGTGAAAAGAACTGGAAAGGAGAAGAAGACTATGACTCCTAGATAGTCTCTGTTCTCTCCTGTCTGTTTCACCAGGTTAGCAATGCATCTTCAACAATAAAATGTTGAAGGAGATGGGTGCTATAAACTCAGATCAGAGTGGGAGTGTGGGAGTAGAAATAACAATGACAATAATAACATCTTTGCTTCCATAAAGTTTTCCCATTATCTATCTCTTTGAACTTTACCTACAAATACATGAGATAGTAGCCCACTTATTATTATCCATTTTTGCAGAAAGGGAAGCTGAGACTCTAAGAAGTAAAATGAATTATTCAATCAGTTCAGGCCACAGCTCGGCCAATGCTCTTTCTAGGAAACCATGCTTGAAGAAAATGCTTTCCATGGAGAATTTGTGTAAGAACATAGTTACAAAAATAAAAAAGGAGCCATTAAACTTCATTAAATTCCTGAGGGTTCTGAATCCTTGCTGCTTGACTGATGCAAGCACATGTAGGAAGGTGGCCTGGGAAGGGATGGTGGAGTGAACGAACTGAGAGACCCCTGAGGAATACAAGGACTCCCTTCACTGTTTGAAAAGTAGTAGAATAGAGCTTCCAATGTGCCCTCTGGATCTAGTATACATGAATAAACTCAAGAGAGGGCCACACCAGGCCTGCTGGCATTGGTCTACCCAAGCAGAGCTCCTGGGACTATGTGGCCACAGCCTCTGCACACAAGGCTCTAACCTACCATTTGATGGCAGCAGCCCAGGGTTAAACCTCTGCAAACAAGGGATTGATTGCATCACTGCAACCTCAAAAGGCAGAAAATCTTCCAGCTTCTCCAAACTTCCTTAGAAATCCCTTATTGATTCGTCACCTGGGTATTTATATAGTCTTTCGAAAATCTTTCATATATTCAATGCATTTCCTCTCTAGAAATAAGAACATAAGATTACTTCCCTAATTTTTGTGTTTCATAGAAAGGGGAGGCATTAGTACCTTCTTCCTTTGTAGGCTTGTCTGAGAACTCCATGAAATCAGGGATGCGAAGGGGATGGTGTAGAGTAGAATGTTTCTAATTTGTTCCCACTTCCATTCCCATTCATGCAGTAATCTAAGTCAAAATAATTACAAATAGCTCCTGACCTAAGTTGACTGCACTGAGAATAGAAAGAAGCAAAAAGAAAAGAGGCATTAAGGTGAATAGGTAGTTATGAAGTAGTCATTAGTGGAATGACTACTGATCTATCCTAAACTTGCCTCACTGTGTCTCATGATCTCAAAGTGATTCCTCTACTCCTCATATTCCACATGTCATGGACAAGACCTCCTTCTCCATCCCCTGAATGAGTTTCTGATTTGTATCCGGTTTCTCCAAAGTCTTCCTCTTCAAACTCCCATTCCATCTCATAGTCACATAGTCTTTCTTTTCCATGGGTTCACTCACTAATTAAATTTTAAGCATTTTCTTTATGCAAGTTGCTGGCCAATTACCAGTGACACAAAGATGAACAAAGCACTGTTCATGTCCTCACAGAGTTCACTGTCTAGGGGCAGAATTGCAGTCGAGTGGGAGAGTGAGTTGGACTGAGCTCTGCTGACCAGAATGTAATGTGGGATATGGTAGAACAAGCAGAGCATGTGGGTTTTGCTCACAAGAGGGCCCCTGTGTTGATCAGAGTTCTTTGCAAACAGCATAAGTAAGTTCTGGCTTACTTAGACCCAAAGAGGGAGAGGTTGGATTATTTGAATGGCTGAAAGAAGCCTCAGGAGATCCAAAACAGGCCTCAGAAAACTAGGAGCAAAGTCTGTTTCTGAGATCCAAAAAGCAAGAATTATTAGAACAAGGTCCAATCATGTCTGGTTCCACGTGCCATTTCAAGACAAATACCAAAGAGAGGGCCCTGGCTGCTCAACCTCTGTCCTAGGCTGACTCCTTTTCCAAGAAGACCAACTCACCTTACAGATACCCTGTTCAGACTGCTTCTATTAGGGAATAGGCAGTTCCTCAAAAACAAAAACATCAAGGTAATGACACGAAATCAAGGTGGCTCTCAGGTAGAGCAAATAACAGATATCTATAATAACAGTGAGAATATAGAGGGAGGAGGCCAGGCATGGTGGCTTATGCCTGTAATTCCAGCACTTTGGGAGGCCAAGGTGGGTGGATTGCTTGAGTCCAGGAGTTTGAGACCAGCCTGGGCAGCATGATGAAACCTCATCTCTACTAAAAGCACAAAAATTAACTGGGCATGGAGGTGCACTCCTGTAATCCCAGCTACTTGGGAGGCTGAGGCACAAGAATTGCTTGAACTGCAGAGGTGGAGGTTGCACTCTGAGATTGTGCCACTGCACTCCAGCCTGGGCAACAGAGCAAGACTCTGTCTCAAAAAAAAATTTTATATGTATATGTACATATATATGTGTGTGTGTGTGTGTGTGTGTATATATATATAGAGAGAGAGAGAGAGAGACAGAGAGAGACAGAGAGAGAGAGAGAGAAGATGGGGAAGACTCCTGGGAGGAAATGAACAAGAACAAAAATGTTAACAAAAAGCAAGAGTTAGTGGTGTGAGTATAAGAGAAAGAGGAAGAAAAAGGAAGTCCTGAGGATAGTAAATAGAGATGCTTTGGGACGTGGCACCAAGGTGGGAAAGGAATAGGAGCCAGATTGTAGAAGGAACCCATGGAACGGCAAGGGTGTGGGAAAGATGACAAGAGGAAACACAGAAAAACGGAATACAAGACTCAGTGTGGCAGCAATGTAAAGGGGCACATCATGAGGCAGTGAGGTTCTAAGTGTAGAATGGTGCACAGTGCTTAGCACGTGATTAATGCTTAAAGAGCATTAATTTCATTATCAGTATAATCACAGAAAGGGGAGGCATAACTACCTTCTTCCTTTGTAGACTTGTCTGAGAACTCCATGAAATCAGGGATGTGAAGGGGATGGTGTAGAGTAGAATGTTTCTAATTTGTTCCCCACTTCCGTTCCCAGTCATGCAGTAATCTAAGTCAAAATAATTACAAATAGCTCCTGACCTAAGTTGACTGCACTGAGAATAGAAAGAAGCAAAAAGAAAAGAGGCATTAAGGTAAACAGGTAGTTATGAAGTATAAAGAAAGAGTCTTAAAACCTTGCCAGGTGTCTGATGTAAGAGATTAGGTAGATATTGGCATTATTCTTCAAGATGGGAAAGGTGGGTTTTGAGGGAAAGAGGAAGTGTTTGGTTTGGTGATGTTGAGCGTTAACTATGTCAACTATGGCTTCATGTTGGGTTTGGGTGGCAAAAGACATTCCACGGGTGGTAGAACTGCTGACACTGGCCTTCCCATGCCTTGACATTGTATATGTGACCCGAATGGCCAGAGCAGGAGTTTTTGTTCTGGGGCACTGAGTTTTGGACTGACGATGGGTACCAAGTCTTCTGACCTGCTCTGATATAAACTAGCTTACTCTTTTCTTCAAATCCTTTATCCACACTATCCTTCCTAAGGCATGTTCTCTTTATTTAAATCCCTGTGAAAATCTCCCATCTGAGGATGTCCCTACTAAAGTATTTTCAAAAGGAAAGAGAGAGGAAGCAATTAAAACAGCAACAACGAACAAGCCCTCAAGGAATTTTTAATGCCTGGAAAGCATTTCCTCCTGAACACCTGGGGTTTCTGGGATAGATAGTTTCCAAGTCTCCTAAAACTAGTCAGAAGGACCTAAATCCTTCTGTGGCTTACAGAGTCCAGTCCAGTCTTGGCACTCCACACACAATGATGAATCATAAAGAATGGAGGAGTTGAATTGGAACTGTTACTGAGCCCAAAGAGTAATTTTTTTCTTACTTATGATGTATTTCAGATCTCACAACATCTGCTTGTTTAAATTTCAGCTGGGGAATTTGGGGGGATGTTAAAAGACTTCTGGATTTCTTATAATAGAAATGAATGTTTCCCTGTGCATTCTAACTTTTCTCCTGGTGAATTTTATATCTCCTTAATCTCCTGATAAGCTTGTGCCACATGCATTACATGCTTTATTTGGAATAGAGTGCCCCCTAGGCTGGATGATTTCCCTGAAGGCACACAACGATTGCACGGGTTCGAAGGAGTTAGACACTGGTGCTCTTGACCCTTAGTGCAGTTTCCTTCCCATGCATCTCTTCCATGAGTTTGCTG
Source organism: Homo sapiens (assembly GCF_000001405.40). NCBI lineage: Eukaryota > Metazoa > Chordata > Mammalia > Primates > Hominidae > Homo > Homo sapiens. Next base: position 44,536,676 of record NC_000018.10, read on the forward strand.
AGATCCTTCCCTTCCCTAAGAGCAGGCACTCACCAGAGCATACACCATGTTAACAGGCAGTGCAATCAGTGAGGAGGCTCTTAACATCCACCTGCTCACTTGTCCAGAGAATATACTGAACAGCTCAGGCAGCACTGATTACAAAGGTCAGTAGTCGACATGTGGCTAGAGAGCTTAGTGGAGCAATAATCAGGTGCAGGCTCTTTCCTTCCTCTTAGAGTTTTTCAATTTGATAGGGTAACATGCTCAAGGATGTGAGGTGACCTCTGGGAGCACTGCAGCTTTGTGTTCATGATACTCATCTTTAAAAGTGTCTGTGACCCAGAGATATATCAAGTGATGAAATGAGAGAGGTTTTGCATCCTGCTCGTATGTGACAACCTGAACCTGGAGGACATAAGGCTAAGTGAAATAAGCCAGCCACCACCGAAGGACAAATACTACATGGTTCTCCTTATATGAGATATCTAAAATCAAACTCATAGAAACAGAGTTAAATGGTAGTTTCCAGGAATTAGAAGTAGGGAGAAATGGGAGTTGTTGCTCAATGGATATATAGTTTCCATATATAGTTTATGGAAGATGAAGAAGTTGTAGAGATCTGCTGTACAATATTGTGACTAAAGTTAACAATACTATACTGTGCACTTAAAATTTTGTCAAAGGAGTAGATCTTCTGTTAAATCCTCTTACTACAATTTATGTGTGTGTGTGTGTGTGTGTACGTATATATATGAAGATACTAGGGACAAAAGTAAAGCAGTGTCAATCACTTACATTTATAAATAAACTTAGACCTAGGAAAATGAAGCCACTTGCCACAAGCCACAGAACTAATCAGTAGCAGGTTTGGTAGAAGAATGCAAACCTCTTAACTCCCAGTCCCGTAATGTTTCTACACATTGAATAGCATATAATTGCAAAGAATACACCAAAGTAACTGTGTTAATTTCTCACTAGTCACGTCAGCAGGAAAACTCAGGTTTAACAAATAACAAATTGGAAACAGCCCTCAAGGCACCACTCCAAAGCTGGTCTGCCAGTTTAGGAGCCTGTGATCCCAAGTTGTGAGTCAGAGCCATTCCAATGAGTCACATTGCAATGCTGGCCCCCTGGGCATCTCACTGTATTTGTAGGAGCAATTCCAAATAAGCAGACAGATGGGCTCCATGCAGACCATAAGCCAGAAAGCCTGCTCCTGTATGCTTGCCTGGGGATGCTGAAAGTGGTTACCTGTCATGAGTGATATATATATATATATATATATATTCCTTCTACTCACCTGTACCTGCTACAGAAGAAGTCAGATTAGGTAATTTCCTACCCTAGAGCGACTTGAGCAGTAGGTATCTTGCTCCAAGATATCCCCACTAGTGTCAATTCAAAGTTTCTAAAATTTTAAACTTAAAAAAGTATTTATTACTGTGATTCTTAAAAGCCCTTTTGTATTTTAAGAACCACCTTATTTACATTTAATAAAATGTAAAGAATAAAATGTAAATCTTTGGGCAAGGGAAATGAGATTAACTTAGGAGACCACTCGTTACTAGGAAACATGAGAAAGAAAAAGGGGAATATGGAAGTATCAGAATTCAAATTAATATGCTTCATCTGTCATTAACTTTTTCTGAGCACTTAATATATATCAGGCCTGAGCTAGGTGCTGGAAGGACAAAGATGAATAAGGTGTGGTCTCTGTTCTCAAGTTCAAGAGTCTCTTAGACAAGCAAAGGAAAGAAATGTGAATAATCGCAACATTATGCAATGAAGTGTTTTAATGGTGATATTAAAAGTGTTTTAATTATGAAAAAACAGATGAGGGCTACATGAAAATTTCCAAAAAATAGATTATATTTGCCGAGGAAGTGATGGTCAGACTATTTATAAATAAGGAGAAGCTCATCATGAAACAAAGAAGGCATTTGAAGCTGAAGAAGCAATATGCACAAAGGCACAGAAACAAAATAGATACTTTACCCTCTGGAATAACAAGCAATTTGGAATAAATATAATGGTGACATCACACACATCCATTTTTAGGGTGACTAGCCATTCCAGTTTGGCTTGGTCTAAGGTGAGTCCTGGGGCACGGGACTTTTAATGCTAAAACCAGGAAAATCCTGAGTAAACTGAAATGAGTTGGTCACCCCATAGATGGCCATGAGGAGAAAGATGTTTATGTTTGGGAAAAAGTAGCAAAGCAAATTGCATAGTAGAAACCATACTGAACCAGGAGTTAGAAGCCCTGAAGGTGAACTTGGCTTTGTCATTACAAGGAGTCTTCTTGGAATCACTTTTCTAATGGCTACTTGGGCAAGGAAGCTCTGGTATAATTTCAAGCTCAATAGCTCCATCATTCTAAATGTCTTGGGACATTTAGAGCAAAGAGCAAAGTGAGGTAGAATCACCTGCCTGAACAACAGATCATTCCATAGAACAGTAATTCCAAGAGTACATGTCTTTCATGCACAAGTTATCTGAAGCCTTCCCCAAAAGCAAAAAGAGCCTCAGGAGCTAGAAATCTGAGAGACTACCTACTGCTACGTGATAACCCATGGAAGCCATAAATATGAGTGTATTAATGCCTTATTCAAAATTAGCCACTTTCAGGCACAAGTCACTGGTTTGTGGCTAGGCATCAAAATGATTAAAAAACAATCAGTGTCTGTTTATCATTACTATATAGATATATTTTACATTGTAATGATCTGGAGCTGCCAATCTCAGTTGCACTGTGGCTTATCACAGACTTTCTTATTCATTCATTCAGTCAATGGATTATAATAATAATTCTTTAGTAGAGGAAAAAAAGTATGTGATACTTGAACTATCACTTCACTGAGGTGATTACATAATTTAGATGAGTACCTCTTAGAATTACTAAAGTAGACCAAAAACTAGAATTACTTTTGTAATTGTTCTAGACCAAAGCAAGAATTACCGAACATGCTTCAGACTTCCAACTGCACAGAACCTCTATTCATATTAACCCCAAAATTCCAAAAATAAATCATGCCTACACTGCACCTTGACTGTCTATAAAACATGAAAACAGTGACCAAATTTAGTCCAAGGAAAAAAAAAAGTCAGCATGTGAGTGAGTTAGATGAAGAGTCCTGGAGAAGAATCTTAAGGGCTCATAATTGGTTGGCTGACTACAGTTAGTGTCTCAGGGCCTTATCCAGACAATCTTCTTTTATGTGAATATCATGAATCCAAAACAAAATGTGAGCTCCCAAACTAAATTTTCTATTTTCTGGAATTTTAGTTTTCTCATCTACTTCCATAGTTGGGAGATCAGCCCAGCAAGCCTTGCAAAAGTTCTAAAAAACAATCAGTTCCATTTCCAACCCCAGTGATTGTTCTCTGCTTCGCAGCTTGTAGCCTCTGCCAGAAAATGAAGCAAACGTTCCTTCTCAAAGCAGGTGCAGCAGCCTGACAATAATCCAATAAAAAACCTATTAGCTGGGTCTCCATGACACTCCTGGTATCCATGGGACCCACAATATCTTTAATGTAGATAATAAATCCAGACCATTTCCTTCTGCAATTGCTCCCAATATGGCTCCACTCCTAGGACTGTTCCACTAACCTTTTGTTGCTACATTTTCTCATGAATGCTGAATCACTCTCTAATCTTTGCCGTGAAACACGTGCAGTCCCACTCAGTGACATGGATCAATCTGCTTGTGTTAGCCAATTGCAATTGCCTACTGAGCCACATCCGTAGATTGCAAACAGCAGGCCTAATACTGACCAAGTTTTAAATTATCAGTCATGGGTTGGTGGTTAAGTGATGATGGGTAAAGAGGGAACCCAAGAGGTGATTTGAGACCACTGGAGGCAGTGCGTATATCTCTGAGTAACTCTGCATATGTAAGCTCTAATGCAACAATTTGACCTGCATATGTCAGGTCAAAATGTTAAATAAAAATTCAAGGAAAAGGTGTTCCAACTCATCTCACATGTCGATTTTACCTTAATATTCCTGTTATCATATCTCATCTCAATTCAGAAATCTTCTATGGCAGGCTATACTAAAAGACCAAACCTCTCTTTCAGCTGGGATTTAAGAATTTCATCACTAGGTACCCTCCATACATCCAACTCCATCTCTTATTGTTCCCACATTAACATTCTATTTAAAGAAGCAAAATGGATCACTATTAAATGTGCATGATGGTCATTGTCTTAACACTTTATTTGCTAGACTATAATCTCCATAAAGCAGGCACCAAATTTGTCACATTTACCCTATATCCACAGCACCTAGCATCTAGTATATACATAATAGTTCTTGCAACTATAAATTAATTTGTACATATGCTTCTTGCTCTAAAATTAATGCTCTTTCCCTTCTCTGTATTTTCTTAATTTTCAAGGCCCTGCTTAAATCCTATATCCTCCTGACAGATTTTCCTAGGCCATTCCTGACTATATTGCCCTATTTTCATCAAAGACCAATTATGTAATATAACCCATGTCTCTTTAATTCTTGACTTGGAAAATGTTAGAACTTTAAAAACACTTAAAGTTCATCTTGACCGACACTCCACTTTTTATAAATAAGAAGTCTGCAGCCAAAGAAAATACATCACTTGTCCAAGTTTACATAATACATCACAACCAAGACTAGAACGAGACATGGGGTTTTGCACAACCCCAGCTCTGTCATAACTTGGTCTTGTCTGCACCAGGAGACTGTCATTCATTCCTTGAAAGCTTGTTAAGTGTCTGTCAATTCCTCCACAGGCACAGAAGAGATTCCGTCCTGACGTTTGATAAATATTGTTTATTGGCATATTTGTTCCCTGATTTAAAATTGTGAAGTCTAAAGAACAATGGAAAATCAATGCTGAATAATTTTTAAGTGTTAAATTTTGTCTTTGTTTCATGTTTAATGAAAAATTAAAGTCACTTTAGATCTGCGGTGATTTGTCTTAAACCAACAAAAACATCTGGGTAGCTATTAAATGTCTTACAAGCTGTAAAAAATCAACAGCCACTCAGAATCAATAGTTCTCCTGGGAAACTGTTTCTATTCATCAGTGCTTTCTACAAAATGTGACTGAAGTATTATAATAAGAACCTGGAAAAATAGTAAGGTATGGAAAAAGGGGTGTCATTTCATGAGATGAAAAGGAAATCTTCAAAAACATTTACTGACCATATCATCTAACCATCTGCTTCTGGAAAAATATATCATAAAAGACATGTGAGCTCCTGCCCTCCTCAGTACATGTTGTTTCAGAAAAATAAATAAATAAATAAGCCAAATTATAAGACTGTTTGCCAAGGTCCTAAACCCAGCTACATGTCAAACTGGTTAGGTAAGTAATCTTACAATTGTCTGAGCATTCATGAATATTATGTTTCTGATAAATACAGAAAAGACTGTAGTAGCGCCTATTGGCAATTCATCACTCTCCATTTCCTATCTTTCCCAGAAACACAGGGAAATTTCATTTTCAAACTTGCCTTGCAGTTATCTGTGGTCATTTGACTGAAATCTAAGCCAATGGAATGGGAATAGAGATATCTGTGCCACCTACACCTTCACACCTGGTCAATGAAAACTGCCTGCATGTTCTCCCACCTTTCAACTGATGGCAACACTAGAACTGTCTTAGCAGCCTACAGGTGGAAAATGTCAGAGTTGCCATTGATCTGAGCCCCAGAATTTCTGTGTAGAAAAGAGCCACCCTAAGCTCTTTTCTTTTAAGCTGGTGTCAACCTAAGCACCAGCCCTAGACAGTTATTATTGTTCAACCCACTGAAATTTTAGGGACTATTCTTTACTGCAGCTTAACATATTGTAACCAACAACAACAAAAAAAAATTTCCATGTTACAAGACTGTTGTAAAGTCCAAATTTTTCTTTTAAGATTATATAAATATAATATAAATTGAGAGGGGGATAATTTATTAATTGCATATATATTGTCCTTTCCCCCTAATTTTGCATGATTTTTACAGGAAAAAAGAAATACCCACACATTTCTGTATTCACATTACTATAAAATTAATATAATTTTACCAGTATAAAATTACTAGTAATAAAATATTGCTATATTCCTGATAAATAGGAATATAATATCTTTTAATCTAAAAGCTTTCAGGTAATGCAAATAAAATTCCTTCAGTCTTTTTTTAATGACAAAGCCACATTAGGAATAAATCAGATTTGAAGCAAAAATTACATAAACAATATCTCCAGTCTTTATTCCATTTGGATAGTGTAAATCTTGGCCAAAAGAAAGAACCAGAACTTGAAGATGTAATCAAAGACTTTCATTCAGGAGTATCAAGGAATTGTGACCCGTCTCTATAGCCTCCAGACCTTGACAAAGAAGACAGAATTGCTTCTCAGTTCCTCAGAGCAGAACTGTGCATGAAATGAGACCCATCAATAATTTTCTGGTATGTACTCTTACTTGGAAATGGGTGACACATTCCAGAATCAAGCCCTTCCTTATTTCCAGAAGATCATAATTTAGTAGGCAACATAATAATAACTAACACTTTTATGGTAACTCGTAGCTCAAAGAATACTCTCAAAGTTTCCTTTCAGTCAATAGTATTACCACCAGGTTTTCACATTTTAATATGAATCTTGACATAGAAACCAGTTGTTTCTGACTTCACACTATCTCTGAGTTTTCTTATTTATGTTCCATTTCAATATCCAACATCCTACATAAACTTTAAACTCCATATCTGAATTCCTGAAAAATACTCCTAATTACTCTTAGCTCAAACACTGTCTCTTTAGTTCCTGTGCCATAGCAGATGCCTTAAAATATTGGTGCATCATATAAAATAAGAATACGTATCTTCTACTGAATACTAAGCGCTACACTCTATGCTAAATACTCTACATTTATTGTCTTATTTTATTCCTGCAATCACTACATAGTAGATCTCATTTTTCTCCACATATAATGCTTGAGGACACTGATGCTTAGAGAGGTTAAGTAGCTTGTCTTTACTTGCAATCTTTAGTGGTAGGGATAAAATTCCCTACCTGGCTTGTCTGACTTAAGAACTTGAAATTTTTATCATTATATTCTATTGTCTTTAGAATAATAATAATAAAAATAAAATGTCCCTTAATCCATTTGTTGGTTTTTAAGTACAAACCCCCCTCTCAATTCAATCCTTTTCTATCTCAGAGAATTCAAAATGGTCCTCTATGTTGAAACATATTCTCACTTTCTGGTGAAATTCAAACTTGTTCATAACATCTCCCACAGCTATTACTCTATCATCTTTTTGGCTATACTAAGTAGTCATTTAAACTGAACTTTTTTCTGTGTGTATGTATATGAGGTATTTTATATATAATAATATATAATATTATACATATTTTATATATTATATATTATATAATATATATATTATAATATATATAATATAATATATATATTATAATATATAATTATAAGATATATATTAAAATCTTATAATTATGTATATAATTATGTTTTATACATATAATATATAATAATGTTATATATTAATTATATATAATATATTATATATATTCTATTATATATTATATTAATATATTATATATAATAATGTTATATATAATATATTATATATAATAATGTTATATATAATATATTATATATAATAATGTTATATATAACATATTATATTATATATAATGCATTATATATAATTATGTTATATATAATATATTAATATATTATGTAATTATATTATATATATTTAATATATTATATATTATATTAATATATTATATGTTATATAACATATATTATATATTTAACATATAATATATTATATTACATATAATATATATTATATTACATATAATATATAATATATTATATTACATATAATATATATTATATTACATATAATATATAATATATTATATTACATATAATATATAATATATTATATTACATATAATATATAATATATTATATTACATATAATATATATTATTTTATTATTATATTATATATCATTATATTATTATTTTATTATTATATTATTATAATATATTAATTTATTATATATAATATATAATATATTATATATTTTTATATACTATATTATATATTATATATTATATAAAATATATATTATATATTATATAAAATATATAATATATTATATATAATATATAATATATATTATATATTATATATAAATATATATTTATATATAATAAATATATTATATATTATATATTATATATATAAAATATATATTATATAATATATCATATATATGATATATATAATATATATTATATAATTATATATTATATATATCATATATTATATAATTATAATATACTATATATTATATAATATATAATTATAATTAACATTATATATTATATAATATTATACACAATACATATTTCTATTCCCTTATATCCCTTTGATCACTCTGTGATCTTGTTCTCCAAAAAGCCTTTCTCCTCTGTCTTGGCAACTTCCTTTTCTTTCTACTTATAGTTCAGATACACACATATGTACTTACCCACAAGAGTCTGAAAATATTTATTTAATGCTTATCACCTGTGAGGCAGGGTCTCTTCTAGGTTTCAGCAAAACAGCTGTGAGCAAAGCAGAAAAAGTTCCTACCCTTAAGGAGTTTCCATTCTGGTAGAGAGACTGACAATTTGTGAACATGCAAATGAGAAATGAAAAATGAAAAGTACTATGAAGAACATAAAACAGGATAAGCCAATAGAAAGTGTCATGGGCAAGGAGGGGATTATTCTAGCCTGGGTGATTAGGAATGGACTATCTGAAGCTGTACCATTTGCACTAAGGCCTAAATAATGAAAGAGCCAGCCATGCAGAGGCTTGAAAGAAAGATTTCAGGCAGAGAGAACAGCTGTGCCCCAGAGTGAGAATAAGCTTCTTGTGGCCCCACTATAGCCAGCAGGTGAATGTGGCTGAGGGTAGTGGGTAAAGGGGAAAAAATGAGGTTGGAGGTGTGGCCGGACATAGAATATCTGGAGCCTAAAAGTCAAGGTTAAGATCCTGGCTGGGTCCTCGGTGAGGTGGCAAGCAATATGAGTTGGTGAGCCAGGTTTTCCATTTTTTAAGAGTACACTCTGGCTGTTGTATGGAGAATAGACTGTTGATGCAACAACAGTGGAAGGCAGGAGACAAGTAGTCTATGCAGTGGTCCAGGGGAGACATTTTTATTATGTGGTCTACAGTTATGTTTATGAAGATGGAAATGATAGTGTGTGTTTGGAACATATGTCCTTCACTCTTCTTTTTTTACTTCCAAATTATATTAAGTTTAAATCTATATATGTTACAAACTCTATTGAAGTTTTGAATCTTCTTCCAGGCTTTTCCTTCTAATCCTCAGCAATTATTTCAGTGTATAATTGCCCAATGTAGTGAGTGTTGATGTACATATTAGGTTGGTGCAAAAGTAATTGAGGTTTTTGTCATTAAAAAGTGATAGCAAAAATGGTAATTACTTTTGCACGAACCTATTACCACAGTAGGCCTTCAACAATATCTCATGTGTAAATGCATACATGAATTCTAATTTTTATGATTTTCTAGTTTCACATGTGCTGAAGTCGCCGTAGGCTTATCCCCTGATACAGTTTGGAAGTGTCCCCACCCCAATCACATGTTGAAACATAATCCTCAATATTGGAGGTGGGGCCTGGTGGGAGGTCATTGGATCATGGTGTAAATTTCTCATGAATTGTTTAGCACCATCCTTTTGGTGCTGTTCC